>NC_000001.11:32678835-33303835 GCF_000001405.40 Homo sapiens | reverse complement strand
GTGCCCAGCCAGTCATTTCTGTTTTAAAGGGGGAATAAATGGCATGCTCAGGAGTTTCCAAGGCGTGGACTGGAGGCAGCCTTGCGTTGTTGGGGATCTTCTTGAGGAGGGAGGGGTTCCAGGAAGCTGCAGGGTGGGCAGCCCTTGGGAATGGCTCCCCTCCTAGTGAGCCCAGAGGCCTAAGGAGGGGTTGTGGGGGTGGGTACAGAGGGACTTGGATCTAAAGCAGGAATAACAAGAGGGCTAAAGCTCCTTCTGCAGTTGCCTCCATTACCATCAACACTGTCCTCAGCACCTATCCTGAGGCTCCCCCAGGGGCAGTGGCACTCACTCCCCACGTGAGCAAGTGAAAATCAGACTCAGTCCCCTCAGCATCACTGCTACATGCAAAATCTCCACCTGTCCCAGCCGCCCCGCCTTGCCATGCAAGCTCAAATGCCACCCCTAGAAATTCCCAAACATCTTCAGCTCTCAGTCAGGGATCACTGATCATAAGGATCATAGATCCCTTAGGGCTAAGGCAAATAGCAGCAATAATGATGTGGACATATATTGGGTCTTACAACGTGCCAGTTCTAAGCATTAGACAGGTATTGATTCATTTAATCCTCACATCCACACTGTAAGTTGGTTACTACTGTTTACCTCATTTTACATATGAGGAGATCAGGCACAGATTTAGTAACTAACACAATGTCACACCACTAGCAACTTAAACTCATTGAAGTGAGAACAAACAGGAGATTAAACATAGCCAGAGGATGAAGACGGACAGGAACAGAGGTTACCACTAGCTCTTGGTCTCCTTGGTCCATTTCTGCTCTTTCTCTGCCGGCTTTGTTCTTCTGCTTGTGTCCAGCTCAACACAGTCACCCCAAACCGCAGTCTACAGGGTTTTCCAGTTCAGGTACCCACCATCTCCTAACTTGTTCCTAATTCATGGAATAGAGAATCTGACAGGAGAGTCAGCTCCGTCCGGTGGTGTGCTGGTATAAGTCTAGCAGTTGACTGGGGAAAAAGAAAGCCCTGATTTATAGTGTTGGCCAATATCCATGGTGTAAATCCCACCATGGCTGATTTCAAGCTACCAGTACTCCCTGAATGCAGAGCTTGGAAGAGGTGTGCACAATTTTCTCACATGAATCAGGACAGCCATTATGCACCACTGGCTGCACCTATGTATCAAGTCAGAGTCAGGTGTCCACCCCTGGCCAATCGGCTGTGGCTGCAATGGGGTCATGTGACACAAATATGGCTGCCAGAGCCCATCCTTTCATGGCAAAGCAGGCTATGGGAGGTCAATTTCAGAGAAAGAGATGAGGCCCCTGAGATTACTGAAAACATGCTGGTTCTTGGCTACCACACATCCATTTCCTCTTCTGATAGTAACACACTCTGGTTTCCTGTTAGGGAACCTCTTGTGCTTCAGAAAGTAAAGAAGGTGAGGGCTTCACCCTCTACTCCAGGCTTAGAGCATGGGCCCTAGGCCCAAGCCAAACAAGCACACAACATGATGCAGTTAGAACCAGGAAGACCCAATTAGACTTTTGCTGGGTGCTATGGTTTGAATGTGTCCCCCCAAAAAAACATATGTGTTGGAAACAACCCCCAGTGCAACAGTGTTAGGAGTTGGAGCCTAGTGGGAGTTGTTGGGCCATGGGGGCTCCACCCTCATGAATGGATTAATGCTGATTATAAAAGGATATGAGGCTTCGAGTTCCATTTTTCTCACTCTCACCCTCTTTTTGAGATGGAGCTTGTTCTGTCTCCCAGTCTGGAGTGCAAATGGTGCAATCACGGCTCCCCACAGCCCTGACCTCCCAGGCTCAAGCAGTCCTCTCACCTCAGCCTCTCAAGTAGCTGGGACTACAGGCGCATGCACCACCACACCTGGCCAATTTTCTTTTTCTTTTTTTTTGTGGAGACAAGGTCTCCCTATGTTGCCCAGGCTGGTCTCAAACTCCTGGACTCAAGTGATCCTCCTGCCTTGGCCTCCCAAAGTGCTGAGATTACAAGCATGAGCCACCAAGCCTGGCCTCACCCTCTCTTGCTCTTCTGCCTTCTGGCATGAGATGACATGGCATGAAGGCCCTCACCAGATGCTGGCACCATGCTCTTGGACTTCCCAACCTCCAGAACTATGAGACTGGAATTTATCATGAACAGAATGAAATTTCTGCTCATTATAAATTACTGAGTTTGTGATATCCTGTTATAGCAGCATAAAACAGATGAAGACACTGAGGCTTTTGTCAGAGAGACAAGAGGCTTGATTGCTGGAACCCTGGGGACTGAGAGACTAGAGCTGCTGACCCCACAGGCGCCTCAGGCTGAAGCTGACTCAGAACAGAGTGGAGAGCTGGAGACACATCCTTTGAGCCCTGAAGCTGGCCTGACCACTGTCCTGTTACATAAGCCAATACACCCTTGTTTGGATTGGACTTTCTATCACTTGCAGCAAAGTCTTGACACATGAGGACTGTGAGGACTCAGGGAAACGAGTTCGAACCAATGATGACCTCCATGGTAGATGACCTCCATGATGACCTTCCATGGACAGTGGAAGCACTGTCCCCCTCACAGTGCTTCCACAGGGCCAGACATGATAAGCTTTTGGGGATTTTATTACTAAATTTCCTTCCTAGGCAGTCAAAACATTGACTCCTATGGGGAAAAAACAATGTATGACAAGGATGTCTTGGACTCCCCCTCCAATCACTAGAATCACTTCCACAAATCAGGCACTCATGATGGACCCCCCCCCCACATAGGTGGGGTGCCCCCTCAGGGAGCAGTGGAAGTGAGACTTATTGGTGGACCTAGTATATCCAAGAAGGCTCCAGAACTAGGCAATGCTGGGTCAGTTTATGTCACTGCCACTATACTGCAGCATGATCCTTAGCAAAGGGCCTCTCTTGGTTTGCTGCCCACTTCTTAGGGAGTTGTGAGGCAATCAACATAAAGCACTCAGTTCAGCACCTGGAGTGAGGCCAGCCCACAGTGAGAGGCCACTTTCTTCCTTCTCCAAGTCTGGGGGGCGGGGGAGGGGAGAGGAGCAATGGAAAGGTGCCCCCCAGCCCTGCCCTCGCACAGAGCACGCCAAACACCACCGCCACCCGGGTGCAGGTACAGTTTATTCTTCACAACAGAGAAATACAAAGAGCAGAGGGTTTGTAATTCCTTTGTTTCTTGCCCCCTTTAGTGTTTTCCCCCCACATTTGATTTTCATTTGCTCCCCACTCCCTTTTTTAAATAGAATGCAAACTACCTTCCTGAAGTGTCTGAGGGGCACCTGCCCTCACCTCCCTGCCTCCAAGATGCAGACTGAGAAGCCAACAGACTGTTTTTTCTTTTTTAATAAGGTAACTAGTTCTAAATATGGTGGCCTGGAGGTCCCATAGAAAAAGCAAAGGGGTGTTAACAGTATGTATAACAGCGTATTTACAGGGAGTAACATGCGGACAAAAAGCTACAATACTGAGTATCAGACGACGCAAGTCAAACAAAGGGCCGGGGGTGGGGGCAGAGAACCCCATGGGCAAAGAAACCCCAGGAAACGTTAAACTGGTAAATCAATGGCGAGTTAAGGCTTAAAAAGTGTATAAAAATAACACAGTTAATATTCAAAACGGAACTCCAGATACAGAATATATAGATGAGTTTCTGTCTAGTTTTCTTTTTTTTCCCGGGGGGATGTAGGGGGCTTCTCTGGGCTCTGTACATGGTTCCTATATACACCGACACGCATGGCTTTCAGATTGGGGTGTGTCTGTGGGGGCTGGGGGCAGGGTCTGCTCCTGGGACCTGCCTCCCCGGGGATCCCTTCCCTGCTGAGGGGCCTAGGGCCTCGGCTGGGGATTCCCACTCCATGGCAGGGAAGACAAATAACCCCTCCCTGGGCACTGCCCCCATCTGGAGGAAATTCTGGAGGGAGGTCCCAGATCCAGGCCCACTCCCTCCCCATCCCCCTGCCCACAGTCTGGGATGGTGGGAGAGGTAGCCGAAAGGTTTCCTGGCCAGCACCGAGGTAGACTGGGGTGGTCTTCAGGGCAGCAGGGGAGGGCCAGGTCTTACCCAGCCCATCCCCACCCCATTTCCCTGGGCCCGCCACCCAGCCCATCACTGCACCCTTTGGTCCTGTGGATCTCCCACCCCTCTCGTTTCTGCCTCCTGAAGCTGCCGCACCCCTCTGCTCAGTGATGCCCAGGGCACAGCTCGAGAGGTGCGAGCCAGGCACTCAGGGGCGAAGGGCTCACTCCGGCTGCTTCCTGCCCCTCCCACCTGGGGGTCCCCTTTGCAGTCCAGAAACCTAGGCCCGAGCCTTCCCTCAAGACCTGAGGCCATGGCAAGAGAAGGTCCCACATTGCCCTCTGGTTCTCTGCGTCCATCTGTCCGATTCTTTAAATTTCTCGGTCTTAGCAGCACCAACTTCCTGGCCAATAAATATCTTTTCTGTTATTTCCAAAACAAACTTAAAAAAAAAAAACGAAAAAAAAAAAAACAGTGAAGCAAGTGAAGGGTGGGGAACAAAAAGAAAACTCAACAGAGAGGTTCAAAGTGCTCTGAGATCGTCTTTGGATGCCACCAAAACAGTCCAGAATCTTGCAGTTGGCCTGGCCGCCCCCGGACTGGACCAGGCAGGGCTTCTGCGGACCAAGCTTTCTGGAAGATTGGGAAGGTCGTGAGAGAGCTTGGTGGTTCCTGGAGGGCCCCCGGAGGGAGCTGGGGCCTGGTGCTGCCTGGGTCTGTGTCTGCCAGTGGGCCGGGTGGGGCGGCGCCTCCAGTGGGCTCAGATGAGAGAGATTCGCACCGGGATGCCGGGGGACTCCGTCCTCTGGGGCGAGTGATGGCTCACCAGGTGCTCCACCACCGTGTGTTTGGACATGTGCTTCATCAGGTAGGTCTCCTGTGGGCAGGGATGAGATTCAGAACAGGGAACCACCAGCAAGGGAGGGAGAAGAGGCTGCAGTTCCCACCAGCAGCCACTGGAGGGCTCTTGGTAGGCGGTTCAGAGGGTGGAGGACAGCCACAGTTTTGCAGGGTCAGATGGGCGTCGGCCATTGGTTCTAGAGACACTGCACTGCTGCCAGTATGAGTGCTGGCTGGAGAGCTCACCCCTCAGCAATGCCCACCTGTGGCTCTCCAGGGCCAGGCCCCCAGGCCCTTGCCACCTGGATGTAGCTGGGTATACTGGCTGAACCTCAGCCCTGTCTGCCAGGTGAAGCACTGTGCCTGCATCTGGCTGGTGATCCCAGTGACAGTGAGGCAGCAGGACTGGGTCTGAGCCTAGCTCTGCTCTTTCTTAGTGGTGAGAACTTGGACAAGTCATCTTGTCTCTCTGAGCCTCAGTTTCCTCCTCTGTAAGCAGGCATAGGGGAGGAACAACCTCAACAGGTTGCTGTGGTGACAAAGATCAAGCCCTTAGCATGGAGTAAGGGTTGAAGGGTCCACTCCTGCCCCAGTCTCTACATTTCCTTTCCTTCCTTTTCTTAAGGTCTCACTGTGTCGCCCAGGCTGGAATGCTGTGGCACAATCACAGCTCACCACAGCCTCAACCTCCTGGGCTCAAGCAGTTCTCCCACCTCAGCCCTCCAAGTAGCTGGGACTACAGGTGGGTACTATCATGTCCTCCACTGGCTCTGCTGGATCTGACCTGAGGCACCAGGACTGGGTAGGTGAGGTTGTGACCCAGGGCTCACTGCAGGCCCAGAAGCCCTCACACTAAGCCACATCCTTCCAATCGCCTTTGCCAGAAGCAGAGGCGGTACTCCCACCTGCCACTCCTTGACTTCAGACCTCAATATGCTCAGAACCCAGCAGAGGAAGCCCTCAAATGTGGCGGCAACATGCTATCCAATACCAGAGGGAAGCAACCTGCAAATTCCTAGCTAGGAAACTATTCTTCAGTGAATAAATAACAAAGAAAAAAAGTGGGGGTAAGGGGACCTAGAGATTAAAAGATCTACTGAGCTACTACGATGCAGGAATCTTATTTGGATCTTGATCTAAAAAGAATAATGTAGGCTGGGCACGGTGGCTCATGCCTATAATCCCAGCACTTTGGGAGACTGAGGCGGGCGGATCACCTGCGGTCAGGAATTCGAGACCAGCCTGGCCAACATGGTGAAACCCCGTCTCTACTAAAGATACAAAAACATTAGGTGGCCATAGTGGCACATGCCTGTATTCCCAGCTACTCGGGAGGCTGAGGCAGGAGAATCGCTTGAACCTGGGAGGCGGATGTTGCAGTGAGCTGAGACTGTGCCACTGCACTCCACCTGGGTGACAGAGCAAGACTCCGTCTCAAAAAAAAAAAAAAAAAGAGGAATCATGTAAATACACCAAATCATGGCATTCGTGACACAAATGAAAATGTCAATGCTGAACGGGTATTTGAGTATCTGATGATGATAAGGACTTTGGTTAATTACTTTTTGATATTCCAAAGGTATTGTGGATATGCTCAAAAAAGGAGTCTTTATCAGAGAGATAAAGTGCAATTTTTAGAAATAGTATGATGTCTGGATTGTACTTCAAAAAATAGGAGTATGGATGAGGCAGGATTGGTTGATGGTGTAGGAGGTTATGGAAAACTTGAGCCTTGGAGAGAGGCAGGGACTGACTGGAGATCAGCTAGCCAAGCGAGGGCTCCTGCTCACCCCTTTGGAGCCCTTTTCCCTGCAGATTCTGTCCTCTTCGCCTCCTGACCCTCCTCTGCCCTTTGAACTCCAGGGAAGAATAAATGTTACAGACTCAGCACTTAGCAAGTGGCAGCCCTGCCCGGCACCTGACAAGTACTGCCAACAACCCCACCTATGATCCATGAACAGCCTCCAGCCAGAGTGACCTTGCAAAAATACCTTCCCTGCCAGGCACAGTGGTGCACACCTGTAGCCCCAGCTACTCTGGAGGTTGAAGCAGGAGGATCCCTTGAGCCCAGGATTTTGATTCCAGCCTGGGCAACATAGCAAGACCCCGTCTCTAAAATATACCAAAAAAAAAAAAAAAAAACCCTTCCTGACAGTCCCCTCCCTGTAGCTTCCCATTCCACCTGAAAAAATATCCAAACTTTTCTAACAGAGCCCCAAGGCCCCAACTGACCTAATTTCCTTTGAGTTCTTGTAACGTGCCAAGTTTGTTACCCCTCAGGGGGTTCGCACTCAGTGTTCGCCTGCATGGAAGCTTCTTTCCCCTCTTTCTCCTCCTCATCCAATTATCCTTCAAGGCTTCACCTAAGTGTTGCTCCTCCAGGTGGTCAATCTGGACTCATCCCCCTTCCCAGCTCCATTGTGTCCTCCCTGCTGTCTTTCAAAACACACTTTTATCACAGTGGTTCTCAATTGAGGTGATTTTGCCCCCCAGGGACAAAGAGCCAGGATGAGAACCCAGGAGTGGCAGGGACAAAAGGAGCTCCCAGGGAGGACACAGAGGGACAGAGCTTCAGGGCCATGCTGTCCCCCAGGATGCAGGACTCCAGAATGCAGGACGGCATGGCCCTGCAGCTCAGCCCCTCTGTGTCATCCCTGAAGACATTTTTTGGCTGTCACCACTTGGGGAGCGGTTGCTACTGGCATCTAGCGGATGGAGGCCTGGAATGCTGCTCAGAGCCCTGCCACGTGCAGGCCAGCGCCCACAGTGGAAAGGTCCGGCCCAAATGTCCATCTGGACTAGGGCCGAGAGTCTCTGCTTTACAGCAGCTACACAATTTCCCGTCAAACAGTTACGTGTGTACTTGTTTAATACTTGTCTCCAACAGTTCTTAATTTCCCTGGGGACAAAAAATAGATCTGTCTGGCTCATCCCAATGCCCGAGCACCAGGCAGAAGTGTTTAGTAAAGACTGAGTGAATAAATAATGGTACTAGCTCAGGTTGATTTGGCACCACTCTGCCAGCCAACAGCCCTGTGAGTTCATCCATTTGACAGATGAGGAAACTGAGGCTCAGTGACCTCTATGTCGGGGATACGGGGTCTGTTAACTAGAATATTAGATCAAACAGAAGCACACACTCAAGCGATTCGCCTGGGGGTGAATGGTATTTCTGGGTGCCAAAAGGCCCTCGTTTGGGGAAATTCCCACCCAGGGACGGGAGCTGAATGCTCTGAGCTTTCCGGGCTGCTCAGGCCTTTCCTGAGATGAGGGTGGCTATGGGCCATGTCACTGCGCCACCTTGTGGCCACAATGGGGGTTGCAGCTTCCTGGGTGACAGGAAGGCGCTTCTCTCTGTAGCTCTGCGGAGCAGGTGAAAAGCCTCCTGCCACTGCTGTGAGTACTCCAGGGCCTCGGAGACTCAGGCTAAAGGTGAGCAGGAGGCTAGGGGCTTGGTCAGGGGTAGCTGAAACCAGAAGTGGGAAGCAAAAGCTCTGGTTCTCCCCTTCCCTGTGATCTCAGGGTGTCACTTCCCTTCTCTAGGCCTCAATTTGTCTGGAAAATGGGAAGAGTCGACACAGATCTGACAATGGGGAAGCAACTGAGGCCTGGAAGACGAAGTGGCTCCCCCGGGGCAGGGCACAGGCCGACCGGCACTCACCGAGGTGTAGGCCCGCCCACACATGCTGCAGCAGTAGGCCTTGGCGTGCTTGATGGCGTGGGCCGAGAGGTGGATCTGCAAAGAAGCGGAGTCCGAATAGGCCCGGTAGCAGTTGGGACACTTGTAGGGCTTGTCCTTGTTGTGCTGGCGCTGGTGAGACTGTAGGGGCACAGCAGGGGGTCAGGAGAGGAACAGGGCTCCCTCACCCCACCCCCTTCCTACGCTTCCTTGTGGGGGTGGGTGGGGGGGCACCAGAGCACCTGGTGGGCAGGAGGCAGGCAGGCACTCACCTGGAGGTTGGAGAGCTGAGTGAAAGCCTTCTCGCAGCCAGGATGTGGGCACTTGTAGGGTCTGTCGCCTGTGTGGATTCTGTAATGGGCAGCCCAGTAAGGTCGAAGTCCCTGACACACACCCCAAGACCGCTCCAGTTCCCAAGTCCTTACTCTGGCCCCTAAGCCTCTCGGTCCCTACCCTGCCCATGCTCCCCAAGGACCAAGAGTGAGCCCAGGCAAGAGCTGGGGACTTCAACGGCCATGGCTCTTCCTTCCTTCTCTGGCCTCCACTGCCAGTCTGACCAGAGCCTCCTACTTCCCACAGGTCCCAGCTGTCCCCAGCCCACCACCAGAGCCCTTGCAGCAACCCAGTGCAGGCCTCGGAGAGGGCCTGATTTGGCTGCCCCTCTCTTTGAAAACCCCACACTACGGACCACATATTGCAAAGAACACAGATGCACAGCTTTGTCGGGACCTTCCCTGCCCACCCAGCCTCCTTCCCTAAGAAGAAGGAGACATCTCCCTCTAATTGGCCCCAGACACTTATTTCCTGTCCCTACCCCATGTCAGGCACATCTCCGTGACAGCTGCATGGTCACCCCAGTAAATGGGAGAATGTGGGACAGCATGGCCCTGAAGCTCAGCCCCTCTGTGTCCTTCCTGAGAGCTCCTTCTGTCCCTGCCACTCCTGGGTTCTCATCCTGGCTATTAACCAGCTGGGTGACCTTGGACAAACCACTGAGCATCAGTTTCCTCATCTGCAAAATGGGTATAAAAATACAGTTCCTATCTCATCGGGCTTTGTGAAGATAACATCAGATAATGCATGTAAAGGGCTTAGCCTAGTGTTGGTACAAAGTAAGCACTCAACGTTTGCCAGTTATCGTTATTCATTCACATTCATTACATTGGGTACCCATGCCCCAGGCACTGTGCTAGGTATTTGGAATATATCATGAACAAAACAGACAAAAGCCACTGCCTGGAGGAAATAAGCAACAAGCGTGAAATAAGTAAATCACATGTAGAAGGTAGTAAGTTCTGTGGGAAAAACAACAAGATGGGGAGACCATGAGTGACGGGAAGGAGGGATACAGTTTTAAACGGAGATAAGGGCCTCATGAGGAAGGTGACACTGGGGCAGTGACTTGAGGGCTGATGACCCTGTACCTGCCCAACAGCCCAGGTGAGGATGGAGCTGTGGACTGGGTGATGATGTCCACAAATGGAGCTCAGCAGCCTGGCATGCACTAATAGTGGCCTTCCCTGCTTTCCACACTCATGCCTTTGCACCATCTCCCTGGGCGTGTCTTCAAGCATCTGTTTGGGCAAATCTGCTGTACCAAGCAGGTGAGCAATGAAATGCCAGCTGGGCCTGCACCTTGTTTGCCTAATTTGTTGAGGAACAGAAGTGGAGGGGAATATCCAGATTTTATCAAAAGGGTGTCCACTCCTTCCTTCCAAGGCCCCAGCCCCTCTCACTGACTGGGTTTGCCATCAGCCCATCAACAAACTCATCAAAGAAACTAAAGCCCCTCTGGCCAGGCCCAGTGTTAGACTTAGAGACACAGGGTTGAGTAAGAAACACTCCCTGCTACCAATAAGCCCATTGGCTGCCATTATAAACACTGACAAAGTCCAAATTCCTTATATGTCATTCAAGCCTTCACCAGGTGGTCCAGCATCCCCTCCCTGCTCGTACGCACCCTACGTCCTGGTCAGATAATGATTCTTCCCTGCCAGCCATGTCTGATAAGTCTCCCCACACCTCTGCTATGTCTGCATCCTCAGCACTGGGACCTCCCCAGCTCTTTTGCCCAGTAAATGTCAGCTCATCCTTCCAGATTCGTTGGCGAGTGGGGCTCTGCGGAATCTCCCGAGCGAACTGCTCACCCCACAGGCTTCCAGAGCACATTCCTCACCACAGAGCCAACCCCACTGGACTCTCAAGGCCTCCCACACTTCTCTCCCCTGCTAGATGGGGAATCCCGAGGGCAGGGACGGGCCCCAGTCTCAGGATCAAGGCCTGGGGTCTGGCCTTCCACAACAGCTGTGCCAAGAGAAGCTGGGCTGACCCAGTTCTGAGCACCCCTGCACATTTCTGGATGTCACATGTTTCAGGATCCCATCCCAGGCTGCTGCACCGTCTCTACAATGGAAGGACCTTAAGGGTCATCTGGACCAACTCCGCCTGAGGCCAGCATCCTCTTCACTTCATCCCATCCTCATTCTCTCTAGGGCTGGGGAATTCGTTTACTTAGGCTCCCCATCACCTAATCCTTAAGGGTCCCCAGGACTCACACTGCCTTTGTTTTAAACCCCACAACCAAGTCCAGGACCAGACGGATTCACAGCCGAGTTCTACCAGAGGTACAAGGAGGAGCTGGTACCATTCCTTCTGAAACTATTCCAATCAATAGAAAAAGAGGGAATCCTCCCTAATTCATTTTATGAGGCCAGCATCATCCTGATACCAAAGCCTGGCAGAGACACAACAAAAAAAAGAGAATTTTAGACCAATATCCCTGATGAACATCGATGCAAAAATCCTCAATACAATACTGGCAGACTGAATCCAGCCACACATCAAAAAGCTTATCCACCATGATCAAGTGGGCTTCATCCCTGGGATGCAAGGCTGGTTCAACATACGCAAATCAATAAATGTAATCCAGCATATAAACAGAACCAACGACAAACACCACATGATTATCTCAATAGATGCAGAAAAGGCCTTTGACAAAATTCAACAGCCCTTGTTGCTAAAATCTCTCAATTAATTAGGTATTGATGGGACGTATCTCAAAATAATAAGAACTATTTATGACAAACCCACAGCCAATATCATACTGAATGGGCAAAAACTGGAAGCATTCCCTTTGAAAACTGGCACAAGACAGGGATGCCCTCTCTCACCACTCCTATTCAACATAGTGTTGGAAGTTCTGGCCAGGGGAATCAGGCAGGAGAAAGAAATAAAGGGTATTCAATTAGGAAAAGAGGAAGTCAAATTGTCCCTGTTTGCAGATGACATGACTGTATATCTAGAAAACCCCATCGTCTCAGCCCAAAATCTCCTTAAGCTGATAAGCAACTTCAGCAAAGTCTCAGGATACAAAATCAATATGCAAAAATCACAAGCATTCTTATACACCAATAACAGACAGAGAGCCAAATCATGAGTGAACTCCCATTCACAATTGCTTCAAAGAGAATAAAATACCTAGGAATTCAACTTACAAGGGATGTGAAGAACCTCTTCAAGGAGAACTACAAACCAGTGCTCAATAATAAATAAATAAAAGAGGATACAAACAAATGCAAGAACATTCCATGCTCACGGATAGGAAGAATCAGTATCGTGAAAATGGCCATACTGCCCAAGGTAATTTATAGATTCAATGTCATCCCAATCAAGCTACCAATGACTTTCTTCACAGAATTGGAAAAAACTACTTTAAAGTTCATATGGAACCAAAAAAGAGCCTGCATTGCCAAGTCAATCCTAAGCCAAAAGAACGAAGCTGGAAGCATCACGCTACCTGACTTCAAACTATACTACAAGGCTACAGTAACCAAAACAGCATGATACTGGTACCAAAACAGAGATATAGACCAATGGAACAGAACAGAGCCCTCAGAAATAATGCCACACATCTACAACTATCTGATCTTTGGCAAACCTGACAAAAACAAGAAATGGGGAAAGGATTCCCTATTTAACAAATGGTGCTGGGAAAACTGGCTAGCCATATGTAGAAAGCTGAAACTGGATCCCTTCCTTACACCTTATACAAAAATTAATTCAAGATGGATTAAAGACTTAAATGTTAGACCTAAAACCATAAAAACCCTAGAAGAAAACCTAGGCATTACCATTCAGGACATAGGCATGGGCAAGAACTTCATGTCTAAAACACCAAAAGCAATGGCAACAAAAGCCAAAATTGACAAACGGGACCCAATTAAACTAAAGAGTTTCTGCACAGCAAAAGAAACTACCATCAGAGTGAACAGGCAACCTACAGAATGGGAGAAAATTTTTGCAATCTACTCATCTGACAAAGGGCTAATATCCAGAATCTACAAAGAACTCAAACAAATTTACAAGAAAAAAACAAACAACCCCATCAACAAGTGGGCAAAGGATATGAACAGATACTTCTCAAAAGAAGACATCTATGCAGCCAAAAGACATATGAAAAAATGCTCATCATCACTGGCCATCAGAGAAATGCAAATCGAAACCACAATAAGATACCATCTCACACCAGTTAGAATGGCAATCATTAAAAAGTCAGGAAACAACAGGTGCTGGAGAGGATATGGAGAAATAGGAACACTTTTACACTGTTGGTGGGACTGTAAACTAGTTCAACCATTGTGGAAGTCAGTGTGGCGATTCCTCAGAGATCTAGAACTAGAAATACCATTTGACCCAGCCATCCCATTACTGGGTATATACCCAAAGGATTATAAATCCTGCTGCTATAAAGACACATGCACACGTATGTTTATTGCGGCACTATTCACAATAGCAAAGACTTGGAACCAACCCAAATGTCCAACAATGGTAGACTGGATTAAGAAAATGTGGCACATATACACCATGGAATACTATGCAGCCATAAAAAATGATGAGTTCATGTCCTTTGTAGGGACATGGATGAAGCTGGAAACCATCATTCTCAGCAAACTATCGCAAGGACAAAAAACCAAACGCCGCATGTTCTCACTCATAGGTGGGAATTGAACAATGAAAACACTTCGATGCAGGAAGGGGACCATCACACACCGGGGCTTGTTGTGGGGTTATACCTAATGTAAATGACGAGTTAATGGGTGCAGCACACCAACATGGCACATGTATACATATGTAACAAACCTGCACGTTCTGCACATGTCCCCTAGAACTTTAAGTATAAATAAAAAAATAAAAAAAAACCCACCCAGCCACAGTGGCCTTGCACTAGCTCCTCCAGCACTGAGCCCTTGCCCACCTCCAATCCTTTATCCAAGCTGTTCCCTCTACCAGGAACACCTGTTCCTCAGTTAACACCTGGCTAAAACCCAACTCCTGATCTGAGCATACAAGTCCCTTTATCAGGGCAGCCTTCCCTGACCCCCTAGACCAGGTCAGGCTCCCTGCGGCCCACCTCGCAGGAAACAAAGACATCGGCTTCCCAGAAGTCTCTGCATGGGTACTTATTTTCTCCATGTCTGGTCACTGTGTTCCTTCAGAGGAACTCCCTTGGGCTCATTCCCCACCATCACCCCAGCGCCTGGCATGGGCTCAGCACAGAGGGGATTCCATAAATAGACACAGACTGAATGAAGGAAAGCAAGTTCTTTCTCCCTGAAGTCAATCATTGACAAGAGAAATAGGTTCCACATTATCAGCGACTTCCATGCTCTGGGTGTATTTCATGAGGGTTTGCTCACTGACTGACCGACAGTCCTCCAGTGGATTCAGCTCCTTCCTCAGGAACCAGCCAAGCCCTCTTGACCAGTAAGTTGCCCCTCTGGCCTCCTCCCATGCACGTGCAACAACTGCCCGGCCTCCCCCTTGACTCCCAGCCTCAGCCTCTCTCCGCCAGGCCTCGGCACGGCTGAAGCTGCAGGGCTCTGACCTGGTCACAGCCCAGTCTGGCAACCTCCATGGTCTCCCTCTTTTTCCAGGACAGAGTCCATATCCCCTTCCCCAGCTTGCAAGGCCCTTCACATTCTGGCCTTGGTTTCTAAGGCCTCCTCCTCTGCCACTGCGCTCCTGAGAGGAGCATCTTACCAACCTCCCCCAACACACATGCAGATGCAGCCTCCCGGCGGGCCTCGAGCCTTTGCTCATGTCGTTCTTCCTCTGACTGGGGAGGGCTGTGGACCCCTCTGTACTCAACCCAGATGATCCCCCGCAACCTCCACCTCCTACTTCCCTCTCTCAAGGAAGTTTCCACATCTGCCATCCTCCTAGGTCACAGTGGCAGGGGCCTGCCTCTGCCCGCTCCTGTGTCCCTGTGCATGGCACCCAGCATGGGGCTGGCTCAGAAAAAGCTTCAGGGAGCAACTGTTGGATAAGGAAGGACCAGGCTACCTGTTCTTTTAGCCACAAAGCTCTTGTCTTCAGTCCCTGAACTTCAAGTCAAGCCTAAGCCCTCAATTCTAACATCAGAATCCTCTCTCTGTAGGGCATCTTCCCACTAGGGGAGCACCCAGCCCCAGCTCCCACATCTGCGGCGATGGGAAGTCCACCCCTGACTCTAGGTGGTCACGCTTCTTTTTTTTTTTTTTTTTTTGAGACAGAGTCTCGCTCTATCGCCGAGGCTGGAGTGCAGTGGCACAATCTCAGCTCACTGCAACCTCCGCCTCCCCAGTTCAGCGATTATCCTGCCTCAGCCTCCCAAGTAGCTGGGACTACAGGCCTGTGCCACTGTGCTCGGCTAATTTTTTTGTATTTTTAGTAGACCACCATGGTTCAAGACCACGTCAGCCAGGCTAGTCTCAAACTCCTGACCTCAAGTAATCCACTCACCTCAGCCTCCTAAAGTGCTGGGATTACAGGAATGAGCCACCACCGCACCCGGCTGGTGGTCACTCCTCTTTAGGCAGCACAAGGAAGCTGAGCTGAAGCTAGTGGCCCTGGACTACCCCACTTCACCCCCCACTGTCCCAGTCCCACCCAGGGGCTCCAAAGACTTGCTCTTCTCTCTTGCCTGGCACTGCCATCCCCAAGTGCTTCTTCTGCAGCCTGATGCCCCAGCCCTTCCTTCTTTCTGAACTGGGCTGCTTCTTGGTGCTCTGCACTCAAATCTTGCTTCTGCCACCTCTTAGCCGGGTAACCTGGGGCAGGTGACTCTGCCTCCCTCAGCCTCAGTTTCCCCCTCTCTAAAATGGGGATAATAGACTATAAGAATTTAATGGGTGTTCATAAAATATTTTTGCAGTGTTAGTTTTTAATACATTAATTTCTATTTAAGTTAAGCAACTTATGAAAACAGAGGAAACGTATTCAATGTTTCAATAAAATTATTAAGGATTCATGAATTATCACTTTTATTTCTCAGCCATGATATGGCTTTTGGCATGTCGTGTTTTTTAACTAAAACAATGGTCATAGATATATGAAGGTTAAACATTCCTTGAGAGGATTCCCCCTCTGTGGCATTTTTCAAATTCATTATCTCTTATGAAGAAATAACAAATTCACACTGTACAGGGATTTTATGGACACCTTGTATATTAAAACACCTTAAGCAGGACCTGGCACACAGAAGTTCTTTAATAAGGAATAGTTGTCGTTGTTATTAGCATTATTATCAGACTTGAAAAAACTAAAAGGACACTTTCCCCTGCTGCAATGATCATTAGGCATGTACATAACATCACTCTGTCAGGAAAAGAAAAACAAAAACAAAACCCCTTTGCACCCTGAATAAACAGACAAATCCAGAGTCACTCTGTCTAGTTCTAGTTCCACAAATAGATAAAACTTTCAGCCATTTCCTATAACTTAACTTCCTCCCAAAACAATGGTTGGTTTGTTTGTTGTTTGTTTGTTTAGATAGGATCTCTGTCACCCAGGCTGCAGTGCAGTGGCGTGATCTCAGCTCACTGCAGCCTCTACCTCCTGGGTTCAAGGAATCCTCCCACCTCAGTCTCCTGAGTAGCTGGAGCTACAACACATGCTACCACACTCGGCTAACTTTTTAATTTTCTGTAGAGATGGGTCTCAACATGTTGCCCAGGCCAGTCTCAGACTCCTGGTCTCAAGCCCTGACTCCCACACTGTGATATCTGCAGGTACAGACGACCCTTACACATACACTAACTGCACGAGACAATGCTGGTTTTCTACCATGAACAGACTAACAAGAACAGAAAATGTTCTATTTTCTCTATAAATCCATGTGGTGTTTATTATGTAGAGGGCTGATCCTTCTGAAGCCTGGACTTGTTCAACACTTTGCAAGTCCCTCACTTTGCTTGTGCCTTCCTTTCACGCTGCAGGCCAATTAAGATGCTCCAACGCCACTCAACCGCCTCACTCCGACCATGCTCCCAAGCACAACCTTCTCAACTCCCAGGGTGGATCTTGCTTGCCCTCTTGCTAACTCTACCTCTATTGCTTGACCGGGGCTGGCTCTGTTTTGGACATGACCTTCTTTTATGCCCTTCATTAGTGGCTGTAACATTGGGAAGATGGATTTGATTATATGATCTGATGCCTGGTTCTCTGCCAAGGGACAAATAAGTAGGAAAGGGCCTCCGTCAAATAGCAGAGGACAAGGAATCTGGAATCTGGTTGTTTCTTCAGCTTTGGCTTTGTTTGTTTGTTTGTCTAAAGAATCCTGGGAGTTCTGGGCATGTGGGACACTCGCCTCTTTGCCACTGAGTTAGGACATATCAGTTTAATTATATGTGCAAGCGTCTAGTGACTTATAAACTGTCTTCCAAATGTTGATAGAATCCTCTTTTGTTGTTTGTTTGGTTTCCTGCCATTATGAACTCAAATTAGTCCAAAAGAGAGAGAGAGAGGGAAAAAAAAAATTGTGCCCTCAGGAATGGAGAATAATCCCTGAGTCAAAGAACATTCTGGCAAAATATTCTCCTCTCCTTCAAAGGCCTGTTAATTTTTTGTTGCTTTTTTTTTGGTCATGTTCTCAAATAATATTTTTAAACAAAGTCTACTTCTTGGAAAAAAAAAACAGAATTCTTCATCATTATTATCACTTGCTCTTGTGTTTATTAGCTTGCCTGTTCTGTCAACTTTGTGCTGTCGCCTTTCTCAGATCCAGGTCCCCACTCAGAAAGATAAAATTGTCAAGGTGCAAATGCAAATACAATTGCTCTTGGCATTTCCAGACGGCTGCTGGGCAACACCAAAGATTTGCTCCCTTGTTTTACAAAAGGAGGGATGCTTACAATGATTGGGTTTTGTATTCTTCTTTTTTTGTTGTTTTTTGTTTTTTTGTTTTTTGAGACAGGGTCTTGCTCTGTCACCCAGGCTGGAGTGCAGTGGTGCGATCTCAGCTCACCGCAACCTCCGCCTCCCAGGTTCAAATGATTCTCCTGCCTTGGCCTCCTAAGTAGCTGGAATTACAGGCACCCGCCACCACACCTGGCTAATTTTTGTATTTTTAGTAAAGACAGGGTTTCACCATGTTGACCAGGCTGGTCTCAAACTCCTGACCTCAAGTGATTCACCCACCTTGGCCTCCCAAAGTGCTGTGATTACAGGCGTGAGCCATGGCACCCGGCCTATGTATTCTCCATGGTTTTAATTAGCCAAACACTAGAGTGACAGCTGCCCTACAAAGTTTGTAGCGTAAGAAAGTTGGCAAATAAAAAGAGAAACTCAACCTCCCTGGGTTAATTTTATACATACATAAACATATAATATGTATAACATATAATATGTTCTTGTGCACTTTTTAAGATGGACCAAAAAAACCTAATCTAATGCACAGAGGCTGGCATAACAAGCATCAACAAAGACATTTCTTTAAGAAGATTTTGTCTCTAGATTTAGAATGCCCTAAACAATTAGTGATAATGCTTTATGGGATTAAAAGACCCTGAAGATGGGCCAGTGCGCTTGCTGCCAATAACATTTTTTTGTTGTTGGTGAGATGGGGTCTTGCTCTGTCACCCAGGCTGCAGTGCAGTGGCATGATCTCGGCTCACTGCAACCTCTGCCTCCCGGGTTCAAGTGATTCTCCTGTCTCAGCCTCCCGAGTAGATGGGACTACAGGCATGCACCACCACACTCGGCTAATTTTTGTACTTTTAGTAGAGACGGAGTTTGACCATGTTGGCCAGGTTGGTCTCGAACTCCTGACCTCAAGTGATCCACCTGTCTCAGCTTCCCAAAGTGTTGGGATTACAGGGGTGAGCCACCGTGCCAGCCTACCATGTTTTTAATTTGAAAAATTGATCATGATTATACCTTAATAGAGGACTCCATTGTCCTCCATTGTGATATTGTTGATTATTACAATTAACTAAGCAGAATCATTTGTTCTAGTCAACAGGTCTGATTTTTACCCTCACACTTGCTTAATTAAAGGCCTCTGCTTTGAGCTAGAAAAGACAAATGCATACAGGCTGCCACGTTGACATCCTCTTCTTGACCAGACACTGCCAGAGGCCAAGGTAGGCTCCAAGAGTCCTTGCTCCAGAAGTAGATAACTTTGAAAGCAGGCTAACTAACCCAGGATCAGAGGAACAGGAATTTTTCCCCAGGACTGGATGAAACTGATTTCACCCTTAATGTTCTAATTTTCTAAAGGTCTTTTTTTTTCTTTATTACTGTCGCTAATCCTCAATTTAGGAGGCTGTATTCAATAAACTGGAATAAAATATTCCTAAAATGGTGCCTTCTTCCTTCTTCCAACTAACTCTTCAGAATTCTGGGGGTGAGGGTGGGAGGGGGACTATAAAAACCTAACATAGATATGAAATAATAAATCATCAAGGAAATGTTCAAATAATCATTCTATTGAAAACAACAAATGTAATTGGCCTTATCTACAAAACTACTAGGAATAATAGCTAAAAACTCTTCAAAGTACCTTTGCTGAGACCCTTTTCTTTTACGATCATTAGTTCTGTAAACAGGATCTGTAAGAATCTGTCCTCCTTCCTAACAGGATATAATTGGGTAAATCAAATTTGTAACCATGGCTGTGCCAGAAATGTCACAGTTAAAGACAAATTTCATTTAATTAGGCATGACAAGCCTGAGAGTAAGAAACAAGGACTGCACTTCAAAAGTGGGAATGAGGCCTCCCCGGGCCTCCAGGAAACCGGACTGGACCTGCTTATGGCTTGTGGAATTTCAGCCTTTAAGGTTATAAAAAGACATCAATCTCTGCTTGTTCAGAAACACTGACAAACGAAGATTCTCCAAAAAAAGGGTAACCGCCACATTACACGTTGTATAGGCACAATCTGGCAGAGGTGAATTGGATGGTTCTAGGTTCCTGATCTCTAATAATATAAAATTTTTTCACATACATACACACATACACAATTCTGGCCTGGAGGCCTTACAAAGTCTCCTAACAGAGTTAACTCTCAAGCTTTTCTATCAAATGCTCTTTAAGAACCATACAACTGGGAGGACTTTATCAATCAACACCTTGTTACATACATCTCTGTACATAAACCTGGCCAAATTTTTTAAAAATCAAAGTAGCAACAAAATCAGAAAATTGCTGAAACTAACTTACATGGTCAGACTTGTGCCTTGGGAGGCATGGTAACGAGAAAACAGACTGACACCTGGCCCTGCTGCCATTGTACCATTTTATTCTTTTATTATTTTTTTTCTTTTGAGACAGGGTCTCACTCTGTCCCCCAGGCTGGAGTGCAGTGGTGTGACATCAGCTCACTGAAGCCTCGACCTCCTGAGTTCAAGCAATCGATCCTCCCACCTCAGCCTCCCAAGTAGCCGGGACTACAGGCATGCACCATTACTCCCAGCTAATTTTGTATTTTTCTGTAGCAATGGGGTTTTGCCATGTTGCTGGTCTCGAACTCCTGAGTTCAAGTGATCAACCCATCTCAGCCTCCCAAAGTGCTAGAATTACAGGCATGAGCCACTGAGCCCAGCCTGCCATTTGATTCTTACTATCATACCCACATATCATGTCCCAAAGTCAGAGAAATAGACAAGGTAAAACATCTTGCACCCAGGGATAAAGGATTCAAAGACAATGGAGATAAACGAATAAATGACAAAAACAAAAAAAGCAAATAAAAAATAGAGCCCTTCTCATGGTGGCACACGCCTGTAATCCCAGCTACTTGGGAAGCTGAGGAGGCAGAGGTTGCAGTGATCCGAGATCATGACACTGCACTCCAGCCTGGGCAATAGAGTGAGACTCTGTCTCAAAAAAATAGAGCCCTTCTGTATAGTATTAGTCCTCAAAACAGAAAAAACCTTGAATTCTTTCTGTAAATTACAAACTCCACAACAAAAACCAGTTTTATCCCTGACTTTTACAATGCTGATATTGGCAAACACGTGACAATGCTCACACAGATGATCATCGTCATGTGAGAAAACGGTGCTGCTTCCCCTCTGAACAGAGGGACTGCAATCTTGGTAATCTTTGGCTTGTTTTTAAAAATACCAATGGTATTTTTATTTGGTGAGCCAGTCTTTCTGATGTCTATACCCTCCTGCACAAACTTTTTTTTTTTTTTTTCTCTTGAGACAGAGTTTCACTCTTGTCATCCAGGCTGGAGTGCAATGGCGCAATCTCGGCTCACTGCAGCCTCCATCTCCTGGGTTCAAGCGAGTCTCCTGCCTAAGCCTCCCAAGTAGCTGGGATTACAGACGCCCACCACCACACCCAGCTAATTTTTGTATTTTTAGTAGAGATGGGGTTTCGCCACGTTGGCCAGGCTGGTCATGAACTCCTGACCTCAGGTGATCCACCCGCCTCAGCCTCCTAAAGTGCTGGGATTACAGGTGTGAGCCACCGCACCCAGCCACAAATTTTTCTTAAAGCATTTATAGCTTTGAGTCTCCCTTTCACACACTCAACTAGACTGTATGCCCCACGAAGGCAGAGATTTTCGTCTGTTTTCTTCCTTGCTGTATCCTCAACATCTAGAATAGTGTCTGGCATAGAGTAAAAGTTTCTATAAGTATTTGTTAAATGGATGAATCATATGCTCTGTAAAAACCAGTTATATTTATTCCAAAATATTTAATAATTGCTTATTTTGTGCCACAAACTGGGGATATGGAAATGGAGGAGACTGAGCTCTTGCCTTCAAGAACTCCCAGTAGATTGAGTGAGGTGGGCAGATAAAGAGACACGGGCGTGACAGCCTACCACTGCTATGATGGACATGCACAGAGCCCTGTGGGGACACAGAGGTCGGGTCCCTCACCCAGCTAGAGCAATCAGGGAGGGCTTCCTGGAGGAAGCTAGACTGAGAGAGGACAAGGGGATGGCCAGAGAAACAGGGAAAAGCGGGAGAGGGGTGTCTCTCTGGTAAAGGACACAGCATGTGCAAAGACCTAGAGATGAGAAACAGTGGGGACGGGGTGCAGTAACAACAGCTGAGGCCAGTGAGGTCCACAAGGGCCGTGACCCCGAGGGCAATGGGCACCTGGAGAAGGTCCTTGCCCCTCCTTGCACTGGCTCCATGTGCCAGGCCACGGGTGCTGAGCTGAGTCGGGCTGCAGCAGGGCAGCAGGCAGGCCACTCACCTGGTGTGCTGCTGGAGGTGGGAGAGCTGCCGGAAGGACTTATCACAGTAGGAGCAGTGGTAGGGCTTGACGCCCAGGTGGATGCGCAGGTGCTGGGCCAGGTAGGAGGCGTTGGCAAAGGACTTGGAGCAGTGCGGGCACTTGTGGGGCTTGGCCTCTGTGTGCGACTTGGAGTGGATCTGCATCTCTGACTTGGTGAAAAAGGTCAGTGGGCATACCTTACACCTGCGGAGCAAGAGACAGGTTCACGTGGGAAGATCCCCCAGACTGTCCATCTCAGGGGAGGCCTTCTACATCAGAGAGACCTTGCACCTGGGACAGGTCTTTCCTGTGATGAGCCCAAGAAGCACAGGACCACCTGGGAAAGACAGGGGACAGTCTCCCAGCCTGGGCACCCTTAAATCTGGAGGAGGAAGCTCTTGCCTGGGGGAACATTACAGAGCCTGGAGCATAGGTTACACCTCATAGGGAAGACAGGCCTGATCCTGGTGAGGGTTTGCCCAGGGCTATATCCCACGGTTCTGGGCAGGAGGCGCTACCACGTGAAGTAGTTCTCAACCAGGCTGCTCATTAGAATCATCTGGGGAGCGTCTAAGAAATACCAACGCCTGCCCCACCCTCCATACTTTCCATCCTCAGAAAATTAACTCAGAATTCCTGGAGATGCAGCCCTGGCATCCGCATTTTCTGAAAGCTCTTCAGGTGATTCTTTAAAATTGTTGTTGTTGTTGTTGTTGTTGTTTGAGACAGAGTCTCACCCTGTCACCCAGGTTGGAGTGCAGTGGCCCGACCTCGGCTCACTGCAGCCTCTGCCTCCCAAGTTCGAGTTATTCTCTTGCCTCAGCCTCCTGAGTAGCTAGGATTACAGGGGCGCACCACCATGCCCGGCTAACTTTTGTATTTTTTGTAGAGACGAGGTTTCACCATGCTGGCCAGGCTGGTCTCAAACTCCTGACCGCAGGTGATCCACCCGCCTTGGCCTCCCAAAGCGCTGGGATTACAGGGATGAGCCATTGTGCACGGCCTCTTCAGGTGATTCTAAGGTGGCCAGGGTTGAGAACACTGCTTAAAGGGAGGAGGAAACCGACTCTCACAACCCCAGGCTGTGGGGGTGGCTGCCAGCCACAGACCACACCTAAGGGTCCAAGCCTCTATTCCCCTCCCCAGCAGCCCTCCCCGAACTGGGACTTGGGATGTGGGTGGGGCTCTCCAGAAGGCCCCGCCCCTCTGGACCCTAGCCCTGCCCCTCAGCCCTAAGGGTCCTGTTTCAGCCCCGCTGCTGGGCTCCTGGAGCAGCCCTGGCTCAAGCCCCAGCCCCAAGCCCACTCGGACCCCATCCCGCCAAGACCCCCACCTGTACGTCTTGCCCTCCTTGGCAGTCTCGCCCGAGGCCAGGATGGGATAGGGGACTACAAGGACAGGCGGACCCCCCGGGTTCTCCGCCTTGATCTTTTTGCGGCCGCGTTCGGACTTGGGGGGGCCAAGCAGGCCGTGGCCCTGGATTGTCTTGATGGAGTCCAGGAGAGGGGGGCTGGTGATCCCTGAGATGAGGGTGGGGGACGAGGCGATGAGGCGGCTCTGGCTGGTGGTGGTGGGTGTGGACGGGGTGCTGGTACCCGTGCCCGTGCCCGCGCCCGCGCTTGACTCAGAAGTGCTCACAGACGGGGTCCGGGTGGACAGCCCCAGACCTGCGAAGACAGGTGGGTGGGGGCAGGGGTGAGCGGAGCTGCAGAGGCCAGCTCAGCTGCCCACCCAGCTATGTGATTTTGGCAGGCGAGCATCCCCTTAACGTTCATAAGTTATTACCCAGGGGTAACTAAATGAGACCTTGTGCATGTGTAAGATGCCTTAGACACCTTAAGATTAAATTGAGTTAGATAACAGGGGCACTTTGGAAAAATTCAAACTATAGAAAAATACTGAGGCACAAAGAAGTTCACTGCCGTCTTATTTATAACAGCAAAATTTTAGAGGCAACTGAAATATGCAACATTAGGGAAGGATTCGGTAAACAGCAATTAATTGCCTCTACTGAACTGCCCATTGAAAAGGAGGTTATGTTTGTTTAAGCAAACTACGTATGTATGCACACAAAAAAATAAGTAGGAAAGAACGTGCCAAAATGTGATATGGATAGTAGATCAGGAGTAATAAAAAAAAAAAAAGAGGCTTAACTGTGCTTGATTCTTTGACAATGAGCGTTTTAAAAACTTCTGTAATAAAAGTTATTCTTTTAAAAATGATAGGACTAGAAACATAATATCAACTGAAGCAAACAAAATCATGAAAATGGTACCTATTGTGTGGTTCTATGTTTTTTTAAAAAAAAAAAAACTAAAAATTTGTGCATTGAAAAAGATAATGTCAAGTTGGCAGGAGAATGTTTTATATCATACACTGGTGGTGGGAGTGTACATTTGCAAAGCCTTAATGAAGCCTTAATGTTAATGAAGGGTAGTCTGGCAACAGCCATTAAAATTTAAACATGGCCAAGCACGGCGGCTCACGCTTGTAATCCCAGCACTTTAGGAAGCTGAGGTAGGAGTATCACTTGAGCCCAGAAGCTGAAGACCAGCCTGGGCAACGTGGCAAAACCCTGTCTCTACAAAAATTACAAAAATTAGCTGGGTGTGGTGGCGTGTGCCTGTAGTCCCAGCTACTAGGGAGGCTGGGGTGGGAGGATCACTTGAGCCCCAGAGGTCGAGGCTTCAGTGAGCCATGATCACACCACTGCACTCCAGCCTGGGTAACAGAACAAGACCCTACTCTTAAAAAAAATAATTAATTTAAATAAATTTTAATGTATACAACTTTTGGCCAAGCAATTCTACTTCTAGAAATTTACAATAAAGAAATATTCCCACATGAGCACAAAGATGTGTGTACATATCCATACAAAATTGTGATCAGACAAAATTGGACACAACCTGTTTGTCCTCAGCATGAGCTTTGTAAAGAGCTGTGGTCCACTCTCATTAGGGAGAACTGCACAGCCACTAAAACAAGATCGATGTGATACAGTGACACAGAGAGAAGGTCGAAATGAGCTGTCAGGTGAAAAAAGCAAATCACAGACATACGAGGCCATCTATTTTAAAGAACACACACTCAAACTACATACGTAGTTTGGACAAGATATATGTGCATGTAAACGCACAGGAATAGATCTGAGAGGAGACACATCAAACTGCTAATTGTGGTTCTCTCTAGGGAAAGAGAATAATTTTTTGGTAAAAGGAGATTTTCATACTTTGTCTATCTGATTCTGTATTATTTGAATCTTTTACCTGGTGAATTTATCCATTTTTAACATCTGTGATTAAAGGACAAAATAAAATAAATTATAAACATATGAAAATTCTTAACAATAGTAGGATTAAGGCTATTTTTTCTCCTTTCAGCTTATCGGCAATTTCCAAATTTTCTATAATGACTATGTATTACCTTTATAATAAAAAGTGGAACATATATGTTTATGACAGAATGGTGAGTAGGAAAAGCAAGTTAAAATCATGGGTACAGCCCTACCACAAGCTCAGCAAAACACACATGAACATTGAAAAGCCAAAAATATGGCAAAGGAAGGAAATGGACCAACAGCCTCTCTGAGCTGCTCAGTTGGGAGCTGGGGATTATGAATGATTTTTTTGTTGCTAGTTTCTCTTTTTTCCAAATTTCCCTTAATATGCTTATATTACTTTTTAATATTACTTTTATAATGGAAAAAATAAATTTAATAAAATCATAATAACAGGGGACATACAGAGTGCGGCTGGGGCCTGGAGAGGTTTACCAGGCCCTGTAATTCTTGGGTCACTCTGGGAAAATGCAGGAGAGAAGGAGAGAGGCAGAAGCACCTGCCTAGCAGCAGGGGCGACAGGGGAGGAACAAAGGCCCAACCACTGAGGTCTCCCAAGAAAGCCTATCCACCAAGCTCCGAGGAGGCCTCCGGTGGCTCCAGCCCCTTGACATTATCCCAGGATGTCCGCCTGGCACCCCAGCCTCAACCTATCCAAGACTGAGCTCACATCTTTCCCCAACCCTGTTCTTTCTCCGGGGATTCCATCACAAGGGCGGTGCCCTGGGAGTCTCCCTCACCTCCTCCCTCCCCTCATGCTCCTACATCCTGTCCTCTCTTCTCCCACAATGTATCTCATATCTGTCCACTTCTCTCCATTCCCACTACCACGGCATTGCCCAGGCCACCACACTCCTGAAGGTCTCCCTGCTTCCATGCTTACCCCCTGACAACCGGGTCTCCACCTAGCAGCCAGACTCGGTTTTCTCAACCCGTATCTGAGTGTTTCCTCCCCTACTTAAAAACCTTCAGTGGTTCCCCACTGCCCAAGGGTCAAGTCCAAACCACTGTGTGGCCTACAGGGCCCTTTTTAATCTGGTCCCTGCTTCCTCGAAGCCTCAGCAGAACTCAGCATCAAAACAGAGTGAAGATACAGGCTCTGGAGCCACACTGCCGGCCTCTGCCTCTTACTAGCTGTAAACCGTGGTTGCACGTGGCTTTACCTTTCTCTGCCTCAGTTTCCTCATCTGTTGAATAGAGACATTAAGGTGAACTGCATGAAACTGCTGTTTTTCTAAGTCAAAACGGTCCAGTGTTCCACCTAATACCAACAGCACACACCTCACAGGCTGCTGGGAGTACAATGAACACTGGTGAACAGACACAGGCGCTCGACTGGAGCTAGCTGTCATCACCACCATCTTCCGGGCCTCCCCACCCCAGACGGTCTGTCCTACTCTTGCTTCCTACACACATACTCCCTCCGCCTGTGCGGTTCCCTCTTCCTGTCCCATTTCCCTGGTTTGCTGCCAACCTTTCCTCGCCTTTTGGCTCCTCCAAGGAAGTCTTCTCTTACCCCCTAAATCTGGTCAGGGTCGTTCTCTGGATTCCCAAAGAATCTCGTGATTTCCAAAGTTCTCTATGTGAACCTAACTTTCCTGGTGAGCCCCATGGGGCAGTGACCGGCTCCTGTCGTGTCCACTGGGGGGAGAAGGGTCCTTCCAGTACTGGGTCGTTGGAAGTCCGGTGCTGTGGCTCGTCGTGGCCAACCCCGCCACTCCAAGCTTTATGCCCTACCCCTAGGCCCTGCCCGCCCTGCTCTTACCTAGCCGGGTCCCATCCTCACCAAGTCCCCCGCTACGCCCGCCCCCTCCTGCCCAGTCCTCACCGGCCCCGCCGGCCCCGCCCGCTCGGCCTACCTGTGACGGTGCTGGTGGCCGGCCGTGCGTGCAGCGCCACGTCGGGCTGCGGCACCGCCTGTGGATGCAGCCCCGGCACCTGCTGCAGCTTGGGCAGCGACATGACGGCCTGGCTGCTCTCGGCGGGTGCCGGCGGCACTAGCAACGGCTGCTGCGACGAGGCCGACGTGGGCGGCAGGTGAGGCGGCCTGATCTTCTCGGCCATCAGCTGCTCCTTGATCTTGTTAATCAGAACCAGGTTGTCCAGCTGCGGGAAGAAGAGGACGGGCTGAGGAGGTCTGGACCACCTCCCGCCCCTTGCCCAGGCCCGCTGGTCCACCCGCGAGCCCCTCGCTCCTCACCCCGCTCCCCGCAGGCCACAGCCAAAACCCAGGGGAAGCGAAGCAGCGCCAAGGAGGGTAGGGCAGCCGGAGGGGCGACGTCAGTCTTACCTGGCTGGGCATGGTGGGAGGAGGGGGCCAGAAGTAGGGGTTGTTAAATCGAGGCTCGGCCATCCTGCGGGAAGAGAGCGACTGTCACCGGGAAGAGAGCCCTCCCCAAGGCCTGGGGCGAGCACCCCTCAGCTGCGCCCACTCAAGTCAGGGCCAGTGTCTGGGATCCATGTCCCCGTGGGTCCCCCAGCCTCACAGCACAGCAGGCCTCCCACCAGGCCAGGAAGCCACATCTCCAGGCTGAAAAACCTGGAATTCAGTGACACCCCCACCACCCCCCCTTAGTGGGCCCCATAGGGCAAAGGTCACATCCAGACCAGAGTACTCTCAACCAGCTCCCACCCCTATCACCCCAGTGCTGGCCAACCAATCTCCATCCCCCAGGAGGGCCCCAGGCTGCTGTGCCAACCCCGTAGGTTCCATACAGAAGGCCCCCCAAGTCCAGAGACAAACTGGGGAGGACTGCAGCAAATTTGTAAATGCCCATCCCTGATCCCTGCTCTTCTGCCCCCTGACCCCTTGAGTACGGACATCCTTCTCAAAATCAGGGGGCAACATGAGGTCACCAGATATAGCCTTTCTGAGGGGCAGTTTGGCAGGACAATTTACAGTGACCCAAATGATTATTGCCCTTTGACTCAAGAAATTGTACTTCTGGAAAGTTATCTTCAAGAAACAGGCCACGTGTGGTTGTTCAATGTCACGTGCAACATCTGACCTACAACGACGTGGATGAGAATGCTGTGGTTATGGAGGGGGCTGAAGAGGCTGAAGCTAGGGCAGTCTGCGGCTCTTTGGTAAAAGTGTGTGACAAACTGTCTGGTGGCCCTCACCTCTGGCAAGTTCCATGGCAGGCCTGTGCGGTTAGAAGGCCTTTTCAACCAGGGCAGTATGAAGGATGGGCCTTCAGGGCTATCTCAGTCTTCCAGAAGGTTTGTCTTCCTGCTACCCTAGAGTAAGTCAAGAAGTGACTTACAGGGACCATGCCTCACAGAGGGTTTCCATTAAGTCTTGCTCCCTGTCAAGTTTCTCGTATCTCTCTCTTACAGAAATCACTTGCCTAACTGGTATTATTGCTTAAATGAAATTGTTTATTTTGACAGGAAAGACCAAAATGAAGTGCTTTCAACCTCTTTTCCTGATTCTATGAGCTTGAGAAACCCCTATTGGAATGGTAGCTATAGGGCTTCGGGAGAAAACCCTCAATAAGGACACAATCTAATCTCAATATTTTAAGAAAGAAATTTTAGATGAATTATCTCTTGTGATCTTTACTTGAAAGTAGGCACAAGAGGTATTATTATACCATTTTATCAGTGAAGAAACTGAGGCTCAGAGAGAGGGGAAGGAGGAGACCTGTCCAAGGCCACAAAGCGAAGGTGCCACAGTCAAAACTAGAAATCAGATTTGCTCAAGCTGGTTCCTCTGGGGAATTTGCTTTGCAAACCCTAGTCTTTGGAAGAGCAAATGCCCATATGCAAATGGCTCAATATCTATATGCAAATGTCCTTACCCCTCACTCCCAGCCTGAGGGCCAGTTTGGGTCAGAGCACCCTCCTCAGGTGGCTGGG
Source organism: Homo sapiens (assembly GCF_000001405.40). Lineage (NCBI taxonomy): Eukaryota > Metazoa > Chordata > Mammalia > Primates > Hominidae > Homo > Homo sapiens. Next base: position 33,274,592 of record NC_000001.11, on the reverse strand, counting down.
GCAGCTCCTGCCCTCTATCAGCCCCCCTGCTCCTCCATCCACAGGCACCAAGATGCTCTTCCCTCTGCCCACCAATCCCTTACAGCCCAACACAAGAAGTACTTCCTGCCTGGAGTTCTCCCTGAATGCTCCAGACCCCTGGGACATATCCTTTCCCAGAACAAACTCGAAACAATAATTATGGTGAGGAGGCTGCAAGTTACCAAGTGCCTCTCTTGTGCCAGGCACAATGACACTGAAAGGCAGGTAGGTACTCTTATCATTCCCATTTTATAGCTCAGGAAACTGAATTCAGAGAGGTGGAGTGACTTGTTCAAGGTCACACAGCAAGTAAGCAGAGAGCTGAGATTCCCACTCTAATCTGCCTGACTCTGAAGTCCAGCTCATCAGTCCCTTACGTATTCAGGGGAATGACGCATCCTGACCACAGGCTTGTGAATAAACCCTACCTTAGGATGACACGGCTGCGACCCCACAGGTGAGCACCCGCTCACACAGCAGTCTCAGGACCTGTCCCAACCCTGCTACTGTCCACAGGGGGAAATGTGGAGGGGACCGAGATGTAAAGCCAGGGTAAGGAGGCTCCACGGCTGGGGGCAGGGAGCTTGAGAATTGGATACACCTGTCCTGTTCATCTGGGTATCCCCAGCACCCAGGCCCAGAGGTTATCAATAATGTGAGTTGCATAATGGAATGAATAAATGAAGTAATAATAATCAGAATGACTTTAAAGACAATCCCATACAATTATCTAGCACTGCTCACAGTTTACAAAGCTCTTCTGTGCCCACTGGCATTCTCATCAGAACCTCAGGAGGATGGCAAGCAAGGAAGAATTTTCACCCTGATTTCACGGAGGAAGAAACAAGGGCACCAGGAGGGAGGCACCTTGCTCAGGCCACATGCATGAGAAACAGGAAGCAGCACTGTGATGTGATGCTGGGTGCTAGCTCTCTAAGCCTCAGGTTTCCTCCTCTGTAAAATGGGGTGAAACAGGCTACCCTGCCTCACTCCTGCCCTGGCCCAGGACTCTGCCCACTGCACCTCGCTGCTTCTCAGACAGTTCTGGGAGATCCGTCTTTTCCTCCTCTTCAGTTCAGTTCAATGCCAAGTTCAGAGCCACTACCCTGATCAGGAGGCTATGGGAAGAGGGGGTCTTGCCCAGGGTACCACAGCTGGGATAGAACATCCTGCCACTTATCAGACCCCTGGTCAGGCAGGGGCCACCCTTCACCCTAGATGGGCCCCAGATCACTTAATCTGATCCACACCACCTTTGCCTGATTTCTCTGCATCATTTTCTGGCTGGTTCTAAGTAATTTAATGATTCAGTCAGTGACCCTAGTCCTGGTATCTACCTACTGTGTGACAGGCACAGGGAAGGCAGGGCAGGGGCCAAACATTTCCTGAGCTCTTCCTGCGTGTCAGACACACTGCTAGGTGCTCATCAACAGCATCTCATGTGAGACTCCCAACATGCCTTTGAGGTGGGTATCCCCTGTGCAGCCCTGGGACCTGTACAAGAGGGTGGGCCCTGGTGAGAGGTGAAGGGGTAAGACAGCCAGGGCCAGGCCAAGCCACTCAGACCTTGTCTAAGGGAGGGGCTTGAAGCCAGAAAGAGACATGGCCAGAAGTGTGTTCAGGACAGAGGGACAAGGCAGAAGGACATTCCTGGAAGAGGTCACAGCTTCAGCAAAGGTGTGGAGATGTGAAAGCACAAGGCAGGCTTGGGACAGTGAACAGCACCCAAAGACACCAAAGAGAGCTGCAGACCAGGGAGGTGGGGAGACACAGGGCACTGAATGCCATGCTAAGATGTTGGGTTGGAATGCTGGTGGTGAGAAGGTGGCAGGAAGCATGCTGGGCCAGGGGAGCAGTGAAGCAGAGGGGACTATCTGAGGACCTGGTGAGGGCAGGGGGTGGAGACAGAACAGCCACCCGGGGGTTGAGTGTGCATACCAGAATGGGCAGAGGAAACACGCTGGTGGCCAGGCCTCAAGCACGACAAAAGCCAAGACTCTCTACTGTGAGCCCCAAGACACAGGGCTGATCCTTACAGGGGAGCAAATGTCATTTTGTTTCTCTTATTCTAAAAGGTGAAAAACAGTGGATGGGCGGATGAACGAAACGCCCCTTCCAGAAAACGGCCTGCTGATGGCAGCTGGCCCATCTATCAATCTGTCCATCCATTCATATTGGACAAATCCTCTGGGCCAAACTGGGACCAGCGCTGGGGAACCTGAGCCAACTGGAAAGAACTCTGCCCTCCCCGAGCCCCAAGCTAAGTGAAGGAAGCAGACAAGTGAGCCATAAGCTTCTGCAAAGAACTCTCACCTATAAGGCCAACCACACACCACCGTGGCCTCCCTGAGGTCAAAGCTTATGGCCCACCTTCCAGTCCTGTCCTCCATGGCCTCCCTGCCACCTGGCCCCTTGGAGAAGGCCTGTGTACCATGACACCTGGCTCCTCACTTTCTCAGCCTCCTTTACAGTCCCTAGCCTCTCTTCCCCACCAATTCAGCTCCTCAGGACAGAGCGGGAGCCCCCTCTCTCCCACCAGCCTCAGTTCCCTGGGTGGCCCAACCACTTTAGAATCTAAATACCAGCCAAGCCCGAAGTCCCCACCTCCAGCCAGGCCTCTCCCTGACAGTCCCTTTGGCCGACTCCTGGGCTGCTCAGACTCTGCAGGCCTGAGCTGGACTTAGTCTTCCCCTATGCCATGCACCTGGTCTGGTCACCCCCAGCTCACAGCGGGACATCCCCATCTGCCCAGATGCTCCTGCAGACACACAGTGATCTACCGCACATCTGCCCAGATGCTCCTGCAGACACACAGTGATCTACCACACATCTGCCCAGATGCTCCTGCAGACACAAAGTGATCTACCACACTCGCCCTCCCTCCCCACTCACCTCACACCCATCTCAGCCATGTCCTCAGGATTCCAGTTCCAAAATCTCTCTCAAGCCCACCCACTCTTCTCCAACAGTCCCAGCCACTGTCGCCTCACCAGGACTGTGGAACAGCCCGCTCTGTTTGCAGCCCAACATACCCGGGTTCCAATCTTTACTCCAACTCACCAGCTGTGTGATCTTGGGCAAGGCACTTGCTCCTGCCCCCCATGTAAGGGATTAGCAGCCCAGAGCCAGGGACCTGACCCAGCCTGGAGAGGATCAGGGAGGACTTCCCAGGGGAGGTGATGCCTGCCTTGGGTCTTAAAGGATGAGTGGGAGTTAGCCAGGCAGAGAAGAAGTGGGAGCATTCCCAGCAGAAGCAACAGCTTGAGCAAAGGCCCCCCAGGCGAGGAGCCCAACAGTGTGAGGGGAGCCACGAGCGTTCGGTGTTGCCTGGCAGATGGGAGATGAGGCTGGAGCCAGCAGCTGGGGCCAGACCTTAAAGGCTGCTCCCTGACTCCTAGGCCTGAAGGCTAGACTTGAAGCAGTGGGTGATGGGACAGAATCTGTGGTTGAGAAAGGCCCCTCTGAGTGCCCAATGTAGAGGGGACTAGAAAGGACAGGAGAAGAGGCAGTGGGAGGCCCCTGGGGAGCAGAGCAGAGAGGCAGGGGCTGCGCCTGGGCCAGGGAGGAGAGCGGCCAAAGAGGCCTGAAGCTGGAGGCCAAGGAAGCATGCAAGGTGACCCCCACAGTGGAGCCCAGGAGGCCCACTGCATACCAATGCTGACAAACACAGCCACAGGAACATGCGGACAGACAGCACCAAACCCAGACACAAATGACAGATACAGACCTGTGGCCCCAAATGTGGACTGATGGGGACCCAGCAGCTGCCGTGAGGAGGAACCCACAGCCACCACGACACAGGAGGCCGCTACAGGAGGGTAAGCACACACCTCCCCCAGGGCAGACCCAGAGGGTAGCAGCGGGGGCACTCAGGGAAGGTGGGACGAACACAATGCTTTAATCCCCCAAAGAACAAACCCTCATTGACAGAGTGCAACCTGGAATCACAGGCTCCTTACCTAGAGTGTCCTTTCCCACTTGGTGAACTTCTACTCATCCTTCAAGACCCAGCTCAAGTGTTCCCTCTTCTACGGAGCTTTCCCTGAACCCCCAGCCAGTCACTTCCTCTGTGTTCCCAACAGCACCTTGTATATGGGAATAACAATAACAATAATAACAATAATAATAATAGTAAAGTGCCAGCTACCATTGATTTCAACATCTATGTGTTGAATATGTCATGATTCATGTCACTGAATCTTCCCAATGACTCTGAGATGCACGTGCAGCACAGAGAGATTGACCAACTTGCCCCAAATCACACAGCTAGTAAGTGATGGAGTTAGGATGCCCAGCACTGGCCCAGCACTACAGGGCCAACTGCACTCCAGTGCAGTTATATTTTCCCGGGTGTCCTCCCCACCAGACTTCAAACTCTTCACAAGTAGGGTTGGTGCTCATTCATTTCTGCCAGCCTCTAGCCCAAGGTGGCCACTTCCAATGGACTGGGAACTGTGTCAAGATATTTACAGCCATTATTTTACTCTCACAATAAACCTGTTGTACAGATGAGGAAACTGAGGTCCAGAGAGGTTAAGCAAGTTGCCTTAGGTCACAGAGCTGAGTCTGAACTTGAAACCGGGTCTGTTTATCACTCCGTCCCAGAAGGGTGTCTCTGAGGCCAGCCCAGCAAGCTCCAGAGAGGGGAACTGAGGGAGGGGGTACTGAGGAAGGTGTACATCAGGTGCCAGGCCCTGCCACCTGGAGACTTTCAGACCTAGACAAATGGACAGAAAGAGGACAGGCAGCCCAGGGAGGAATGTCACAAGACTTACCCACTGCAAGGCAGAAGGGTTCAGTAAAGCAACTTACGGCCATCCCCCAACCCCCGCCCCAGCCCAACCCACAGACATTAAAAAGTGAGATTTGACTGGGCTGGGCATGGTTCATGCCTGTAATCTCAGCACTTTGAGAGGCTGAGGCAGGAGAATCGCTTGAGCCCAGGAGTTTGAGGCTGCAGTGAGCCATGATCACACCACTACACTCCAGCCTGGGTGACAGAGTGAGAACCTGTCTTTAAAAAGAAGACAGTTGCCCAGACCCCATGGTCACATGGGAACTAGCTCTTCACAAAGCAAATGCGAGAGAGCAGGACCCAAAACTATCCGGACACTATGATTACAAAGGAGGCAAAAATAAAAACCTGCGTCAGAAAAAGAAAGCTTCAGGGAGCCACACCCAGAGGGAGGCTGGGAGCAAGGCAGGAGGCAGCTGGGGCCAATCTTGGTCTTTGTCTTTGTTTCTCTGATTTCCAAATTCTCTGTAATGCTGTTCAGCTGCTTAATGAAAACAATAAATTTATTCTTAAAAAATGAAAGAAAGTAGTTGGTAGCCCAGTGCGGGGAACAGATGGAGGGTCCAGAGGCATGGGGCAGGGGGAGGTCAGGGTCAGCTGCTGGTGGGCAGGCAGTTGACTGTTGCATGCCAGGCCCTGCACAGCCTCAGCCTCAAAGCACAACTTGGAGGGTGGGTGTCAGGAAGGGCTATCCGGAAGAGGTGGCATTCAATCTGTACCATGAAGCTGATTAGGATCCTACAGGGTGGGGAGAGAAGAGGGTCTGCACCACCTCCCCTGCCCTGATCCAGGCCCCCTTCAGCTCTGGCCTCAGCTGTTGTAAGAGCCTGCTCACAGGTTCCCCCACTCCACCCTCATCCTCCACTCCATTACTGCAGTCACTGTGATTTTAATAAAATAAAAGATCATAACCCTGCCCTTCCTAGGACCCTCCATAGCTCCCTACTTCCCTCCAGACAATTTCTGGATTGCTTAAGCCTTACATGTGCGGCCCCTGCCAATCTCTCTGGCTGTTCTACTTTGCACTGCCCAGCCAGACTGAACATCTCACAGTTCCCCCAGGGTTCTGCTTCCCTTCTCACCTTCCACAGGCTGCATCCTCTCCCTGGTGCTCTCTGCCCTCCCCATTTCACTAGTGAATTCCAATGCATCCCTCAGGCCCCAGCTTACAGGCCACCTCTTCCTGGAAGCAATCGGGGACTGCTCTGCCTCCATGCCTGAGCTACACTGTGTGCTCTCCTCTCTGCTCCCTTTGTACCCTGCCTTTCCATCATCAGAACCCCTCTCACCCCATGTTCTGTCTGTTTGCTCATCCATCTCTGCTGCCAGACAAGCACTCTGATGGGGAGGGATCATGGCTGAATCATTTATCTTTTAAGCCCTGCACAGTACCTGATAAAAGTTTGGATTAATTACTTACTTAATAATCAGGTGGGGGGAACTGAAAGGGCTGTGGCCTGGATGGAAGGAAGCCCCCTCCCCCTCCTCCAAGTCCCCTCCACCCACTCTGGCACTGTGCTGTCCTCTGTGTTAACACTGTTTACTATTTCCTGTGTCTAAGTCCTGTCTTCCTAATTGACCCAAGTCCTGTCTTCCTAATTGACCCAAGAAGGGGCTATGTGTGTTCTCTAAAGACGAGCCAACCCAAAAAGGATGTTAACAGCTAATAAACACAGAAAATGGTTCTGCTTCCATAGCAGTGAAAATTCAATGAGTTTAACCTGTCAAAATAGGAAAAAGAAATAAGAAAATGCTAACACCCAATACTGGTGAGGGTATGGTGAAATTGGCACGCTCATGTATTATTGGTGGGAGTGTAAACTGTAACAATCATTTCTGAAATAAATCTGGCATGAATTTGTCAAGAGCTCTAAAAATGTCCAAACTTCCTGGCCTAGTGATCCCATTCTTGGTCATCCATCCCTAGAAAAATATAGAAAAAGTTATATGTACAAAGCTGTTTGCGTCAGTGGTTTTTTACAGCAGCAAAAACCTGGAACAGCCGAAATTTTAAACAGGTTCTGTTTAAGTCATGTTACCTGGTGTCATAGTCTATGGTCGTTAATAACAGCTAATGTTACTGGCCTTGTAATGACTCATTTAACACTCACATTGGCCTGTCAGGAACTGAAGGCACAAAGAGATCAGGAAATTTGCCTAAAGTCAAGCAGTTAAGTGTAGGATTTGAATCCAGACAATCAGGCCCTAAAGCCCATACTCTCCACCCTGACACTGGATCCATTAAAAGGAAGGATTGAAACCACTCTGCAGTCATTTAAAAAAATACTTGTGATACAACAATAGTCAGGGGGGAAATGGGAAGATTTTTAAAAACTGCATGTATAGATGGAGCAAGGACATCTATATAAAAACTGGGTGCTGAGAGAAAAGAGGGGAAGAAAACACCAAAATGCTAACAGTGGTGATGCTTCCGGCTTGGAGCAGGGGCAGAGATGAGGTGGGTTTTTACTTATTTCATATCCCTGTTTTCTCATTTTTCTCCATGTCACAGCTGATGGGGCGATAGGCCTGGAAGAGTATTCTTATGTGACTTTTTAAGGGAATATTTTTAATAAAACCAAAAGTTAAGCAACCTTTGACAAAGCAAGACACCCCAAACCCCAGCCTAAGGCCCTGCAAGTTTACCCAGGAGAGTGGGGCTCAGGGAGGGACAGGGGCCTGCTCAAAGTCCCACAGCAAAAGCCTCCAGCCCCACCCATGACCCCAGCCAGGAGAGCAGTCAGGAAGGGACTCCTGGTCCCATCCAGGGGCCCCAGCGGGGAGGACCAAGCCGAAGGAGAGCCTTCCCAGGGCGCTAAGTCTACCGCTTAAAATCCTTCTTGGATTCCCATCACTTTTGGGGTATAGTTCAAACTCCACAGTCTGATGCTCGGGTTTTCGCCAAGAAGGTCCCCTGGCCACACTCATCTCACCAGGTGTGCTCCTTGGCAGCATCCCTCCAGCATCAGGGCCCCCAGAACAAGGTGATCTGATGTGCCATGGCTTTGCACAGGCTGAGCCCCTCCATCTGGGAGCCATACCACCCAGCTGGAACCCTGCCCTCAAAACTCTGCTCAGCTGGCACCACCTTGAGGAACTGTCTGGTTATCTGGTTATTTGTCCAGTCCCCCATGTAGGCTGTGGGCTCCCCAAAAGCAGGGCTTGGTCTGGTTCTTAGTTACAACCCCTACCCCAACATAGCCCCACAGCTCACCCAGGTCTTCCCTCCTGTCTCAACTTAAAGGTCACTTTTGACGTTTCCCACATAGGAATTGGGCTACCCTGTTATACACTCCCATGGTCCCCTGCCTTCTCCCTACCCCACCTTTGTATTAATACCATGCACCTAAATATGCTTTAGGCCTGTCTCCCCATCAGCCGTCACTGCTGCAGCCCCAGAGCCCAGCGCCAGCCATGCAGTAGGGCCTCAAGTGCCTAGTATACACTGGGTACTCAACAGATGTTCACTGAGGGAATTGATGAGGAGGGGTCTTTCCATGTGAGCCGTGAAGACAGACGAGTTTGCCAGGAGAGCCACTGCGGCAGAAGGGCAGCATGTGCAGAAGCTGGAAAACTGTTAACTCCCTGGGAGAGCAAAGGTTTCTCAAACATAATCCCTGCCCCCAGAGAGGGGCAACAGCTACTGCTGCAGTCAGGCTGGGAGGGAAGGGAGGGTAGTGGCAGCATTCTCAGGAGGGTGAACTCATCTCACTGTGGGAAGAACAGACTTCAGGAAGGTGGGACTTACTGATGGGGGAAGGGGAAATTGCAAGAGGGAGATGCCAAAGGAGAGTATGGCAGGTGGAAAGAACTGCATGTGCAAAGGCCCCGAGGCAGGAAAGCACACAGCATCACGTGGGTCAGGGGTATAGTGCAGGAATTCACAAGGGAAGAAGGGTGGGGTGGCTGGAGCCGTTCATAAAGGACCAGAGTTGCAGGCTAAGGTGCTCCGGTGAAAGAACATAGGGGGGACATGGGAGGTCCCTGAGCAAGGGAGGGCCATGGCCAAGGTTTTCAATGGACAAGCTGTATGGGGCCAGAAGGATGGCCTGGAGAGGATAAGCAGATGGTCTAGGAGAGGGAAACTGAGGCTTCTCATGTTTTAGGCTCCTGAGACACGCTCAAAGTTTGCCTCCCATGGCCCCTCTGCCCTCTGCCACTCCAAGCAGCTAGAACCCTGAGCCCCAGCCACTGCACCCCACCCCACTCTCAAGACTTTGGGCAGTCCTGGCCAGCACCAGAAACACACTCCTGGGAACTTCCTTCCCCGGAAGGAAAGAGGCTCCCAGGGTCCTGGATCCAATTAGACCGGGTTTCCGCAGCCCCACGGGGCTGGGAAGGGCTGTTTTCATTGTGATGGCAGGGCTAATCAGAGCAGGAGGGGTTGCTGTCTGTGCCCAGGTCAGTGGGAGCTGGGAGCCTGCCCCTTCCCCTCACTGTCCCTCCCCCTCCCCAACACCCTCAACCTCTGGGCCCCCCATTCCCACCTCCAGCTACCCAGAGACACTGAGGGCGGTTGAGCCTCTCTGGGAGCCTCAGTGCCCTCATCTAGGGAAGGGGCCATGACACTCTCTCAGTTCTGAGAGAATGTTCTACAGGCTTGGAGCACATCCCCCTCCCTACTTCTATTTCTCCTGGGGACCCCCAGCTCCTATCCCCACAGGGAACTCCTTCTGCTTGTATGAAATGATGATGGCAATAATAATAATAGTTGCTTCCTCCATGCCAGGCACCTTAAGATACTTTACAAGCATTTCTCACTCTGGCTCCTAACGACCCCATGAGGTAGATGCTGTGAGTGTTTTGAAATATAACATATATTCAGAAAGATGCTTAGAACATGAACGGACAGCTTAATCACTTACAAAGCATGTATCAGGAGACCTAAGAAGCCCTCACCCTGGGTCCTTTCTCAATTTCAGTCCCCATGTGTCCCCCAAGCTTCTATGGTCATCACTTCTTTGTTTGGGGTCAGGAATGAGGCTCAGAGAGGTAACTAACCTGCCCAAGACCATGCATCTGGTGCAGGCAGAGGTAACAGAACCCTCTGTCAAGTCCATTTTCTCTCTGGGCCTCCTTTCCTGCCTCTATAAGGTGAAGGGGTTCAACCAAATCATAGTCTGGGCTCCTGGACCCTTAAAGGGGAAATGTGACAGCTCAAGGGTTCAAAGTATGGATTCTGGAGGCAGATAGCCCCAGCTCAGGCCTTTGGGATTGTTACCTAAATCTCCAAGCCTCAATTTTCTCATCTGTAAACTGGGGATGATTATGGTATCTCCATGGGTTGTACTGAGGACTAAGTTAGCTAATATGGATAAAATCTTTCGAACACTGCCTGACACACAGTGAGGACTCCTGAACAGTCAGCTGCCATTGCTGTTGCTAGGTTCTCTAAGGCCTAAGGGAGCCTTTCCCAACATTCCAAAGACCCACATGGAAATCTGACCAGCCAGTAATGCCATCTAGGGGGTGGGGGGTGGCAGTAGCTCTGGGTGGCCTTCAGGACCCACAGGGACCATTCTTCTGACTGGCAAAGATCCAGGTCTGAGATTAACTAAAAACAGGAAAGCCAACTGCTGGACCCTGGCTCTGGCCCGGCCCCCAGGAGCTTTCTAGACAGGTCTCAGGGGTCCTGGACAGGGAACCCCTGGCAGGCAGTGAAGCCTGCTTCCCTGCTATATCCCAGGACCTCCAAGGCAGGCAGCCTGTGGGGCAGGCCAAACAGGCCTCCAGCCTGGGGTGCAGGCCAGCAGACAGAGCAGGCCCCAAGCAGGCCACAGCAGCAAAGGGAAGGCTGAGCTGGGCTGGGCAGAGAAAGGAGTGGGGAGGGTGTGGGGTGGACAAATGGCTCGCGGGGAACAGGCCAGGGAAGACCGGCTACAGGCCCCACCAGACTCAGCCTCACCTGCTGCCTCATCTCCTGCAACTTCCCTAGGTCCCAGTGCCACCACCTTCTCTTTGTCCCTGAATTTCTCACCTCCGGGTCTCTGCCCAGGCTGTTCCCTCTGCTCCTCCCCCATCATCAGTCAACATAGTGACCAAAATCTCTAATCTTAATCATCATGTGGCTGGGCACGGTGGCTCACACCTGTAATCCCAGCACTTTGGGAGGCCAAAGTGGGTGGATCACCTGAGGTCAGGAGTTTGAGACCAGCCTGACCAACATGGCAAAACCCCATCTCTACTAAAAATACAAAGATTAGCCGGGTGTGGTGGCACACGCCTGTAATCCCAGCTACTCTGGAGGCTGAGGCAGGAGAATTGCTTAAGCCTGGAAGGTGGAGGTTGCAGCGAGCCAAGATTGTGCCACTGCACTCCAGCCTGGGTGATAGAGCGAGACTCCATCTCAAAAAAAAAAAAAAATCATCATTTGTGTGATCTTTTATATAGTGCCTGTCTACCTCCGCTAGGGCAGGGACCTATATACATCAGTTTTCCTCCCATCTATCCTCAGCATCTAGCACAAAGCCTGGATATAGTAAATGCTCAAGAAATACTAGTGAATGAAGGCAGGAGACAGAAACGGGCTGCCGGCTCCACCATTTCCAGTAGATCCAGGCCAGGTGTAGGTGCAGGTGTGAATGCAAGGGTGTGTATGAGACACACTGCGCAACGGCTAGAATTTGAGGCTATGTTATCTCAAGTGTAAATAAGCATGTGCATGCAAGACTCATCTACATGTAAAAACACACATGTGCACAAGGAGGCCTGAGTGAACAGAGCTGTGTACAGATGAACACCATGCGTGTGGGAGAATGTGCAGATGATCAGGCATGTGGCTGTGTGCTGTTTCCCAGGAGAGTGCACGGTGTACGCTTGGGTATGTGGTCCTCCCAGTGGCAAGAGCACATGCACGTGCTCCTATGTGATGTGCATACCGTGTGTGCATGCACACTCCAGCAGACATGCTTCCTGAACTCCTGGCTCCTAGGGATCCAGTTTAGGACACCTGTGGTGGTATTTCTGAAATAGCAGAGGAGTGCTCCACATTGGCAAGGATGGTGCAGGAGGGAGGGTCAGGGGTGGTAATGGAAAAGGTAATAGTGTGAATATGTATGAATGTATTTGAGTGTGTTGAAGGGTTGTGCCCCCTCTCAAGCAGGTGTCCCCCGACAGAGCCCCAGAACCTGGAATGGCTGCCTAGACTGTCCCCTCAAGAATCCTAAAGCCGGCCAGGTGCGGTGGCTCACGCCTGTAATCCCAGCACTTTGGGAGGCCAAGGCGGATGGATCACAAGGTCAGGAGATCGAGACCATCCTGGCTAACACGGTGAAACCCCATCTCTACTAAAAATACAAAAAAATTAGCTGGGCGTGGTGGTGGGCACCTGTAGTCCCAGCTACTCGGGAGGCTGAGGCAGGAGAGAATGGTGTGAACCCAGGAGGCGGAGCTTACAGTGAGGGGAGATCGCGCTACTGCACTCCAGCCTGGGGGACAGAGCAAGATTCCATCTCAAAAAAAAAAAAAAAAAAAAAAAAAGAATCCTAAAGCCTTTGCCCAAAGTTCAGAAAAGGACCCCAGATGGTGGAGACCCCACCAAGAGTACCCTTGTGGCCACATGCATGAGGCAGGGAACAAGGCAGGACCCCTTAGGCCCCAGAGCCAAATCCCTTGGCCTTCCCTACACACCTTATCCACTAAAGACACTATTCAGCCACCTCCCCCAAATTCCACCCAGCCTCCAAAGCCCAGTTCCAGCCCCAGGTTCTAGAAAGCCATCCCCATCACCATAGCCCCAACCAACTCCCAATGCAGCTGGCTTCCTCAATCTCCCCCCAAGTGCCAGGCACACCCTGTGCATCCAAAAATGTTGCCCCCATTGTACAGGGGTAGCTTCTGCACTAGAGAAGAAGTAACTGTCCCATTGAGCACTTTCCCCTGCCTTTGATCCCCAAGGCAGATACTGCAGCAGCAGCCTGTTGGCCTCTGGGTAGCAGACAGAGATGCACGTGGCCTTGGATAAGGCCTGCTCCTCTCCCTTCCCACTTCAGTTTCCCCAACGGGTAGAATGAAGTTTGGCTAGATGACATCCACCTCGCTCCGAATAGTGCATGATTTTAGATCTCACATGATTCTCCAAGAATTGCATACATAAATGTCATCAGATACAGACTTTATTGGAGAGATAACGGTGTCTCCTTTTCCTGAGTACACCAAGCCTGACCAATTACCCTGGATGAGTGCCGAGCACCAGGCTAAAGAGATAGGAACTCAGAAATCCTGAGGGTTCATGCGGTCTTTGTGCACCAATTTATTCATTCTTACATTCAACAATGCACCGAGGCTGTCTGCCTCAAGGCTGTCTGCCTTTCTTCCCACAACCCAGTGGGAAGAAAGAGGCCACTGAAACCAGGAATCCACAAGGTCAAAGGCACTGGGAAACCATGACACTAACACCACTTCCCAGGCGTTATTCACAAGGGAGGTGCAGCACTTTACACATTGTCAAGAAAATCTTACTAGCAATGAGAACTTTCTGACAGCAGGAAGCTAGGTGGCCTGGTTAGGAGGGAGTTCACTGGAGGGGGGTTTTTTGGCAGAGATCAGAGGCCCTTTTGACAAAGGTGTGGGAAAAGGATTCCTGCTCTGTGCAAGGGTCAAGTGAGGTTGGGCTTCCCCTCAACAGTTGAGGGATTCTAAGGAGTCCCAGAGTGCTAGGTTCAAATCCCAGCAACTGCTCCATGATACCTAAATACCTCTGTGCCTCAGCTTCCTCACCTGTAAATATGTTAATATTTATAAAGGCTTTTAGAACATGGCATGGCACAAAGCGAGCCCTCTGTGATGCTAAATAAGGCAGTGAGAGTCCACTTTGTAAGATTCTAAACCTAAGACTGGATCATCCTATCATGGTAAGATTCCAAGTGTCAAAGGTTCTGAGCTGGAAAGCTTCTCAGATGCTAAAGCTCTGAGACTGGAAGAGACTGGGATTCTTAGATTCCATGATTTAATCATCTCATTATTTCCTGACAACAGCCCTGAGTCTCCCGGGGTGGGAGGAAGGAGAAGACAGCCCTCAGTGTAACTTTATCTCCCAGGCAATGCGCTGCCACACCTGGACTCCCTAGCATTTCCTCACCTCTACAAAAGCCCCAGCCACACCACACCAGAACCACCTGCTCACTCACACGCATGGCGCTTCAGCATGTTCTAATGGTGTAGACAGGCAAGAAATGCGAATAATGAGAGGGTTTCAGATACTGGTGACAGCCACAAGAGAAAAGAAAAAGCAGCTGATGTGAGAGAGTGAGAGTAGGAAGCTATTTTAGAGCAAGTGGTCCAAGCAGACCCTCTGAGGAGGTAACATTCAAGTAGAAACCTGTGAAACAAGAAGGTGCCAGCCATGTAAACACTCAGGGAAAAGCTGTCCTGGTGGGGGAATGTGCAAAGGCCCTGCCACCAGGCTTTGTAAATTCAAGGTGTAGAATGAAACTGGTGTGTGGCTGGAGGTGGCAATGGGATGCGGGGAGCCAAGGTTGAGAGGTGGGCAGAGCCTGGACTATTAAGGGCCTTGTAGGCCCAGAAAGTACTTCAGATATTTTTTCTTATAAATGCCTAGGAAACATTAGAAAAGTTTCAGCAGGGGAATGACAAAGCAGACCAGGGCTTTCAGGGTGCCCAGATCATTTGCCTCATTCTGAAACCAGCATCACGGTTCTCAAATTCATGGCAGGGCCTAGGACAGTCATCAGCAATCCTTATAACTCAGTGGGTACGTACTGAGCTCCCACCACATGCCTGGCCAGGGCAGGGAGACGTGTCATACACTGTCTTGATATCACTCCCAACAACCCATGAGAGATTCACAGAAAGTACCCCATTTTAGAGTTGAGGAAACTGAGGCTCAGAAAGGGAAAGAATGTGCTGAAAGTCACAGAAGCCATGTGACACAATGGGACCTAATCTCAGGACCCAGGTCTACCACTGTGATGGTTTATGGAACTCCTTTGGTGTCTTCAAGCTTTCCATTCTCTGAGAGACCTCCCCTGGGGACTCATGGAGGCACTCAGCAAACACTGCCCTGGCTAGTGCTTCATGCACCTGCAGTCTCACCTCTTCTTCCTTGTTGGCTTTAGAGCCCTGGAGGACTACACTTGTATCTCACATGTCTGTCCAGTGTGGGCTGGGTGAGCTAAGGATTGCATAGAAGGACAGATGGGTAGATTACTGAGATGACTAACCAATAAACTAATTAATGGATAATGAAAGAATAAAGGAATGATCTGGCAACAAATGAATGAATAAAATAGCCCGTGGCAGAAGAAGGAATGAATGGCTCCTCATTTTACAGAGAGATAAGACAGGAAAGTGTCTGCCCAGGGAAGGGCTAGGGCCAGCCTGGCTTCAGACCCGGTCCCCACCTTACCCACACACCTGCTTCCTCCTTTCCATGTGGGACCAACTTGCCTCCACCCCCCAAGACTGCAGATAGCCTATTCCTCAGTCCCTGGGATAAGTTCATGTCTCCATGGAGCGCTGGCCGTTATTCCATGACACCATCACCAGCACCACCATCCACTAGCAATTCCTGCCATCCTGGGGCCCGTGCAGCCTGGCAATGGGTAGAGGGGCTCATTGTCCCTCTGAGTGTCACAGAGGAAGGGAGGCAGGAGATCAGGGTCTGGTTCTGAGACCCAAATCACTGACTTCCAGCCAGTAGCTTCCCCTCTCTGAGCCCAGGTGACCTCCTGACATCTGAGCCTTTTCAGTCTGACATTCTTTGGGTGGGGTGGGCCTCTGGATGTTTACACAGTCACTGGGTTCAGCAGAAGAATTAGAGAGTCCAAAACCTAGAAGAGTCCTTCCCACAGCACCAAAGTCCACCTGGGAAAAGGCCAGGCGAGGAGCCTGCAGGCCTGAATTTAAGCCTCCTCTGCCACTGTTCAACCTCTCTGAGTCTTGGTTTCCTTATAATGAGGTTCATAATCCCCATTAGGACAATTTAACCCTAACTGAGTTTCTGGGAGAACCTGATGTGATAATCACCACACCATACTGTGAAAACTGTGAAGTTCAATTCTCTCAGGAAAGATTATGATGGCGGGGGTAGGAGGGGGTGAAGGGATCGTGCTGTCCCATTCTAGTCCAGTTCTGTTCAAAACGGATCTTCCAGGGGTCCAGGCCCGTCATGGAGAACAGTGGAGGGAGCCCAGCAGTGGAAGCCTGAACACCCAGGTCCCGGTCTCAGTCTCCTTCTACCTGGTAGCGTGACTTCAGGCAAGTCACTTCCTCTCTCTGGACCTCAGTTCCTCCATCTAAAAACCACCTGGCTTGGTACCCTCTGGCCAAGACATGCCATGTTCCACAGCCCTGAACCCCTAACCCCAGCTTTCAACCCCCGACTCTGGCTTCTGGGAGCTCACTCTGTCTAGTGGAGCCAGGACACAAACCAGGAGTGAGACTAGAAGGGTCTCCCCTCCAAGAAATGCTGGGGTAGGGGACACATGAGAGGCTAGGCCCAACACTGCCCCAGTGCCTTGGACAGCACCAGTCACCCCAGACCTTGTGGGCCTGGCCTTCAGATCCCCCTCGGCAGCCTGCGGAGCCAGCAGGCCCTGACCTGTCCAGCAAGATACTTCAGGAACTTAACCGAAGTCCAAAGTGCTTCTACCTCCCGGGCGTAGGGCAGGAGTGGCAGAAAGGAATAAGAGCATACTACAGGGGTGAGGCTCACACCGAGGAGGTCTAGCAAACCAGACTACCTTTCCTGCCCCTTCCCTCAGACGGGACCCACTGGGCCGCAGGCCTGCACCCAACCAAAAGTTCATCATAGGGTGGGGTCGGGGAAGACATTACCACCAGCTGCCACCTCTGGGGGCAGGAGGACCACCAGGTTGGGGAGGGGGCTCTCCAACTGCAAAGGGCCAAGCTCACTTGCCTCAGGGTCCAAGGGTCACCCCAGGGCTTGGGCGAGATTCCAGCCTACACGGGGGGTCCTGGCCACCCATGAAGGAGACAGGCCCACTGCCACACACACAGCTCCCGAAGGTTCCACACTGCTCGAGGGCAGGGTGGTGGGACAGCAGGATTATTTCCTCATGCCAGGGGTCTTTGCTGGAAATCCTGGACCCATTCTGAGCCCCTCTTGCCGGCCCTCTCCCCCAGATCTGAGGATCTAGCTCCTTACAATGCCATGTTTATAGAGCCCCTTCCAAATAAATGTTTCCCAGTTCCCCCAAAACTCCCATCCTCAACCCTCCACATCCGCCCCCCCACCCCCATCCCGCGCAGCTCTGAGGAAACCGGCAGTTAACTTTTCCCAAAAATCCTGCAAAGGCAGCTGGCTGGGGGAGAAATGGGCCTCGAGATCCTTTCGCGGCATTTCACCGCCTTCCAAAAAAAAAAAAAAAGAAAGAAAGAAAGAAAGAGAAGCAAAGCAAAGCAAACTTTCGGAGTTAACTTTAAATTCCCAGCCCTCCCCCCTCAAATCGCCCGGCAGCTTCCCTTTTTTTTTTTCTTTAAAGTGCAATTGCATTGTGTCTCACCTCCCCGAAAGGCTCGCGGCTCTCGCCAAAGAAAAGGAAAAAAGCCAACCCTTCGGGTGCCCCCTCTGCTTCCAGCCGCCTCTCCCACATTCTCAGACAGTTTTATTAAAATTTTCAGACAAAAGAAAAACAAAAATGGCAGCCTGGCTTATTTTTAAAACAGGACAGGGACGCCATATTCTGCAGATCTGCAAAAAAAGGGAGAAATCCGGCACTGGCTGCTCCACCGGGCCGGCTGCAAAGTGCGCGAACCGCGCCGTTTGCAATCCGTTTATTTGCATTATGCCCCATGAATCATTGTTTACCGGAGAATTGCAGCAGGGTTTGAATAGCCCGGCTTAAGAAAACACACACACACGCGCGCGCACACACACACACGCACACACACTCGGAGACCAGCCCCAGACACGCCGCGGGAGACACTTCCTACCCCGCGCGCCCCGCTGCCGCCGCCGCCGCCGCCGCTCTGGGCCGGGCCCGAGGCGCAGGCGGCCCCGGGCCCTCGGAGCGCCCCGGCCCGCGCTGACAGCGCCCGCGCCCCGGCCCGGCCCCCGCCCGCAACTCGGCGCAACTTTCCCGCGGGCAGGCGCCCGCCGCCGCTGGGCCCGCTCCCCGCGCGCCCCGGGCCCGCACGGACCTGGCTGTGCTGGCGGCGCCTCCGGGACGCGGCCGCAGCCCCGCGCCCGGCGGCCCGAGCAGGGCCGGGCTGGGGCTCCGGCACAGGCTCCGGGCTCGGGCTCCGGCTCTGGCTCGCTGCGGAGCCGCGCGCAAACCTTCCGGGTCGCCTGCTGTTCACTTCTGGGTTCTGCAAGCGCCGAGGCGGCGGCGGCGGCGGCGGCGGGAGGCTGGGTCTGCAGCGCCGCGCGGCCCCCAGTGCGCTCGGCGAGCCCCCGCGCCAGGCGCCCGGCTCCGGGGGGGCCGCGTCGGGCCCCCGCCTCTCCGGCTGCGCAGCCCGTCCGGCCCCGGGGGCTCCCGCGAGTGGGCAGCGCCGGGCGCTGGCGACTGCGCGAGAGGGGAGGGGGCCGGGCGGGGGGCGGGGGCGGGCCGCGCGCTGGGGCCCCCACTCGGGCCCCGGGGCCTCGTCTCGCGCTCGCCGTCGCCGCCGCCGCCGCCGCCGCCACCGCCTGGCAAAGTTGCGCTGCGCCCCCCGCCCGCGCCGCGCCGGAGGCAGAGCCACAAAGGAACTCCTCGCCCCCCTCCGCCCGCCTGAGCCGCGCGGGGAGGGCACCGGCGCCCGGCCCTAGGACAGCCCCTTCCCCAGCGCGGGGGCTCCCGGGGCCCCGGCGGCCGTGGCCATTGTCCTGCCCAGGCCCGGCGGCCGCCTCGCCACCCCACTCCTGGGTGATGGCAGGCTGGGGACTTGGGCCTGGCGGGCCACGGCCCTGACCAGGCCGAGCCCGCGCGGTGCCAGGCTGCCCCTGGGGGTCTCCCTCGAAGACGGCCGCCTGGAGGGGACCCCCAGGATGGACCCTCACCCCTGATAACGACCTGCTCAAAATCCAGGCCGATTTTTTTTTTAAGACGAGGACATAGGGGTGGGGAGTAGAAGTTTGCACAGGCCCAGCCACCCCTCCCTAGCCCTAGGCCGGATCCCCGACGGATGGGGCGGCCCGAAGCTGGCAGTGGCTCCTCTCGCAGAGTCTATCAGAGGTGGCACCGGCTGTCCCCCGGCTCCAGACCTCAGAGCCATCTGTGTGACTCCTCCTCCCGCCTCACCCTCCCCAGCCAATCAGTCACCAAGTCCTCCTGATTCGGCCTCCCGAGCTGTGTCAGCTTCCAAACTTACACTTCTACCTGAGGAGGCAGCCGGTTCCAGGATCCCTTCACCGGCTTAGATTTCTATGGCATCCACCACCCCCCGACCGCTGGGCCAGGATGGATCAGGGCTGGCCCTGCCCTCAGGGAGCGCACAGTCCCCCGGGAAGGGCACAGAGATAAACAATCATCTGCCAGCGTTTGTCCTCCAGGAAGCATTTCCAAATTCAGTAAATATTCATAGAGGACCTAGTAAACATCAACCACTGTTTTTAATAGCTGGTTGGCTGGAGCACAGCTATTAAAAAACTGGATAATGCCCCTGCCCTCACGAAGATTCTAGTCCAGCACAGGATGGCAAACACTGTGAGCAACTCGAAGACAGGGCCCATAGGGACTGCTTGTTCTCAATCCCCAAGCACAGTGCCTGGCACAGAGCAGGGGCACAAGAAATCTGTGTGGCATGAATTAGTTGGAATGTTAAAGCATGGCGGGAGAGCACAGAGGAGGCCACTCTTTCCTGGAGAGGTGGAGAGGGCTTCAGAAATTGGCTCTGGGGTGAGCGAGGTGGGGAAGAAAGGAAGGCCTTCCAGTTTCCAGAAATGACGATAATCAGAGGACCAACCCATTGTTGAGAAATTCAATGAGATAATAAATTAATAAACGGGAGAGAAGAGACAAATTGTCTGTGCAGAAGAATTCCAAATAATTTATGTAGACAATCAGGGAGGGGGAGCATCACTCCCTACTCTTTAGGAGTAGGCTGCAGATAGTGACGTCCTCCCCAAGCGCACAATATGGAAAGGGAGAGGAAAGGAGTAACTTTACAGGGAGAGAGCTGATGACTGCTACTCAGACAAGTGATCAAGGCCAAGATCAACAGCCACAAATCATGTTGATATGTGCTTGATACTATGTGATGAAAATGACACTTTACCTTTGTGGTCTTCCTCCCAATAACCCATAACCCCAGCCTTGTGAGAAAAACAGACAGACTCCAAGAGTGGGCTATCCAACAAAATTGCTGGCTGACCAGTACCCCTCAAAACTATCAAGGTCATCCAAATCAAGGAAAGTCCGAGAAACCATCACAGCCAGAGAGGAGCCTAAAGACACGGCCGGGTGCAGTGGCTTATGCCTGTAATTCCAGCACTTTGGGAGGCCGAGGCGGGAGGATCACCAGGTCAGACTTTAAGACCAGCCTGACCAACGTGGTGAAACCCCATCTCTACTAAAAATACAAAAATTAGCCAGGCGTGGCACGTGCCTGTAGTCTCAGCTACTCAGGAGTCTGAGGCAGAAGAATGGCTTGAACTCCAGAGGTGGAAGTTGCAGTGAGCCGAGATTGGGCCACTGCACTCCAGCCTGGGCAACAAGAGTGAAACTCTGTCTCAAAAAAAAAAAACAGACGAACTACTAAATGTAAAAGATATTAGGTAAAAACAATCTAAATAAACTATGGAATTTAGTTATTAATAACAATAATGTGTCAAGGAAAGTATCTACCAAGAATTATAACAAATCGTAACAAATAGTAACATAAGGTATTACTCATAGGAAAATTAGAGGAGGTATATATGGGAACTGTCTGTAATATCATCTCAATTTTTCTATAAATCTAAAAATGTTCTAAAACATAAAGTCTATAAATTTTAAAATTAATACCTTTAATTAATTAAGGCATTAATTAATTTTAAAAGGTATTAATCACGGCATTGCTGAGCAGTTCAATGAAATAATGCCCATCACAGCACCTAACACATTCTAAGCGCTCAAAAAAGTTATGTTATCATCAATATCATCATTATCATCATCATTCTAGGCACTTAGAACAGCACATGCAAAGGCACAGAAGTTTAGAATGGAGAGGCAGATGGGAGACAGGATCCTGAAGGCCTTGAGTGCTGAGCTGGGGCCTTTGGAAGGGATTTATGGGGGAAGGGTACATGCTGGCCCACCTTTGCCCCACGAGTCTCCTCCCTAGCCACCTGGAAAGCTGTGCTCCAGCCAGCCAAAGTGAGCTGCCATCTAAGGCCTTGCTATCTCACTTCTGAGGACTTTGCATATGCTGTTCCCTCTGCCTGGAACACCCTCCCTTGCCCTTTCGCCTCACCTTTTCTGACCACCTTCAATTTATCCTTCAGGTCTTAGCTTAGACATTTTCTTAAAAGCCTTCCAGAACCTTCCAAGATGCTATTAATATGATTTGGTTGGAGGCAGTTGGGGTGAGGTGCAGGAAGCTAGGGATGGAGAGACTGAGCTCAGCTCTTTGCCACTGGCACCCATCCCCCTTTCCCCCCAAATCCAGCCATACTAGATGCTGCCCTGTCTCTGAACACACCATCCACCTTCATGATGCCTGGCCTCTGCTCATGCTGTTCCCTCTGTCTGGTATTCTTAGTCCTTTTCTCCTCATCTCATCTCTGTAGTGAATACTTACTTATCAAGTCAGCTCAAACATCACCTCCTGTATGAAGCCATTCTAGATCCTTCACATAGAAAGGGCACTTTCCTTTGGTTCCCAAGGTGTCCATGGTCCTTCTGCCACACTGCTGGCAACACACTCATCACGATGCATCGGAATAAATGTTTGCTGAATGGATGGACAGCAAGCCCACTGTCATCCTCTCCAATTCTGCAAAGCTTTCCTCTAGGAGGCCCTCCATGGCAGCTCCAGCCCATTAACCCCTCTCCCTTTCTTTTTTTAGCAGTTAGCCCCTAATTGTATTCTAACTATTGTGTGTATAAGAATCAATCTCTTGGATTAGAGTACATTATTTAAGGAAGGAACCATGTCTCACACTTTCTGTTTTTTCACTCATTCAAGTATTTACAAAGCACCTACTCCAGTGTTTCAGTTAGGGTCCCAGGCTCTGGAGAGGCAGCAGTGAGGAAGACCCCAGCTCTGCACAAATAGAGCACTGTCTTAACCAGACTATGCCGCAGTAACAAAGAACTCCAAAATCTCAGTGACATAGCACAAGAGTCATTTATTGCCCACTTGTGCCACATGCCCATCATGGTTTCTCTACTTTAGTCACTCAGAGACCTAGACTGAGGAGTCCCTTCCATTTTGGAGCTGCACCCACTGGAACTTGTGACCTTCTCAGTTACCATGGCAGAAGAAAAGAGAATAGATGGTTTTTCTGGTTGTTGTTGTTGTTGTTGTTGTTGTTGTTGTTTTGAGATGGAGTTTCACTCTTGTTGCCCAGGCTGGAGTGCAATGATGCAATCTCGGCTCACCGCAACCTCTGCCTCCTGGGTTCAAGTGATTCTCCTGCCTCAGCCTCCCGAGTAGCTGGGAATTACAGGCACATGCCACCACACCTGGCTAATTTTGTATATTTAGTAAAGACGTATTTCTCCATGTTGGTCAGGCTGGTCTCAAACTCCCGACCTCAGGTGATCTGCCCGCCTCAGCCTCCCAAAGTGCTGGGATTACAGGCGTGAGCCACCACGCCCAGCCGAGAATGGATGATTTTTTTCAGGCATGGATTTTTCACTGCTTCTGCCTGGAGGTGACACACCCACCCCTTCTCACCATCCATTGGCCAAGACTAGTCACATGGTCCTGCCTACTGCAAGGGAGGCTGGGAAATACAGTGCTCCTCTGGAAAGAGAATAGACTGGACATGGGTGAGCTCTTCCACTGTCTGTCCCAGGAGAAAGAATTTAGCAAATAATTACTGAAGTAATGCTTTAATTAGGTCTCATACGAGGCTGGAAGTGTCTGAGAGAAGATCAGGGAGGGATTCCCAGAGTAAGGGACAATTAAGCTGACACCAGGGAAGAGTGTTTCCAACAGAGAGAACAGTACGTGAAGGTTCTGGGGCAGGGAGGAGTTTGACACATTGAAGGGCCAGAAAAGAGAGGGGAGCTGTGAAGTGACACTCAGGGCTAGATGTCGTAGGCAGGCCCAGATAGGTAAGGGTTTAGGATTTTATCTTAAGGGTAAAGGAAGTCCCAGGAAGGTGTTAAGCAGAGATGTGATATGGCAGAGTTTTCTCCAAAAGGTCCATGTGGTTGCTGAGGAGAGAATGGGCTGGAATGGGCAGAGTAGGGAAGCGGTGGGGGTGCTGGGGGCAGTGAGGAGACTTTCAGAGTCCTACAGGTGAAAGGTGGCAATGGTTTGGACCTTGGCATTGGCAGAGGTGGAGAGAAGTGGACAAACATGGGATTTATTAAGGAATCAGCCCTACCAGGACTTGGTGACTGATAGATGTGGGGAGTAAGAAAGCAGGAGGTGTCCAGGTGACTCACAGGTTTTGCAGCCCTCATAGTGCCCAGCACAAGGCTGGCTCCACTACATTGTATCCCCAGCATGTTCACCATGGGACCTTGACCCTGGACTCATCTGGGACATCTAGCCCTCAGTGTCATTTTGCAATCCCACCTCATTCCACTCCAGATTCCCTGTTCTTTCTGTCCCTTCAGTGTGGCAAGCTCCTCCTTGCCTCATGGCCTTCACACTCCATTCTCTCTTTTGGAAATACTTCTTTCAGCTCCTCTCTCATGTCGGCTTAAATGTCCCTCTCTGTCATCAAGCTAGCTAACCACCTCCTCATTCTGTAGGAGGAGGGGTGTACCTCCGATCAGAACTAAAAACGCTCTCAAGCATCAACCATGCACCTTCTTCTTCTCCTTCTTCTTCTTCTTCTTCTTCTTCTTCTTCTTCTTCTTCTTCCTTCTTTCTTCTTTCTTCTTCTTTTCTTCTTCTCTTCTTCTTCTTCTCCTTCTCCTCCTCCTTCTCCTTCTTTCTTCTTCCTTCTTCTTTCTTCTTTTTTTTTCTTCAACTTTTCAGTTCCAGGGTACATGTGCAGGATGTGCAGATTTGTTACATAGGTAAATGTGTGCCATGGTGGTTTGCTGCACAGATCAACCCATCACCTAGGCATTAAGCCCAGCATCCATTAGCTCTTCTTCCTGATGCTCTCCCTCCCCCTGCTCCCCAAATAGGCCCCAGTATGTGTTGCTCCCTCACTACGTGTCCACGTATTCTCATTGTTCAGCTCCCACTTACAAGTGAGAACATTCAGTGTTTGGTTTTCTGTTCCTGCATTAGTTTGCTGAGGATAACGGCTTCCAGCTCCATCTATGTCCATACAAAGGACATGGTCTCGCTCCTTTTTATGGCTGCATAGTATTCCATGGTGTATATGTAGCACATTTTCATTATCCCGTCTATCATTAATGGGCATTTTGGTTGATTCCATGTCTTTGCTACTGAACACATGCACTTTCTACTTGGACCCCCTACAGTAGTCTTGAGAGGGAGGCTGGTAGGAACATTATCCCCATTTCACAGTGGAAAAAACTGAGGCCAGAGAAGGGAAGTGGTTGGCTACATCTTGGGGCCAGGCCTCTAGCTAAGGTCCTCTAACTCCTGGTTCAGAGTTTCTTTTACTGCAGTGCCTGGTGCATAGTGGGTGCTGTATGGCATTTGCCAAGAGAATAAATGAATGAATGAATGAATGAGCACATGACTGTCTGCCCATTCACTTCTTTACCTTTGCTCATTTTGTTTCCCTCAAAGAGGCTGTAGATTGAGCTAATAGATTAGGTTTAAGAGTCCCAGAGAGCTGTTTGAACCCTAGCTTTGTCATTTAAAGATAGTGACTTTAGGCAAGTTTCTTCCTGTCTCTGCAAATTAAGGATGCAAATACCTACTTTATAGAGCAGGTATTAAAAGAGAACGTGTGGGTTAGGCCAGAGTAATGTTGGCTGCCTGTTCTTCAGGGACCTGTTCCCACCTTGCCTCCCTTGGAAAATCTTCCCTGAGAACACCAGCCTGCACTTACCCACACCCAATAAGAACCTCTCAAGCCCTTCTCATCTGTACCTCCCAGGTTATGACCCAGATGAAAAGTGTCATTTAAACCGCAAACTAGATGCTCTGTCTTCCAAGGGCAGTGGCATAATTCACGTCGGTGTGAAACTCAATCTCTCTGTACTCTCCTTTCCACTTTCTTGGGGGAGTGGGGCAGGAAGGGGAAAACTTCTATCACTTTCTCTGGGGAGACTCTGAGTATCATTTGGCCCTGTTAAGCAGAGATATGAATGGAGCTTTGGGTAAACCAAAACTGTCCATGAGCTGAGCAGGAGATGGAGATCTAACTTGCTCTACATGATAAGCTGATGGGGATAATGGCGTATAAGTCTCTACATGGCATGGTCGTTGCCAACCCTTTCATCCCCAACTAGAACTGTTTTCCCCCTTGGCCTCGGTGCTCCAGCCACACAAGCCCCCTGGAGTTCACAGAAGGCATGCTGATTCCTCTTGCTACAGGGACTTTGCACAGGCACTCCTCTCAGAATGTGCTCCCCAACCATCTCTGCCCTGTCACCTAGCAAGCTCCTCCTCACCCACCATGTGGCTCACAGCCACATCCTGAGGGTGACCTTCTACCATCTTCAGGATACTCTCATAGCTCCATGGACCTACCTTTCCTTTTTTACAGACTTATCTCAGCTGTAATTATTCATTCTGATTTCTAATTGTTTGCTTTGACATCAGATTGTAAGCTCAATACATATCTCTTCCTTCATACAATAAAAAATGACGGAGATTGAATTTTTGAAGGTGAGGGGGCTCAGCAAATGAACAGGTTGAAATATTTGAGCATTATCTTGAAGTGTGGGGGTGATCCATAAAATGGGAGAGCCTGAGAAGAGCAGTGGCCGGCACTGGTGGCTGAAGGACTCTGAAGAGCAGAGCTAGCCATTATTCAACTTGCTCCCCTTTGCATTGCTATGATACAACCCATCTCCTTCAATCTCAGTAAAATAACCTGCATACTGAACGTGAGGTTGGCACAGGGTTGCCTGGCTTGGCACTGGGCAGAGAGGAAAGATGAGCAGAGGAGGGATGAAAGGTGTGCCGGGAGGAGAAAACTGGGGCTGAAAGTAAGCACAATTTTGCAAGTCACTGGAATTTGAAGAAATCTTGGGGCCATCACTGGATTTCTTCAAGATGTGAGATAGGAAATTCCAGTCCATTTTTATCTAAATCTCAAAGGACTAGTAATCTGGGTTCTCAGCAGGAAGAATGCTGTGACTGATTAGCAATGTCTGTTATAGGCAGTGACAACTGGTTACATAGATCTGCAGTTGAGCTTAGTGTTCTCTTAGCCAGAGGGTGAAGACTATGTCTTAGTCATCTTTCACCATCAGTCACCATCAGCAGTGAGCTGGGGGTTATGGGATGGAGGGAGATAGCAGTGAAATGGGCAGGAGGGCAGAGCCTTGACCAGGCAGGGCAGGACATGGGGCACCAGGTCCTGACAATGTTAAATCCTACAGTGAGCTTGGGCAAGCCATGTTGCATCTCTGGGCTTCAATTTCTTCAACTTTGAAATGGGCCAGTAGTACCTGT
This sequence comes from Homo sapiens, assembly GCF_000001405.40. NCBI lineage: Eukaryota > Metazoa > Chordata > Mammalia > Primates > Hominidae > Homo > Homo sapiens. The sequence continues at coordinate 33,248,164 of NC_000001.11, read as the reverse complement.
GGCAAGTTATAAGGCAAGAGCATTAGTGCTTTGAGGTCAGATAGATATACAGGGTTCAAATCTTGGTTAGCACTAGCTTTAGGATCTAGAAAGATCTCAGTCTTCTCATTTATAAAACTTCACAGGTCAGTGTGCCAGGATTAGAAGCAGTACACACCAACAATTAGCAAGCATTTGCTATAAGCAAGGCACCTTGCTGGACTTCTGGGGACTTGACCTCACCCAGAGAAGGGAGAGTGCCCAGCACAGTGCCCAAAAGACAACCAGTGCTCAATGACTGTTCACTCCTTTTTCCTACCGAGTCTAAGGAGCTCATGGGTGTGGAAGGGCTCTATCATCCATAAATTGTCTTCAGAAAGCGAGGCCGATGACAGTAACTACTTACAGCCTTTCCCCCATCTGGGCTGACAATCCTCCCGTGCTGGATCCTCGCAGCACATCTGGACCCAGCTCCCTTTCAAGACTGGCCCGGGGACTGCCAGAGGAAAAGGGCAGAAGTGCCATAATGAAAGGGCTGACAATTACCTTCCCTCTTAATTACCATTTGCAGTAATTAAATAATAATAGCCTTTTGTTGGCCCTGAGAATTCAAAGCAGCCCACATCATAACATCTGGTTCGGCCTTTTGCCAGGAATTGAATGCCCATAGGGACATGATGGGGAAATTGAGGCAGAGGGGGATAAGGCTAGCCATTCTTAAGTCACACAGAAATCAGAACGCCAGCGTTAGGGCAAGGTCCTTAAAGAAACGACTCCAAGTGGAAGATAGCCGCAGCCCTGCATTTTGGGTGCTGGCTCAAACCATTCACACGCTGTGTGGTTTGGGTGGTTCACTCCCCTCTTTGTGCCTCAGTTACTCTATATGTAAAATAAAATGAAGTCAATACTTGACCTGCCCTGAGCATATTTTTCTAGACTTGACTTTGTTCATACATAGTAATGGGAAATTCTTTTTGCAAACTTTGGGTTGCTAGAAATAGAAATCCACCATAGACCAGCAAATAAACAGAAAAAAATGGGTTACCAGTCTACTAATTCTAGAAAGGGTTGAACAGCCGGAGGTCCTGAGACCTCTGCTTTTTGTGTGTGAAAAAAGCAGAGGGCTCAGGAACAATTAAACCAGAGACCAGGACATCGCAAGGCCTCCTTCCTCTCTGCACCTCTTGAACATCAGCTTTATTCTTTCTCCACCTTTCTTCAGAAGGTAAGGAACATAGAGCACCAACAGCTACTCCAACCTTCAGTTCAGACTGTCAGCCACCTACAGGCATCTACCCTCACTGGTCTGGCTTGAGCCAGGCAGCCACCCTTGAACCAATAACTGCATCCAGTAAGGCAGGGTCTATAATGGCCTATAGCAACTTCAGGGATGGAGTAAGAGAAGGGGCCAGTCACAGAGTTAGTAGGAGCCACTAGGCAGGCAACATAATAGTCATCCACTAAAACAAAATTCCTGCACGTGGCCTGCAAAACACTGAAGGGAAAGTTGCTGTAAAATCAAAGCAATGGCATAAATCACCAGGAACAGAGAAATAGCAGAGGCTTCCCTTGGAGGGGAAGGGGAGAGCTGTACCATCTCAGGTGGGCTTGACTTCAGACCTCAGCCCTCTGAACTGGGGACCCAGTCCTATGTGAGCATCCACTCTGATCACTACACCCACCTGGAAAAAAGCAATTCCCAGGCTTTTCCATGGCCTGAGTGAACATCGATTGGTGCTGCCTGCCAGGCCCCTTCTTTGGGAGTGTTCCTGGTGGGGACCAGCGGGTCACATAACCCAAGCCAGGCCAATCAGAATCCTTCTCCTGGTCTTTCCTCGAGAGACACCCAAGGCCACGGCCCCACCCAAGAGAACAGACATCCCATGACAAGAGGGCAGCATTCCCCTGCCTGGTCCCAGCCACCCTGGAGTTGGGCCTAACTGCAAGCCCTTCCCTTGGTTTGGCTATATTGAGTCAATCAAATCCCCCTTTGAGTAGGTGTATTCACTTCCTGGGACTGTTATAATAAACTACCACAAACTCAGTGGCTTAAGACAACAGGAATTTATTCTCTGGAGGCCAAAGTCCAAATAGAAGACATCAGCAGGACGATGCTCCCTCCTCCTAAGGCTCCTAAGGCTCTAATCCTGTCTTGTCCCTTCCAGTTACTGGTGGGTGCATAACTCTGATCTTTGCCTTTGTCTTCCCACAGCTGTCTCTCTCCCCCTCCCTCTCTCTCTCTGTTTGAGATAGGGTCTTGTTCTGTCACCCAGTCTGGAGTGCAGTGGTGCAATCATGGCTCACTGCAGCCTTGATCTCTTGGGCTCAAGTGAGTCTCCTACCTCAGCCTCCTGAATAGCTAGGACTACAGGCACATGCCACCATACCCAGCTAATTTTTAAAAATTTTTTGTAGAGACAAGGTCTTGCTATGTTGCCTAGGGTGGTCTCAAACTCCTGGCCTCAAGCGATCTTCCCGTTTGGGCCTCCCAAAACACTGAGATTACAGGCATGAGCTACTGCATCTGGCTTCCTTCCATCTCTTATAGGGACACTTGCTGTTGGATTTTTGTTCACAGTTGTATGCCTACCCAGGTAGTAATCCAGAATGATCTTCAGATCTCATCTCACGATCCTTAATTATACATGCAAAATCCTTTTACCAAATAAGGTCACATTTACAAGTTCTGGGAGGTAGGACATGGGCATATCTCTCTTTTTTTGGTGGGGGGTGGGCACCATTTAACCCACTATAGCAAGCCTATGTCATTTGTAAACCAAAAAAAAAAATCCCTCGTATATGCCTCAGGATTAGGCATGGATCAGTCCTCCTCATTGTGTTCTGGTCCTGAACTCTGAAGCAACATTTTAATAACTAACTCCAATCCTTTCTGAGAATATGATCCATCTCTGAGCCCCAGGTTTTGTTTTCCACCTGTAAAAATGGGGCAAATACCATCTAAATGGTGGTTGAGTGGATTAAATGAAGGGTCATCGGTCAGACCCAGCCTCACACTTTAAACATCAGAGCTTTTTCCCAGCCTTGATGGTGGACCTGAGCACTCAGGCCCCTGCGAAGGAGAAGCCCTGCTTACAAATGAGCCACCTGACACCTGGTTCATTCATCAAATTCCCAGGAGTCCTGGCAGCCTGAGTTCACCCAGACTAGACCCTGTGCACCTGACAAAAACAAATTTCTGCTTCTGCAGAGCTGAGGGCTGGAGCCTCTGGCTAAGTCTGTCAGCCTTGTAGAATGACAGGAATCCCAAGGCTGATAAAATGAGGTTGGCAGTCCCATGAAGAAAATCCCAGCGATTAAACCCAAAAAACCCAACACAATATTAATAGCTGTTCCTTACTGTGTACCTCCTCCAAGCCAGGCCCACACTCAGGCCCTTGCCCCCACTCCCTTTTAATCCTCACCACAATCCTATGAGGCAGCTCTCATGATCTCCATTTTACGAAGTTGTTGAGGCTCAGAGAGATGAAGCCAGTGATCTAAGGCCACACAGCAGAGTAAATTGTGGAGCCTGAGGCAACTCTGTAACTGTCACCTCAGCCATAAGTGCCTTCCCAGTCTCTCCTCCCCACAAAGGGTGGCATCAGAGCAATTAGCACCATGGTGAGATAGGATTCTGAAATATGAACTGAAGGACTTTCGCTCACAAAATGTCCTTGTCCCCTTGGTCATTCCTCCATGGACTTTGTCTTGTTCACAGTAGTATGCCCAGTGATTAAAAGAGTGCCTAGCACATACTCTGTACTCAATAAACATTTGTTGAATGAATGAATTCAGTTAGTGAGGGCATTCCGGTGGTTAGTGCCTCAGGGAAGAGATGACGTGATAACACAGACAACAAAGGGATCCTGGTCTGGCCTTTAAAGTGTCAAAACCCTAGGCCCAGACAGAAGACTAAAGAGTTGGGAAAGCATGTGATATATAAGGAAACAGTTCATCCCTGATACTAGAACACACATCTCCTGGCCCTGCCCCTCTGGGAATGACGGGAAGGGGAAGGAGAATCAGAGAGGAAGCAAAAACCAAAAACAAAGCTCTCTGCTTTGTAAAAGCACTTGAAAAACAGAAAGTACTGTAGACATCATAGTGATTACACAGGGGAACCTCAATCCTGCTTCCCCCATCCCATCCCTCCACTGACAATTCTTTCATCAGTCTCCAAATCCATGGACACTTTTCCTTTTTTCTGTAAATTACACATATTTTTTTCCATTCTAAAAATGATGCATGCTTATGATAGAAAATACATAAAAGTCGGCCAGGCACAGTAGCTCACGCCTGTAATCCCAGCACTTTGCAAAGGAGGCCGAGGCGGGCGGATCACGAGGTCAGGAGATCGAGACCATCTGGCTAACACGGTGAAACCCTGTCTCTACTAAAAATACAAAAAAAAAAAAAAAAAAATTGGCCAGTTGTAGTGGTGGGCGCCTGTAGTCCCAGCTATTCGGGAGGCTGAGGCAGGAGAATAGCATGAACCTGGGAGGCGGAGCTTGCAGTGAGCTGAGATCGCACCACTGCACGCCAGCCTGGGCGACAGAGCGAGACTCCGTCTAAAAAAAAAAAAGAAAAGAAAATACATAAAAGTCGAAGGAAAACAGGAAGAATCTCCTTCAGGTCCATCACTTATAATAACTAAGATTTTGATGTATTCCCTCCAAACACTTTTAAAAGTTGTGATTTGGGGCCAGGTATGGTGGCTCACACTTGTAATTCCAGCACTTTGGGAGGCCAAGGCAGGCGGATCACCTGAGGTCAGGATTTCAAGACCAGCCTGGCCAACATGGTGAAACCCCCATCTCCGCTAAAAAAAAAAAAATACAAAAATTAGCCGGGTGGTGCGGCGGGTGCACCTGTGGTCCCAGGCACACCTGTGGTCCCGGCTACTCTGGAGGCTGAGGCAGGAGAATCACTTGAACCCAGGAGGCGGAGGGTTTCAGTGAGCCAAGATAGCGCCACTGCACTCCACCCTGGGCAACAGAGCAAGACTCCATCTCAAAATAACATAACAACATAACATAACATAACATAACATAACATAACATAACATAACATAACATAATAACAGTTGTGGTGATTTGGTAATATAAAAGCATATATAATTATTTTGAATATCTCTCATTATAATACATTGTCATTGCGAAAAAAATAGAACAGAAAGAAAAAAAGAAAGAAAACATAAATATTAAACAGAATCCCCCAATCTCAGACACAATCCAGGTTCCTCCCTCCACCTCCTACTGTTTTCTGGGACTTGTGGTTTTGGTATGAATGTTTTTTGAAGGACATATATGGGGAAGGGAGGAGAGGAAGCAGCACTTTGGCTTGTCCAAAACAGGATTTATGACTTAGAAACACAACAACTGCCCATTTTTCTGGTTGCAGCATATCTTCAGTTTCTGAACCAGGAGCAGAGAGTGAGGGGAAAATGAGATATTTACACCTTGCACTTTCTTATCAAGTACAACAGGGGGTTTAATTCCACTTCTCAACCCACCTCCATCGCTTCCTAATCCGTGGGAAGTCTTGATTCTGGCCATGGGTTGATTTTCAATGCTGGTTTTCCGTGTCTTTCTTAGAGAGTTTTTGTCTTTTTCTGGGTCTTCACAGGTATGTTAGTGGGTGTATCACTAACTGCTTGCTAGGATCCACTTTATGTATTATTGACAAATTATAATTTCGTATATTTATGGGGTATAAAGTGATGCTATGTGCAGAGAGTGTGGAATGAGAGAACCCACTTTAAAAGTTCATCCTTATCCTATGTGACTTCTCATGGCATTTCTCCCCAGCAACCACTTCCTCCTGCTCAAAATGCTCACCTCCCTTGATTTCTGTGACACCACGGTCACTGTACTGTCCCTTTACCTTCTGATCTGTCCTTTTCTGTTCATTTTGCTGGTTCCTCTTCCTCGGCCATCTTTCCCTAGGGTTCATTCTTGCTCTCTCTTCCATCCCCTCCATGACTTACACAAGGTTAATTCTCCCTCCCTGATCCACCCCTGCAGCCTCAGGACCACATACTCAGTGGCTTGCTGCACACCTCCCCCTGCTCATCCCTCAGGAATCTGAGATTCCACGTGTCCACAGCCTCCTCATCGCCTTTCCCGGAATTTGTTCTTCTTGCTGGACTGATGCTGTCTCATCCTCTTCCATTCACCCACAAGGGTTGGCTCAGTGTCATCTTTAGCTGTCTCTCCCCTTTACCCCACATACCACTGAGTCCAGCTTAACTTGCTTGGTTTTGGGGTTGGGGGTTGGGGGTTGGTACATTTTCATTGTGAAATAATTTCAGGGCCAGGCATGGTGGCTCACACCTGTAATCCAGGTACTTTGGGAGGTCAAGGCAGGAGGATGGCTCCAGGCCAGGAGTTCGAGACCAGCCTTGGCAACACAGTGAGATGTTCTAATATTTCCCTTTTATTTCTTCTGGCAGCATAAGACCGGCATCTTCTGTTGTTTCTCTCAACTCTCTTCTTTGAGATTTGATCGTTTTTTCTGTGTAAATACTCATTCCTTTATGATTTGTTATTGCATAGTTAGTGGACTTTTCCATGATTTCTATACACCAGTCTTCAAGGAGAAATATTTATTTATTTGTTTATTTACTTATTTATTTTAGTGTAAACATAACTTTGTAAAAAATTTTATTCGTACATCTTTTTTTTTTTTTTTGAGATGGAGTTTAGCTCTTTGGCCCAGGCTGGAGTTAAATGGCATGATCTCGGCTCACTGCAACCTCCTCCCCCACAGGTAGAAGAGATTCTCCTGCCTCAGCCTCCCCAGTAGCTAGGATTACAGGCACCCGCCCCCACACCTGGCTAATTTTTGTATTTTTAGTAGAGATGGGGTTTTGCCATGTTGGCCAGGCTGGTTTCAAACTCCTGATCTCAGGTGATCCACTCACCTCAGCCTCCCAAAGTGCTAGGATTACAGGCGTGAGCCACCATGCCCAATCCATACATAATTTTTTAAAGCTTGATATTTTACTCTCCAGTGATCAGGACTGATTTTTTTGTGTCAGATTCACCTTACCTAAAACTTCACACTTGAAAAGGACAACTCAGAGTGGGGCGGGGCGGGGGAATTGTCATATACAGCAGAAAGCAAAATCTCAACAGATTCCCCCTTTGGATTACCCAGCACTTCAAAGGTTGGGGTTCACTTTTCAAGCACCGTCTCTACTGCATGCACAGCTTCGTGTGGTGCAATCATTTTGCGTGGGAAAGTCTTTCCACTGTCACACCCTTATTCTGCAGCGTCTGCCACCAGCAAAGTGAGATTGAAAAGCATGGGCACATTTTTTCCAAAGTTCTGTAAAGTGTCACGCATGGGGGAAAACGCCAGGTAATCACATAGAATGTCAGAATTGTACTCAGGATCAGTTTCTTTGCCATCACTCTGCTATCACTGCTTGTTTTGAGCCTACTATTTAAACACAGGGATATGGGATATGACGGGTTGGAGGTGCAGACTGCACCAAAGTTAGCTTGAACAAGAAGAACCAAAATGAATGTACTCTGTAAACAAACAAATACATTTTGCAGAGTCTACATATACCAGGGCAAAATGTCTACCTGGGAATTCTCCAGATAAACTTCCACTTTGAACCTAACATTTACGAAAAGATAAGTAGTAAGAATTTGCTCATGTGAATTGTACATATGTATGTGTCTATGTATGTGTGTTTATGTATATATGTATATGTATACTGAATATATAATTATATCTAAAAGCAATGGGAGCAATTGCTCAGATGTTTTAAGGGAAGACTGTTTTATCACTGAATTGTTGGCACATGGTGATAATAAAAAGCACCTCAATTTTAGTCTGTTTTACTACTTTTAAATTCTTAAAAAGCGCGACTCGCTGCCTGCACCCAGACCAGATGATTCCCGCCCTTGGTATGTCACTAATTCAGTGCCTCATATCAGGAAGCAGGTGATTGTCAGTTTGTTCCAATATAGGCTGTGTTAACTTTGATCACTTGATGAAGTCCCCTGTAAAGTTACATGTTTCCCTTTGTCACTAATAAGTAACATGAGGAGATACTCTAAGACCACACTAATGTCCTGTTCCTCATCAGGCTTTCACCCGGGAGTTCTACCACCCTCTGATGATTTTCCAACTCTCATTTCTATATTTAGTAGTTGGCATTCTACTGTAAGAAAAAGCATTCCCTTCTCCCTACTTTATTTCCTTATTCATGTCAGTATGGATACATAGATTCATATTTTTTCAATGGGTGATAGTCTGTTACTATCATTATTTATTTTGGTTTTCAAATTATCCCTGATTTGGCCAGTGGGAGCGTTTTCAGGTTGGTTCCTATGTCCTTCTGACATGTTCCCATCTGATATGATTTTGTTCTGTGTCTCCACCCAAATCTCACCTTGAATTGTAATCCCTGTAATCTCCACGTGTCAAGGGCAGGACAAGGTGGAGGTAATTGGATCATGGGGGCGGTTCCCCCATGCTGTTCTCGTGATAGTAAGTGAGTCTCATGAGATCTGATGGTTTTATGAATCTAGCATTTCCCCTGCTTGCACTTACTCTGTCCTGCGCCCCCGTGAAGCAGGCGCCTGCTTCTCCTTTGCCTTCCGCCATGATTGTAAGTTTCCTGAAGCCTCCCCAGCCATGCAGAACTGTGAGTCAATTAAACTTCTGTCTTTTATAAATTAGTCAGTCTCGGGTATTTCTTCATAGCAGTGTGAGAACGGACTAATACACTATCATTCTTTTGAGCACTTCCCTACTTTCTGATGTGTACCACTATGTATTATTAAAAACCCATGTGAGTATATGTACCAGTAAGTATATGAGTACCAGGAAATGATCTAGGGGACCCCAGAGGGAACATTTGGGGCCCCTATTAGGGCCCACGTTTGGGGTCTTGCCAACAACATTGGAACAGGAGACAGCAAATCTGAGATCTACCTTTAGCATTGTCTGCAACTCCCCACCAGAGTGAGTGTGCTGCCACTGTCTGTCCAGTATAAATACTCTGGCATATAATAATCTATTATTAGTGGTATTTGATAATAGTGCCACAGACACAAATTGGGGGATGGAGTAGGTGTTATCTGGCTCACAGCGGTACTCCCAGAACTAATTCACTGTGTTGGTAGTCTCCATGCCCTCAACCAGCACCTTCTGGGAAACCACTCCTGCTGGGGCTGCCATAACAAAATGCCGTAAGCTGGATGGATTAAACAACAGAAATTCATTTTCTCACAGTTCTGGAGGCTGGAAGTCCAGGATCGAGGCACCTGCATGGTCCGGTTCTGGTGAGGCCTCTCTCCTCAGCTTGCAGAGGGGGCTTTTCATCGTGTCTCCACATGGCCTTTTCTCTGTGTGCATACGTCGAGAGGGAGAGATAGAACGCTCAGGGGGGTGTCTCTTCCTCCTCTCATAAGGACCCCAGTCCTATCGGATTAGGACCCCACCCTTATGACCTCATTTAACCTTAATTACCTCCTTTAAAGGCCCTGTCTCCAAATCCAGTCACATTGGGGGTTAGGGCTTTAACATATGAAGTCTGGGGAGACACAATTCAGTCCATAACAACTCCCTTCGCTCTGGCTACATGACCCTTCCTTTCTAGCTGCATTGATTGGCTGAGGTGCAAGCACCTGACCTAGGCTTGGCCAATCACAGCACCTCACTTTCCTCAGCTATTGTGATTGGTTCAGCCACGGTCACATGACTCAAATGGGCTTTCCAAGGGATTTTATTTTTTAGTTTGAAGCAGAGATCTCTTTTTTTATTTTATTTTATTTTATTTTATTTATTTTATTTTATTTTATTATTTTATTTTATTTTATTTTATTTTATTTTATTTTATGTTATTTTGAGACGGAGCCTCACACTGTCACCCGGGCTGGCGTGCAGTGGTGCGATCTCAGCTCACTGCAACCTCTGCCTCCCAGGTTCAAGTGATTCTCCTGCCTCAGCCTCCTGAGTAGCTGGGATTACAGGTGCCTGCCACCACGCCTGGCTAATTTTTTTGTATTTTCAGTAGAGACAGGGTTTCACTATGTTGGCCAGGCTGGTCTTGAACGCCTGACCTCTGATCCACCTGCCTTGGCCTCCCAAAGGTGCTGGGATTACAGGCGTGAGCCACTGCACCCAGTCACAATTTTTTTTAAATAAAAGGCTAGATAGTAAATATTTTCAGCTTTGGGAGAGAAGGAGTATATGGTCTCTGTCACAACTATCAATCCTGTGTTAAACTCTGCCCTTGCAGGTAAAAGCTCTATGAAGTGATTCATAGATTTCATAGATGCTCATTTTTATTAGCATGTGGTTCCAGCGTCTTTAACACAGCCTTCGAGGTTTCCCTGTCCTCAGCAGCTGACGGAGTAAAGAAAGAGAAACCTCTACTCACATACCATTGGCCAGAACTAGTCACATGGCTCCACCTGGCTACAAGAGGCCTGGGAAATGCAGTTTACTTGTGGGCCCAGGAAGAAGAAATGGGTCTGATGTACATCCAGCCATCCTCTGCCAACGACTCCACCACAGATCATCATGAGGACTGAGGGGAAGAATACTATAAAGACTTAGGACAGCGTCTGGTCCACATAAGCACGCAATAAATGTTAGCTACGATTATTACTGAAGCTTCAGGGGGAAAGAGAAAGCACTCTTTTCCTTTCTGGTAGTAGAGCCATATCGATGTCATCTTGGAGCAGCCTGCAGCCATGGCTGCAACTGTGAGGAGAAGGTCAGCGTAGGGAAGAGATGCTGACACACAGAAAGAGACCAGTGAGATAGTCCTGACTGCACAGAAGTGTCTGTTGCAATCAAGCCTGTCCTTCTGCAGCCTTGGTCAGTCTGCTCTTAACAACAACAACAGTAACAGTACCTGACATCTATTAAACTGTGCTATGTGCCAGATGCTTCATTAAGCTCTTAACAGATAATATTTTTCTAATTCAAACCACAACCCATGGCAGGGGGAGGAGTCATTAAATCATTTTAAGGAGTTGATACCAGCATTTAATAAAAATTTTTAAATTTTATTTTTAATTGAAAAAATAATTGTATATATTTATGAGGTACGATGTGATGTGTGGTTTTGTTCTGTGGAGTTTTTTTTGAGACAGAATCTCGCTCTGTGCCCAGGCTGGAGTGCAATGGTGTGATCTCAGCTCACTACAACCTCCGCCTCCCAGGTTCAAATGATTCTCCTGCCTCAGCCTCCCGAGTAGCTGGGATTACAGGCATGTACCACCACGCCCAGCTAATTTTTGTATTTTTAGTAGAGACAGGGTTTCATCATGTTGACCAGGCTGGTCTCGAGCTCCTAATCTCAAGGGGTCTACCCACCTCAGTGCTGGGATTACAGGTGTGAGCCACTGTGCTTGGCCACAATGTGATATTTTGATATATGTTTACATAGTAGAATGATTAAATAAAGCTAATTAACAAATCGGTCACCTCATGTACTTATCATATTTTTGTGGTGAAAACATTGAGTGTCAGCATTTTTAAGAATAAACAAAATAGACTACACTAGACTAGACTAAACTACAACATAAATTATCAGAGTATATTACATATAGTAGTAAGGGCAAATATTGTGTGTGTGTATGTATATATATATATATATATATATTTTTTTTTTTTTTTTTTTTAAGAGGCAGAGTCTTGTTCTGTCACCCAGGCTGGAGGCTACAGTATCTTGAACTCCCGGGTTCAAGCAAGTCTCCTGCCTCAGCCTCTTGAGTAGCTAGCTAGCTAGGACTGTAGGTGCACACCACCACACCTGGCTAATTTTTTTTCATTTTTTGTAGAGATGGGATCTCACTATGTTGTCCTGGCTGGTCTCAAACTCCTGGCCTCAACCGATCTTCCCAAAGCCTCCCAAAGTACTGGGATTGCAGGCATTAGCCACTGCAACCGGCCTGTTTTATGAGCATTTGTCTTCGATTTATGTGTGTGCTGGGTGATGATATAAAGTATGTTTCTCAAGGTGGGCTGCAGTCACTGTGCTAATTCATTGCGCTAATCCAGCCTTCACCTAGTGAAGGAGGTATTACTATGAGCCCGTCCTATAAATAGGGAAGGTGAAGCCCTGAGAAGTGACCTCACTTGCTGTGGGCTGCACAGTTAGAAGGGGCAACAGTCAGCACTTGCACCCCCAACAGTCTGGCTCCTGAATCTCCCTCTAAGGTCTACCCTAACACCCTTCCAATAAATCAGTAACTTCTCTTTCAGCTTAAGCATCTTTAAGTTGGATTTCTGTGCTGTGCAAACCCAAGAGTCCTGACCAACAGAAGGAGGGAGGAACAGCATTGACAAGACTGACAAAGGTCCGCTGCTTGACCAAACTCTAGTCAGGCTTCTAAACCTTCTCCTAGGTCCACCCCTATGCCCACCCTGGCCTGTCTTCAGCAAGAATCCTGTTAGGTCAGTTTAGCCAGAATTTCCCTTATCTCTGATGTTTCCTCTTAGTAATTTTCCATGCACTGACCCTCACCCTGCTTCCGGGCTATAAATTCCCACTTGCCTGTTCTGTATTCAGCATTGAGCCCAATCTCACTCCTCCACTACAAAATCCTATTGCAGTGGTCCCTACACCTATAGTGACAGTCCTGAGTAAAGTCTGCCTTACTGTGCTTTAGCAAGTATCCCTGAAGAATGTTTTCTTTAACAAGGCACAGATGTGGAGAGAGGAGGCCACGTCCTAGGCTAGGCTTAGCCTGGAGTTTGCTGGAGACCTTCAAAATGACACCTCACTTTTCCAAGTATCTGTTTCCTTCTCCTGGCAAATGAAGATGGCAATAGTGTCTCCCTTACAGGCATCGTGAGGAAGAGAGATAACCTAGGAAAACTAATCATGTGTCTGGCCAGGAGTGCCTGGGGGGCGGGGTGGGACAGGGACAGCACATGCAAAGGTGTGGGGAAAGCCTTGAGCAAGGAGAAATCAGCACAGGAAAGCGGTATTGCAGGGCCTCAGAGGCTGGATGACGAGGAACATGGTCCATTACCAAGCAGAGTCCTGGGAGGTTCCAGAAGAGTAAAGTGAGGAGTTCCCAAGTGTCCTAAGGTACAGACAGACATTTCCTACGAATTAAACTTGAGGAACACACAACACGGTGCCTCCATCACAGGTGACTAACAGAGGAGAGTCAAGCATCTTAAATCTATGACCCGGGACTGCAGGGGGAGTGAGGAAGCCCAATGATCGACCTCAGCTGAGGCCTCAGCCATTCCCAGGGCTGAACAGCAGGCTCCATGCAGAGCAGGAAGCCAGGAGCTGCTCAGAGGGCAGGCAGCTGTGAGGCCTCCTCTGGGAAACCACTCTTTGATCTCCCTGGCAGCAGAGGGGTCCCACTTCCTGCATCATAGAATGCCTGCTCTGGAAGGGACCTCAGAGTACGTGGACCCGACCCCATTGGACAGATGGGAGCAATGCTGCCCTGAAAGGTGCAGGCTTTGGTCAAGGCTGCACAGGGAGCCAGTGGACAAGTCAGGACCAGCATCCCAGCTGCCGTGCTGGTCCTAGACCTCCCTGTTCCTCCTGCTTCCTCTCGCTCAACGGGAAGGCAGCAGGGAGGGCCTGCTCCTTCCGATCTCTCTGATGCGGAGGGTCCATTTCCTGCCAAAGCTGAATGAGTTCAAAGGCCCCTGGATGGTCGGGGGATCTGGTCAGTACAAGATGGGGTGGGGGGTCTTTAAATCACAAAGATTACTTTCTCCTTTGAGATTTTTTTAAGTGGAAAGAAGCCAATTTCCTAGCATTTGTTCTTCTGATGTAGCCCTTGGCAAAAATGATGACACGGCGTGGGTGGGGAGGGAAGGAAACTTAAGGTATTTGAGCTCCTACTGTATGCTGGGCTCTGTGCCATGCGAATATAACAATCTTTCATGGCAGGTGTTAGTTTACTCATTTCAAAGTTGAGGAAATGGAGATAGAGGGAGGTGAAGTAACTTGTGTAGGGTCACACAGCTAGGATTGGAGCCCAAGTTTCTCTGACTGAGGAGCAGTATTTGACTTTAGGCCACATCAGTACCCTAGGGGTTGTATTCTGGGTAATCCAAGTTCCACTGCCCCATTCATTCTTTCAACAAACACTTGGTGAATGTCTGGCAGACAGCAAGTGCTTCAAGTACAGGAATAATCATAAAAATAGATGAGATTTATTGAGTACTTCCTATGTGTCAGGCCCCATTCATCCTAAGTGTTTACATGCAGAAACTCATTTAATTCCTGCAACAGTCATGTAAGGTGGAAACTATTAAATATCCCCATCTTAAGAGTGAAAGTGAGGCACACAGAGTTGAGAGGAGGCATCCCAGTTCCATATTTAGGAAGTGATGGAGCTGGAAGTCAAACTCTTGTGTGCCAGAGTTCACTCTCTGGACCACGGCACTGCACTACCCTGCCAGGCTCCAGAGGCACAAAGTCTCAGGGGAAGACAGACATGACTCCAGGTAACTATAAGAAAGTGTAAAAAGGGGCCAGGCTCGGTGGCTCATGCCTGTAATTCCAACACTTTGGGAGGCCGAGGCAGGCTGATCATTTCAGGTCAGGAGTTCAAGACCAGCCTGGCCAACATGGTGAAACCCCGTCTCTACGAAAAATACAAAAATTAGCTGGGCGTGGTGGCATGGACCTGTAATCCTAGCTACTCAGGAGGCTGAGGCAGGAAGATTGCTTGAGCCTGGGAGGCGGAGGTTTCAGTGAGCCGAGATTGCACCACTACACTCCAGCCTGGGCGACAGAGCGAGACTCTGTTTCAAAAAAAAAAAAAAAGTGTGAGAAGGGATGGGTGAGGGAAAAGCAGGGCATTGCAGGCATGCAGAGAAAAGGCAGGCTAAAGCCAGAATGGGTGGCCAGGAAAGGCCTCTGAGAGCATGTGACAATGCAATCAATGCCTAAAGAATGAACTGTAGTTGGTCAGGCAGAAAGTAAATAGACTATCTTAGGCAGAAGGAGCAATCAGGGGAACTAAAGGATTTTGGTCTGCCCAGGGCTTAGAGTGAGAATGGGAGTACAGAATGGGGACATCTGAAGCTGAGGAGGATGGAAAGGAGCAGAGAGCCTGAAGAGTACTGAATGCCACATTAAGAAGTTTGATTTTTATCCTATGGGCAACTGAGTCTCAGTGCGTGACCCTGGACAAGCCACATAACCTCACTGCATTTCAGTTTTCTTCTTAGTAAATTGGGACTAAGAGAAACTATTTTGCATACCTGTAGTTATTCAGTGGAAGAAATGAGATGATGCATTTGTAGTAAGAACCTTACAAATGTTAGTTTCCAGCCTCCACCTCTGCACCACTGAAATGAAGAACACAGAGAGGCAGTTGAAGAAGCAGACAAGTGTCACAGGAGTGGTGCCGTGTGCCCATCAGGAGGCTTCAAGCAAGGAACAGAAACCCCAACTAAATACGGCTTAAGCCATAAGGAGGTCATTTTCTCACATAATAACAAGAGTATAAGTTCTGGGGTTTGGAAATTCGGTGGCTTAATGATGTCTTCAAGCGGTGTCAGCTTCCTTCCCATATTGTCAATGCCTTGCCTCATGCTAACTAGATGAATGCAGCAGTGCCAGCCACCATCCGCAGACATGACAATGTCCAGTGAAAAATGCATTTCTGGCCGGGCGCGGTGGCTCACGCCTGTAATCCCAGCACTTTGGGAGGCTGAGGCAGGCAGATTACTTGTCAGGAGTTTGAGACCAGCCTTGCCCACATGGTGAAGCCCCGTCTCTGCTAAAAAATACAAAAAAAAATTAGCCTGGCATGGTGGCGTGAGCCTGTAGTTACTTGGGTGGCTGAGGCAGGAGAATCGCTTGAACCCAGGAGGTGGAGGTTGCAGTGAGCTGAGATCACACCACTGCACTCCAGCCTGGGCAACAGAGTGAGACCCTGTCTCAGAAAAAAAAAATACATTTCCACTTACGCATCTTTAAAGGAAGAAAATCTTTTCTGTAGACCTCTTCATCAGACTTCCCCTTAGGTCCCATTGACCAGTATTGGCTTGCATGCCTTTTGCCAAACCAATATCTGGCAAGGGGAATATAATCATGATTGGCTTAGACCAATCGTGACTCATGCCCCAATACTGAGGAGTGCCCTGTCCTCTGAGTGCTTGGCCTCAAGGGAAAAGGACCCAAGCAAAACAGGCCTTTCCAGCCAGGAAGAAGGAGGGATGGATTTACATAGGTCATCAACATCATCTGTGACTCCAAGAACCAAGTCCAGGCTCTGGCCAATAACAGTAATTTCAGTTCCCACCTACTGATGGGCTTAGGCTCCAGCAACCTTCTATAGCCCTTGATGTCAGGACAGGATGAGAAAACATCCTGAGCCTTAGAAGCTGCCTTAGTAGGGCTGAGGGAGCTGGGGTGTGTCCCTTGTACCCCCTTGGTCCAGCTCAGTGCCTCCAGAGGAATCCATCATTCGCTCATTCAGTCCACAAATATTAATTGGACATTTATTTTGTAGTGGGGACACAATGATAATCAAAACCCAGCATGGACCCTGCCCTTACTGACCTCACTCTCTAGTTGGGGAGACAACAAAATAACTACACAGGCATGTGTAAAATGACAACTGCGTCAGTTGTGGACTGACAGGTAAGTGGTGCTATGGGAGGAAATATCAGGGGACTTGACCCCAGCAGGGAGATCGGGGACTGTGGATTCCACAGGTATCTTTTGGAGCCCAGGGTCAGTCACTTACTGGCTGTGCAACTTTGCAATGATAATTTGTTTGACGTCTCCGTGCCTTGGTCTTCATTGGGAAATAGCTAAAGCACGAGAAAATGTCTCTTAGGATTAGTAGAAAAAACAAATGAGATGATGTGGCCATCATGCAATAACTGCAGTTCTAAGAAACCTCATGCAATCAACAAACCAGTAGAATAGCACAATGGTTGTGGCTCTGGCTCAAGCTAGACTATACGTGTGTGAGGCCCAGCTCCGCTTCCTTCTAACTGTTTGACACTGAGCAATCGTCTCATCTCTCTATGCCTTGGTTTCCCTATCTGTAAAATGGAGCCAATAACAAAGAGCATTGCGTGAAAATTAAATAGATCATTATGCAAATCTCTTAGCACAAAGCCATCACACAGTAAGTTCAATAAGCGTTAGTGAAGTTTATTATTATTGTTGTGGTGGTTCTTTTGAAATTAATCATAAAAACGAATGTGAAAATGTGGTTGGGTTAGAGATTTTCAGTCTAGCAACTGCAAAGTCATTCTTCTTGTTGATACCTTAATAATAACAGTGTTTGCCCTAGCAATATGTGTATGGTTATGAAAGTTTTATATCCCTGAGCATCTCTGAGCTTCGATTACATCTATATTTTCTTTCAGAGTGCTGGCCTTCCTATTTCTAGCACCACCAGCACCATCAGTAACACACCTTGAGAAGCAGCCATTGTTTGGATAAACAAAGCAAAACCCAGGCAGCAACCTCACGGCAGCCCAGCCGCAGCTTCCAGGCTGCTTCCAGCTTGCGCTGCTGTATAACCAATCACAAGCCGCAGGATGCAAATCGTGTTCCCTAATTGATCCATCAAGGTATGCACAGATCAGGTTATGAAAACTGGCACTGTGGGAGGAATGTCTGCACGTGCGAACACTTAGCACTGGGCCCGACACATGTGAAGTATTCGGTGAACATCAGCTATTGTTATTAGTATTATGTATCCTACAGATGGTGGGAGCATCAGACTCTTACAAGCTGGAGAGAGCCATGACTGGTTTTGCTTTTCCTTTCCTTGGTAAAACGACTGTAGCCTCTTTAGGTTATCATGTTATTACTACACCTGCTTCATAGGGTGGGTATGAGGATTCCATGAGTTGGTGCGCGGATGTATTTGGAATGGTTCCTGTACAGCATAAGCACTCAGTAACAACAATAATATCTAATACTCATTGAGAACTTTTCAGGTTTACTTTCCAGATTTAATCCTCACCACCCACCAATGAGGTGGGTATTAACACCATTCCCAGTTTACAAGTGAGGAAACTGAGACATTGGAATGTTAAATAACATGCTTAAGTTACACAGTAAACATAAACATCAGCTGCTATGGTTATAGGTTTTTTTCAAAATAGGGCATTAATCTGAAGAGTCAGTAGAAGCACAGCTATATGTTAAAAAACAAACAAAAAAATCCAGCTTTTGCATAGAAGAATGCTTCAAAATGTAAATAGTGCTTATCTCTAAATGGTATGCATGTGGGTAGGGATCCCACCTTTTTTCATCTATCTGTGTCTTCAAAGTTTTCCATTAGCAACATGTATTACTTTTATATTGGTTAAAAATAATAATTTTTAAATGTATGTGGCAAAAGCCTAGATGGACAGAGAGCAGAGGGAGGGACGCGGGTTACTAGACAATTGTAATCGCTAAAGGGGAAGAAGGTGGAGTTTGAACCAGCTGTTGACTGGGGGCTAAGGGGAGGACAGTGTGGATGCAGGTGATTTTAAGAAGGCAGAATAGGGCCGGGAGTGGTGGTTCACGCCTGTAATCCCAGTGCTTTGAGAGGCCAAGACAGGCAGATCACCAGGTCAGGAGTTCGAGACCAGTCTGGCCAACATGGTGAAACTCCATCTACACTAAAAATACAAAAAGCTAGCCGGTGTGGTGGTGGGCACCTGTAATCCCAGCTACTCAGGAGGCTGAGGCAGGAGGATCACTTGAACCCGGGAGGTGGAGGTTACAGTGAGCTGAGATCATGCCACTACACTCCAGCCTGGGCAACAGAGCAAGACTCCGTCTCACAAAAAAAAAAAAAAAAAGGCAGAATAGAAATGACTTTTTGACTGATTGGACATAAGTGAAGGAGCTGCCTGGGATCCACTCATTCATTCCACAGATGGCTAATAAGCTCTTTCTAGAATTCTAGGCACTGTTCCAGGAGCCAGGGTTGCATAAGACAGATAAATCCCAGAGCTCATGGAGCTTCCATTTAAAACTGAGAAAAGATGTCAGTGCGTGTGGGGTCAGATGTTAAGGGTTGTGGAGAAAAGGAAAGAGAGGGGCTAGAGAGTCCTGGGTGGGGTGGAGAGTAGTCAGGGAACCCCACCCCCACCCCCAACCTTCCTGACCCTTAGAAACATTTGAACAGAGGCGGAAGGAAATGTGAGAACAAGCCCTACAGATACCTCGAGGAAAACCACCCCTTGCAGAGGAAACGGCAATCACAAAGGCTTTGCAGCAAGAGCATCTTCAGGGAAGAGCAAGGAAGGCTGGGGTGGCTGCAGAGAGGGAGGGACCGAACAAGCAGTAGGAGATGAAGTTTGTTAGCCATTGCCAGGACTTAGACTCTTATTCTGAGGCATGTGGGAAGTGGCGGAGGTTTCCAGTAGAGGAATGATAGGCTTGACCTTCATTTTAAAATGATCACTGAGGCTGCTGTGTGGGAAATAGACAAGGCAAAGTTGGAAGCAGGGAGGTCTGTTAGGAGGTCTTTGCAATAATCTTGGAGAGATGGTGATGGCTTCCAGAGTGGCAGAGTCACACTGAGGAGTGATTGGATTCTGAATCTTTGAATAGAGCTGACGGCATTTCCTGACTTCTTGGATTGTGGTGCAGAAGAGGAGTCAAGGGTGAGTCCCAAATTTGTGGCCCATGCAACTGGAAGAATGCAGTAAACATTTCCTAAGAAGGGAAAGACTGCCTGAGAACCAGATTTGTGGAAGGCAAACCAGAGTTTGGTGTTGGATATGTTGAGTTTGAGATACCTTTTAGATGTCTGTGTGGAGAGGTCAGCTAGACAAGTGGATGGACTGGAAAGAAGTTCAGAGGAAAAGTCAGGACTGGGGACAAAAATTTAGGAGGCCTCAAAGTATAGATGATATTGAAAGCCTGAGTACCAGATAGGAAGGTCTAGGAGTGAGCATAGCAAGGGAAGGATGACTCCTGGGTTTCAGGCTTGGGCAACTGGAAGGATAATTTTCCTTCTTCAGAGATGGAGGGCACAGGAGCAGGAGCAGGTGTGGAGGGGAAGATGATGTGCCTACTTGTGGACACACAGATTTGGGGTCCTGGAGGACATTACAGAGGGGAAGGGAGTAACCTGGCTCTAGTCGGATGTAGAGGTCATGAGCTCAGAAGAGAGGGCTGGGCAAAAGCCAGAGCCAGGGGGCAACTGAGGTCCCAACAAATTTATGTAAAAGAAATGCAAATCTCCATAAACCTGAGCCCTTTTCACAATTCCGAGTCAGGGCAAACAGGTGTCAATGCAGGTGTTCTAGGGATTAACAGGAATTTGAACTCACAGGTAAATTTCAACCTTTTCTGAGGAAACACGCTCAGTAAATAACTGAGTGGGAAAAAAAAAAGATCCCTTCCCTCTCCATTTCTGAGCACCATCTGGCTTCTCTAGGGCACCTGAATGAGGGACTCTTGAGAGACTGGAAAGGGATCCAATGGGATAGAAACAGGAATGGTAGAGCCAGGAGTAGGTCTGGTGGCCTCTACAATCTGTTGCTGCATAGCAAATACCCCCAGCTTGGCAGAACAAAGCAACATTTTTATTAGGCTCATGGATTTGGCAGTCAGGAATTTGGACAGAGCACTGTAGGAATGGTTTATCTCTACCTCTTGATGTCTAAGGCGTTAACTGAGAAGGCTCCAGTGGCTGGGGACTGGAGTCATCTGGGGGTTCCTTCACTCACACGTCTGGCTCCTGGCCTTGGATGGCTGAAGGCTGGGCTTAGCTGGGAATGTCTCCTTCATGGCTTATATATGGCTTGGGCTTCTTATAGCATGGCAGTTGCGTTCTGAGCAGGAACATCTAAAGAGTCAGTGTCTAGAGAGAGCCAGGTAGAAGATGCCCAAAGGCCTAGCCTCAGAAGTCACAGAGGGTCACTTCCACCATACTCTATTGGTCAAAGCTGACACAAGCCCACTCAATTCCAGGGGATGGGGCATCGACCCCACTTCTTAATAGGAGGAGCTTCAAAGGATTTGTAGCCAATTTTCTTAGTAACAGTTTTATTGAGATATAATTCACGTACCATACGATTCACTCATTTAAAGTATATAGTTCAATGAATTTTAGTATATTTACAGAATTGTGCAATCCATCACCACAACCAATTTTAGAACATTCTTATCACCCCAAAAAAGAAACCTTGTACCCTATAGTTATCACTGTCCCCAGTATTCTCATCCCTTCCCTCAGCCCCTGGCAACCAGTAATCTACTTTATATCTTCAGGGATTTGCCATTTCTGGACATTTCATATAAATGAAACCATATAGTATGTGGTTTTTGTGATTGGCTTATTTCACTTAGCATAATGGGTGTCTTGTTTTGTTTTGCTTTTTGTTTTTGAGACAGAGTCTCAGTCTATGGCCCAGGCTGGAGTGCAGTGGCACAAACCAGGCTCACTGCAACCTCTGCCTCCCGGGTTCAAGCGATTCTCATGCCACAGCCTCCCAAGTAGCTGGGATCACAGGCATGCGCCACCATGCCCAGCTAATATTTGTATTTTTAGTAGCGATGGGATTTCACCATGTTGGCCAGGCTGGTCTTGAACTCCTGACCTCAGGTGATCCACCCACCTCAGCCTCTCAAAATGCTGGGATTACAGGCGTGAGCCATGGCGCCCGGCCTCATTTAGCATAACGTTTTCAAGGTCCATCCATATTGTAGCAGGAATCAGCACCTCGTTACTTTTTATGGCCAAATGATGTTTCATTATATGAATACACCACATTTTGTTTATCCATTCATCAGCTTATGGAGATTTGAATTGTTTCCATTTTTAGGCTATTATGAATAATGCTGCTATGAATATTCATGTGAAAGTTTTGTGGCCAATTTTTAAAAACCATCACTGACTCATGGGCAGGAGCTCCAAGGCTGGTGGACCCCAGACAAGATTTTGACATGTCTTAGCTCTATGCCCTTCAGAAAAATCATTCAATATTTCTGAGCTCATCTGCAAAATGGGACAACAAAATATTCCTGGACAGGTGAGGATTAATGAGCTCAAGGCTGTGAAGTAATTTTTTAAATCATAAACTGAAAAGCTTTGTAAGAGATCTACATGTTGCCATCCCAACAGCACTCCCTTTCTTGGTAAAAGAACCCTGATTTTGGTCAGGTATGTGCCTCCTGGGGGCTTGACACCCACCCTCCCACCACAGTAGACAAATCATAATCAGTCTAAACCAATCACAATAATCCATTGTCTTTGCCTATTTATGGTTTTGGAATGACCTAATGATGCATTACTGGTCAATGAGACAGAGGGGGTCTGCTGGGGAACACTGCAGTAAATGGGTGTCTTAGACCTAAAAATCATGCAAAAGAAAAAACCATCCCTTTTTAGCAAGACATCTTCATGTCTGCTTGTGAAACTGCATAGTAATCAGCTTGCTGAGTGAGATAAAATCTGAAGATTGACAACAAGTTGATGTCAGCATTGAGCTAACCCTGGAGAAGTCTTGCCTCTGGATGACTTATGTGAGGTAATAAATGTCTTTATTCTT
Organism: Homo sapiens; assembly: GCF_000001405.40. NCBI lineage: Eukaryota > Metazoa > Chordata > Mammalia > Primates > Hominidae > Homo > Homo sapiens. Next base: position 33,225,700 of record NC_000001.11, on the reverse strand, counting down.
TAAGTCACTTATAGTTGGGTTTCCTATAACTTGCAACGGAAAACATCCATACTTAAACACATCTCAGTATCTGTCTGTCTGTCTATCTACCCCATCTACTTTCAGAGAGGATTAGTCTTACCTTACAATAAAAGACACAGGGAGAAATCAATACAAGGGTAAACAAGCAACGATGGGAACTCATGCTTCTGGCATCATGGCATACCAAATACCCTGAATGACCCTTCTGATTAAAAGAGCTGTAGTTATTTTAAATACATATATATTTTTTAAATAAATCAGTTACATGAATCAGCTTACATTTAGGTAAAAGGAGAGCAACAACACAAAAAGTATAAGTAAGTAAAATATATAATATGTCAGAAGGTAATAATGCATAAAGAAAAATAATTTCAGGAAGAAGGATGAGGAGTACCAGGTGGAATAAGTGTGTTACCATTTCAAAGGGGTGGCTAAGGTAGGCCTCATTGGAATGGTGACATTTGAGAAAGGACTTAAAGATGATGAGGGCAAAAGTTATATAAATGTCTGAGAGAGAAGAATAATCAAGTAGAGGAAACAGCCAGTGTGAAGAGTCTATAGTGTGAATGTGTCTGGGATGTAAAAGGAATAACAAAGCCAGTACGTCTAGAATTAAATGAGTGAAGGGAAGAGCAGAAGATCAGTTCATAGTTGTAATGGATATGGAAATCTAGATGGGCAGTAGTTGTTGTCTTCTGGCTCTTGTGGTTTCTGTGGAGAAGTCCACTGTCAGTCCTATTGTAGATTCTTTGAATATATATCTTTTTCTCTCTGGCCTCTTTTAAGATTTTTCTCTTTGTCTTTGGCTTTCAGAAGTTTGACTACTGTGTGCCTGAATATGGTTTTCTTCGTATTCATTCTGTATAGAGTTCATAATTCTTAATGCATCTTATGACTTGATATCTTTCTTCAGTTTTGGAAATTCTCAACCATCATCTCTTCAAATATTGCATCTGCCCTATTTTCTCTTTCCTTTCACTTCGAGATTCCAATTATACATAATTTAGACATGTCCATGTGTTTCATGTGTCTCTTTCATCGTTATCTCTTATAGATCTCTTGCAATTATAGGTCTCTTCAAATTATACATAATTTAGACATGTCCACTGTGTTTCACATGTCTCTTACATTGTTATCTCTTATAGATCTCTTGCAATTATAGATCCCTTCCAATTATGTAAGAAACACATGAAACACAGTGGATACATTTAAATTATGTATCTCATATAGATAGCAATGTAAGAGACACAATGTTATTTGTATTTTTGCATCCTTTACACTCTCCTTACTTAGGTCTGGAAATTTGATCTATTTCCAGTTCACTAATTCTCTCTTCAGTTGTGTCTGATCTGTTGCCAAACCCATCTATTGAGTTTTTTATTTCAACTGCTACACTTTTTAGTTCTAGAGTTCATTTTTGATAATTTCTATAGTTTCCAGTTCTCTGTTGAAATTTCCCATCTTTACATTTAATTTATTTATCACTGTTACTTTAAAGTCAGTGCCAATATCTGGACTCCTATGGGTCTCTTTCTATGATTTTTTTTCTCTTGATGTTTTGGTAAATTCATGTCTCTTTGCATGTTCAGTAAATTTTGATTAAATTTTAACATTGTGTATGAAAAATGTAGAGATAATTTGAAACTCTGGATCATGTTCTTTTTCTCAAGAGAAGATACACTTTTATTTGTGACAGGTAGTAGAGACAGATCACCTTAATGCAGTCAGGGACTAAGCTGATCCAAAGCTGGTCTTCAGTCTCTTTTTTCTTTTTTTTTTTTTTTTTGAGATGGAGTTTCACTCTTTTTGCCCAGGCTGGAGTGTAGTGACGTGATCTTGGCTCACTGCAGCCTCCACCTCCCTGGTTCAAGCGATTCTCCCACCTCAGCCTCCCAAGTAGCTGGAACTACAGATGCATGCCACGATGTCCAGCTAATTTTTGTATTTTTAGTAGAGACAGGGTTTCACCATGTTGCCCAGGCTGATCTTGAACTCCTGACCGCAGGTGATTCACCCGCCTCAGCCTCCCAAAGTGCTGGGATTACAGGCGTGAGCCACCATGGCCAGCCTGGTCTTCAGTCTTTATGATGGCTAATCTACTTCTGATTCACCCAAAATTACAAACTCTGAAAAGTGCTATGAAGGAGGTAAATGGTAATAGAACAGAGAGTAATTTGGGATGGGAGAGAGAAATATATGCAGCTTTAGCTAAGTGTATTAATCCATTTTCATGCCGCTGATAAAGACATACCTGAGACTGGGCAATCTACAAAAGAAAGAGGTTTATTGGACTTACAGTTCCACGTGGGTGGGGAGGCCTCACAATCATGGCAGAAGGTAAAAGGCACATCTCACAGGGCAGCAGACAAGAGAAGAGAGCTTGTGCAGGGAAACTCCTGTGTTTTTTTGTTTTTTGGTTTTTGTTTTTTTGAGACAGAATCTTGCTCTATCACCAGGCTGGAGTGCAGTGGCTCAATCTCGGCTCACTGCAAGCTCTGCTTCCTGGGTTCAAGTGATTCTCCTGCCTCAGCCTCCTGAGTAGCTGGGACTACAGGCACACGCCACAACACCCAGCTAATTTTTGTATTTTTAGTAGAGACGGGGTTTCACCATGTTGTCCAGGATGGTCTTGATCTCCTGACCTCGTGATCCACCCACCTCAGCCTCCCAAAGTGCTGGGATTACAGACATGAGCCACCGTGCCCAGCTGGGAAACTCCTGTTTTTAAAACCATCAGATCTCATGAGACTTATTCACTCTCAAGAGAACAGCACAGAAAAGACCTGCCCCCATGATTCAATTACCTCCCACCAGGTCCCTCTCACAACACATGGGAATTCAAGATGAGATTTGGGTGGGGACACAGCCAAACCACATCACTAGGGTACTCAAAGAAGGCCTCTATGAGAGGTAACACTTGACTGCCAAACTGAATGATGAGAAGGAAACAGCCATGTGAAGATGTAGGTTCTTCCAGACAGATTAAGCAGCAAATGCAAGTGCCCTGAGGCTGAAATGAGCTTGGTAGCTTTGTGCAATAGAAAGAAGGCAGGATGACACTACAAGGTAGATAACAGCTAGCTATTAGAAGTCCTGGCAAAGAGTGTGGATTTCAGGCACAGTAGGAAATTACTGGAAAATTTTACACAAGCAGTGGCATGATGTGATTCATGTTTTTAAAAGATCACTCTGGCGAATGTGGAGAAATATTCATGGGAAGCAAAACTTGAAGCAAGGAGATCAGTGATATGACTATTTGCAGTAATGTAGATGAGAGATGCTGGCAGCCTGGACTAGGGTGCACTGCAAATGAAGAGAAATAGATGGATCTGAGATATATTTTGGAGGTAGGATGTACAGGGCTTGTTTCTAGGTTAGAAATAGGGTTGGTGGGGGGCCAAAAGGACTTGAGCAATTGGATGGATGGAGATGGGGAAGTATGGGGAAGGTATAGTTTTGGAGATAAAGGTCAAGCATTCCATTCTGATGCCATTTCCATGGTATACAAACAGCATTAATTTGATGGCTTTTGGTTGCAAGTGTCAAACTGGCTTAAGCAAACATGAGAAATTGTTGGCTAGTACTCTTGGGAAATACAGGCTCATGGACAGCTCATGAACCTATACTGGGCACCGTAACTGTCCTCAGAACACACATACTACCTCACTCTTTCTTTCTGTCTCCTTGTCGCCCTCTTCCTCCTCCACCTGCTTCTCCTTTTTCTCTCTACCTTCTTTGCTGGGATGATTTAATCCTCCACCCATGGAGGAAACTGTCTACAGTAGGAAGAAAGGCAGCCTTCCCACAGCCTATCCACTGCATCCTACTGCCCATCCACTGCATCCTACTGCCCCATCGTTCATGCTGGGTGAGATTATCCATCTGTTTAACCCTCTAGGAACAGATCAGACACACCTTAAAGTTAAGGACCAGTTCTTACTCCCTCTGAAACACCAGCTTAGTGAAATGAAAAATGAATTGTCTTTGGAATGAGCCAGTACCTGGCTCTGACATTTAGTAGTTGCTTGACCTTGGACAGCTCACTTAACCTCTCTGAGACTTATTTTCCTTATGTAAAAACTAGTGATTACAAATATATACTTGCGCAAGCTGTGAGGATTAAATAAGATCTTGATGAGAAATGCCTGGTATAGTTTGGGCACTCTATGTTTTGAAAACTATGGATATACAAAGACGGCAGCAACCCTGTGGGTATAATCTTGGTGATGTGGGTGTGGAGGAGTGAGGCTGGACTGGTTCCTGGCAGCAGGGAGGAAAAGCCAGTTTGGGACAGGGGTGCCTGAAACTCACTGTGCAGTTTCCTTGGGCAGGCCCACCCCAAACCTGGCTTCAGCCCAAGCCTGCCTGATGGGGGCCCTTCCCAGGATCCCCACCCACAGTCAGGACAGGTCCTGGCCCGTACCTCACTCCTCTGCCTGCGGCTGGGGTTTGCTTAAGCCTCTTACATTCCGGAGGGATTGATAGGATTCCAGAAGCCACACCCACCACCCACTGCCAATCCCAGGGTTAGGAGAGAAACACCGGGTCTTGCCCTCCACGCCTCGGGCTGATGGTCGGCACCCCGCCCCCCAGCACCACCCTTCACATACACACATGGCCCTGTCTCTTCTTCACAGAACAGCACAACTTTAAGGAACCCCAAGGAGCCCTGCCACCCTCTTTCTGCTGACCCTTGCCCTGTCAATCTGATGGGCCACACCCTTCCACATTCCCCACAGAGCATCAACCAGTTTCATTCCTTTCCTCCCTACGAAACCCACAAATTCAAAGAACTTGCCCAGAATTCGTGGCATTAGGAGAACCATGGCTATAGGGTGACCTAACGGTGGCTGAATGTACCCACACCCGCTGGGTTGCTTCACCCAGATTATAGCTCCAAAGACTCTGGGTTCCTGGGACCCCATGTTGGAAAACACTGTTGGACAGATGGGGAAACTGAGGACCAGAGAGCAAAAGGAACTCACCCAAGTCATAGTCAGGCCTGGCTGGGCAGTGGTAGAACCCAGGCCTGCGATGCTGCAAGCCAGACAGACTCCTGAGGCCTGCCCTCAGGACAAATCAGCCACAGATGGCGCCTCCACACCCACAGAGGCACCTTCTGGTGGGTGCATGACATAGTCCAACATGACTGTAGGGGGGTGGGTTTGAAGGAACTGGGGACAAACAGATGGCTCTGCCCTGACTCCCTGACTCCTCAGTGTGGCCTAGGACAAGTGGCTTAACCTCTCTGAGCTTCTGCGTCCACATCTTAAAGTGGAGATCAATCACAAGGTAACTGAGGGTTAGAGGATGTAATGCTTGTAAAGAGTTTAGCAGGAGGCCCAGCATATGGTAAGCAATCTACAAACAGCTGTTATTGCTATCATTATTAATAAAAACAATGGAATAGAAGTCTATAATCCTGCCTTAGCCATGGCACCAGATTGGAGATTGAGGGAAACTCAGGACAGGCCCCCAAACCCCCCACTGCAGAGTCCTGTGACCTTACAACCCCTTCCCTGCCCACCTTTCCTTCCCTACAAAGCCCACAGCCTCCGGGGCCTGGGCCCAGCACTCACCTTCTGCTCCACTGCGCTCTCCCTCTGCTGGCTCTGATGATTCATCCACCCCCAGGCCATAGTCATGCCCATCAGAAACCCATTTTTCCAGTTTCCCCTTCTGAGCCAGGGGCCTCTTCGGCCATGCCTTGTTCCCAGTATAAGGGAGGAGTAGGGGGCCCTGAGCTGGAAAAGGGTATCTAGGGGGAGTTGGGGTAGCAAGGAGGAAGACGGGAAAGGAAGTAAGGACAGAAACAATTTCCTCCCTTGGCTTGAATTAGTCTAGAGCAGCTCTGATCCCTGGGCAGGGATAGACCCAGGTTTTTCAGGTGTGAGAGATGGGGAGAGGTCAGGCTAGAGCTGTGATTTGCCACTGCTGAAAGCATCCTGGAAGTCCCTCCAGCACCTCAAACTCAGCAGAATTCAAGCAGAACTTACCCCATGTCAAAACTGCCCCTACTCCTTGGCTGTCCACACAGTCCCTCAGATAGGAAACCTGGGCATGCCCCGTCTCACCCCTCTCCTGGCCAGCACATCTCACCCACGGCCATGTGCTGGCCTTTTCTGCCTGGGAACACCATATCTTCCTGTTGGGCCCTGCTGCCCATGCTACCTGGTTAGGTCTTCACGAGTCCTCCCCTTCCTCGCTGGGCTCCTGCCCTGCAATCTCCCTCCATACTACCCAGTGAATCTTTCTTAGACACAGAATTAATCAAACATGTGGGCAGGCTTGAGACAGCAGGAGCCAACTTGTCTCTGGTCCGCCGATGAATGAATGGCGGGCAGAGGTTGGGAAGTGGGCTGGGCAGGCCCACTGTGGGCTCACACTCACTGAGCGCCAACCGTACACTTTACCGTCATCATACCCAGTGAAGGTGGGTACCACTGGACCCATTTCACAGATGGGGAAATTGAGGGTACAGAGGTCATGAATGTCACACCCAGCCCCCAGCCAGGAGATGACAGAGTTGGATTTTGAACTCCAGTCTAACTTCAGAGCCTGATTCTCTTCAATGTTTAGAGGTTATCTCTAGAGACTAAGGGGAAATAATTTGTGTTTGGGGCCCTTAAGGGTCAGTGAATCAAGTGGCTTCCTGAGAAAGGAAGGAAGTCTCTTGCGGGGGGGCAGGGGGTGGTGTATGTGTGTGTGTGTGTGTGTGTGTGTGTGTGTGTGTGTGTGTGTGTGTGTATGTCCAGCTCCTGGGCAGACCTGTGCGTCCAGCCTGAAAGTGAATGTTGCTGCCACTGCTGCCCTCCACTGACCAGAGGCAGAACTGTTCCAATCTCTTGGGAATCTGACTTCACAGGGGACTACATTGCCCAACTCCACGGACCCTGAGAAACCAGATGGGTTAAGGTTAAATCCCTAATATACAAAGAGTTCTTAAAAAGCAATAAGAAACAAACAAATTTAATCCAACAGAAAAAAATAGACAAAGGACATAAACAGGCCATTTCACAAAAGAAAACATCCAAATAGCCAATAAGCAGATGATCAATTTCACTAATAACCAAATAAATGATAATAAAAACAATAATGACAAGTTCACCTGTTAGATTACAAATTGACAATGCCTTCTTTTAGAAAGAGTGCTGAGAAACAGGCATTCATGTATTGTCAGTAGCAGTGAGATTGGTACTAGCTTTTTGGAGGGCAATATCAAAAATTTTAATATTCACATTTTTTTTTGAGACAGGGTCCAGGCTGGAGTGCAGTGGTGTGTGTAATCACAGGGCACTGCAGCCTCGACCTCCAGGGCTCAAGTCATCCTCCTGCCTCAGTTTCTCAAGTAGCGTGGACCATAGGCATACACCACCATGCCCAGCTAATTTTTAAATTTTTTGTAGAGGCAGTATCTCCCTATGTTGCCCAGGCTGATCTTGAACTCCTGAACTCGAGTGATCCTCCCACCTTGGCCTTCCAAAGTGCTGGATTATAGGCATAAGCTGCCATGCCCAGCCCCTACATTTTTCTACCTAACTGTTCTGCATCTAGAAATTTATCCTAAAAATGCAAAAGAATATATGTTTAAAGGTGTTTGCTGCTACAGTGTTTATGGTCCATCTATGGACTATAGAGAAAAATAGGGAGCCACTAAAAATAAAGACGTAACTGGATTCTGCTCATGTTCATGCTGATCACGTTTATACATTTATGTAAATTGTATATTTGTATGTGAGTATGTAATCAAAGTAAAACTTTGACAGTAATAAGATAAATATATTTTTTACATAGATATCCATGACATATTATGGAGTGAAAAACTGAGATTGCACCATAGTTAAAATACTATGATCCAGTTTACATAAAGTTGTGGGTGTGTGTTTGTGTGTGTGTGTGAACATAAGGAGTTATCTTGGAAGACTGTTACCAAAATCTTAATGGTGGCTACCTTTGTATAATAAGATTTCACTTAAATTTTACTTTCTCCTGTATACTTCTCTTATGGTTTAAATTTCTTTTTAATGAGTCTATATTATTTTAATAATGAAAACAATAAAGTTGTTTTCATTCTGAAGAAAGAGAACAGTCAGAAGATCTTGCTTCCCCAGGTGGGGGAGCCCAGTGGTAGGATGGGGGTGGCCCTGCTAGGACAGCAAGCTGGTGGTTGGGATATTAAGGTGGGGTGCAGAGATCTGGAGCTGCATCTGACCCAGTGTAAAGTTGCCTGGAATGAGTCCTAGATGGTCAGAGAGGAAAACGCCTGCTGGTCTAACACCCTCTGTGTGAGGCAGGAGTGACAGATTACATGGCTCAGATTGGGCAAGGGAATTGGCCAAGGTTACACAGTGAGCTAGTGCTGAATTGGGCACCAAAACCCAGGCCTTCAGACCCTAGGCCAGGGCTCCTTCCTCACTGCTCTCACTTCATAAGGTGGATCTGAAGGTCAGAAGTTAGATCAGGTTAGGCAGCAGGTTTCCACTGAGATGGTGCTGTTACTGATTTGCTGGGAGTACAATTATCTCCAATTTAGCCTCCTTAGCACTGAGCCAGGAAGTCATTGCTCCCTGGGAACATCTTTGTGCCACGTGCCTGTTCCTGATGCTGAGCTGGAAGCTGGGTTGTAAGGGATGGATGGTGGCCTCTCTCCATCCCCAGTCTTCCTGCCTCCAGAACCGCCTCAGCAATTCATTCTCTACACCACCCTAGGGGGATTCCCTGAAAACTCTACTCCCACGCGTCGCCTCTGCTTGGAAAAGCTCTCTGTGGTTCCCCACCGCCCTTATTCAAGGCCTTCAGTGATGTGAACCCACCCTCCATTTGCAGCCCTTGCCCAGCCCCTCCAGCCACCTGCACAGGGGGCCCATCCTATGTGCTGACTCTACCAAGTCTTTTTACCTTCCTGTACCTTGGCTCATGCAACTCTTTCTATTTATTATTATATTCCTGCCTTCTATAAGTGCGAAGCTTTTGATCCTTCTTTAAAATCATCCTAAATAAATGTTCTTTCCTCCAGGAAGCCTTCTTTGACTCCCAGAGGAATTTTTTTTTTCCTGTTTCTTTTTTTTTTTTTTTTTTTTGAGACAGAGTCTTGCTCTGTGGCCCACGCTGGAGTGCAATGGCACAATCTCGGCTCACTGCAACCTCTGCCTCCTGGGTTCAAGGGATTCTCCTGTCTCAGCCTCCTGAGTAGCTGGGATTACAGGCGCCTGCCACCACGCCTGGCTAATTTTTGTATTTTTAGTAGAGATGGGGTTTCACCATGTTGGTCAGTCTGGTCTCGAACTCCTGACCTCATGATCTGCCCGCTTCAGCCTCCCAAAATGCTGGGATTACAGGTATAAGCCATCGCGCCCGGCCCTTTTTTCTGTTTCTTAAGAGCATACTTTATTCATCTTTGTACCGTCTGTGGCTAGCCCTGTGCTTAGCATACAGTGAGCAGACAAGAGATGCTGGTCAAATGAAGAGTCAACTGCATTTAATTAAACTGTCTCATTTTCCCCTCCTCTCCCACCCCTTTTACTTTAGAATGCAAGGGATGGAAAAACTCTCTAAACTTTTTCAGAGGAGAAGAATATAGGAGGTCTTACATTTCACTTTCAGTATAAGTACAGCACTGGTCTTAGAGTTAAAGTATTATGGAAACGTTTGTTTTTATAAATATATCACAGGTTGGAGATACTGACATATAATAAGATAAAATTATTAGCCCAAGGTTTAGTTGGCAACACCTTGACTGTATTTACTTTTATAATCATGAGAAACATTGCTTCAAACCATGTTTGTTATACATAATAAGCATATATAGGCCCCTGGTTTATGGCAGAAAACCTTTTTCAAAAAATTCGTGACATTAAGAAAACATTACAAGCATCAGCATATTCCTATATATGTGTGCTCAATTTCAAAATTTATTTGAGGATTTGTAGAAAATATCACTCTGAATGTGACTGTGAACTTCATTTTTGCAACACTACCAGGGTACAGAATTTTTATATTGATTTTTAAATTTTTAAAAAATGTTAGTGACTATGGATACTCCATATTCATGGAGTACATAGGGCAATGTACTGATCCAGGCACTCAATGTGTAATAATCACATCAGGGTAATCAGGGTATCCATTGCCTCGAGCATTTATCATTTCTTTGTGTTAGGAACATTCCAATATCACTCTTTTAGTTATTTTTAAATATACAATAAATTACTGTTGACCATAGTCACTCTGTTGTGCTATCAAATACTAAAATACTAGGATATTATTCATTCTATATAAGTATATTTTTGTGCCCATTAACCATTCTCCCCTACCCCACCCTACCCCAAGCTTCCTTCTCAGCCTTTGGTGACCATCATTCTACTCTCTATCTTCATGAGTTCAATTGTTTTAATTTTTAGCTCCCACATATAAGTGAGAACATGAGAAATTTGTCTTTCTGTGCCTGGCTTATTTCACTTACATAATGTCTTCCAGTTCCATCCATGTTGTTGCAAATGACAGAATTTAATTATTTTTATGGATGAATAATATTCCACTGTGTACATGTACAACATTTTCTTTATTTATTCATCTATTTGGGGACACTTAGATTGATTCCAAATCTTGGCTATTGTGCACAGTGCTGCAATAAACATGGGAGCGCAGATATCTAATCAATACACTACTTTCCTTTATTTGGATGTATACCTACTAGTGGAATTGCTAGATCATATGGTAGTTCTATCTTTAGTTTTTTTGAGGAACCTTCAAACTACTCTCCATAGTGACTATACTAATTTACACTCCCAACAGTGTACGAGGGTTCCCCTTTCACCATATCCTCACCAGTATTTGTTATTGCCTGTCTTTTGAGTGAAAGCCATTTTAACTGGGGTGAGATGATATCTCATTGTAGTTTTCATTTGCATTTCTCTGATGATTAATAATGTTGAGCATTTTTTTCAAACACCTATCAATCATTTGTAGGTCTTCTTTGGAGAAATATCTATTTGGATCTTTTGCCCACTTTTTAATCCAATTACTTCATTTTTTCTGATCAAGTTGTCTGAGCTCCTTATATATTCTGGTTGTTAATCCCTTTCAGATGGGTAGTTTGCAAATATTGCCTTTCATTGTGTGAGTTGTCTCTTTACTTTGCTGATTGTTTCCTTTGCTGTGCAGAAGATTTTTAGCTGGATGTGATCTCATTTGTCCGTTTTTGCTTTGGTTGTCTGTGCCTTTGAGGTATTATTTGAGAAATCTTTGCCCAGACCAATGTCCTAGAGAGTTTTCCCAATGTTTCCTTTTAGTAGTTTCACAGTTGGGGTCTTAGATTTAAGTCTTTAATCCATTCTTACTTGATTATTGTATATGGCAAGAGATAGGGGTCTACTTTCATTCTTCTGCATATGGAGATCCTGTTTTCCTAGCTCCAAATATTGAAGAGACTTTCCTTTCCCCAGTGAATGTTCTTAGCACCTTTGTGAAAAATGAGTTCACTGTAGATGTCCCATAGGAATTTTTAGGGGTGTGCATTCAGCTATTCCTGTATGTTTTCCCATGGCTTCAGCTTCTATCTTATTTTGTGTCTTTCAATTTACATGCTTTTTATTTGCTTCTTTTTTCTTATTTCACATTTTTAATTGGATTGATTTCTTTTTAATTCTATTCTTTTTTTCCCTGAACTAGCATGAAGTTAAGTATACATCATGCACTCTTAAAATCTAGAACTCAGTAAAATCCCTAGACTTTTCCAAACCAATACAAAATCAGGTGTTTTCGTTCAATCTTGTTTTTTGTTGTTGTTGTTGTTTTGTTTTTTTTGTTTTGTTTTGTTTTGGTTTGCTTTGGTTTTTTTGAGACAGAGTTTCTGTCTGTTGCCAGGCTGGAGTGCAGTGGCGTGATCTCAGTTCACTGCAACCTTTGCCTCCCGGGTTCAAGCGATTCTCCTGCCTCAGCCTCCCAAGTAGCTGGGACTACAGGCACATGCCACCACGCCCAGTTAATTTTTATATTTTTAGTAGAGATGGGGTTTCACCATGTTGGCCAGGATGGTCTCGATCTCTTGACATCGTGATCCACCCGCCTCGGCCTCCCAAAGTGCTTGGATTACAGGCGTGAGCCAACACGCCTGGCCTCAATCTTGTTTTAAAACCCCCAAAATAGTAATTATTATTATTATTACTATAGTAATCAATACTTATTTAAATTCACCAACACATTTACCAGCTTCTTTGTTCACTTTACTGCTTCCCACCCTTCTTCTGGGATTTTTTCTAACTGATTTATTGAAATACAATTGACAAACAATAAACTGCCCATACTTAAAGTGAACAATTTTGAGAGGTTGTTATGTATATATGTATGCATCTGTGAAATCATCGCCGTGATTAAGAAAATGAACTTCAGGCTGGGCGTAGTGGCTCATGCCTGTAATCTCAGCACTTTAGGAGGCTGAGGTGGGTGGGTCACCTGAGGTCAGGAGCCAAGATCGCACCACTGCACTCCAGCCTGGGCAACAGAGTGAGACTCCATCTAAAACAAAACAAAACAAAATTCTAAAAATTTATATGAATAGTATAATACATACATACTCTTTTTGTCCATCTTCTTTCACTCAGCACAATTATTTTGAGATTCAGCCATGCTATTGCACATATAAAATTTATCCTTTTTATTGCCAAGGAGCATTTCCATTGTATGGATGTGCCACATTTAGTTTATTCATTCATCCATGGATTTGGGACATTAGGGTTACTTCTAAATAAATTGTGACTATTATAAATAAGGCAGCAATAAACATTTGTGTACAAATCTTTGCATGCACGTACGCTTTCATTTCTCATATAGTTCGGCTGTCTTCTCCAAATCTCATGTTAAAATGTAATTCCCAGTGTTGGAGGTGAGGCCTGAAGGTCAGAGATGTTTGGATCATGGGGGAGTATCCCTCATGAATGGCTTAGTGCCATTCCCTTGGTGATGAATGAGTTCACACAAGATCTGGTTGTTTAAAAGTGTGTGGCACCTCCCCACTGCACCCCACCACCTCTCTGTCTTACTCCTGCTCTTGCCATGTGATAGGCCAGCTTCCCCTTTGTCTTCTGCCATGATTGTAAGTTTCCTGAGGCCTCACCAGAAGCCAAGCAGATGCCTAGCGCCATGCTTCCTGTACAGCCTGCAGTACTGTGACTCAATTAAACCACTTTTCTTTATAAACTATCCAGTCTTGGGTACTTCTTTACAGCAACACACCAATAGCCTAATATAGGTACCTAGAAGTGGAATGGCTCAATATACGTTAGAGATACCTAGGTAAATTATTGAGAAACTGCCAAACTGTTTTCCAAAATGGCTATCATACTAGTCATTCTCACACTGCTATGAAGAAATACCTGGGACTGGATAATTTATAAAGAAAAGAGGTTTAAGTGGCTCACAGTACTGCAAGCTGTATAGGAAGCTTGGCTGCATCTGCTTCTGGGGAGGCCTCAGGGAGCTTTGACTCATAGTGGAAGGTGAAGGGGAAGCAGGCATGTCTTACATGGTTGAAGCAGGAGGAACAGAGAGAAGGCGGCGGTGCTACACACTTTTTAACAACCAGATCTCATGAGAATTCACTATCGTAATGACAGCTCCAAGGGAGATGATGTTAACCATGAGAAACAGTCCCTGTGATCCAATCACTTCCCACCAGATCCCACCTCCAACACCAGGGATTACAATTGAATGTGAGATTTGGGTGGGGACACAGATGAAAACCATCTCAGATGTACATTTGATATTCCCACCAGCAATATAAGAATTATCAAGACCAAATCTCCTTTGGATTGGTGTACCTGAAAGTGATGGGGAGAATGGAACCAAGTTAGAAAACATTCTTCAGGATACTATCCAGGAGAACATCCCCAACCTAGCAAGGCAGGCCAACATTCAAATTCAAGAAATGCAGAGAACACCACAAAGATTACTCCTTGAGAAGAGCAACCCCGAGACACATAAATGTCAGATTCACCAAGGTTGAAATGAAGGAAAAAATGCTAAGGGCAGCCAGAGAGAAAGGGCGGGTTACCCACAAAGGGAAGCCCATCAGACTAGCAGATCTCTCTGCAGAAACCCTGCAAACCAGAAGAGAGTGGGGGTCAATATTCAACATTCTTAAAGAAAAGAATTTTCAACCCAGAATTTCATATCCAGCCAAAATAAGCTTCATAAATGAAGGAGAAATAAAATCCCTTACAGTCAACCAAATGCTGAGAGATTTTGTCACCACCAGGCCTGCCTTACAAGAGCTCCTGAAGGAAGCACTAAACATGGACATGAACAAACGGTACCAGCCACTGCAAAAACATGCCAAATTGTAGAGACCATCAACGCTATGAAGAAACTGCATCAATTAAACAGTGAAATAACCAGCTAGCATCATAATGGCAGGATCAAATTCACACATAACAATATTAACCTTAAATGTAGGCCTGGCGCGGTGGCTCACATCTGTAATCCCAACACTTTGGGAGGCTAGCGAGGGCAGATCACAAGGTCAGGAGATTGAGACCAACCTGGCTAACATGGTGAAACCCCATCTCTACTAAAAATACAAAAAATTAGCCAGGCGTGGTGGTGGGCACCTGTAGTCCCAGCTACTCGGGAGGCTGAGGCAGGAGAATGGTGTGAACCTAGGAGGCAGAGCTTGCAGTGAGCCAGGATTGTGCCACTGCACTCCAGCCTGGGTGACAGAGTGAGTCTCTGTCTCAAAAAAAAAAAAAAATTAACCTTAAATGTAAATGAGCTAAATGTCCCAATTAAAAGACACAGACTGGCAAATTGGATAACGGGTTAAGACCCATCGGTGTGCTGTATTCAGGAGACACATCTCACATGCAAAGACACACATAGGCTCAAAATAAAGGGATGGAGGAAGGTCTACCAAGCAAGTGGAAAGAAAAAAAAGTAGGGGTTGCAATCCTGGGTCTCTGATAAAACAGACTTTAAACCAACAAAGATCAAAAGAGATGAAGAAGGCCATTACATAGTGGTAAAGGGATCAATTCACCAAGAAGAGCTAACTATCCTAAATATATATGCACCCAATACAGGAGCATCACGATTCATAAAGCAAGTTCTTAGAGACCCACAAAGAGACTTAGACTCCCAGGCAATAATAATGGGAGACTTTAATACCCCACTGTCAATATTAGACAGATCAATGAGACAGAAAATTAACAAGGATATCCAGGACTTGAACTCATCTCTGGACCAAGCAGACCTAATAGACATCTACAGAATTCTTCACCCCAAATCAACAGAATATACATTCTTCTCAGCACCACATTGCACTTATTCTAAAATTGACCTCATAATTGGAAGTAAAACACTCCTCAGCAAATGTAAAAGAACAGAAATTACAACAAACTGTCTCTCAGACCACAGTACAATCAAATTGGAACTCAGGATTAAGAAACACTCAAAACTGCACAACTACATGGAAACTGAACAATCTGCTCCTGAATGACTACTGGGTAAATAATGAAATGAAGGCAGAAATAAAGATGTTCTTTGAAACCAATAAGAACAAAGACACAACATACCAGAATCTCTGGGGCACATTTAAAGCAGTGTGTAGAGGGAACTTTATAGCACTAAATACCCACAAGAGAAAGCAGGAAAGATCTAAAATTGACACCCTAACATCACAATTAAAACAACTAGAGAAGGAAGAGCAAACAAATTCAAAAGCTAGCAGAAGGCAACAAATAACTAAGATCAGAGCAGAACTGAAGGAAATAGAGACAAAACAAACCCTTCAAAAAAAAATCAATGAATCCAGGAGCTGGTTTTTTGAAAAGATCAACAAAATTCATAGACCACTAGCAAGACTAATAAAGAAGAAAAGAGAGAAGAATCAAATAGATGCAATAAAAAATGATAAAGGGGATATCACCACCGATCCCACAGAAATACAAACTACCATCAGGGAATATTATAAACACCTCTATGCAAATAAACTAGAAAACCTAGAAGAAATGGATAAATTCCTGGACACATACACCCTCTCAAGACTAAACCAGGAAGAAGTTGAATCTCCAAATAGACCAATAACAGGCTCTGAAATTGAGGCAATAATTAATAGCTTACCAACCAAAAAAAGTCCAGGACCAGACGGAGTCACAGCCGAATTCTACCAGAGGTACAAAGAAGAGCTGGTATCATTCCTTCTGAAATTATTCCAATCAATAGAAAAAGAGAGAATCCTCCCTAACTCATTTTATGAGGCCAGCATCATCCTGATACCAAAGCCTGGCAGAGACACAACAACAAAAAAAGAGAATTTTAGGCCAATATCCCTGATGAACATCAATGCAAAAATCCTTAATAAAATACTGGCAAACCGAATCCAGCAGCACATCTAAAAGCTTATCCACCACGATCAAGTCAGCTTCATCCCTGGGATGCAAGTCTGGTTCAACATACACAAATCAATAAGTGTAATCCATCACATAAACAGAACCAACGACAAAAACCACATGATTATCTCAATAGATGCAGAAAAGGCCTTTGACAAAATTCAACAGCCTTTCATGCTAAAAATTCTCAATAAACTAGGTATTGATGGAACATATCTCAAAATAATAAGAGCTATTTATGACAAACCCACAGCCAATATACTGAATGGGCAAAAACTGGAAGCATTCCCTTTGAAAACTGGGACAAGACAAGGATGCCCTCTCTCACCACTCCTATTCAACATAGTATTGGAAGTTCTGGCCAGGGCAATCAGGCAGGAGAAAGAAATAAAGGATATTCAATTAGGAAAAAAGGAAATCAAATTGTCTCTGTTTCCAGATGACATGATTGTATATTTAGAAAACCCCATCATCTCAGCCCAAAATCTCCTTAAGCTGATAAGCAAATTCAGCAAAGTCTCAGGATACAAAATCAATGTGCAAAAATCACAAGCATTCCTATATACCAATAACAGAGAGCCAAATCATGAGTGAACTCCTATTCACAATTACTACAAAGAGAATAAAATACCTAGGAATCCAAATTACAATGGATGTGAAGAACCTCTTCAAGGAGAATTACAAACCACTGCTCAACAAAATAAAAGAGGACACAAACAAATGGAAGAACATTCCATGCTCATGGATAGGAAAAATCAATATCGTGAAAATGGCCATACTGCACAAGGTAATTTATAGTTTCAATGCTATCCCCATCAAGCTACCACTGATTTTCTTTACAGAATTGGAAAAAAACGACTTTAAATTTCATATGGAACAAAAAAAGAGCCCACAGAGCCAAGACGATTCTAAGCAAAAAGAACAAAGCTGGAGGCATCACGCTACCTGACTTCAAGCTAAACTACAAGGCTACAGTAACCAAAACAGCATAGTACTGGTACCAAAACAGATATATAGATCAATGGAACAGAACAGAGGCCACAGAAATAACACGTCTACAACCATCTGATATTTGACAAACCCCACAAAAACAAACAATGGGGAAAGGATGCCCTATTTAATAAATGGTGCTGGGAAAACTGGCTAGCCATATGTAGAAAGCTGAAACTGGATCCCTTCCTTACACTTTATACAAAAATTAACTCAAGATGGATTAAAGACGTAAAACCATAAAAACCCTAGAAGAAAACCTAGGCAATACCATTAAAGACATAGGCATGGGCAAAGACTTCATGACTAAAACACCAAAAGCAATGGCAACAAAAGCCAAAATAGACAAATGAGGACTAGTTAAACTAAAGAGCTTCTGCACAGCAAAAGAAACTATCATCAGAGTGAACAGGCAATCTACAGAATGGGAGAAAATTTTTGCAATCTATCCATCTGACAAAGGGCTAATATCCAGAATCTACAAAGAACTTAAACAAATTTATAAGAAAAAAAACAACCCCATCAAAAAGTGCAAAGGATATGAACAGACACTTCTTAAAAGAAGACATTTATGCAGCCAACAGACATATGAAAAAATGCTCATCATCACTGGTTATCAGAGAAATGCAAATCAAAACCACAATGAGATACCATCTCACGCCAGTTAGAATGGCGATCATTAAAAAGTCAGGAAACAACAGATGCTGGAGAGGATGTGGAAAAATAGGAAGGTTTTTACACTGTTGATGGGAGTGTAAATTAGTTCAACCATTGTGGAAGACAGTGTGGTGATTCTTCAAGGATCTAGAACTAGAAATACCATTTGACCCAGCAATCTCATTAGTGGGTATATACCCAAAGGATTATAAATCATGCTGCTATAAAGACACATGCACAGGTATGTTTATTGCGGCATTATTCACAATAGCAAAGACTTGGAACCAACCCAAATGTCCAACAATGATAGATTGGATTAAGAAAATATGGCACATATACACCATGGAATACTATGCAGCTATAAAAAAGTATGAGTTCATGTCCTTTGCAGGGACGTGGATGAAGCTGGAAACCATCATTATCAGCAAAATATCACAAAGACAGAAAACCAAACACCGCATGTTCTCACTCATAAGTGGGAGTTAAACAATGAGAACACATGGACACAGGGAGGGGAGCATCACACACCGGGGCCTGTTGGGGAGTGGGGGGCTGGGGGAGGGATAGCATTAGGAGAAATACCTAATGTAAATGATGAGTTGATGGGTGCAGCAAACCAACATGGCACATGTATATCTGTGTAACAAACCTGCACGTTGTACACATGTACCCTAGAACTTAAAGTATAATTTTATAAAAAGGAATTGTCAAGTTTCTCCATATCCTCCCCAACAGATGGTATGATCTTAGACATTACAACAGGTGCATAGTAGTATCTTATTGTAGTTTTAATTTGCATCTCCTTAATGATTAATGATGTCGAACATATTTTATATACTAATTTTCCATCTGCATATATTATTTAAGTGTCTGAAAGTTTTTTGCCCATTTTGGGAGAGATGTGTGTTTTACTATTATTGAGTTTTCAGAGTTCTTTATACATTCTAGTTACAAGTCCTTTATCAGATATGTGATATGCAAATATTTTTCCCCAGTCTGTGGCTTGTCTTTTCGTTTTTATAATAGTATTTTTTTCTCTTTTTACAGATGGGGTCTCACTGTGTTGGCCAGGCTAGAGTACAGTAGTTATTCACAGGTGCAATCATAACACACTGCAGCCTCAAATTCCTGGGCTCAAGTGATCCTCCCATCTCAGCTTCATGAGTAACTGAGACTACAGGTTCATATCACCATGCTTAGCTATAATAGATTCTTTTGAATTACAAATTTTCTTAACTTCGATGAAATCCAGTTTATCAATTTTTTCTTGTTTGTTGTAGTCATTTTTTTTTTGTTTTGGTATTATGTCCAATAAATCTTTGCCCAACTCAAGGCCCATAAAATTATCTTATATGTTTTCTTCTAGAAGTTTTATATTTTTATGTTGTACACTTAAGCAGGAAAGATCTAAAATCAACAGGTGCATGGTAGTATCTTATTGTAGTTTTCATTTGCATCTCCTTAATGATTAATGATGTCAAACATTTTTATATGCTAATTTTCTATGATACATTTGAAGTTATGGCTCAAGTTTTATTTTTGTTTTGTTTTTGCATTTGCACATGAATATATAATTTTTCCAATATTATTTGTTTTAAAAGATTATCTTTTCTCAAATGAATGGCCTGCACATCTTTGTCAAAAATCAGTTGACTATATAAACACGGGTCTATATTTGGAATCTGTACTCTGTTCTATTGATCTATTTGTCTATCTTTTATTTATTTATTTTTTTTTTGAGACAGAGTCTTGCTCTGTCGCCCAGTATGGAGTGCAGTGGTGCGACCTTGGCTCACTGCATCCTCTGCCTCCCAGGTTCAAATGATTCTCCTGCTTCAGCCTCCCAAGTACCTGAGATTACAGGCACCCACCACCACATCTGGCTAATTTTTTTGTATTTTTAGTAGAGACAGGGTTTCATGATGTTTGCCAAGCTGGTCTCAAACTCCTGACCTCAGGTGATCCACTCACCTCAGCCTCCCAAAGTGCTGGGATTACAGGTGTGAGATACCACACCTGGCCCTGTTTGTCTATCTTGATACCAATACCAAAATATCTTGACTACTGTAGCTTTATAATGTCATAAAGTCAAATAAGTCCTTCAACTTTCTTCTTTTTTTTCAAAGTTATTTTTTTCTATTTTAGATCCTTTGCATTTTTTTCTTTTTTGAGATAGGGTCTTTATTTGTTGCCCAGGCTGAAGTGCAGTTGTGCAATCATAGCTCAGTGCAGCCTCCATCACCTGGGCTCACGTGATCCTCCCACCTCAGCTTCCCAAGTATCTGGGACCACAGGCGTGCACCACCATGCCTGGCTAACTTTTTAAATTTTTAGTAGAGATGAGGTCTCACTATGTTGCTCAGGCTGGTCTTGAACTTCTGAGCTCAAGTGATCCTCTTGCCTCAGCCTCCCAAAGTGCTGACGTTATAGTTGTGAGCCGCTGTGCCCAGCCATTCTCTGCATTTTTTAGAATTTTAAAATTAGCTCATCCATTTGTAAATACACACACACACACACAAAAACACACAGGATTTGCATTAGGATTCTCTTAAATATATAGATGAATTTTGAGAGAGTTGACATCTTAGCAGTATTGAGTCTTCTAATCTAAGAACATGGTATATCTTCCCATTTATTTGAGTCTTTAATTTCTCTCAGCAATGTTTTGTAGTGTTCAATATATAGGTCTTCCACATATCTTGTAGATTCATCCCTAAGTATTTCCTATATTTTAAGGCTATTATAAAAGATGTTTTTAAATTTTAATTTCTGATCGTTTGTTGCTAATATATAGAAATACAATAGATTCTTACATATTAATTTTGTATCCTGAAGCCTTACCAAACTCACTTCTTATTCCAATGGGACTGGCAAGAACCCCTAGTACAGTAACGATGAATAAAAGAGATGAGTGCAGACATCCTTGATTTGATTCTGATCTTAGAGGAAAGCATTCAGTCTTTCACCATGAAGTATGCTGTAAACTGTAGGTTTTTCATAAATGCCATTTGAAATTGAAGAAGACACAACTAAATGGAAAGACATCCTATGTTCATGGATTAGAATTAATATTGTTAAAATGTTCATACTACTGAATTCCATATACAGGTTTATTCCAATCCCTATGAAAGTTTCAATGGCATTCTTTACAGAAATAGGAAAAGCAATTCTAAAATTTGTATGGAACCACAAAAGACCACAAGTAGCCAAAGCAATTTAGAGAAAGAAAAACAAAGTTGAAGGCATCACATTTCCTGATTTTTAATTATATTATAAAGGTATGGTAATCAAAACAGTATAGTACTGACATAAAAGACAGACACATAGACAAATGGAACAGAATAGAGAGCCCAGAAATAAACTCAGTCATATATGGTCAACTAATTTTTGACAAGGGTACCAAGAAGACATAATGGGGAAAAGACAGCCTCTTCAATAGATGGTGCTGAAAAACTAGATTTCCACATGCCAAAAAATGTGGAAACTGGACTCTTATATTATACAGAAAAAAATCAACTCAAAATGGACAAAGGACCTAAATATAAGAACCAAAACCATAAAATTTCTAAAAGAAAACACAGAGGAAAAGCTCCTTGACTTTGGCCTTGGTAATAATTTTCTGGATATCACACAAAAAGCTCAGGCTATAAAAGCAAAAATAAATAAATGGGACTACATCAAACCAAAGAGCTTCTTCACAGCAGGGGAAACAGTCAGTAAAAGGAAAAGGCAGCATACAAAATGGGAGAAAATGTTTGCAAACCGTACATCTGATATCCAAAATATATAAGAAACTCAAACAATTCAATAGCAAGAAACAATAGCAAGAAAACAAATAACCCAATTAAAAAATGCGCAAAGGACTGAAAAGACATTTCTTCAAAGAAGACATTAAAATGGTCAATACGTGTATGAAAAGGTGTTCAACATCACTAATCATCAGGGAAATGCGAATCAAAACCACAAGGAGATATCACCTCACACCTGTTAAGATGGTTATTATCAAAAAGATGAGAGATAACACATGTTAAGAGTGTGGAGAAAAGGGAACCCTTGTACACTGTTGGTGGGAATGTAGATCGGTACAGCCATTGTGGAAAACAGCATGGAGGTTTCCAAAGAAATTAAAAATAGAAGTACTATATGACCCAGCAATCCTTCTTGTGGGTATATACAAAAATGAAATAAAATCATCATCTCATAGAAACGTCTGTACTCCCATGTTCATTGCAGCATTATTCACAATAGCCGTGATATGAAAACAAACTAAAATATCCATCGATGGATGAATGGGTAAAGAAACCATGGTGCACATATATGATGGAATATCATTCAGCCTTAAAAAAGGAGATCCTGCCATTTACCACAACATGGATGAACTTGGAAGACATTATGCTAAATGAAATAAGCCAAACACAGAAAGGAAAATATTGCATGATCTCACTTATATGTGGAATCATCAAAAAAAAGAAAAGTCAGAAAGATGGAGAATAAAATGGTAGATGGGAAGGAGTAAATAGGGAGATGTAGATCCAAGGATACAGTGTTGTAGCTATGTAGGATGAACAAATCTGGAGATCTAATGTAACACATAAGGACTATCACTAATAATATTGTATTATATTTGAGATTTTTGTTGAAAGAATGGATTTTAGGTGGTATTCCCACAAAAGGAAAGGAGTAACTATTTGAGATGATGGATATGTTAATTTGCTTGACTACATTAACAACTTCGCCAAATGTATGTATACCAAACATCATATTTAAGGTATTTATATACCTTAAATATATACAATAAAAATTTTAAATAAAAAAGTGATCTTCACTGGGCTGAGGAACTCCACTATTGTTCCTAGCACATTGAGTGTTTTAATCAAGATTGAGTGCTGGCTTTTATAAATTTTTTTTCTGCATCAATTAAGATGATTATATAGCTTTTCTTTCTCAGCCTGTCAACATGATAAATTATAGTGATTGATTTGGGATGCTTAAACCAATCTTACATTCCCGAGGCATAGTATCCTTTTGGTCATGATATAGCGTCTTTTTTTTTTTTTTTATGGAGTCTCGCTCTGTCACCCAGGCTGGAGTGCAGTGGCGCAATCTCGGCTCACTGCAAGCCCCGCCTCCCGGGTTCACGTCATTCTCCTGCCTCAGCCTCCCCAGTAGCTGGGACTACAGGCGGCCGCCACCATGCCTGGCTGATTTTTTTTGTATTTTTAGTAGAGACAGGGTTTCACCATGTTAGCCAGGATGATCTCAATCTCCTGACCTTGTGATCCGCCCGCCCTCGCCTCCCAAAGTGCTGGGATTACAGGCGTGAGCCACCACGCCCGGCCTGATACAGTGTCTTCTTTATATATTGTTAAATTCAACCTGCTGGTTTTATAGGATGAATTGGAAAATATTCCCTCCTCTTCAATTTTATGGAAGATTTTATTTAGAATTTGTATTATTTCCTTCTTATATGTTTGGAAGAATTCCTCAGTGAAGCTGTCTGGACCTGGAGTTTTATTTATGGAAAGGCTTTTAAATACGAATTCAATTTATGTAATATTTGAGGGCTATTCAGGTTATTTATTTCTTCTTGAGTGAACTTTGGTAGTTTTTATCTTTTGAGGAATTTGTCCATTTCATCTAAGTTATCCAACTTCTTGGCACAAAGGTGCTCATAGTACTCCCTTATTATCCTTTTGATGTATTTAGAATCTGTGGTGATGTCACCCTTTCATTCTTGGTATTGAAATAATTTATATTTTCTTTCCCTTTTTTCCCAAATCAGTCTGGATAGAGATTTGTCAATTTTACTGGTCTGCTCTATGAACCAGCTTTTGTTGTCATTGATGTTCTGTATCGTTTTTGTTTTCTATTTCATTGAATTTTGCTTTCATCTTTA
Organism: Homo sapiens; assembly: GCF_000001405.40. Taxonomy (NCBI): domain Eukaryota; kingdom Metazoa; phylum Chordata; class Mammalia; order Primates; family Hominidae; genus Homo; species Homo sapiens. Next base: position 33,201,757 of record NC_000001.11, on the reverse strand, counting down.
TCATTTATTTCTTCTGCTTACTTTACATTTAATTTTCTCTTTTTGTTGTTTCTTAAGGTGAAAGCTAAGGCCCTTGATTAATATAGAGCATTTAGTGCTATAACTTTCCTTCTATGTACTATGTAGCAGCATCCTACAAATTTTAATATGTGTATTACCATTTTAATTCCATTCAAAATATTTTAATTTGTCTTTTGATTTCTTCTTTAGCCCATGGATTGTTTAGAAGTATGTTATTCAGTTTCTAAATACTTGCAGATTTTCCAGAGATCTTTCCATTATTGACTTTTAATTTTATTTCATTGTTGTCAGGAAATATACTTTATATGACTTGAGTTCATTTAAATTTATCAATCCTTGTTTCATGCCCCAGAATATGGTCTGTCTTAGTAAATGTTCCGTGTTAGCTGAAATTAATGTGTACTTTGCTGATGTTGGATGAAGTGTTCTATAAATGTCTATTAGATCAAGTTGGCTGACAGTATTGTTCAACTCCTGTATCTTTACTGATCTATGCCTACTCTTTCTATCAACTTCTAATAGAAGGGTGTTGGAATCTCCTACTATCATTGTGGCTTTGTCTCTTTTTCCTTGCAGTTCGTTCTATCAGTTTTTGCTTCATGCATGTATTAGTTTGCTAGGGCTGCCATAATACAGCACTATAGACAATGTGGCTTAAACAAAAAAAAAATTATTTCCTCACAGATATGGAGGCCAGAAATCCAAGATTAAGATTTCAGCAGGGTTGATGTCTTCTGAGGCCTCTCTCCTTGTCTTGTAGATGACGGTCTTCTCCCTGTGTCTTCACATCATATTCCCTCTGTACCTTGTCTGTGTCCAAATTCTCTCTTCTTACAAAGACACCAGTCATAGTAGATTAGGGCCCACCCTAATTTAACCTGATTATCTCTTTAAATATCCTATCTCCAAATATAGTCACATTGGAGGTTAGGACTTTATGATTTTGGAAAGGGTACACAATTTAGCCCATAACAATGTATTTCAAAGCTCCCTTATTAGTTGCTTAGGACTTCTATGTTCTCCTGATTAATTGACCCCCTTTTCTTTGTGAAATAACTCACTTTATCTCTAATAATAACCTTTACTCTGAAATCTACTTCATTTTGATTGGCTATGATGTGATATATATTTTTCCATCCTTTTACTTTTAACCTGTTTGTATCTTATATTTAAAGTGGATGTCTTATAAGTAACATATAGCTGTGCCTTGCTTTTTTATTCAGTCTGAAAATCTATACTTTTTAATTGGAGTATTTAAATCTTTTACATTAATGTAATTCTTGATATGGTTGAGTTTGAATTCTGGCTATCTGACTTCTGTTTGTCCTATTTCAATTTTTTCTTCCATTTTTTCTCTTTTTCTGCCTTTTTTGGATTGAGTATTTTTTCTTCTCTTTCTTTTTTAAGAGACAGGGTTTCACTCTGTCACCTGGGCTGGAGTGCAGTGGCACAATCATAGCTCATTGTAATGTAACCTCTAACTCCTGGGCTCAAGTGATCCTTCCACCTTAGCTTCTTGCCTAAGGTATTTTGTCACAGCAGCAGGAATAGATAAGACAACAGCCTACCTTCAAGTGATAGTACACCACCTCACAAACAGAATATGACCCTTATAACAGTACACTTCCACTTAGCCCCTCCTGGACTTTGTGCTATTGTTGTCAGATATTTTACTGGTTTTTTTGTTTTGTTTTGTTTTGTTTGTTTGTTTTGTTTTGTTTTTGAGATGGAGTTTTGCTCTGTTGCCCAGGCTGGAGTGCAGTGGCGCCATCTTATCTCACGGCAACGTCTGCCTCCCAGGTTCAAGCAATTCTCCTGCCTCAGCCTCCCGAGTAGCTGGGATTACAGGCACCTGCTATCACACCTGGCTAATTTTTGTATTTTTAGTAGAGATGGGGTTTCCCCATGCCAGGATGGTCTCAAACTCCCAACCTCAGGTGATCCACCTGCCTCAGCCTCCCAAAGTGCTGGGATTACAGGCATGAGCCATCATGCCCGGCCTAGATATTTTACTTTTACTTATAACCCCACAGTAACAATGCATTGTTATTGCTTTTGCTCTAAATTGTTGATTATCTTTAAAGGGATTTAAATAATTTTTAAAAGGCATTATTTTTTACCCACATAATTGCCATTTCCAGTACTTTTCATTTCTTTACATAGATCCAGATTTCCATCTTGTATCATTTTCTTTCTGCTTGAATAACTTCCTTTAACATTTCTTGTAAGTACAGGTCTGCTGGTGATAAATTCTTTCAGTTTTTGTATTTCCAAGAAAGTATTTATTTCCCCTTCATTTTTGAAATATATTTTCAATGGGTGTAGAATTCTAGCTTGGTAGATTTTTCCTTTCAGTACTTTAAAGATGTTGTTCCACTATCTCTTAGTTTGCATTGTTTATAATAAAAAAAAATCTACTGTCATTCTTTGTTCCTCTGTGTAATGTTTCTTCTTCCTTTAGCGGTTTTTAAGATTCTCTCATTTTAACTTGTTTTGAGCAATTTGATTGTGATGTGCCTTGGTGTATTTTTTCTTTATGTTTCTTGTGTTTAGGTTTGTTGAGTTTCATGGTTATGTGAGTTTATAGTTTTCATCAAATTTGGAAATTTTTCAGATGTTTCTTCAATTTTTTTCTTTTCTTCCCTTCTCTCCTTAAGGGACTCCAAATATACATATGTTAGGCTGCTTTAAATTATCCCATGACTCACTGATGCTCTTTTTATTTGTTTTTGTCTTTTTTCTTTCTGTGTTTTATTTTGGATAGCTTCTATTGCTGTATCTTCAAGTTTACAAATCTGTTCTTCTGCAGTGTCAAAACTGCCATTAATCTCATCCAGTATATTTTTCACTTCAAACATTGTGATTTTCATGTTTGGATGTTTGATTTGAGTATTTTTAAAATATCTTCTATTATTCTGTTTAACATGTTTAATCTTTCTTCTGGCTTTTTGAACATATGGAATTCAGTTACAATTGGTGTTTTAAAGTCTTTGCCTCCTAATTCTATCATGTGTCACTTCTGGGTCAGTTTTGATTGATTGACGATTGACTTTTCTCTTTTTAAATTTTTGATACAGGATCTTGCTCTGTTGCCCAGGCTGGAGTATAGTGGCATGATCATGGTTCACATCAGCCTCAACCTCCCAGGCTCAAGTGATCCTCCCACCTCAGCCTCCTAAGTAGCTGAAACTAGAGGCGTGCATCACCATACTCAGCTAATTTTTGTATTTTTTGCAGAGATGGGGTTTTGCCATGTTGTCCAGGCTGGTCTCCAAACTCCTGAGCTCAAACAATCTGCCCACCTTGGCCTTACAAAGTGCTGGGATTACAGGCATGAGCCACCATGCCCAGCTTTGACTTTTCTCTTCTTTTTTATTTTTGTTTTTTAAATTTAATAGAGATAGCATCTCACTGTGTTGCCCAGGTTGGTCTTGAACTACTGGGCTCAAATACCCTGGTCTCCCAAAGTGCTAGGATTTAGGATTTATAGGCATGAGCCACCACACTTGGCCGACTTTTCTCTTCTTTATACATAGTATTTTTCTGCACTTTCACTTGCCTGGTAATTTTTTATTGGATGCTAGACATTGTAAATTTTACTTTTTGGGGGGCTCTGGATAATTTTTATATGCCTATAAATATTCTTTAGCTTTGTTCTTAATGTAGTTAAGTTACTCTGAGATAATTTGATCCTTTCAGGTCTTACTTTCAACATTCTTGGCAGAACCCCAGTAGCATTTAGTCAAGAGTTAAATTCCCTTGTTACTGAGGCAAAACCCTTCTGAGTGCTCTACACAGTGCCTCAAGAGTTATGAGATTTTTCTACTGTGGCCGGTGGGAAGATCACTATTCCTGACTATATGTGAACTCTGAGAATGTTTTTCTCTACTCTTTTTGTAAAGTTCTTTCCCAAGGCTTGGGTCATTTCCTCACATGCACATGATCAGTACTCAGTACTATGAAGTGCTCTCCTTTCTGGGACTCTGCCCGGCAAACTCTAGCTTCCTTGGCTTCCTTGGCCTCTCAGCTCTGTCTCCTCCTCTCAGAAAGACCTCCAGGGTTAGCCTGGGTTCCCTCCCCCGTACTGTGGCCTGGAAACTCTTTCTAGGCAGTAAGGTTGGAAACTGTTTAGCTCACCTTGCTTGTTTCCCAGAGATTGCTCCCCTTTTTGCCTAATGTCCAATGCCTTGAGAACCATCGTTTCATATATAGTTATGCACTGCATAACGACTTTTGATCAATGATGGACGCATATGTGACAGTGGTCCCAAAAGATTACAATGGAGCTGAAAAATTCCTATCCCCTAGTGATGCCATAGCCATCTGTATTAGTCAGGGTTCTCCAGAGAGACAGAACTAATAGGATATATGTATATATATGAAAGGGAGTTTATTAGGGAGGATTGGCTCACACGATTACAAGGCAAAGTCCCACAATAGGCTGTCTGCAAACTGGGGAGGAGAGAAGCCAGTAGTGGCTCAGTCTGAGTCTGACAGCCTCAAAACAAGGGAAGCCAACAGTGCAGCCTTCAGTCAATGGCTGAAGGCCCAAGATCCCCCAGCAAGCCACTGGTGCAAGACCCAGAATCCAAAGACCAAAGAACCTGGACTCTGATGTCCAAGAGCAGGAGGAGCAGAAGAAAGCATCCAGCACAGAAGAAAGAAGGAAGCCAGACAACTCAGCAAGCTAGGATATCCCACCTTCTTTCACCTGCTTTGTTCTAGCTGGCAGCCCATTGGATGGCACCCACCCACATTGAGGGTGGGTCTTCCTCTCCCAGTCCACCAACTCAAATGTAAATCTCTGGCAACATACTCACAGGCACACCCAGAAACAGTACTTTGCCAGCCATCTAGGCATCCTTCAATCCAATCAAATTGACACCTAATATTAACCATCAAAATGTCATAGTGCAATATATTACTCACATGTTTGTAGTGATGCTGGTGTAAATGGCCTACTGCACTGCCAGTCATATAAAAGTCTAGCACATACAATTATGTACAGTACATAATACTTGATAATTATAATAAACAGCTGTTACTGGTTTATGTATACTATGCTATAATTTTTATCATTATTTTAAAGTGTACTCCTTCTACTTATTAAAAGAAAAAAAAGTTAACTGCAAAACAACCTCTGGCAGGTCCTTCAGGAGGTATTCCAGAAGAAGACATTGTTAGCATAGGACATGACAGCTCCATGCATGTTATTACCCCTGATAACCTTCCAGTGGGGCGAGATGTGGACTTGGAAGACAGTGATATCAATGATCTTGACCCTGTGTGGGCCTAGGCTAATGCATATGTTTGTGTCTTTGTTTTTTATTTGTTTGTTTGCTTGTTTGTTTGTTTTTGAGATGGAGCCTTGCTCTGTCACCCAGGCTGGAGTGCAATGGAGCAATCTTGGCTCACTGCAACCTCTGTCTCCCAGGTTCAAGCAATTCTCCTGTCTCAGCCTCCCAAGTAGCTGGGATTACAGGCGCCTGCCACCATGCCCGGCTAATTTTTGTATTTTTAGTAGAGACAGGGTTTCACCATGTTGGCCAGGCTGGTCTCGAACTCCTGACCTCAAGCAATCCACCTGACTCGGCCTCCCAAAGTGTTGGGATTACAGGTGTGGACCACTGCACCCAGCCTGTGTCTTTGGTTTTAACAAAGAAGTTTAAAAAGTAAAACCTAAGAATAATAATTTAAAAAATACAAAAAGGCTTATAGAATAAGGATATAAAGAAAATATTTTAGTACAGCTGTACAACGTGTACATGTTTTAAGCTAAGTGTTATTACAGAAGAGCCCAAAAGTTTTTAAAAGTTTAAAAAGTTTATAAAGTAAAAAAGTTACAGAAAGCTAAGGTTAATTTATTATCGAAGAAAGAAAATTTTTTTATAAATTTAGTGTAGCCATAGTGTACAGTGTTTATGAAGTCTACAGAATTATGCATAATGTCCTACAACTTCACATTCACTCACCACCCACTCACTGACTCACCGAGAGCAACTTCCAGTCCTGCAAGCTTCACTTGTGGTAAGTGCCCTATAGAAATATACCATACTTTAATCTTTTATGCCATATTTTTAGTCTGCCTTTTCTATGTTTAGATATGTTTAAACACAAATACTTACCATTGTGTTACAATTGCCAACAGTATTCAATACAGTAACATCCTGTACAGGAGCCTAGGAGCAACAGGCTCTACATGTAGCCCAGGTGTGTAGTAGGCTATGACATCCAGGTTTGTGTAAGTATCCTCTATGATGTTTCAGTAAGGACAAAAAACACCTAAAGGTGCATTTCTCAGAATACATCCTCATCATTAAATAATTATCAATAATAACTGTTTTGTCCAGTTTTATTTGTTGTTCCAGGTGAAAAGGTAAATCTGGTTCTTATTCTTCCATTTTGATTGGAAGATTCTTCCCCTCTGAGCTGAATTTTTTTCTTGCTAAAGTCCACCCTTCATAAATTCTTTGAGCAAAAGTCTGAGATTAGTTAAACCTCAGTCTGTATATATCTGAAAATGTCTTTATTTTGCATTCATCCTTAAATGCTGGTTAACTGAATGTAGAATTTGTTTTTCTGATCACTTCAAAGGTATTAGTCCACTGGCATCTATTGTTGCTGATGAGAAATTGGCTTCAGGCAGAACATCATTCATTTGTGGATGTTTCATTTCTGATGGCTTTTCAGATTTTTTTATTTTTATTGTTTTTCAGTCTCTTCAATATGTCTAGAAATGAAATTTTTTATTCTACTCAGAACTCAATGTGCCTTTTCATTCCAGAGGCTCATTTTTCTTTGCTTGTAGAAAATCCTTCATCATTATTTCTTAGAATGGTGCTTCTTCTCCCCTATTTCCTCCTTGTAGAACTACTAATCTAGTATAAATTTTGGAACTTCTCATTTTCTCCTCTATGATTTTTATCTTTCATATTTTCCATTACTCTATAATACTGAGCACTCTCTATGTGCCAAGAACTATAAACTCATTTAATCCTCATAGCAACACCATGAGGTAGGTACATTATAGTATATTATAACATTATAACATTATAGTATATCTCCATTTTATAGATGAGAAAATTGATACACAAAAGGCTTAAAAACATACCTGAATCTCTATTGCTATTAATAGTAAGTATCAGAGATTTAATACCAGGTGTGCGGCTTCAGACCCCATGTATTTTTTTTTTTTTTTTTTTTTGAGACAGGGTCACACACTCGTCACCCAGGCTGGAGTGCAGTGGTGCAATCTCTTTGCAGCCTCGACTTCCCAAGCTCAGGTGATTCTCCCACCTCAGCCTCCCAAGTAGCTGGAACTACAGATATGTGCCACCATGCCCGGCTAATTTTTTGTATTTTTAGTAGAGATGGGGTTTTGCCATTTTGCCCAGGCTGGTCTCCAACTCCTGGGCTTAAGCAATCCACCAGCCTCAGCCTCCCAAATTGCTGGGATTACGGGTGTGAGCCACCGTGCCCAGCCCACTGCACTAATATTCCATACTATTATAATTTCATCTCTTTGTGCTGCTTTCTGTGCTGCCTTCTGGGTAATTTCTTCAGATCAATTTGAGTGTACTAATTCTCTCTCTCCATCTGTGTCTAATCTACTCTTTAAAACATCTATTGCATTTTTAATAGTTCATTTTTGCTATTTCTATTTGCTTCTTTTTTCATAAGCTCTTCTTCTTGCCTTATGTCTTCGATTCCTAATTTTATCTCATTTAAACATACTTACATTAAAATTTCTCAGGTTGTTCTATAATCCTAATTTTTGGCGTATGCACCACTAAGATCTCCCTTCAAGAAAGAACTTGCTCTTCAGCCACACAAGTGCAGTTGGCTGACTACCTCAAGCTGTTAGTACCGTTACTGCCTTCAAGATATGCCTCCGTTTTTTAGTTAAGGCTATGCTCTTCTTCGGCAGTCCCTAAGCAATAACTTTATGAACATGGCAGGTGTACTATAGTCTTGCTATTTCTGCTCAACAAGGGACTTTCTCTAACAGGCGGTATTTGTTCTATAATCCCCCTTTGTGTTAGCCAAGACTTTATCACATTTGCGTCCCATCTAAGGCTCTCTGCCCAATCTTGATTCTCCCCATTTTGTCTTTTACAGGCATTACCCCTCAATAAACCCCTTGCACTCCTAATCCCGTCTCTGCATTTACTTTCTGGAGGACCCAACTAAAACAGCATGTGAATTATCCAGGTTATTTCATCTTCTGACTTTCTTTCCTAGCAATCCTTTTCCTCTCATACTTTGTAATGTTTTTTACCATGAGATTATCTTCAGTGGGAGTTGTTTTCTATAGAAGTCCTGTGTGCCCTGCATTGTGGAGGAGAATCACAGGTAGTTTCACAAGAAGATCCATTAGTTTAACCAGTTCCAAGACAAACTTTATGTCAATTTCTTAGCTAGGGTTCCCCCAAACATCACTGCCACCATCACACAGTTAATGCAAACATGTGAACTTAATTCTCACACCCATACTAATGCAGATTGTGATTACAATTGCTTCCAGGTGACTCTTTCCTAGCTCTTTTCTAGCTCCACCTGAGCTTTTGAGCTCAGCTATATATTTTTTAATGTACTTTTTATATTTTACCTAGCATTTCTATTTATTTAGCGTAAGAGATAAAAGGAACTTCTTTTCTTTCTACAGTACCCCATAGTCAATGAAAGTAAACCCTGGAACCTGCATATATATGCGTATATATATATATATATATGTGTGTGTGTGTGTGTGTGTGTGTGGAGAGAGAGACATATATATACGTATATATTTCTATATAATTTATGTTCTTGGTCATACTATCTATTTTTTAACTTTTTATTTTGGAATAATTATACATTCATAGGAAGCTGCAGAAGACTCCCGAATACACTTCACTCAGTTCCCTTCATTCAGGGAATGTACTCAGGAATCTGCATTTTAGCAGGTAATCAGAGGACTCAGATGTAGGTGCAGGTTGTTGCAGATGCTATCAGTTCCCCATCCATATCCCTTGGACCTTTCCTACCAACTGTTAGCAACCACTCTTAACCAATGACTCTCAGCATTGGTATATAAATACCCTGGTTCCCTTACCCTTCATATGCGTTATTTCTGAGTCATGTTTTGCACCATTTCCCAGAGTCTCCCTGCTAAATTAACCGTTAATAAACCACTGTGGTAGCACTCTTATTGTCTGCCTTCCTTTTCTTTATCAATTCCCACTTCTCTACCCAAATAGTCACTTTCCAAATAAGCTAATTTAACTCAAATCTTTGTGTGGCGGTCTGTATCTGGTCTTCTAAGCTCAGATCAGAAGTGGTCTTAGATCCCAAGGATGGAATCTAGGATTGTAAAATTTGTCGGCCAATGGTAATAAGATTCCATTATTGATGGTCTTTAATATATTGTAGAGGCCTAGGATGAATTGGGGGACAAGATACAGATACAAGGGGATACAACCATTTATGAAGTCTCTCTAACATCTGAGAGATGTGGAGGCAATGGTAGTTAAAGAACTGGTGGAGTTTGTTGGTTGTTGTTAAGTACCATTGAAGTGCTAAAGGAGGAAAATGATAGGGTCAAATTAGTCAATTACCAGCCCAGGGGATGGTATGAAACCTAGAAAGCCACTATGACAGCATTTTAAAATCCCCTAATTTCCTACAGCTGGAGGGCAGATAGGTCTGAAAACCACATCCAGAACCTAATGATGAAAGTAGTAGAAGTGTCCCACTCCCGTTTGCTAGAGGATAATAGGCTTCCTCCTCTTGCCTGGAAACTATGCAGAGGCCTCCCCTAAGGCAGATGCCTTGCAAGATGATACTTGCCCTCTTCAAGATCTGCTTCTACATTCTCTTGCGTCTTCTAGGTCAATCACTAGGGTTAAATCTCATCACTCAACCATTGAGGAGGTACTATCTCTGCTTAAAGAAACAGGATTTTGGCCAGGCTTATGCCTGTAATCCCAGCACTTTGGGAGGTTGAGGCAGGTGAATCACCTGAGGTCAGGAGTTCAGGACCAGCCTGGCCAATATGGTGAAACCCCATCTCTTCTAAAAATACAAAAATTAGCCAGGTGTGGTGGTGCACACCTGTAGTCCCAGCTACTTGGGAGGCTGAGACAGGAGAATCACTTGAACCTGGGAGGCAGTGGTTGCAGTGAACCAAGATCGTGCCATTGCCTGCCTGGGGGACACAGCGAGACTCCATCTCAAAAAACAAAAACAAAAACAAAAACAAAAACAAAAAAAAGGATGTTTACTAAAAGAACTGCAGGACCTGCCTAATAGATACCAATAAAAAGCTGGAAGATGTGCCTGCTTTGGGAAGGGAAGGAACATAGGAAGAAGGGAAATGGAACATAGGGATGGAGAAGAGAAGAGTTGTTGATAAGGACGAAGTCTCCTGAGCTTCTGCACTTACCATCCTGGCAAGAACACTTGGAGCTGGGATGGTTCAGAGGACAAAAGGATCAGTGTCCAATCAGGAGGTAGAAACTACACCACTAATTTAAATAGAGATCTAATGTAGTGTATTCTTAAGTAGGTATAAAATTATTAAGTAGGTAACTGCAAAGGTAAAAAGAGAATGCTAAGTTGTCACAAAGATAGCAATGACAAAAGCAGATACCATGCCCACGGCTGGTGAAACAAAATAAGAAGTGGAATTATCAAAATTTAGAAGCTTACAAGAGAAGTTCCAAGAAACCAAAACTCAGATCTCTGAGGAGGAACACCAAAGTGTTGGAAACTGGTGCTAGGAAGTGTTGGGAAACTGCAAACTGGATTCAGCTGCTGCTAAGGAAAGATGCTGCTGATGCCAGGGTGAAGAAGCGTTGCTAGGGTGATGCTCACAGGAACAGGAAGCTGACAGGAAGTCAATAGGAAGAAGCAAGTCCCTCCTTCCTGATGCTGCGACATCAATTCCCTCCTGCCCTCCTCATTGGCAGGCATAACAGGGAGCAACTGGCAATGCTGGAATGTGAATTTCTGAACCCCAGCCCCAGCACTACACAAGTTGATACAGAAGGGTGGTTGTGGCGCTAAGAGGTGACAGCTTAACTACTGACAAGAGTTACAATAAACAATGTAGAAATGTGTGAACTGACATAACTGGAGAAAGGAGTCAAAAGTTCAGAGGAGAAATGTATTGCCTAAAACCAAAAGACCACCAGCTTAGTAGCTTAGTATGTTTCCAGTACACCTTCACTGGAGCAATAAAGAATGAGCTCCTGAAGGGGCACTGACATCATTGAGCAACTCAGTGGTGGCTGCCCCTTCTATATTGTGTTGTAGCTGCTAGGGAACTGGAGTTCCTACTGTTTCTTAATGGTGACAATAGGATTCCAGAACAGCAGAGGCCAGGTAGCAGCACTTAACCATCAGACACATAGTGTATGGAATTACCATAATGGGCAGCAAAGTCAGAAACTCAACCAAGGGGCCCTTACCCACAGAGATCTGTGGGATTGCTAATAGACCCTGAAGTTCCTAAGGGCGAGATCAGTGGGTGACTAGCAAGGGTATTGCTGCCCAATATAATAAAAACAGATCAAGAGCATGTAATGTGAAGACTGAGGTGAGCCATCACAGTGGAAAATCACTATCCCTCACCCATTTTTCATGCTTAAGCTAGTCCTCAGACCCAGTACCACAGTAACTGTACACAGGAGAACAAAAATATCCAGATATTTCTATAGTTGGGGAATTCAGAGTCCGGACTGACACTGATTCCAGGGGATCCAAATTGCCACTATAGCCCTCCTGTTAAAGTAAGGAGATATGGAGGCAAGATGATAAATGGAGTCTTTGCCAAAGCCCATTTTACAGTGAGTCCAGTGGGTCTTCACACCCTCCTGTGACTATTTTCCCCATCCCTGAATACTTAATTGGGATTAGTAAACTCAGCAGGCAGTAGAAACCTCACATCGGTTTCTTAATCTGTAAAGAAACTGGTGAGGGTCACCCAAAGCAGAGGTGACAACAGTATGTGTATATATATATATGTGTATGTGTGTATGTATATATATACGTATATATGTGTATATATATATACGTATATATATACATATATATATATATATATATATATATATATATATATATGCTGGAATGTGAATTTCTGAACCCCAGCCCCAGCACTACACAAGTTGATACAGAAGTGTGGTTGCGGCGCTAAGAGGCAACAGCTTAACAACTGACAAGAGTTACAATAAACGATGTAGAATATATATATATGGGGGATCAACTGATTATATAGCCAGAGTTTCCCATTGTAAGTTGTGTACTGTCAGATCCACCCAACTGTATAGTCGAGTATGTGCAACAGTAATCCATTGAAGGGTGGACATGGAACGTTGTCATGAACTAGGCCTGAGCAGGACCAGAGGTCACAAATAAACTACAGAAGCAGGCCCAGAATCCCCTGTTGTGATCCCTGCATTGGAACCTCTCCCCTCAGCTCACACTTATGAAATCATGAGAGATTCCTGATGACCAGGTGACAGAGGAGGAAAAAGCTTAGGCCTGGTTTATGGACAGGTTGGCACAATAGGTTGGTGGAAAACAAAAGTGCACTCTTACTGCACTACAGTCCCACTCAAGGGCTCCTGAAGAACAGCCATGTGGAGAATTTTTTGCAGGGGCAGAACTTTAGGCGGTGCATTGAGTCATCAACTTGGTGCAGAAAGAGTCGTGGCCTGAGGTCAGGAATCCCAGGCAGTAGTGAACAGTTCAGCTGATTGCTCAGGGACTCGTGAAGAGCAAGACTGCAAAATTGCAGTTAAGGAGGTCTGGGGAAGAAGCATGTGGATTGATCTTTGAGAGAAGACACAAAAATATGTGGGTCTCTGTCTCATTTCATTGTCTACCAGAGGGTGTCCATCGCAGAGAAGGTGCTGAACAATCAGTTAGATAGGATGATTCATCCAGTGGAAATGAGCTTATCTCTCTCCTTAGCTGCCCCAGAGCATGCACAACAGACCCATAACTGAGAAGCCATGGTAAGAGGGATGGAAGCCACGCATGGCCCAACAGCATGGGCTTCCTCTGGCCGAGGCTGACCTAGGTATTACTACTAAGTGTCCAATCTGTCAAAGCACAGGCAGGGCTGAGCTCTTGACATGGTACCACCCCTCAAGGAGGGCACCCAGCCACATGGTGCCAGTTGATTACACTGGACCCAACCACCCTGGAGGTGCTGTGACTCTTCTATGACTTCATGGGACTGATACAGATTTGCCTTCTCTGTCCACAATGTCATGATCAGCAGCACTCTCTCAGAGTTCCCAGGGTGTGCAGTTTATCATCAAAGCATTCCCCCATAACATGGCCATGGAGAAAGTGAGCACATGACCATGTTATTCACTGGTCCTGCTATTTACCATACCAACCAGGGCTGCATCCTGAGAAAATGCTGGAATAACCACTTGAAGGCATAGCTAAGTCATCAGCTTGAAGATAGGGTTGAGAACCTGTCCTTACATGTTTGTTTGTTTGTTTGTTTGTTTTGAGATGAAGTCTCATTCTGTTGCCCAGGCTGGAGTGCAGTGGCACAATCTCTTACTTCAACCTCTGCCTCCTGGGTTCAAGGGATTCTCTTGCCTCAGCCTCCCGAGTAGCTGGGATTACAGGCACCCGCCACCACCCCCGGCTAATTTTTGTATTTTTAGTAGAGACGGGGTTTCACCATGTTGGTCAGGCTGGTCTCAAACTCCTGACTTCGTGATCTGCCCGTCTCGGCCTCCCAAAGTGCTGGGATTACAGGCGTGAGCCATCACACCCTGCCTCCCTTACATGTATTTCTATACTTGAGACAATAGCTATTGTAAGGGTGCTACATCCCCAACAGTCAGAATACATAGGTCTGGAAGCCAAGAAATGAGTGGCCTCTCTCACCTTTATTCCCAATGACCCACTTGGCAAATTTATGCTTTCTATTGCCAAAGCTTTAGGCTCTGTTGAACCAGAGATCCTAGTTCTCAGAGGGTAGGGAGAGATCACTTCTACCAGAGGACATAATTGTGGTTTTACTAAACCTAAAATTATATCTGCCTCTGGTAATTTTGGGATCCTCATGACAGCAGACCAGCAAGCTAAGAAAGGAGATTCTGAACAGGCAGGAGTAAGTGACCCCTGCTGGACCAGGTGAGGGGCATCTAGAAAGGGTAGTAGAGTCGGAAGCTGAGCATCAGTTACACTTTAGGACCAACTACAGCAGTGGGGTCTGGAGATTGTCCCTCCTCTTATCTGTTATCCTTTCTACCTCTTCCTCTTCCTTCTTCTCCTCTCTTCTTGTAACAAATCGTGACTTTCCACCACCCAAAGAAGCAGTGACAGAACATGAAACTTAATATGAATGCAAGTTTATCTGAGCAGGTGCAAGGGTGAACTGTGACACATACTGTCAATGCCCTGCCATTGTCCCTCAAACCTGTCAATGTATTCCCAAGACTTCCAACTGCCAGCATCCACATGGTAGCTAAGGGATCATTTTCCCAGAACTACAGAGAGCTGACTGTACACATCACAGTTCACAAGTGCCAAAGAATTAAACACCACCAGGGAGCAGCCTCAACACTCAAACATGGTGTATAAATACCCCAGCTCCCTCACCCTTTGGGTGGGATGCTTCTGAGGCATCGATCATTCTGAGGTTTTGTACCATTTCCCAGAGTTTCCCTGCAGGATAAATCTTCAGTTCCCCTTTGTGATAATAGTGCACCCTTATGGGGCTGCCTTCCCTTCCCTGTATCACCTTCCCACTTCCCTATTAGTGTTACTTATGCTCCCCAAATAAACTATTTTCACTTTAGTCCTTATCTTAAGGTCAGTTCTTGGAAGAACCCATGCTAAGACACATGTGGCTCAAGGACTATGCATTGAGAAGCACTAATTTAGAGAGTGAACTCATTTCTTTTTTTTTTTTTTTTTTTTGAGACGGAGTCTCGCTCTGTCGCCCAGGCTGGAGTGCAGTGGCGGGATCTTGGCTCACTGCAACCTCCACTTCCTGGGTTCAGGTGATTCTCGTGCCTCAACCTCACAAGTAGCTGGAATTACAAGCACCCGCCACCACGCCCAGCTAATTTTTGTTTTTTAGTAGAGATGGGGGTTTCACCATGTTGGCCAGGCTGGTCTCAAACTCCTGACCTCAGGTGATCCTCCTGCCTTAGCCTCCCAAAATGCTGGGATTACAGGAGTGAGCCACTGGACCCAGCCACAACTTTGTTTTATGTGTGTTTCTGCTTAGAGACCCTTATTTAATATATAAATTGTTGATTCACTAGCACTGAACTCACAGCCAACACTACTGTAACTCATGTCTGAACAAAGCTTATCAAGCACACGTATTTTCTCCTTAAGGCACATCACAGCCTTCTTGTGCTTGAGAACACCAGAGAGCACTTCAGCACAATGCTTGGGGCCATTTTAAATAGCAAAATCACCAACAAAAAGGCACAAAAAATGAGAACGGTTCGCACCAAATAAGTCACAAAAAGAATACTTGTTTACACTATGACAGCTGAGACAAGAAGGCAGGGTGTCCCTTTGTTCACCTTCAGCTGGGAACATATGTGTGGGTAAGTCAAGATTTTCACCACTGCACATAAGTATGTCCACAAATAATAGCAATTGTGCCTCAAGTATTGATTTGAAGGTTACAAATAAATTTTAGAAGTAGGTGATTTTGCAAATATGGAATCCATAAATAATGAGGATCAATTTTCTTTATTTTTTCTGATTACAAAAATATATATAATAAACAGAGCTATCTAATGTAAAAGTTAAAGTCCCCCATAATCCCAGCCCACAAAAGAACACAATTAGAATATAGTTCTATAGAATTTTTGTTATGCAAATAATGCCTGTGATTGTGTCTAAGTCTGTGGGTGTCTATGTGTCAGTGTATTTGGGTCTTTCTTTTCTTTTTCTCACTCAACAATAGCTCTTGGATAGCTTTCCAGAAAAAAAAATTCCTGATGTTAATTTCTGGAGTATGAATGGAAGCAGATGGCATACACTGCAGTCAGGATCTCTAAGTCTTAGTTCAGACCACTCAACCACATCAGATGTGGAGAGAGCAATGACTTGCCAAATGTAAAGATAATCAACAGTTTTAGTGTTCTGCATCTTAATGGAGATGGAATAAGGTCAAGAGAAGAACTGCTCAGAGGATAAAAGGACTGAACACTGGGAAGTAAAGTGAAAGAGAAGAGACTGGGTCGGGCACGGTGGCTCACACCTATAATCCCAGCACTCTGGGAGGCCAAGGCAGGCAGATCACTTGAGGTCAGGAGTTTGAGACCAGCCTGGCCAACATGGTGAAACCCCCTCTCTACTAAAAATACAAAAATTAGCTTGGCGTGGTGGCGGGCACCTGTAATCCCAGCTACTCGGGAGGCTGAAGCACAAGAATTGCTTGAGGCTGGGAGGTGGAGGTTGCAGTGAGCCAAGATTGCACCACTTCACTCCAGCCTGGGCAACAGAGCAAGACTCCATCTCAAAAGAAAAAAAAAAGAGTCTGTGACTTTCAGCCAGAGAAAACCACATACTATGTCCTTTGGAGGAGATTAGACCTACATATTAAGACTATCTACTGAAAGGATTTAGACAATAGAGTAAAATAGTACCAGAGCCTCTTCTAAAAACAGCTGCAAAATTGGCTGGGCGCAGTGGCTCATGCCTGTATTCCCAGCACTTTGGGAGGCAGAGGCGGTTGGATGACCTGAGGTCAGGAGTTTGAGACCAGCCTGACCAATATGGTGAAACCCTGTCTTTACTAAAAATACAAAAATTAGCCAGGCATGGTGGTATGCGCCTGTAGTCCCAGCTACTAGGGAGGCTGAGATAGGAGAATCACTTGGACCTGGGAGGCAGAGGTTGCAGTGAGCCAAGATCATGCCACTGTGCTCCAGCCAGGGTGACAGAGCGAGACTCCATCTCAAATAAATAAATAATAAAAACAGCTGCAAAATAGTATGGAGAAAGCTGGGCTGCTGCAACAAAAGACCCAAAATACAATGGCTCTTAGAAAATAAGTTTACTTCTCACTCTGTAGTCCATGTCAGGGTGGCTGTACTTCATGCAGTCATTCAGGAACCCAGGATCCTCCCATATCTTTGCTCCATCAGCCCTTTTGAAGCATTATTGAAGCTGTGTCCCTGGTACATCTATGTTCCAACTCAAGAGAAGAGAAAATGGAGCATGGGAGAGCAAAAGCTTCATGCCTTAAGGTCTATTTCTATTTATGTTCTATTAGAAAGATTTTAGTCACCAAGTCTCACTCGGCTGCAAGAACAGCTGGGATGTATGATCTCTAGTGGACCAGCCATTCCTCCGACTGCTACTCTACTACATAGAAGAACAGGAGGATGAAGTTTAGTGGACAGCTAGCAATTTCCATCACATCTCCTTTATTTGAGCCTTGGTATCTTCCTCTATAAAACGGGGATAATAATATAAACTAGTTAAGGCTGCTTTGGGACTGAAATCCAATAATATATGTGAGAATGCTTAGCAAGCCCTACTGTGCCTGATAAGAATTTCTCATTGATTTTGCCCTCTAGACTGCCAGCTCCTTGGGAGCAAGGAGCATAGTTTATTCCACCTCCTCACAAAGACCTGCTTGGAGTCAGCATCAGTAAATACATGTTGAATAATGAAGTCACTGTTTCATCCATCATCAAGCCTTTTTTTTTTTCATTTCATTTCAAATGCTTCAATAATTTAGACTCTGCCCTGTTCACTTTCCCCACCCCCTCATTAGGGGTGCACGTCAGTATATCAGTTGGGATTCTCTGGGTTGCAAAGTGACAATGCACTACTGTTAAACTGGCTTATGCAATAAGATGGACCATCTCACATATCCTGAAGTCCAGACTCTGCATCAGAATAAAAGCTTCTCTTCCCTAGGACTCTCTTGGCCTTGCCCTCCCTTCTGTATTTGCTGCATCCTCAGACTGGGAGCAAGATGGCTGTTGCAATTCCAAGCATTGCCACCAAACATATCCCAGCAAAGGGGGCAGACTGTTTTGCAAAGTAAAGAGACCATTTCCTGAAAACCCCTCTCTGCCATAGGCTTCCCCTTTAGTTTTTCAGGCTGGACCTGCCCAAACCGTCACTGGCAAGAGGAATGAGACCACCATAATGGACTTGGACCAAACAAGACTCACTCCATGAGACCACCATAATGGACTTGGACCAAACAAGACTCACTCCTGGAAATGGGCTGGGGTCAGCCTTCCTTGGGTCACTTGGGGAAGGGGGCCACCTGACCAAAATCAGGGCTCTGCCCATAAGAAAATGTTGAGAAACTGCTGTTGCATGAGCAACCAACTATTTTTCTCGCAATGATGGAGATTCTGGGCCAGATGAGGGTGTGATGGAGAAAGTGTTAACCATAGAGAACTAAACTGAGAGCTTTTTCATAAACTGTACCTCAATAAAGTTTAACACCAATGAAGATATTTCTGGAGGAGGCAGAAACTGGTAGCCACCCTCTATGGCTCATTTCCCTCACCCCCGTATCCAACCATCACCAAATGTCACCGTGTCTGTACTTGCAATACCCTAGTCTTCTCTCCTTACCCACTGCTGAGGCCCCAGTTCGGGTCTCACCTCCTGCAGGCACGATGACAACAGCACCTTAGGGGTGCCCAGTCTTTCCTTCCTCCTGCAACCCAGGGCGTTGATGCGGTTATTCAGCTACACACCTTTACTGTGTGCTGAGTGCTGTGCATCCGCAGACACATTGGAAAAGCTCCCTGTCTTCTTCACCTTGCAGATGGTATAATGATTATCTCCAAGACTTCCTGAAACCCAATCGGACCAGGTCATTCCCTTGCCTGAAAGCCCCATGCCTTCAAGAAATTCTTTACCATGACCCACAATGCCCTCCAGCCCACCCAGGCTCCTTCTCCACCCCACCCCCAACAGTACAGAATTACTAGCACTTCCTTCACTGCGCCCTCCCCTTTCACGCCTCTATGCTTTTGCACAGGCTGTCTCCTCTGCCTAGAAATCCCTTATCCCCTCTCCATCTGGCACACAAGACAAGTTCTCCTATTACTTTTTCTCCCTCTCTCCTGCTCCACCCCTCACCGCCTTACACACACACACACACACACACACACACACACACAAATACAGCACTCCAGAATTGTTTGCCAATGGAGGCAGCCTCCGGGGCCAGATGTTAGCCAGGGCTTTCCAAACTTCTCCCCAAGCACTCCTTAAGAAAGTGAAGAGGAAATGGGACCCCAGGGCTTAGGAGTGTGAGGGCCTTGAACTCGCTCTAAGCAAGCAGGGCATTTCAAGAGTTTTATCTTTATATTTTATGCAGAAGTTGTATTCCAAATATATTCTTGTTCGTTTTAATACAAAATATGATTTTTTCTACATCTTCAAATCGATGATCCAGAAAGATGCTCCTTGTTTATTTGTTGTGCTCTCAAATTAGCTGCTCCGCCTCGCCGCGGGGACCCTAAGCGAGACCTGGATGCAGTTCCAAGTACACACCCCGAAGGAACAGCTGGGCTTCGCTTCCCTGGGAGCTGGAGGATGGTGGGGGTGGGGCGGGGTCAACCGGCTGGTGGCCCCGCCCCTCCCCCGCCCGCTGCGGGGGCGGAGTTGCTTGGGTCCCGCCCACGGGGGCGGGGAGGCAGCCGCGGCCACCGGCAGCTCGGATTCGGCTGGTTCCGGGTTGAGAGGCTGCGCTGGACCGAAGCGGTGGCTGCTAAGCTCGCGGGGGTAAGGGGTCGCGCTGGGCCAGGGTTTGGGGCCGGGATCCGGCAGCTGAGCGGGCCGGCACCCCTCCTCTTCTCTGCCGGTCACAGCCAATGTACGGCTCGGCCTGGCTGCCCCCTCCCCCAGGATTCCCCATCCCCAGCTTCTCGCCCTCCCCGCACCGCCCCCACCCCGGGATTTCGACCCCCTTAAGGGCTCCACCCCGCTCCGGGATCCCCTTCTCCCAGCTCCTATCCCTTAGGACTGCCCCGCCCCCTAGAACCTCCCCGTCAGGATCTCCGTCCCTCAGCCGCTCACAGCCTCCTCCCAGCGCCCATCGCCTTGAGCTGCCCACTACCTCTAGACTGCCCTCCCGGGCTGGCGTCCCACGGAGTCTCAGCCGCGCACCCCTTCCTCGCGTTACCCTCCTTCCGGACAGCACCCCCTCCCTTCTCCGGTAGCTCCTACCCCTGCCTGTGCGGGCCTCGTCCCCGCGCCCAGCCCTCGGTGCTGCCTCCGACAGCGCCGCGCTCTCTCAGCCGCCCCCCTGCCCCTCGGGCCCCCCTCTCTGCTGCCCCTGGCGCCATGGCGTGCAGCCTCAAGGACGAGCTGCTGTGCTCCATCTGCCTGAGCATCTACCAGGACCCGGTGAGCCTGGGCTGCGAGCATTACTTCTGCCGCCGCTGCATCACGGAGCACTGGGTGCGGCAGGAGGCGCAGGGCGCCCGCGACTGCCCCGAGTGCCGGCGCACGTTCGCCGAGCCCGCGCTGGCGCCCAGCCTCAAGCTGGCCAACATCGTGGAGCGCTACAGCTCCTTCCCGCTGGACGCCATCCTCAACGCGCGCCGCGCCGCGCGACCCTGCCAGGCGCACGACAAGGTCAAGCTCTTCTGCCTCACGGACCGCGCGCTTCTCTGCTTCTTCTGCGACGAGCCTGCACTGCACGAGCAGCATCAGGTCACCGGCATCGACGACGCCTTCGACGAGCTGCAGGTGCGCTACCCGGCCTGCCTGGGGAAGGGGCGGGGCCGGGCTGGAGGTGGGGCCGGGCGGGGGGTGGGGTCAGGGCTGGACCGCGGGCCAGGCCCAGTCAGAATGGTCCTGGGGCGGGGCCGCCAGCAAGGTCAGGGCCCTATCAGGAGTAACGCGGGGCAGGGAGGGGCGGGGCCGCCGCATGGCGGGGCCGTGGGGGCGGGGCCTTGGGCAGTCCGGACCCTGAGGGATCTGAGACAGACCTGGAGTACCGGCTGGTCCGCGGTTAGGGAGAAGTCGGGGATGCGGATGGGATGGCGGAAACAAGTGAGATCAGAACTGGACCAGATACTGGGCTGGGGCAGGGTTGTGGACGAACCGGAATCAGAGTTGGGCAAAGGCAGGGCCACTGTCAGACTGAGGGCGAGGTCGCGAGGATGGGTCTGTATTAAACCGGGTAGCTGAGCTCTGGCAGGCTGGGGGTTCTGTGGGGGCGGAGACCGGATCAGATGTGCATCAGGACTAAGAGGAGTACGGGGGCTAGAATGTGCTGGACAGGTGAGGGTGAAACCTAATAGAGTGGTATAAGTTAGGGTGCCAAAGTGCTGAGAGGGCAGGTTTGAGTACCGAGGGTTAGGCCAAGGTGTATGAGGGGTTAAGACTGAGATCAGGTCCGGATACTCTACAACAAGTTTAGATTTAAGCCAGAGTAGAGGCCAGGTTGAGTGGGGCCAGGACTTAAAGGTAAAGATTTGGAGAATAAGGCCCAGATGTAAGGTGATTCAAGAAGGGAGGGGCTAGACCTCTAGGAGTCTCTAGAGGTTTTTGATGACCTCTTTGGCTCTGTCCCCCACATCAGGACTTTTGAAGACTAAGTGAAACGGTACATGCAGAGTGACCTGAGCATAGTTGGCATAGAACTCTAATCGGTCTCCCTTAAGACTTCCTGTCTTCACTGACAAACTCCTACTCAACTTTTATTGAGCCTTGCTCAAATATCCTCTCCGTGAAGCCTTCTCCAAGTTCCACTGGTCAAACAAACAAACAAACAAACAAAAACATTAGAACTGCATTTCCCCAAATGCTCTCTATTAATAAGTGTGGGAAATATAGTATATTTTTTATACCCACCCCCTTGGAGAATTTTCAGTGTGCATTTGCATATTAAAAGCTTAGAGAAATTTTGTTGCAAATAAATCTATTTTACTGTGTTTAATAAAATGGTTCCCAAGCTTACTTGGGCCTGGAATCCTTTTTTCAAGCTAAATCACTTAAATCCAGCAGCCCCATGTACCTGGCTTTGGGATACT
This sequence comes from Homo sapiens, assembly GCF_000001405.40. Taxonomy (NCBI): domain Eukaryota; kingdom Metazoa; phylum Chordata; class Mammalia; order Primates; family Hominidae; genus Homo; species Homo sapiens. Next base: position 33,179,735 of record NC_000001.11, on the reverse strand, counting down.
AGTCGAGCACGTAGTTCTCCAAGGCCAGAGACAGAATCTTATTTCTCCTATCTATGGCCCCAAAGCCTGGTGCAAGGCCTGGCCCACAGTACACACCAATAAAGGCCAAATGAATGAACGAAAGAATGACCAACCCTGGCCTAAGCTGGACCACACTGTGGAGCGTTTGGAAGCAGAAGGTTTTTGGCTCAAACATTTTATGAAAATGGAGTGGGCTAACTTGGGAGGTAATGAGCTCTCTGGCCTCGAGATACTCAAACAGAAACTAAATAATTACTTTCCCCTGTATTGTAGGGGCTCCCAACCCCTCCACACACTAGTCTTTGAGTAGGCCTGCACCCAGCAGATGCCCATGGGCCTCAGGAGAAATGGCCCATGTTCACCATCGCTCCTTCCCTGTCCCTTTTATCTCAAAACTACAACTGACTCCCTTCCAGTCTAGCTGTCTGAGGATGAAGGCCCCATCAGAGGGTGAGCAAGGGCCTGGGCCTCTGGGAGCCTGCACAAGGCTTGGCCCTCCACCCCCAGAGCCATCGTTTTAGGCGCTGCTGCTGTCCATCTCCCCGTCTATGGAGTCACATAAGCAGGAAGAGTTTGAGGGGACTCTGTCTGAAACCATCTGTCCAACCTCTTCATCATGTAGGAATGGAAAGTGAGGCCTGGAGAAGTTATGTGACTTGCCCAAGGCCACACTTCCAGACAGTGAGAGAGCCAGGGCTATAGGGCACAGCCTGACCCAGATCCCTCTTCTCTGATCTCTCCCCTCCTTGTCTGACCTTCTAGCCTCTGCTTCAGAGCCTTGGTTCTCCTGTCTGCAAACCAGGAAATCCAAATTACTGTATGTTGGGCTTCTGTACTCTATCCCATGACCTGGGGGACACAGGAGAAATTGAACATGTATTACCTACAAATATTATTGAAATGCTTCATTATTGGGTGAAAAGTAAAACAGGACTGCCACTTGCTTACTCTCTAGTGCACTGTTGTGGGGTTGGACATACTTGGGTTCCAAACCTGCTGTGGGCACTGTGTGCACCTTGGTGAGTCACTTCATGTAAACGCTGATGCTCTGTCTGTACAATGGGGTCAGGATGCTTCCTTCCTACCAGGACTTTTGTGAAGCTGACCTGGGATTAACCTGCTATTTGAGGTTCAAAGGCACACAGTACGGGCTGGAATAACATACAGCCCACCTTTTCTCTTTCTGCCTGTGAGAGCTCATGTGCCCAGCTGAGTGAATGCCCAGACTCTCCTCTCTGGCCCGAGAAGGAGGCCTTGCTTTAGTGTGTCCTCTGGGCTTGGCAATTTGGTGGCAGAGAAATCTGCCTCCCATCTAGAGAGGATGTGCTGCTGGGTGAGATTCAAGGCACCCTCCACCCCACCTGCCTCTCCCTCCATATGGGGAAGGCAAGGCTTATTAGCTATTTATGCAGCAGAAATAAGGCTGAACCCACCCTCACATCCCCTTCTCTCCCAGCAGCTGATGGAGCTGGGGCCCTTCTGCAGAATTACAGACTCAGAGCCATGCAGATGATCTGGTGCCACATCCACTTGACAGATGGGGAAACAGGAGAGGGAGAGGGAGGAAGGGAACTTGCCTAAGGCCTCGAAGCCAGAGGAAGCTGGGCCTATACTCAGCTGGAGTCTCCCAACACCCTACCTAGCAGTTGGCGTGCAGCTTTTACATTTATTATAAATCCTTGAGGCATCAGAGCAGAGAAATTAAGAGCCCTGCTTTGTACCCAGGTAATCTCAATCCTGGCTCTACCATTTACTGTGTGACTTTGGGAAGATTATTTACCATCTCTGAGCCTTGGGTCCTTCATGGACAGCATGGAAGTAATTATATTAGGATTAAACAAGATGATGTTTATAAAAACTTAGTACTGCACTTGGCACCTAACAGCACTCAATAAATGACAGCTATAGTAGGTTACATCGTACTCGGCATTATTGACATTTGGGGCTAGATAACTGTTGTGCAGGGCCATCTTGTGTGTTATAGGAAGTCTGGTAGCATTCCTGGCCTCTACCCATTAGATGCCAGTAGCAAACTCCACCCACCCCGCAAGTTGTGACAATCAAAACCATCTCCAAGCATTGACAAATGTCTCCTAGAGTCAAAATCACCTCTAGTTGAGAAACCTGACCTAGAAAAGTCCCACTGAACTTTAAAACTTCAGGTCAAATATCACCTCCTCTGTGAAGCCTTCCCTGACCTACTAAGCACAATTGCTTTGTACTCCAGATTACATCACAGGGGTCAGATCCTGACATGCTGTGTGTCCTTGGTCACGTCACTTTGCTTCTCTAAGGCTCCTTCTCTAAGGTTCATCTATAACAAGAGGATATGATGTTCCTGGGAAGGATGTTGTAAGGGTTAGGGATCCTTTATCAGAAGTGCCTAGTACTGTGCCTGGCATAGTAGGCACCCCAAAACTATTTTTAAATGTCTTTATTCTGATTATAAAATTAACATAAGAAGCAGAGCTGTATAATGTAAAAGTTAAAGTCCCCCCATAATAATACCCCATGAAACATGGCAGGAGTTACTATACAGTTCTAAGGATTTTTATGTAACCTGTGGGTGTGCATGTGCGTGTGTGTGCATGCGTACATGCATGTGTGTGTGCATGTGTGTGCATTTGTGCATGCATGTGTGTGTGTGCATGTGTGTGTGTGTGCGTGTGTGTGTGCATGTGTATGTGTGTTGGTGTCTTCCTCCCCACCTCCACTGCTGAGTACCTGGACCACTGAGCAAAGTGGAGGGAAGGAGCCCATTTCCAAAGAGTTCAGGGCTTCTCAGCCAATATTCATCGAGCCCAGTCTGAATGCCTGGGACTGCACTAAGGGCTTTTCTTGCATTACCTCATTTAATCTTCATAGCACCCTGTGGGATGGGTATTGTTATCTATTTCTTCTACTGATGAAGAAACAGACTCAGAGGAATTAAGTGACTCATTTGGTCACGCAGCTGGTAAATGGCAGGGCCAGGATTGGAAGCCAGTCTGACTAGGCCACATACCGTCCCTGAGCTACCTCTGAGGGCTGGGTAATTGTCTCCCAGCCACCCTGCCTGTCCTGTATTGACAGGGCTAGGCCATCTGTGCCAGCTGACGCCCCGAGGGCAGGTGGTTGGGACGTCATCTTGGTCAGAGCAGACGTGGCATCCGGCTCTCTGGCCGTCTCAGGTTCCTAACCCCCAGAGAGGGGATCCGATTCAGTCTCAGCCGCCCCCTCCAGGCCTCATGTGACCATTGGAGCCCTTCCCAAGGCTTCCTTCATGCCAGAGAAGACAGCAGTGGATCAGCCTTGGACGCAAGCCCTGGTAGGCAGGGTATGGTGATCCAGTGACACCAAGGCAGCCACCCAAGGAGGGAGGGGGCTGGGGGCTAGGTTCAAATTTCGGCTCTGGTTTCTTCCAGGAGAGGGGGTGACACCCTCTTACCCAATCTGAGAAATGGAAGTAAGAACTAGCCCTCCTGCTTTCTGTATAAAGAGAGAGAAAGAGTTGCTAAATATCCAAAGAAATGAGAGATTCAGAGGCACTTTATTTTGTAGCATGGACAGGAAGGCAGCTGGGTTGTCTGTGTTGTGGGGAAGTGGCTCTGCTGTTACTTTTCCAAGGAGAGGGCAGGATTTCTATGCCAACAGCAGCCTCTGTGAGGGCAAAGCTGGCTGTGGGTCAAACTCAGAGCTGGCCGCTGGCATCTCCACATCCCTCTTCACAGGTGTCTGGGCAGCCAGGATACCTTTGCTGAGCACGGGCCACAGTGTAGAAGCTTAGGGCCAACATTGGGGACCCCAAGATGTTTATTTTATAGAAAGAAAAAAGACCTGGTAGGGACTAACAATGATGAAACAATGACTCTATAAAATTATAGCCCAAGTTTTGGAGGCACAAAGTAAGTTATGGGGCACTTACTGTGTGCCAGGTGCTGTGTTATAGGCATTTGATTCTCACAAGGATTTTTTCGTTCCCTACTCCCTGAGTGGGACTGAGATCAGTACCATCTCACAGATGAAGAAAATGAGGCTGAGAGATTCAGTAACCTTCCCAAGATCACACTGCAAGTAGGAGGAAGAGCTGAGATTCAAAGTGGTCTTTCTGACTCAGAATTCACCCTCCTTCCCAACACGCCAACTGTCCCAGGGAGCACCAAATGGGGAGGAACCTGAGAAACCATCTGGTTGACACGCTCCCCATTTTGCAGATGGGGAAACTGCCTTGCCCAGGGTTAGACCAGAGCTCAGCTCTCCCGACTCAGTCCAGTGTTGTTTTCCCAGTACCATTTACCTTCCTGACCTCCATCTCTGCTTGAACACTCAGAGGGATGAGGCAGATTTGGAGGTGAGTTCTGTCTTGGATTCAGGGATTCCTTTAATAATTTCTGGGCTGGGCGCAGTGGCCCACGCCTGTAATCCCAGCACTTCAGGAGGCCAAGGCAGGCGGATCACCTGAGTTTGAGATCAGCCTGGCCAACATTATGAAACCCCCATCTCTACTAAAAATACAAAAAAAAAAAAAATTAGCTGGGCATTCGTGGCACACACCTATAATCCCAGCTACTCGGGAGGCTGAGGCACGAGAATCGCTTGAACCGGGAGGCAGAGGTTGCAGTGAGCTGAGATTATTCCACTACTCTCCAGCCTGGGTGACAGAGTGAGACTCCATCTTAAAAAAAATACATATACATATACATAAACATATACATATACATATACATATACATACATGTGTGTGTGCATATATATGTATATGTGTGTATATATATATATATATATATATACACACATATATGTATGTGTGTGTGTGTATATATATATATACACACACACACATAATTTCTTTAGCCAGTATCTGTGCCATGGCTACAGAGGGCCAGCCCTGTGTTGGGCCCAGGAGAGAACTACACAAGACCTGGCCCTGTGTGGTCCCGAAAGATAGGCCCATAAACTGGTAGGTTGCTGTAACTGAGGCTTGCTCTGTTGAGCTGAATCCTAAAAGATACGCTGAGTACTTCAGGCCAGGGAGCAGAAAGAAAGATGTTATGGACAGAGGGAACAAAAACATGCACAGCCTGGTGCAGATTGTTCCACGGACTGGGTTCAAGGCTTTGACAGGCAGTCATGCTCTCCTTCTCTCTCTCTCCCCCAGCCTACCTCTCATTTAATTCTAACAGTAACCCTATGAGATGGATCTCATTGCCCCATTTTATAAATGGAGAAACTGAGGCTCAGAAACTGTGCCTAGCTGGGCACAGTAGCTCACACCTGTAACTCCAGTACTTTGAGAGGTCAAGGCAAGAGGATTGCTTGAGCCCAGAAGTTCGAGACCAGTGTGGGCAACATGGCAAAACCCTATCTCTATAAAAAATGCAAAAAAATTAGCTGGGCATGGTTTCATGCACCTGTAGTCCCAGCTATTTGGGAGGCTGAGGTGGGAGGATCACTTGAGCCCAGGAGGTTGAAACTGCAGTGAGCTGTGATGGTGCCACTGCACTACAGCCAGCCTGGGCAACAGAGTGAGACCCTGTCTCAAAAAACCAAAAAGGAAAAACAGAAACTGTGCCTAAGGGCCTGGAAAGGGAGAAGGGAGAAGAAGGGGGAAGAAGAAAGGGGGGAAAAGAATATAAATGTATTTACTACCTCTGAATTGTACACCTAAAAATGGTAAAGATGATAAGGTATATATGTATATTTTACCTCAATAAAATTTTTTTTAAAAAGAGGCTAAGCACAGTGGCTTATGCTTCTAATCCCAGCTCTTGGGAGGCCAAGGTGGGAGGATCATTTGAGGCCAGAAGCTAGGAGTTCGAGACCATCCTGGGCAACACAGAGAGACCCCATCTCTACAATAAATTTTTAAAAATTATCCAGGCATGATGCATGCCTGTAGTGTGAGGTACTTGGGAGGCTGAGGCAGGAGGATTACTTGAGCCCCAGGAGTTTGAGGCTATAGTGAGCTATGATTGCACCACTGCACTTCAGCCTAGGTGATAGAGTGAGCCCTTGTCTCTAAAAAAATTTTTTTTAATTAGGGAAAAAAAAAAAAAAGAAAGAAACTGTGCTTAAGGTCAGAAAACCACTAAGTGTCCCTGAAGCTGAAACTTGAACTCAGGTTATCTGAGTGTGACCAGGGACAGGCATGGAGGTGAGCACACATGTGTTCAGGTGGTTCGTTGTGGCTAGAGGGGAGGGTGTGGCAGGAGGAGGTAAGAATGGAAAAGCAAGGCTTGACCAGCTCAGGAAGGGCTTTGAATGCTTGAATGTGCACATACATGCACACACACACATACACACATACACATGCATGCGCACACAAGCTCACACACACACATGCACGCACCCATTGAGCTTGATCCTTACTTAACATGCTAGGAAGCCAGAAACAAATGTGAGCAGGCAAGTGCAGCCCGGCCAGGTCTGCATTATGGACCAAGCACTGTGGGGCAGTGTGCCAGGGGAGCTGGTGGGAGACCCTAGAAGCAGGGACTGGCCAGATGTTGCCAGAGATTGTGTGGCTCAGAAGTGCACAGGGAGGGTTGGGGCTCAAAGATATAAAATAATTCCAGTCTGTTGGGAGGACCAGGAGCATCCGGTTCTAGGTATAGATGAAGGATTGGGGTTGGGGGAGGAAAGGGAGAGGCAAGTTCAAGTTTGTCACGGTCAGGTTTCTGGCATCCTTGGGTCAGAGAGGGAAAGAGAGAGCAGTACCCAGACATGGAGAAGAGGAGAGGCTTGAGCACCTATTGTGTGCAGCGCCATGCTGGGCCGTGTCATAGGTGCCATCTCACTTTAGCCTTCATCACAACACTGTGAAAGCTTGCGGAGGTGAGCCCTGAGCGAAAGTCATGCTGTCAGGATTTGAACACAGGCTTTTCTGATGAAGAGTCCCTGAAGCCAGAGCTGAGATGGCTTTCCACAGCTGCTTTGTCCCCTGGACCAGAGGGAGGGATGGCCTCACAGCAGGAGAGATCTGGCCTTGGGAACATTTGAGCCCTGCCTCTCTGTGCCCCCCAACTCCTCTGTTGCCCCAGTCCTGGCTTCTTCATACCAATAAAGAGCCCCAGAGCCTCAAAGCTGGCATATTTGCATAACTGTGTGCTCAGGGCTGCGCAGACTCCACAGCCCCACCCTCTGAGGTGTGTCCTCCCCACTCACCTCATCCTGCCCGGCCCACCCCCGCTCCGATGGGGCCCTGTGGAATCCAACTCTCCCAGGCTGACATTCAAGGCCTCCTCCAGTGCCCACCCCTACCCTAGCTAGCCCCAGCTGGCCTTTCCAGCTTGTGACTCCACCCACCTGTCACATGCCTGGCTGCAGCCATCCCCAACCACCCCGACTTCCTGCACACGTGAGGGTGGGCCCCTACCCAACCTGTTCTCCCCACCTGCAATGCCCTGGCCCATCCTGGAGACTTGAAGGAACCCTGGCCATCCATCTTCCTTTGTCCTTCCATCAGAAACAAACTCCTTCCTTGAAGCTCCCCCCGTTCTGAGTCCCAACTTTACATATAGTTACTATGATGATAATGACAACTAAGATTGATTGAGCTCACCCTGTACGTCATGTCAGGTCATGAATTAAGTCATTTCATTCCCAGAGCAAGCCTATGGAGCAGGTGCTGTTAGGCCTTACTTAATAGATTTGAGGTCCGGTGCCATGGCTGATGCCTGTAATCACAGCACTTTGGGAGGCCAAGGTAGGCAGATCACTTGAGGTCAGGAGTTCAAGACCAGCCTGACCAACATGGTGAAACCCCATCTCTACTAAAAATACAAAAATTAGCCAGGCGTGGTGTCGGGCGCCTATAATCCCAGCTACTCAGGAGGCTGAGGCAGGAGTATCACTTGAACCTGGGAGGCAGAGGTTGTAGTGAGCCAAGATCGCACCACTACACCCCAGACTGGGTTACAGAGCGAGATTCTGTCTCAAAAAAATAAAAAATAAAAATAAGACCTTACTTTACAGATTTGGAAACCAAGGTGGAGGGAGGGTGCTGTGAGCACAGCCAGGTGTTGTCAGCTGTTCTGGATCCTAGCAGGCCCTCCATGTTTATCCTGTTCTTCTTTGTATTTTACCTATTCAAGTTTCTTCCTCCTCGACTAACTGCAAATTTTTCAAGGACCATGTATAGGCCCACCCCTGGAGCGGCCAGCACAAAGCCTGACACTCATTGGGTACTCAGAAATTTTTGCTGCATTGATTTGCATGGGAGGTAGGGAGGCCAAGAGATTTTGAACATGGATTTTCGGAGCCACTGAGAGCCTCCCCTCTGCCTCTTACTAGCTGTGTGAACTTAGGCAAGCTGCCTAACCTCACTGAGCCTCAATTTCCCCCTCTGTGAGATGGACGCAATAAAGACACTACTAACCTTGTGGATTGTTGTGAGAATTAGGTGACAAGATGCCTGTGAAATTCAAACCCAAACCACATCCGCCTCCAGCCCCTCTGGTCCTGGGTCTCTGCCGTTACCAGTGTCCTTCCTCAGGGTTAAGCTGTATCACTTGAGAGTTTATCAGGCTCCAGTTTCCTGTGTGACCTCTCTGCTGGAGTAAAATTTCTAGTTTGTTCTCCTGTGTCAAGCTGTGTGGCCGTGGGCCAGTCAGTCCCTTCCCTTGGGCCTGTGTTTCCTGTCCTGGCAATCCAAGGGGTTGGACCAGATGGTCCCTGCAGCCTCTTCCTGCTCTGGCCATCTGAGAAGGGAAGGAGGGGCCACCTGGACACAGTGAGGGATGAAGACACAAAGAAGCGACTAGGGAGCCGCATACGGGACACAGTGACCGCTCTGTCTCCCGAGCACCCAGGGTGTGCCAGGCTCTGTGCCCTGTGAGGCTGAACACTTCTTACCATTGTCTCACTTTATCCTCCCAACCCTAGGAGATATGATTATCCCCATTTTTCAGACAAGGCACTGGGGCACAGAGAGGTTAGGTGACATCCTAGGGTCACACAGCCCAATGGGTGGTAGAGCCAGTCTTCTAACCAAGGAAGGAGACACGTTGGAGCGGGAGGGGTGACACAGCTCAGGCAGCCTTCTAAGTCCTACCTTCTGGACTCTAGGGTTTGGTTTTCCTAAGTTAGCTGTTTCTTTGGGCTCTGCACCTAGCCCATCCAAGGAACTCTGCCTGCTGGGGGCCTTCTCTCCCCTCCCACCCTTTCGAGGTGAACTCTGACTCAGCCTAGCCTCATCCTTGGGCAGGGACATCCTGAAGACTCAGCGAGGCCAGGGGTGTGTGGCCGTGTCCTAGGTACTGAGATTGTGAAAATCTCCCCTTTCCACAGTCCTTGCCCTCAAGAGCCCATAATCTAGTGGGGGAGATTTTTGTTGTTGTTGTTTTAAAGATGGGGTCTCGCTCTGTCACCCAGGCTGGAATGTACAATCTAGTAGGGGAGATTTTTTTTTTTTTTAAAGAGACTGGGCTGTGTCACCCAGGCTGGAGTGCAGTGGCACGATCTTGGCTCACTGCAACCTCCTGGGTTAAAGCGATTCTTGCTCCTCAGCCTCCCAAGTAGCTGGAATTACAGGCATCCACCACCATGCCTGGCTAATTTTTGTATTTTTAGTAGAGACGGGGTTTTGCCATGTTGGCCAGGCTGGTTTTGAACTTCTGACCTTAGGTGATCCAAAGGTCTCAGCCTCAGCCTCCCAAAGGGTTGGGATTACAGGTGTGAGCCACTGTGCCCGGCCTAGTAGGGGAGATTGACAGGTAACCTTGCAATTAAAATGCAGTGTGTGCCATCAGGGTACAAGTGTGGGACACTGTGCATGCAGAGTTTGAGACATGTACTCCCAGGGGAGGTGACATTTGATCTGGGTCTTGAGAGATGTGTAAAGGCCTGGAGAGCCCTGCGAGCTGCTCAGTGTGTCTGCAGCAGTACTGTCCACTAGAACTCTCTGGTAGAACGGGCAGTTCTGTGTCTGCACTGTCTGATACAGCAGCCCAGGTGGCTGGCAAGCACTTGAAATGTGGCCAGTGCAACCGAGGAGCTGAATTTTCCATTTTATTTCATTTTAATTAATTGCAATTTAAATAGCCACGTGTGTCGTATTGAACAGCACACGTCTGGACCAAGAGCTAGGACTGGAGAAGAAAAGGTTGGGGCCAGCAGTAGAGCCTTGAATGTCACCCTAAGGCTTTGTGCCTTTCTTCCCAGACAATGTGGAAATCTGCAGACTGGCACAATGGGGAGAGTGAGAGGGGGAAGCATTTATACATCTGCCCTTTAGAACAATCACTGCAGCTGCTGTGCAGGGCACTTGGAGCAGCAGGAGAGCTAGAGGCAGGGAGGAGCCTGGGGCCACAGCCCAGAAAAGAAGTGATAAAAACCGAACCAGAGGCAGCACGCATAGAGAGGAGAGAACAAATTCCAGAGCAAACCTAGTGACTGGATTGGTTTGGAGGCGGTAGGAATCAAGGATGACTCTCACTCCGAGGTTTCTGGCTGGGATGGAGTTAGGGGAGGGGTGCACTTCACTGAGATGGGGAATATGGGGAGAGGAGCAAGTTTGGGATCTCCTAACACGATCGCAGCATTCCCCATGATGTAAGTGTCTGTGTCCCTGACTGTCACCCCAACACATGCACACCTCGTGGCATCACGTTTAGGACTCACACCTCATCTCTCCCCATCCTTGACACAGCACCATGTGGGGCCCAAGGTCTCAACACATGTTTGTGGAATGGGCAAATGAGTGTTCTGATTCTCCCGGGATCCAGGAGGAAGGAGCAAGCCCGCTGTCCTTATTCCCTGACTGCAAAATCAGGGAGGAAATGTCCAGGTTTCTCAAGTGCCCTGAGCAATGTGAGGAAGGCAGACTCCAAGGCAGTTTCTCAGAAATCCTGAAGAGCTGCCTGGGTGGCTGGGTCTTCTGTGGACCCATGGGGGCCACCAGGGGGAGAATTGTAGCACTTGGCCCATCTCCTCAACATCTGCCTCTCAGCCACACTGTGTCCCAGGCTGGATAGCCCAAGGCTGTCAGAGGCACCTGAGGAGCGGTCTTTCTACTCTCTTAGGCAAACAAGATTCCTCTGCTCCGAGGACTGTATCCGCTCAAGCTGCACACGAATGTTAGGAATGACTTTCAGCTGTTAGTAACAGAGCCCTGGCTGAAGTAGCTGCAGTCAGATGGGGTGCGTTTCTCTCTCATGTAAGACAAGTCTCTAGGAAAGGACTCCAGGTGGGTGTGCTGCGGCAGGTTGCACTGGCTCCTGAGAGCTGATTGTGTGCATCTCATCCCAATGCCAAGTCCAACTACTACTTCACACTGATGGCTTGAAATCCACTTGAGTGGGAACATTTACACCATGGAAATTGGCACTGTTGGGGATTTAAAAAAAAAAGTTTTTCTCAGACAGCCAGCTTCCTAGCATGTCACTGAGTAAACCGATGGTGTGGCAGCCCCACAGTCATCAGGGACTCGGGCTCCTTCTTCCTTCTACTCTTCTGGTTTCAGCTTGTGACTTTGGTCTTTACAGTTGCCTCATGGCCTGAGATGGCTGCCAGAGTTCCAACAATTGCATCAGCATGGGCTCTCAAAACAAGCAGCTTGTATTTTTCTATCTTACCCCCATTTTCATGGCTGGCTCCTCCTCATCCTTCTGCTGTCACCTCCTCAGAGAAGCCTTCCCTGGCCACCCTACCTAAAGTCCCCTCCATCTCACACTGCTTTATTTTCTCTGCAGGACACACCATATTGGTAACCTCGCTCCTTTATTATTTTCCTTGTTTGTTGTCTGTCTTCCCCACCAGACTAGTCCCTATGATCAGGGACTGTGTCTGTCTTGTCCTTCGCCATAATCCCAGTGCCTCAACAGTGCCTGGTACATAATAGTTGCCCAAGAAATGTTTTTTAAATGAATAATTGATAGTAATCAAAGATAATTTTGTTTCCTGCATTCTTCCATCAGCATGTCATCATGAATATTTTCCCATGTTGCTGCCTAGTCTGTAAAATTAATTGAACTAGACATTTACCAAGGCCCTCCCTGGTCTGACAAGCTGAATGAGTGGGAGGGAGGTGGATGTGAACAGGTAAGTCAGCCTTCCTGGCACTGCTCACAGCCCAGACTGACTTGGGGAACTCAGAGGCCATTTCCAGGAACTTCATTCACGCAGCAAGCGTCATTGAGTCCCATCTCAGTGCCAGGCTGTTGCTGGGTGTGAGGTATATGGAGAGGGAGCAGTAGGAGCCACCCTGGAGGACTTGTGGGCCAATACGGGGACGAAGAAGAGACAGACAGGAGAACAACTGGCGATAATACAATGGGCTAGATTCCCAATGCCTGCAGACAGCTGGACCCTGTGCTAGGGAGCACTCACCTCCACAACCCATTTATCACTTGACAAATAATCACTGAGTCCCTGGGCATAAGGCAGGGAACAAGCCAGACAAGATTCCTACTACTCTCATGAAACTCACATTCTAGTGAGGAGATAAGCAATAAACACACAGTCAAATATATTCAGACAGCAGAAGGCGCAAGGAAGACCGTGAATCCAGATGTGTGACAGGGTATGAGGAGGTGCCACTGTGCGTGGGGCGGTCAGGCAAGACTCTTCAAGGAGGTGGCATCTGAGTTAAATTAATGGTACAAAGGAGTCACCGTGAGAAACTCTGAGAGTGGAGGCCACCAGCCAGAGGGAATAGCCAGGGCATAGTCTGAAGATTGGAACGAGCTCAAGATGGTGGAGGCACAGGAAGAAGGCCACTGGCTGGATGGGAGTGATGGGGGAGGGTGTTGGAGACAGAGGTGGGATCAGAGGGTGCCCCAAACTCAGCAATCAAGATGAATAGTATTTAATGCAATATTTCTTAAATCAAAATTAATGCAAAAAACCCACGATGAACAAAATTCAACATTTCAAACAAGGCCAGGATCACTAACAATGCTCTGCTGAGCCACACTGGAACCTGAGACAAAGGAAAAATCAGTGAGGCTGATTGTGTTTTTATTTAAAATTTTGATATCTTGTGTGTTGTGGATTTGTTGTTATTCATCGCAGGAGTCATCATGGTAGAAAACGTGTCACCTGGCATCAAGATCATGGTCTCCACAACCAGGCTGTCCGGGTTCCAATTCCTTCTTTACCATTATATGTTTATCTGTATGCTATGGGGCCAGTTTCTTGACCTCTCTGTATCTTTTTCTCCATCAGAAGATGGAGATAATAATTGTGCCTCCCTTAGGGTTACTGAGAGGCCCAAATGATTTAATATAAGCAAAGAGCTAAGAACTGTGCCCAGCCCACTGTAGCCCTCGGAGAATGTTGGCAGCTAGTCTGTAGCATTGGACTGGTACAGCTTTGGTTCCTTAGAGCAGTGGTCCCCAACCTTTTTAGCACCAGGGACCAGCTTCATGGAAGACAATTTTTCCACAAACCGCAGGGGGTGGGGGTGGGGTGATGGTTTCAGGATGATTCAAGCACATTACATTTATTGTGCACTTTATTTCTATTATTATTTCATTGTAATATATAATGGAATAATTACACAACTCAACATGATGTAGGATCAGTGGGAGCCCTGAGCTTGTTTTTCCGCAGCTAGACAGTCCCATCTGGGGGTGATGGAAGACAGTGAGTGATCATCAGGCATTAGATTCTCATAAGGAGCAGGCAACCTAGATCCCTCCCATGTGCAGTTCACACTCCTGTGAGAATCTAATGCCACCACTGATCCAACAGGAGGTGGAGTCAGGTGGTAATGCCAGCGATGAGGAGCGGCTGCAAATACAGATGGTTTGCCCCTCCCCACCACTGTTCATCTCCTGCTGTGCGTCCAGGTTCCTAACAAGCTATGGACCAATACCCACCTGTGGCCTGGGGGTTGGAGACCCCTGCCTTAATTCTAAGCGGGGATCCAGGGCCAAGTGTGGGGAGCCAGAGAGTGTGTATGTGGAAGTCGATTGTCACAGAAGCCTCTAGGGTGGCCAAAGAGGAGGAGGTTGTTGCAAAGATGCAGGTGAAAGATACGGACGGGTTCTGGAGGTGTTTAGGAGACAGACTCTACAGGACTTGCTGGTGGTTGAACTGTGACGGGAGGCAAGTGTTGGAGGTTGGGGACAGAGACCAGGCTAACCCCCAGCGCCTGGCAGTGGTCAGGGCTGAATGCCTGGGCCAGGCATGGCCCCTGCCCCCATCCCGGCCCTGTGTGTGTTTCAGAGGGAGCTGAAGGACCAACTTCAGGCCCTTCAAGACAGCGAGCGGGAACACACCGAAGCGCTGCAGCTGCTCAAGCGACAACTGGCGGAGACCAAGGTGAGCCTGGCCGGGGCGCGGAGGTGGGGCCGGCAGAGATGAGGGCAGGGCTTCGAGGGGCGGGGCCAGCTGGGGAAGAGGGGCGGGGCCTCGGGTGTGCGGTGGAAACCTGGCTTCAAGGAGCCAAACCTGGAGTGAGAAGGGCAGGGTGGGGAAGAGGGTAGGGCATCCGTGAAGTTCAATGGGGCGGCACCCACCCCATCATGACTGGCGGCAAGGATGTGGGCTGGTCCCTCGGTTAAGGACGGGGCCATTTCTCCCTTCCCACTTTGGGTGGAAGTTGAGGCGGGTCCCGGGACCCTCCGGAAACCCCCTGCCTCCTGAAGGGCTGGGGAATGTGCTCAGTCTCTTTCTCCTCTCCCCTTATTAAAACCGCCCAACCCTGGTGTTGTGACACACACTTGTAGTCCCAGTCTCTTCAGAGGCCGAGGCAAGATGATGGCTTGAGCCCAGGAGTTTGAGACCAGCCTGGCCAATATAACGAGATGCCTTCTCTACAAAAAAAAAAAAAAAAATTGAATATAGCCAGGCGTAGTGGCACATGCCTGTAGTCCCAGCTACTCTGGAGACTGAGACAGATGGGAAGATTGCCTGAGCCCAGGAGTTTGAGGCTGCAGTAGGCCATGATCATGCCACTGCACTCCAGCCTGGGTGACAGAGTGATACCCTGTCTCTAAAATGAATGAATGAATGAATGAATGAATAAGCCCATTGCCTAGGAGTCAATCCTGAGCATGTCCCCTCGAAGCCCTCCAGAGGTGGCCCAGCCCTGGTATCATCTCCCCTTAAGCTCAGGCCATGGGATACAGACTCTGAAAGGTAGGGCCAAACTCTGCAGTCTCTGGCTACCGTGGTTTGGGAAACAAACAAACAAACAAACAAACAGACTTTTCCACTGACTTGAGAAGGACATGGGTTCTGATCCCACCACTAACTCACTGTGTGACTTTGGGTAAATTGCATGCTTTCCTGGGTCCCCAGCCTTCCCATCTGTCCAGTGGGGACTGCCAGGCTCAGTCCAGCACTCTGGGACTGGAAGGTGCCGGGTGGAGTCCCCACTATACAGAGTGACTCTGTGTCGTGAGGCCTGGGGTGATTTCAGGCTGACCCCGCTCTGTCAGCAGGAGCTGCGGCAGAGCCTTAGGAATGCGCTGGGCCTCTGGAGGTCATCCTGGGGCCTGAAGACACCATTGGAAACCCAGATCTATGCCCCAGCTTGGCCACCAACCCACTGTGGGGTCTCAGGAAGGTCATGACAAACAATTCTTCACAGAACATTCCAGAGTGCCTCTGGGCAGGACCCTCGGGGGCAACAGATGATAAACAGTCACAGGATGCTGGCCTCATTGCTTCTTGCAGCCTCAGTTTCCCCAACTGTCTGGTGATTCTGTACCTCTTGGATGATGAGAAGCAAATGGAAGCCTCTCTCTGTATGAGAGCGGAGTATTATGGGCTGTTCCTTCTCCCCAGCAGCACTCTCTTCTCTCCACATCCCACACCCTCTTTGTTTTTCTCCACTGACCTCTTCCTCCCCCGCTTTCCTGTCCATCTGTCTGCCTCTGGGGGGTCCTGTGGGGCCACATCCCCCTCGAGTTCCCCCAGCCCCACTTCCTGTCTGGACTGGGGTGTTTATACAAGAAATGCCTATGGATGCTTTGGAGGTCATATTTCACCTGGTGCCTGACTCGGCTTTCCTGCTGCGCCTGCCCCTCCAATGGCCTGGCCTGAGGGCCTGTCTGATCTCCCTCCTCAGGCCCTCTGTTTTCCTTGGTCGGCGCCCTGGCGGGGTGATGCATTCTTGGCAGGGTGTTTTTCTGAAAGGGCCCCAGCACCTCCAGGCCCTAGGGTGTTCCAAGGGATGTGGTGGGTTGGGGTGGGGGCTGTTTCCCCAGCCACAGAGCTGAAAGGAGGGGGTTGGGGAAAGGGTGACTCTGCCCTGGAAAGAACTAGAATAAATGGGGTGCACCAGTTGAGCAGAACTTTTCTCTGTGCTGAGAATTGTGTTCCTCTTCATTATCCTGCCAACCTCACAGAATGTCACCTCCACGAGAGCAGGATTCCCTAAAACCTAGCACAGTGTCTGGCACACAATAAGTAGTTATAAAAAAAGTGATTGAAAGGAAAAAAAAATCGGCCAGGCACAGTGGCTCACGCCTGTAATCCTAGCACTTTGGGAGGCTGAGGCGGGCGGATCACCTGAGGTCAGGAGTTCAAGACCAGCCTGGCCAATATGGTGAAACCCCGTCTCTACTAAAAATACAAAAACTAGCTGGGCATGGTGGTGGGTGCCTGTAATCCCAGCTACTCAAGAGGCTGAGGCAGGAGAATTGCTTGAACCCAGGAGGTGGAGGTTGTAGTGAGCCAATATCGAGCCACTGCACCCCAGCCTGGGCAACAAGAGTGAGACTCCATCTCAAAAAAATAAAAAACAACAAAAACAAAAACCAAAAAAACAGGAAAGAAAAAAAATCGTCCCAGGTAGGAACTGTTGTTATCTCAATCTTATCAGTGAGGCAACTGAGGCACAGAGAGGTTGAGGGACCAACCTGAAGTCCCACAGCTAGAAAATGGCAACTTGGGAGCTTACCATCCAGTCCTGTCAGAGCCCAGTGCATAGTGCAGCTGGGATGTCTCCTGGGGTGTCCTGCAAGAGCTATGGCTTTGTAGTCAGCAAGCCAGGTAGGTCAGTAGGACTCATCGGGAATGTACTTGGGGCTCCAGGGGTGGCTGTCACTCTGATGTTCCACTGCTGGCTGCCCTGTCCCTGCCTTCCCCCCTTTCCCTCCCATCCTCTCTCGTCCTTGAGACATTGAAACCCCAGCCTGGAAAGAAGCTGGAGCCTGCACCCAGCTCTACGGAGCAATCTCAGACAAGACTCTTCCCTCCTTCACCCCTCAAGCAACTCCTGATTGCCAGCCTTGTACCAGGCTCTGGGATGGGCACAGGGGTGCAGAGCCGAGGGAGATGTCATTCCTACCCAGCAGGGGCCCACTTACTAGCCAGGGAGACAGAAAATGTGGGACAATGTATTAAGACTGTTGACAAAAGGCTCTGGGAACATCCAAGTGCCTGAAAGAGAGGAAAGTTATCTCTGAAGAGGTCACTTTCAAGCTAGGTCTTGCAGGATGAGTAGGAGTTTGCCAGTTGAATACAGGGTTTGGGTAGGGTCATTCTAGGCAGGTGGAGTTGCAATGCAGTGGCGCTAGGGAGGTAAGCTAGGGTTAAATTGAGAAGGTCCTTGAATGCCAGACTAAAGAGTTCAGCATTTTACTATGTGTCAAGGAGCTAAAGAAGGTTCCTAAACTCAGGATCATCTGTGATTCAGTTGGCACTTTAGAAGGATCACTCTGACAGTGAGTTTGCTGGCAAAGACAAGAGTTGACTTGTAGACCAAGTGAGTTGGAAAGACCTGTGGGACCCCAGAGGGATGTGTTGGGGAGACTGTTGGAAAAATGGGTGTGGCACTCAGGAGACAGGCAAGGCCATCTATATGGACTTGGGAACCATCCTTAAAGCAGTTCAAGTTGAAAATGGGGGCAGGTGTTCAGGGTGAGGATGGAAGGCGCTGACCTGGATGAGCCCCGAGGAACATGGGAGGCAGAGAGGCAGCAGTCACAGAGATGGGAGGCAAAGCAGAACTTTCAACTAGGAGAGGGTGGCGAGTGGGCTAAGTGCTGCAGAGTGGTCTAGGAGGAGCCAGAGGAGTAGCTGCGGAGTCTGGGCGCCTGTGGAGGGCAGCTCCAGGTGGTGCAGGGACGACGGACCCCATCTTCCCCATCAGCAACATGCCGCTGCAGAGGCCTCCACCCTCCCCGGGTGAGGGGGCTCAGGAAGGCCACGGCAGCCTGGCCGTGCATCCCCAGACTCTCGTCCGCCCCCCTTTGTCTGCCTGGCGTTCTGGGTGGGCATGCGCAGCGAGGCTGGCCCACCGCCAGCAGTTCTTCCTGCAGGCCAGCAGCCGCGCGTCGGGGAGGGAACAGGCCCTAATTGAGCCTTTGTAGAGCCTCCCACAGAGCCCTGGGCACTGAACACAGTGGGGTTTCTGACTCCATGAACTCCCAGCCAGAATCCCACAAAGTAAAATTGCAGAGGCAGGCCCCACATGCTGCTGCAGCCTGGCCGCACTTCTATAGCCCGTGTCGTCCTGACGTTAAGCCCTTCCTCATGCGGCTCCCTCTGCCTGTTCCCCTGACCCCCAACTGACATCCTGCCCATCCCTCAGGCCCCGGCTCAGAACCCGTCTCTCAATGAAGACTTCCGGGAAACGCTTATTAGAATTGCAGTCTTCAATAACCAGGCTCTTTCTCTGCGCCTTGGAGTGCGCACAACAACACCCCCTCATTTCATCTTCACCACAATCCTACAATGCAGTTTTTGTTACTCCTTTCACAGATAAGAAAACTAAGGTTCACAGCTCTTAGGCAACTGACGTTGCCATAGCTAGAGACCCAGAGCTAGAGTCCTTACGCAGACTGTCAGGCACCAAACCTGTGCCCTTCACTACTTCACCCTTCCTGAGCCTCACAGTGCCCTTGGGGGCAGAGAAAACCATGAAAGTTCATGCTTACCTCCCTGATCCTGTCTATAAACACCAGTCCTTGCTCCTTAGCCAGAGGGTCCTAGAGGTAACAGGAGACAGCGAGTAACCACCAAGGTTTTCTCAATACGTTGCAATTTACAAAGCTCTTTGATGTCTGTGATCTTGTCATCTTTCCTTGAGCCCCCTGAATGAGCCCCATGAATGATTTTTTTAAAATAAAGACTTCAGCCGGGCACGATGGCTCACGCCTGTAATCCCAGCACTTTGGGAGGCCAAGGTGGGCAGATCACCTAACGTCAGGTGTTTGAGACCAGCCTGGCCAACATGGTGAAACCCCATCTCTACTAAAAATACAAAAATTATCCGGGCATAGTGGCGGGCTCCTGTAATCCCAGCTACTAGGGAGGCTGAGGCTGGAGAATCGCCTGAACCCAGGAGGTGGAGGTTGCAATGATCCGAGATCGTGCCATCACACTCCAGCCTGGGTGACAGGAGCAAAACTCCATCTCAAAAAACTAATAATAATAAAAGCAAAAAAAATAAAGACTTCACTATGTCCTTGAGAGAACATCTTCACCCTGTCCCCTAGCCCTCACTCCAGCTCCCTCATCCCTCCTACCCCCAAGCCAGAAACCTGGGCATTATCCCCAGCTCCTTTCTCTTCTGTACCCCTCTAGCCAACACAGCAGGGTCAAAGAGGCTGCCCTCTAGATGTTTCTCAAACCGTGTTCCTCACCATTGCTGCTGCTCCTCTAGTTCAGGCCTCATTTTCTCACCTGGGCCATTTCATTAGCTATTTAATGGACCACATAGAACATGCCCATCCTTTCCTACCACCATGCTTTTGCATGTGACATTTCCCCCACCACGCGTGCCCTTTCCCACCCTTTCCTCTCTGTGTGTCAAGGCTCTCGATTTCCTCCTCTCACCCAGAGATCACCCCATCTGCTCCCCCAGCCATAACCCCTGACGACTGTCCCCCACAGTCTTCCACCAAGAGCCTGCGGACCACTATCGGCGAGGCCTTCGAGCGGCTGCACCGGCTGCTGCGTGAACGCCAGAAGGCCATGCTAGAGGAGCTGGAGGCGGACACGGCCCGCACGCTGACCGACATCGAGCAGAAAGTCCAGCGCTACAGCCAGCAGCTGCGCAAGGTCCAGGAGGGAGCCCAGATCCTGCAGGAGCGGCTGGCTGAAACCGACCGGCACACCTTCCTGGCTGGGGTGGCCTCACTGTCCGAGCGGTAAGTGCCACCCGCCGGGGCCCTCCCCGGCTGACCATCCCCTCCTCGACCCATGCTGGGCAGTGGGAGTGGAGGCAGATGGGATCCTTAGCAGAGAATTCTTTCATTCAAATCTTCATCAAACATTTACGGGACATCTGCTATGGGTAGGAGCATGAAGCCTTGAGTATGAAGCCAGTGAGGCTTGAACTAGAGGAGCAGCAGCAATGGTGAGGAACACAGTTTGAAAACCATCTAGAGGGCAGCCACTTTGACCCTGCTGTCTTGGCTCTAGGGGTGCAGGAGAGAAAGGATCTGGGAATAAAGACTTCATATATTTACATTATTATATATGTAATATATTCTGTATACATTATAGATAGTAGGTAGCATTTAATAGTGTTTACAATCATAATATAAATATATTACATATTATTTTATTTATGATAATGTTGGCATTACGTGTTACTATATAAAGGCTTTATATTACTGTAACCCTCTCAGTCCCTTTGAAAGTAGTTACCACTGTCATCATCATTTCATGCATGTAGAAACTGAGGCTCCTGCTGGGCACGGTGGCTCACACCTGTAATCCCAGCACTTTGGGAGGCCGAGGCAGGTGGATTACCTGAGGTCAGGAGTTCAGGACCAGCCTGACTAACATGGTGAAACCCCGTCTCTACTAAAAAAAAATACAAAAATTAGCCGGGCGTGGTGGCAGGCACCTGTAGTCCCAGCTATTCAGGAGGCTGAGGCAGGAGAATTGCTTGAACCCAGGAGGCAGAGGTTGCAGTGAGCTGAGATCGCGCCATTGCACTTCAGCCTGGGCAATAAGAGCGAAACTCTGTCTCAAAAAAAAAAAGAAAAAAAAGAAAAAAACTGAGGCTCTGAAAAGCTACATCAGTTGGCCAAGGCCCCCCATCTGGTAACTGGTAAGCCAGGATTCAAGCCTAGGTCTCTGTGACCCCAAATCTTCCCTTAGTAGTAATAACACTTAGTCATTGGTTTGTTGGTGATCAATACTGATTGCTAAGATCATGAATTTGGCATTGACCGTGACCGAGCACTGTGCTGAGCATCTGTATATGTTATGCCATGTAATTCTCACAAAAAGCCTAGAAGGCTGATGCTAGCATAGCACCCATTTTAAAGATGAGAAGACTGAGGGAATGGTTAGAGAGGCCAGAAGCAGCACAAGCAGGCACTTGAATCTGAGTCCCACAGACTTCTCACTCATGACCACATCCTATGCCAGCTGCCCTGAAGGTGGCTGCGGGGCCCCTGGCATTGGGGCAGGAATCCAGTCCCTGGTGCAGCCCCCTTTCCTGCTCTCCTTCCAGGCTCAAGGGAAAAATCCATGAGACCAACCTCACATATGAAGACTTCCCGACCTCCAAGTACACAGGCCCCCTGCAGTACACCATCTGGAAGTCCCTGTTCCAGGACATCCACCCAGGTAAGGCATGGGTTATCATGGTCCAGAGCTAGGTGGGGCATGTCCCAGCACAGCCCAGCCCCCTGTCCTAAACACAGCATGGGGCAGTTGGGGTGAATGAGCAGAGTGCCTTGCTGAGCACCTAGTGTGTTCCAGGACCTGTCCTGGGCACCTGCACAATCACTCAGCTCAGTGGACCTTCATAACACCCCAGGAGATGGCTGGGCGTGGTGGCTCACACCTGTAATCCCAGCACTTTGGGAGGCTGAGGTGGGTGGATCATGAGGTCAGGAGTTCGAGACCAGCCTGGTCAACATGGTGAAACCCTGTCTCTATTAAAAATACAAAAATTAGCTGGGCATGGTGGCGTGCACCTGTAATCCCAGCTACTCGAGAGGCTGAGGCAGGAGAATTGCTTGAACCCAGGAGGCAGAGGTTGCAGTGAGCTGAGACTGAGCCACTGCACTCCAGCCTGGGCAACAGAGCAAGACTCCATCTCGGAAAAAAAGGAAGAAAAAAAAAAAACATGAGATAGGTTCCATTAGCAAACCCATTCTCCAGATGAAATGACTGAGGCCTGGACACTTCATAGACTCCTTCTATACAACAGGGTACATAAGAGTTCACATCAGGAACTGTTCTAGGTGCTGGAGATACCATAGTAAGCAAAACAGGCAAAAATCCCTGCCCTCACGCATCTTACATCCTAGGGTGTGAGATAGAAAGTAGACAAAAGTAAATCAGAAAAATACAGAGCATATTAGATACTGACAAAGAATAAGGAAGGGGGCTGGGAAAGGTGAGACAGGATGGAGATTTTAGACAGGTGGTCCAGGAACCAGCCCGCACTGAGAAGGAAGCATTAGAGTCAAGGGCTGAAGAAGAGTGAGCCACGTAGGTATCTGGAGGAAGAGTGCTCCTGGCATGGGGACAGCAAGTGCAAAGGACCTGAGGCAGGAGCACATCTCACTCTCACCAGTCTCCCTCTGTTTCCCAGGCAGGAAGAGCAAGGAGGTTAACGTGGCTGGAGGGAGATGAGTGAGAAGGAGGGTCAAGGTGAAGAGACTGAGAAGGTAGCAGTGGCCAGACACCACGAGGGTCTGTAGGCCATTGTGAGAACTTTGGATTTTATGCTGAGTGAGATGAGAGCCAGTGGAGGGCTTGGAGCCATGAAGTGACGTGAACTGGTTTAAGTTTTTTAAGGATCCCTTTGGCTAGTGGGTTGAGAATAGACCGAAGGGGGTGAAGGATGGGGGCTGGGAAATGGGTTAGGAGACCACTGCATAATCCAGGCAAGAGGTGATGTGGGCGTGAAGCAGGGTGGTGGTAGTGGAGGGGGTGGGAAGGGGTGGGATTTAGGACATATTTTGTAAGGACAGCCAACAGGATTTGCTAGCGGATTAGCAAATCCAGGTGTGAAAGAAAGAAGACGAGGGAGATAGTAATTATTTCAGCCAAAGTGACTAAAAGGATGAAGTTGTAAGCCTGTAAGGTTTGTGATGCCAATTAGTTATCTCAGCACTGATGCTGAAAAGGCAGTAGGGATGACAAGCCAGCAATACAAAAGGAAGGTCAGCACCAGCATCATTAGCATATGGACAGCTTTTAATGAGCCTGGACAAGATCACCTAGGAAGTGGGGGCGGATAGAAAAGACAGAGGGCTGCCCTAACATCAGGAGCCCCGGAACACTCCTAGAAGTCAGGGACAAGAGGGGGACCCAGCCAAGGAGACCGAGAAGGAGCAGTCAGAGGGATAGGAGGGCAACCCAGGTATGTCCTGGAAGCCTGGAGGAAGCATTTCCAGGAGAGAGTGGCTAACAGTGACAAAGGCTGCTGAGCCAAGCATGGGAGAACCCAGAAGAGACTATTCTCCAGATTTAGCAACAGGGAAGTCATTGGTGGCCTTGATGAGAGCTGGTTGGGTGGAGCAGTAGGGGCCAAAGCCTGGTTGGAGCTGGTCCAAGAGAGGTGGAGGCAATGCTTTAAAGGAGTTTTCAAGCGAAGGAGAGAGAGTGTGGCAGTGCTGTTTTTTATGATAGAAGAAATACAGCATATCTGTGAGATGATTGGAAAGATCCAGTAGAGGGGACAGAATTAAGGATGTAGGAGAGGAAGTTGCAGGAGTGACAGTCTTGACTGCAGCCCAGCCTTGACTGCGATCTGCTGCATGGCTGAGAGCCAGCTTCTGCTGGGAGCCCAGACAGTTCATCTTCAGGAGCCCAGAGAAAGTAGAATAAGTGGGCACCAAAGCCAGTGGGGCAGTGGTGGGCGCTTGGGGGATTCTCTTCTGATGGCTTCACCTTTCTCAGTAAAGCAGGAAGCAAGATCATCAGCGGAGATGGGAGCAAGGGATGAGAGGTTTGCAGATAGAGAAGAAGGTCTGAAACAGGTTTCTAGTAGACTTATCAGGTGTTGGGACTGGGAAATCAGTGCCTTCCCAAAATCACAGATCCCCCCCAAGGGCAGATTCAAACTGACTGGCAGCAGAGAACCCTGTGTGTTCCTGAGTCAGGCACGATGTCCTTTAGAGGAGAGACCTGGATAGAGAAGTGAATTCTCCCTGAGAAGTGGGAAGTGTTATTATCCTCATTTTTTCAGAATAAGTAACGGAGGCACAGAGCTGTTAGGAACTTGTCCTTGGTCACGACTTGGAAATGCTACAGCCAGGACTTAAACCCCAACGTCGGGCCCCAGAGCCTGTGCCCTTCCTTACCTACTAAGCTCACTGGCCATTCTCTGACCTCACACACACCAGGAAGGAGGCTGGGGAGACCAAGGCTCAGGGAGACTCACTGACTCCCTCAGGTCACACAGGGGTCAGAGTTTCTTCCATCTGGCTGGATTCATTCTTCTGTTCCACAAACATCAAAAGTCCCTCAAGGCACGTTCAAGAGTCAGGGGAGGCCGGGCATGGTGGCTCATGCCTGTAATTCCAGCACTTTGGGAGGCAAGGCAGGCGGATCACTTGAGGTCAGGAGTTCGAGACCAGCCTGGCCAACATGGTGAAACCCCGTCTCTACTAAAAATACAAAAATTAGCCAGGCATGGTGGTACACGCCTGTAATCCCAATTACTCGGGAGGCTGAGGTGGGAGAATGGCTTGAACCCAGGCGGTGAAGGCTGCAATGAGCCGAGATCGCGCCACTGCACTACAGCCTGGGCGACAGAGCGAGACCTTTTGAGATGGAGTCTCGCTCTGTCGCCCAGGCTGGAGTGCAGTGGCGCGATCTCGGCTCACTGCAAGGTCTGCCTCCCGGGTTCACGCCATTCTCCCGCCTCAGCCTCCCGAGTAGCTGGGACTGCAGGCACCTGCCAAGACGCCTGGCTAATTTTTTGTATTTTTAGTAGAGACGGGGTTTCACCGTGTTAGCCAGGATGGTCTCGATCTCCTGACCTCATGTTCTGCCCGTCTTGGCCTCCCAAAGTGCTGGGATTACAGGCGTGAATCACCGCGCCTGGCCACTTTTTTTTTTTGGATACGGAGTTTCGCTCTGTCAACCAGGCTGGAGTGCAGTGGCGTGATCTCGGCTCACTGCAACCTCTGCCTCCTGGGTTCAGGCGATTTTCCTGCCTCGGCCTCCCAAGTAGCTGGGATTACAGGCACACGCCACTGCACCCAGCTAATTTTTGTATTTTTAGTAGAGACGGTGTTTCACCATGTTGGCCAGGGTGGTCTTGAACTCCTGACCTCGTGATCCGCCCACCTTGGCCTCCCAAAGTGCTAGGATTACAGGCGTGAGCCACCGCGCCCAGCCTCAAAAAAAACAAATTTAATTAAGAAAAAAAAAAGATCTAAAGATGGTTCCATATAGCTGAGCAAGATAATGGAAGAGAGAATGAGAAGCTGGCAGGCCCCAGATCCTACAGGGCCTTGAATGCCAGGCTGAGGTGCCTGGACTGCCTCTCCGAGCTGTGACAGACATGGAGCAGGTGGCAGCTGAGGCTAGAAGGCTCCCCAGGCTCCCTGCTCCAGGGCTGTCCTGGGTCAGTGACTGGGGAGGGAATCGGAGCCTTGGATGCACTTTTGCCTCCCAGAACTTAGTCTCAGCCTCCCAAAGTGCTGGCATTACAGGCGTGAGCCACCACACCCGGCCCATCTTTAGATCTTAAATGAGCCATATTCTCCCTCATCTACATGTTTTGTATTCTCCCTCATCTACACGTTTGCACATGCCATTCCCTTCGGCTGCAGCCCTCTACACAATCCTTAGTCTTTGATGGCCAACTCTTACTCTCCTTGGCATCTTAGTTTATAAAACCTTCCTCTGAGAAGCCTTCCTGGATTTCTCAAGGCAACCTGGGCTTACATGGTCTCACTGTTTTGTCATTGTCTGTGTGGCTGTCTCACTCACTAGACTGTGAACTGTGAGGGTCAGGGGCCAGGTCTGATTCACTCCCAGCAGCTAGCACAGCAAATGTTTGTCGATAAATGCATAACAAAATGAATGGATCCTAGTCTCAGTTCTGTTTCTAGAATAGCGCCTCAATAAAATAGGTGCTTAGTAAGTATTTGCTGACTGAAGAAACTTGCTGCACAGCCTTGAACAAGTCACTGCCTCCTCTGAACTTCAGTTTCTTCCTCTGAAATAGGGATGCTAGTGTTCCCTTCTCAACTCCCTCATAAGGGAGCAAAGGGATGTGGAACTTGCCATCACCCCAGTGCAGGGTTTCTCAACCACAGCCCCATTGACACTGGAGGCTGGACCATTCCTTGTTGCAGGGCCCCGCTCTGTGCTCTGCAGGATGTTTAGTGGCATCCCTGGCCTCTATCCATTAGATGCCAGTAGCCAGTAGCCACCCCACTCAGTTGTAACAACCAAAAATGTCTCTGGACTTTGCCAGATGTCCCTGGGAAGCAAAATTGGCCCAGTTGAGAACCACTGCTCTAGAGAAAGCTGCCTGCCAGAGAGGAGCTGAGGGAGGAACAGACTGTGCTCCAACATCCTGCCCAGAGCAGAGGCCCCTGGGGAGTTCAGAGAGCAGCAGCCTGGTTGGCTGGGCCCCTTTCTTTGTCTGTGGGGCCTGTGAAGTCAGTCTGGCTCCTCTGCCAGCACCAAAGCCCTTTATGTCCAGATGGGAGGGGTGCCCCCAGGGACCTAGCCCATGGATTCTAGCAGCTTCCTGCCTGCCCCTCCCCTCCAGCTCAGGCTTCCTATTGGGTCACCTGAGAACCCCATCCAGCACCTGTCACTCCCCTGCTCTGGCACTTCCACCCTCCCCCACCTCCCACCCCTCTATCCCACCCCCAGCCTAACATTAGGAAGCTCTCCTCCAACTGTGACCTTCTTACCTACCTGGTCTAAATCCCCCAACTCCCAGGCACAAACTGCCTCCTCAGCCAGGCCAGGCAGCCCATTGTCCCAAGGACACCAGGAGCAGCCTGCCTTGCTCCTGCCTTCTCCCCATCCTGGGCTGCTCTCCCCGCCCCCTGCTAATCTGAATCCAGTCATTTTGAGTCCCGGCACATTCCTTGCCTAGCTGTGTGACCCAGAGCAATGCACTCCCCTCTCAGAGCCCCAGTTTCCTCATCTGTAAAACAAGGATAGTTGCATTTCTCTCCCAGGGTAGCTATGCAGATTAAATTATTTGTTTGTAATAATGATCCTGTAACACTTAGTAAGTACTTGATTCCTGTCTGTTTATTGTTATTATCATCATGAATCGACAGATGGTCCCCAGTCTTTTTTTTTTTTTTTTTTCTTTTTGAGACGGAGTTTCACTCTTGTTGCCCAGGCTGGAGTGCAATGGCACAATCTTGGCTCACCACAACCTCCGCCTCCCAGATTCAAGCGATTCTCCTGCCTCAGCCTCCCAAGTAGCTGGGATTACAGGCATGTGCCACCATGCGCCGCTAATTTTTTGTATTTTTAGTAGAGACAGGGTTTCTACATGTTGGCCAGGCTGATCTCGAACTCCGGACCTCAGGTGATCCGCCTGCCTCGGCCTCCCAAAGTGCTGGAATTACGGGCGTGAGCCACCAAGCCCAGCCTCCCCAGTCTTGCTGAACAGGCTTTCTGGGGCCACATGCTGGGAAGAGCATGATGTGAAAAGACCTCAGCTGAAGTTCCAACTCTGCTTCCTCTCCAAGTGGCAGCTTGAGCAAGCCACTTACCTCAGAGTTGTCTCCTTGGAGCCTCAGTCTCCTCTTCTGAAAAATGGCTAGAACAATTTGTGCCCCTGGGTCTGTCGTGGTGCTCCCATGAGCTAGTGAGTGTGAGAATGTTTTTGCACATGTCTGCCCTGTACATCTGAGGGACTGAGGAACCTGGTTTTTTAAAGGCCTGGCCAGAGGAAAACGCTTACAGCCAGCCTTTCATGTTCTGTCAGGCCTCTGCATGTTCGAAGCCTCTGTTCTTGAGAACAAAGAAACACAATCCACTCACTGCCAAGCAGCTGTGCTGGGCTGTGCCCCGGGAGGGCTTTCTCCGCTGCTTGGGCAGAATGTGATTGCTCAGTGGTGGCCGGGAAACATCTCCTGGGACCTCCACAGTCCATGATCCTTCCTGAATGCCTTTGACCTCAAGGTCTCAGAGATGCTTAAATGAATGGACAACACACCTGGAGACCAGACGGGCTGCCTCAGTGTCTGGCTTGTTTTTATAAATCTTGGTGTCCCGGGACTTAGAAATGAGCTCTGACCTGTAGAATAGTGAGCCCCCAGGGACTGCGCTTGTTTTGCTGGGCCTGTCACCTCCTGGGGATGAGGGACAGATGGAGGAACTGACTTCTCAGAGGGGGAAGGGGTGTTGCCATGCCCCTTCTAGGTCCCTTTCTGGTCTGAAGGTTGTTACTCCTGTTAGCCCTAGCCTCGGGGAGGGAGCCCCAGGAGCCAAGACCCTGTGTTAATGATTCGTGCAAGGCCTTGGAGGTGGCTTCAGCCAGGGTGCCACACCCTGCCCCAGCCTCACCCCTTGGGGTATAGAAGTCTCCTAAGAGTCAGGCCACACCCCCGCCTAAGAGAGTGGCAGGCCCTGCCCCTAGGCCGGCCCAGTGAGTGGCAGGCCCTGTACCCATCCTGTCCCCTGGGCTTCAAGCAGCACAGGTCCGCTCGCCAGGGCTGGCATTCACTGGGTCAGGATTTCCTCCAATCTGCAGGCTTATCTTTGTCTACTGGTCTCAGACCCACGGAGAGCCCCCTTGTCTCCCTCCTAGGGTGCCCTCCCACTCATCAGTGGCACCACAAGTGGCTCACATTGTCCTACATAAGCTACAAGTCTGAAGCTGAGCCCTTATACCTGCTTGAGGGTACCCCCCGCCCCGCACCAGTCCTTCTGCCCTGAGCCTCGGTTGCTGCCTGTTGCTGGTCTCAAATCACCCAGGCGCCTTAGATATCATGCCTAGGTTCCCCCAGCACTCTGAACTGCTGCTGTTCATGCCTGGGCACTGTGCATCGCTCTTCTGCCCCTCCACTGTCACACCTGAGTGTGATCCACATCCCACTGTCATAGGGGTGGCCCACCTATGTCTGATTAGGTTCCTCTTCTCAATCTAGCTCTTCCCCCTACCACACACTCCTCCTACAGCTCCCTCCCACTCCCACCTCCCGACCCCACTGTGGGAATTGCCCACATTCCACCAGGCAGGGGCCCCCTGGTTCTGACAAGCTGCCTGTGGCCAGTCAGACCACAGGGTGAAACATCCAGCCACCAACTCAGTGGCCGTCCTCTCTTGGTTCCCCGTCTTCTATGTCCCTGGACAGAGGATTGTGTTTCCATTGACCCCTCTATTCACAAGGCTAATTACTTCCATACAGCCCTCTAAGTCCAAAGGACAGAAACAAAGAGGGTAAAATGCAAAACTAAACTTACTCCTGGCAAAGATCATGGAAGGAACTTGATATAGGTCACTGGTCCAGTGGGTATATGAACAGAGGCACAGTTCAGGGACTGGCTGTAGCTCCCTGTTGGGGACAGTCCCCATCATTGAGGCATCTTATTTCTGCACATCAGTGCAGCCAACAGAGGCAACTGAAGTAGGGAGAATGCTCCAGCCAAGCATAACCATGTCCCCACTTCGCCAGTAAAGGAAAGAGCCAGAGAGCTGGATGTCCAAGACCCCAAGGAACAGAGGCAATTCCTTCTTCCCACTTTTCCTCATCTCTGTCTTGCTGTTGCCTGGAAATGGTCATTCAGGCTAAGGAAAGCCAATCCCAGTTTCCTCCTTCTCCTCTGGCCAGTTATCAGCTCCCTCAGGGAGCAGAGAGTAAACAGAGGTCTTAACAAGGGTTCATGAAATTTTTAGTCAGACCTGCTAAGCCGGTGTGGCCAGCCCAGAGCCAGGTGATGCAGCCCATGCCACCTGCCCAACACAAACATGGCCAGTTTAATTTGGTGAGTCTTTCCGGAAATGTGCCACAAGCCAGGCCCTGGGCTGGGCTCTGGACACACAAGGGAGAGCCCCATTAGACAGTACACGGTCCTTGCCCTCTTGGTGCAAATGGGGAAATAGGGCAAAATGTGATCACAGAAGATAATACCCCACGCCAGTATCAGGGCACAAATAAAGCTAAAGAATTTCAGGCCAGGTGCAGTGGCTCACACCTATAATCCCAGCACTGTGAGAGGCTGAGGCAGCAGGATCACTTGAGGCCAGGAGTTCGAGACCAGCCTGGCCAACATTGCGAAACCTCATCTCTATGAAAAATTTAAAAATTAGCTGCGCATAGTGATGCATGCCTATAGTCTCAGCTACTCAAGAGGCTGAAGCAGGAGGATCACTTAAGCCTAGGAGTTGGAGGCTCCAATGAGCTATGATGACACTACTGCACTCCAGCCTGGGTGGCAGAGTGAGACCCTGTCTGTATTTTTTTTTTTTAAAAGAATCCAGCACAGTGGCTCATGCCTGTAATCCCAGAACTTTGGGAGGCCGAGGTGGGCAGATCACTTGAGGCCAGGAGTTCAAGACCAGCCTGGCCAACATGACGAAACCCTGTCTCTACTAAAAATACAAAAAATTAGCCAGGCGTGGTGGCGCGTGCCTATAATCCCAACTACTCGAGAGGCTGAGGCATGAGAATCACTTGAACCTGGGAGGTGGAGGTTGCAGTGGGCCAAGATCATGCCACTGCATTCCCGCCTGGGGGATAAAGCAAGACTCTGTCTCCAATAAATAAATAAGAAAAAGAAGAGGCAAAAGGAATTTCAGAGGACAGAACGAGCACATCTGCTGGGTGACCAGGAAGGCTTCCCAAAGGGTGGGCCTTTTGAATTGAGCCTCTGGGGGTGGTTGCAACAAGCAGAGAGGAGGAGGTGGAGGGAACCGTGTAAGCAGAGGCTTTGGACCTAAGTGGGGTAGGGGGCAGAAGTGAGAGGTTGGCTGGGAGAAAGGACTGGCGCTAGATTGCAGACGACCTTGGTTAGTCCTGGCTCTGCCAATATTTGCAGGATGACCTAAGTTTGTCATGTCTCCCCTCTGGGTCTCAGTTTCCTCATCTGTCAAATGGAAGAGTTGGCCTAGAATTCATGGTTTTCAATCTTTTCAGACCCATTGTCTACTTTTCATAACAAATCATGTGTAATATCTCAAAGATAATATAACCTTTTTATAATTTCAAGTGTAACCTTTTCACAATTTCAAGTGTTGTGTGTGTATATGTACATAGATACATACTCTGACTATTAATATGAAGGAAAATAGAAGGAAATTATTAATAATAAAATATTTTGTATGTCAACATGTAGATGCTCACCCACAATCACACTAGAAAACCTAACAAAGCAGCCAGGTCCTCTCGTCATAGGTAAAACACCATCCTGCCTCAAATGCCTATACAGGTAGGTTGTCTCAGTCAGTGGTGTTGCCCTTAGGGATGTATTTTCCAACAAAGCAAACAGTTCTTAGGGAAGTTCCAAACAAAACAAATGCAGCCTTCCCTTCATTTACACAGTGGTTGCATTCTGAAATATTCAGTATATATTAAAACTGCAAAAAAAATTTCATGTTTATACATGAAATGGAGTTAGGTTATAGTTTCTTATCCTTATAAAAAAGATTTTTCATCCACATGAATGTCTGCTGGGACACGTGAAAATCACTGGGAGTCGGGGAAGGTGTGGGGCAGAACTTCCCTTTGCAGAACTGTCCTGTCCATTTCGTGGTCTTTAGCATCCCTGGATCCCAGCTGTTGTTAAGACAACCTGAACACACTCACCAATTTCCCCATTCCCCCTAGGGGGCAGTAGCAACTGGATCATCTGGAAGCTCCCTTCCAGCTCTAAAATTCCCCAATTCTAGGCCTCATTCTGGTTAATTCAACAAACATTTGCCAGTGCCCACTATGTGCTCCGCCCTGGGCATCAGGCAGTGAACAAGCAGCTGTAGCCCCTGCTCCCCTGCAGACAATATCTGGAAGGACCTTAACCACCACCCTTCCATTCTACAGAGGAGGAAGATGAGGCCCAGAGAGGGCAGACTTGTATTCAAGGTCACACAGCAGGTCAGAGGCCTCCTGCGTACCAACCAGAACTCTGCCCTCAGGAAGGCACTGCATGGTGGGTCCACAGCCTTCTCCCCACTCATCTTCTCTCCCTCCTCCAACCCCCACAGTGCCAGCCGCCCTAACCCTGGACCCGGGCACAGCCCACCAGCGCCTGATCCTGTCGGACGACTGCACCATTGTGGCTTACGGCAACTTGCACCCACAGCCACTGCAGGACTCGCCAAAGCGCTTCGATGTGGAGGTGTCGGTGCTGGGTTCTGAAGCCTTCAGTAGTGGCGTCCACTACTGGGAGGTGGTGGTGGCGGAGAAGACCCAGTGGGTGATCGGGCTGGCACACGAAGCCGCAAGCCGCAAGGGCAGCATCCAGATCCAGCCCAGCCGCGGCTTCTACTGCATCGTGATGCACGATGGCAACCAGTACAGCGCCTGCACGGAGCCCTGGACGCGGCTTAACGTCCGGGACAAGCTTGACAAGGTGGGTGTCTTCCTGGACTATGACCAAGGCTTGCTCATCTTCTACAATGCTGATGACATGTCCTGGCTCTACACCTTCCGCGAGAAGTTCCCTGGCAAGCTCTGCTCTTACTTCAGCCCTGGCCAGAGCCACGCCAATGGCAAGAACGTTCAGCCGCTGCGGATCAACACCGTCCGCATCTAGTCCAGGCAGAAGGAGACCACAACCTCCTGGGACCACTGCCACCTGCAAGAGCCCTGCCCAGGAGATAGAAGACCTGGACTCCAGCCCACCGTGGCCACTGGAGACCTCAGGCCAGTTGTTTACCCTCCAGCCTCCAGTCTGTAAAATGGAGGTTGCATTCCCTACTTCCTAAACTCTCTTCCAGCATCGATGTTCTGTAGCTCTGACCTTGATAGGGATACAGCTTTGATCCAAGGATGTGACATGGCTTCTCCTCAGGGCAACCCCTGCCCAACCCTCATCCCCATCTTCTCAGGGGCAGGGGACTACCTTCCAGTGTCTCCCTCCAGCCCAGCCCTGACCTCAGGAAGTGTCAGAGCATGGCCAGTAGTTGGCAGCCCGAAAGACACACAGCACCCTCTTATGTCCCATGGCCTAAGACTTACCCCTGACCAAGCTAGTGATGGGCCATTTACCCTTGACCCCAGTCCACAGTGGTCACAGGTAGTACCTGGTCCTAGGGTTGCCTGAGAGCCAACCTCTCCTGCCACCCCCACACCAAGAACTATATGGTTCCTACTTCTCCCACTGATCTGCTGGTCAGTGATGATGCTGTGGCCTGTGGAAGGCACCTGGTAGTTGAGTCCACACATTATAGTCATGTGCCACCACCTTCCTGCCCACAGGCCGAGGGACAGGGTGAGGGTATACCCAAAGCTGATGCAGAGCCCATTAGCCTAAAAGCAACTGCAGGACAAGCCTCCCTGGATGATCGAGGTCCCCAGTAGCTCTGAACAAGAGTCCAGCCAACCCTCTTCAGCCAGGCCTCTGTGACCTGCTAGGGTGCAGGAGGCTTCCAGAAGCAGTTGTTGTAATTAGGACCCAAGCACTGGGAGGGGCTGTTGGCTGGACCCCTTGTCAGACTTGGCATCTATCTCAGTTAGGATCCTGCTGCAGAAAACAAGAGCCACTTGTAGCTGGTTTAATTAGACAAGGATTTACTACCTGGCCCCTGGTGGCTTGCAAAATTGTTGGAAGAGCTGGAGAAGCAGACTCTGCTGAATTTCCAGGAACTCCCAGCGCCAGATTCATCATGTCTGTTGTGACCAGGAAAGCTGCCCCCATCTGCAGGAAGCCACTATGCCAGAAAGCTGCTGACTGCAGAACTAGGCTCCCTCTGCCACGGTCCGTGCCAGCCAATAGATGTCCTGAGGCCTGCCCCTCTCCCACTTCACTCAGTTCCCAAATCTAAATTTTTACAAGAGATTCTGTTTGGGGGAACTTAAGTCAGATCCAGAACCTTGGCTGCAAGGGAGTCTGGGAAATGTCATTTCCCTAGAAGGAAGTTAGGGTGGGTGGAGCAAGCCCCACCTGCGTTTTTCTGCCACAGCATCCAATCGTGAAGAACTCGGGAGAGGGTGGAGTCCACATCTAGGGTTGTCCTGCCCCTTGGCTCTATCCCTGCCCAGAGGTGGGAACTGGAGGAGTGGGCTGCAAGACTGAGCCTAAATGTCTCCCCGGCCTTGACTTTTCTTTCTAGTCCTGGGGCCTAGATTCTGCACTTGGGGTCTCTGACACAACACACCATCCCAAAGTAGCCGGAAGAGCTAAACACAGGGGGTTCTTAAAATGGCTGCCCCCGCCACCCGGGCCTCCCTTGGGCAAAAGGAATTGTCAGCCCTACCCCAACCCTTCAACTACCAGAATCTGGGCCACCCCAGCAGTATTTTTATTTAAAATGTTGCCCATTTTATGAGTTATGATCAATTTGTATTAAATTAAAGTTACAGATGTCAGTAGCCAGTTCCATTCATTTTGACAAACACACAGGCCCACCCAGCTCTGTCCCAGGCAGTGCACACACATGAGCATAGCTAATCCACAAAGCAGCCCGGCTGGGTAAATGGTATTATGCTCATTTTACAGAGGAGGAAAATTGAGGTTCAGAGAGAAGCCAAGACTTACCTGGGGTCCCATATCCCATGCTGGCAAGTGCCACACCACAAACCTGTCCAAAAACTTACCAGCCAGGGAAGGCTGTCAGTCTTTACCTGGAGGAGAGGTGGTGGTAGTCTTGGGAGCAGGCAGCAGGCAGCTCATGGGGCAGTGGCAAGAGCCTGGTCTCGGGAACCACACAGACCTCAGCTCAAATCCAGGCTCCATCACTGTGTGACTTTAGAAAAATGACCACCCTCTCTGGGACTCAGTTTTCCCACATGGAAGATGAGGATACCAATTTCACATAATTTATTGGTAAGCTGTAAAGTGCAGTGCACTTAAGGAGGCCCTACCCTATCCCCCCAGCTGCCTCCCAGAGTCAGTGCCTGGAGCTGTATGGGTTTCCTGAACCTCTGGGCTGGCTCTGACCCAAGAAGTCTGTCTTTCTCCTTATGGGCTGTGACGGGTATGGAACCACCTAGACCAGGACCATCCTGAGGTCCATCCCACCTCTGACTGATGAGGAAGCATCCTGGCTGGGAGTTAGGACAGGCTCTGCATGTGGACACACAGGCTGTGCACACTTAAGTGGAAAAGACTGTCGACTAAAGAAGAAATATCAAGCTTTTAAAGAATTAAAGTTCACTTTACTTAGAAGTCTTACTGAGTACTATAGACAGGCCTAGAGCCCAGCAGCGGCCCTTTAGAGAGGTTCTATCAGTCGGGCCCAGGACAGTATTTTAGCCCACTGCTTATATACAGGTGGTGGAGGTTTAGTACACGCAAAATCACATCACACTTGCTCAGAAGTAACATTAAAGCCACCGGGCGCAGTGGCTCATGCCTGTAATCCCAACACTTTGGGAGGCCAAGGCAGGCGGATCACCTGAGGTTGGGAGTTCAAAACCGCCCTGACCAACGTGGAGAAACCCCGTCTCTACTAAAAAATACAAAATTAGCCGGGTGTGGTGGCACATGCCTGTAATCCCAGCTGCTCGGGAGGCTGAGGCAGGAGAATCTCTTGAACCCGGGAGGCGGAGGTTGCGGTGAGCTGGAGATCGCGCCATTGCACTCCAGCCTGGGCAAAGAGCGAAACTCCGTCTCAAAAAAAAAAAAAAAAAAAAGAAGTAACATTAAAGCGGAATCATATATCAACGTTTGCATGTAAGAGTGTGTCTGGGCTATAGATTACAGAGGCATAATCATGAATGCCATCAGACACTATCTTCTGTACAGGAAAAGGCAAGGACTAGGTTTATTTATCTTTTAAGGAACGTAGTGACTCAGGCAAGAGACATGGGGGCCATGCCCACTATTCTGTCTTGTCTCCAAAGTATCCCTCCACAGAGCCGCACATGGTCACAGAGTCAGAGGCTTGTGAAATTATGCTGGCAAACAGAAATGAGGGAAGTAGCTTCTTCCATTTGCTACTGTGTCTCCCAGGCCACTGGGTGCTCTCTGCAGTGTGCAAGGGAGTACAGCACCCCTGGGAGCCCAGGACTGGTGTTGGCTTTCTGTTAAGTCATTTTCACCCTAAGCCATTCTTGGCCTCCTCACCCACAGAATGAGGGAGGTTAGGCTGCAGGCCACAGGTGGATCTTCATCTACAGCCTGGAGCTGGGGAGAGGGAACCACCCCAGTCATTGACTCGCCTGGGTTTCTAGGAAGAGGAATGAGAACGAGGATGGGAGAGGGGCTGTTGGCAGGGGTGGGTGGAGAGGTCTCTGATTGTCTGATGGAGAGCAGCCCAGTTCACAGGGAAGTGACTGGGGTGATTCTGAGACTAGAGTATCCCAAGCCCTCCCCCATCCTCTCAGATCCCTGTGACTGCTCTAAAACCACGCCCTCTCATTTTGGCTCAGTGGATCTGTCTTTGCTCAGCCTTCTCCCTCTGGGGTCGGAGCACCCCCTCCATGGCGCATTCCACCTTCTCCCCACTCAGCCTCAGCAGCAGCTCCAAGAAATGCTGGCCACTTCCCAGGCTTTACTCACAGTTTCCACGTGTGTGGAAGTAACTATAGAGGCCAAATTTGCATTATCAACTGGGGACTCCTGGAAATGGGGGTGTCTCCAAGAGATATATTTGATACACGTCCAGAGAATTCCTGAAGGAAAGAATCTGGGGTTGTCAGGCTGATATCATGAACCCCACATTTAACACATTAAGTGAAGAGAGGGGACAAAGGCCAGGCTTGGGAAGGAAGGAGGGATCAACAAAGCCCTTACCCAGGACAGATAAAAATGATAGAATGGCAGTAACCCCATTTGGAGCCCCCATTTGTAGTCAGCAAGCAAAGTACTGGTCCTTTTTACACCTTATCTAACCATCGAGACACGCCCCTGTGGTTGGTATCATTATCTCAGTGTTTGAGCAGGGAAACGTCACTTCCCAGAGGACCCACAGCCAGTACTCGGCAGAGCTGGAAATCAAACCCGGTCCATCCAAAGCTAAAGCCAGATGTCTCTTTACTGGACCTCTCTGGAAATGCTTCTCAACTTTGATGATGGCTCCAGTGACAGGCAGCAGCCACCAGGACTGTGATCTCCCTGGGATTTAAAGTGGGAGGTTAAACCAGGCTCCACGCCACTGCGGAATTGTGCAATTGTAAGTCAAGTCTCAATTGTGAGCCAAGCTTCTCCCAGGGTCAGAGGTGGAGTTAGAAAGGCCCCATGTGACCCTGAGCAAGTCTCTCTCCTTCCCTGGTCCTCAGTTTCCCCATCTCTATTGGGGAAGGGTTAGGTATCTATTCTAGTTGATTAATTGCCAGGGCCTGAGCTCTGATGGTCCAGGATTCTGTAAGTCTAACGTTAGGTCCCACGGCTTGCCCTGCTCAGCACCTAATAAGGCCATTAGCTCTGGCTCCTTCTCTCTGGGGTGGCAGCAGGGACAGAAAACAACAGAGATACATTCTCTTGGCAGCACAGAACTCAGCTCAAGGGTTCTGGGGATGGGGCCTTCCCTCCTGCCAGGGAGGCCATCTCGAGAGGCTGACTGCTCACACCTGGGCAGCACTCTGTCTCCTCCCCTCCTGCCTGGGTCCCAGCTCTGTTCACCACCCCAAAGCACATCACCACAAGGTCAGTTGCAAAGGCCCGGTATCACAGGCTTAAATACAGAGGGCTAGGAGGGAGGTGGGAGGTGGGAGAGGAAGGTGGAGTACTAACAAAGGTGTTGAATTATCACTGCCCATCAGGACACGGTTATTTCCCCTTACTCTGGGACACCAAAGATTCTACACAATCTTCCTATAATCCTGAACCACAAAAGGGAGGCACAGCCTCCAAAAAAAAGTAGGAGAGGGGAGGGGGGAAGTACTTTTATTTTGAAATGTGTTCATTTTTCTTTGTTTTATTTTCTATCTTGATGAAAAGAATATATTTTTAAACCTAAATACAAAATAGTACAGTTTTCTATTTTTTTTTAAGTTCCAGGATACATGTGCAGGACGTGCAGGTTTGTTACATAGGTAAATGTGTGCTATGGTGGTTTGCTGCACCTATCAACCTATCAGAACAGTTTTCTATCTGCTTTAAAAATTTCAACAGTTCTATCATATTTCTATTACAAAATGCTCCCCCCTCCCTTGAAATTAGATGAAGAGGGGGAAGGGTTGACACTGTGGACCAGAGACCCAGGGACTTCCTACCCTGATGTCATGATAAGGGCTGGGGAAGGGCTTTCAGGAAGCTGGCATCAGAGGCACAAAGCTTCAGGTCCTGGTGAGCTTCCCAAAACTGTGAGACTAGATGTGATCGAATCTGAATGCTGGAAGGGTCTGAGTGATCCTCCAGTCTAACCTGAAGCCCAGAGAGGGTTAGTTTCTAGCTCCACATCACACAGCATATGGTGGAGCTGAGATGAGTACTCAAGTGTCCTGGTTCCCAGTCAGCACATAGGGGAGGGAGATTGACTAACTGAGAGGGCCCCAGCCCAGGCAAAGAAAAGGAACACAGGCCAGGCTGGAAGGGACAGGGCCAGAGCTTAGGAGGGAGGTGCTCAGAGGAGAAGGGTCCCACATCTAAGAAGGTCTGCGGGGGTACAAGAGGGCCTATCAGAGTTGGGGGCTGCAGCTCCTCCGAGAGGAGAAGGAGGGGGCAAAAGGGTGATCAAATCAGGAAGTCCTCCCTGGGGTGTGCATGCCAGTCAGCATCACGGGCCCCAACATGGCTGATGAGAGACCCCTGATCTCAGCCCTGCCATTTACATAGAAGAAAACTGAGACACAGATGCAAAGACAGCAGCCTGCAGGGCACAGTCAGGGCCAGATCCAAGTCTCCTGACTCCCAGCCATCGGCTCTTTTCATGCAAACTTCAGTCTCCCTCTTGTGGATTCTGGTGTCTCCTCCTACCCCCTGGGAACCTGGAGCCTGAGCAGAAGGAGAAGGGGAGAGAGGAGGGTTCCAACAACCCCAGGCACCAGGAGCTGGGTGCCTTCCTCTGTTGTCCTCTCCAAGGAGAAGAGAGAGCTGGCCTGGACCTCCAGGGCAGAGCCACTTCATACCTGCCCACACCTGGTCCTCCTTTGCTGGCAACAGAGTTCAGAGCTAGCACCAGCCACAGCAAGGACAAAGCCCAGCCCAGGCAGCTGCTGGAGCTGCAGGGAGTCCCAGGTAAGTGAAAGCATTGGGACTGATGGCCCAAGGGGGTTCCCTGATTTCATGGCACTAGAGAAAGCCCTGGGATATCAGGTGGTTTGAATGTTTTGAAGTCTTTTTCCCCAGAAAAGAGGCTCTTGCCCCCTCACTCCCTGCAGGCTGAGCCCCTGTGCCTGCTTCCTCTGCTTACCACATACCGCAGGTCAAAGGCCCTCCCTGACCAAGCTGCCAGATCTGCCAATCAGAAGCGAGGTCCTGGGGCCCAGCAGCACTGTTCTTGCCACTGGGAGAAGGGAGAAGCAGATATGGGACCTGAAAGGTCACCAAAAAAAGCAGACAGGCTGGAGGTTTGTGCCTCTCACCAGGGTGGGGCTGTGAGTCGAGACCTGGGTAAACCCCAGCTCCGTCTCTGACTCACCAATGACCCTGGACAGCTCCTTCATCGCCACCGTAAGCATCCCTGTTCCTCATCGGCTGAACAAGAGGGACAGGCAAAGGTTCTAGCCTGAGGCAGCTTCCTGGAGTTTGTCCATTGGTACCCCTCTCTCCCCTCTTTCCTCTTAGGGACCCCCCTCTGCCACACTCCTGGAAAGTCCTTCCCCACTTCTTTCATTCCTCCATCAAAATTTACCCTCCGGTGTTCCTCAGGTTAACTGGCTTACTGTTTAAGATGTCTCCCTGTCTACAACCTATGCACATTTATAATAGGAACCACTCCCGGAAGAGTAGCTGATGGTGGGATCTTAGAAACCCTGACAAGCAGCAGAGGAAAGATTATGGGGAGGATAGAAAGAGATAGGGGACTTCTCATGACACCATATGGCAGCTCTACAGCAGCTGCTGGTGGCTCCTGTCTTTCCAGCTGATCTGTCCCACTCTTGCCCCCATCCTCAGCACTCAGCCCTCCCCACCAGCAGCCCAATACAGGCTAATGGCCACGCACCACAGCCTTTCTGTTTGCAGGGGCTTCCTCTGCAGGAGGAAAACAACCTATGCATATAATGTTAGAATCAGACATGTGGACCTTTATGATCCCACGTGGAGAATGATAAGCATATTTTTGGCCTTAATGAATCTGCTTTTGGAGTACTCTTCCCCCTACCTAATGCCCTCCTTTTCCTTACTGTTGAAATCTTACTCATCCTTCATGTCCCACTCAAGGCAGGCTGTGTCAGTCATCCAGGTCCAGGAGATTCACTGACCCTGGGCTTTCCAAGAAGGACTCTGGGTCTCCCACTGCCACTAGGCATGAGCATCTCAAGATGGGGATCCTGTCCTATGGTTTTGCATGCTGGGTGCAGAGAGAATGTCAGAAAATGTTTTCTGGCTGAAAAGTAGCTAATGTCAAGCTGTAATTTTGAAACTACCCCATCTCCAAGATGGGAGGGAACTTACAGACCAGAGATAACCCCTCCCTGATGATGCTGAGCCCCCAGAGCGACCCTCACTGATCATTCCCCCGACACCTAGATTTTGTGCAGGGAGAGCCAGGGAAAAGAGGCAGAGACTAGGAAAGTTATTTGTTTGCTTTTTTAACAAATTATAACATAACTTGTGCTCATTTTAAAAAATGAAAATAAACACAGTAGAAATTCTCATTCTCCTTCTTCCCCAGTCCCAGAAGTCAGCAGCTATTAACAGTCAGTGCGAGTCTTGCAGGCATTTTTGCTTACACATAAACAAATGTCATTTTCTTTTACACAAATATGATCATCTTTCACATACTGTCCATCTTTCTATGTGTTCTGTGGTGTAAGTAGAAGCCCAACCCTTTCCCCTGCCACCTCCCTGGACCTCGGGCTCCTCAGGCTCCTACAAATGAAATTATTGGTCAAAAGATTTTCTCATTTAAAATGTGTTGCTTTCCTGGGTCGTTTTATTTTCTTGTAACATGCTCATTATGGAAAATTTGGAAAATACACAAGACACAAAGGAAAAAAATCATCCATCAGCCACTGTCCAGAGATAACTGCTGCTAGCATTTTGAGGATAAGGTTTACAGTCTTTCTTTCCTTTTCTTTTTTTTTTTTTTTTTTTGTTGTTGTTGTTGTTGAGACAGGATCTCGCTCTGTCACCCAGACTGGAATGCAGTGGCACGATCACAGTGCCTCAGCCTCCCAACTAGCTAGGACTATTATTGGGCGTGCTAATTTAAAAAGAAATTTTGCAGAGACAGGGTCTCGCTATGTTGCCTAGGCTCATCTTGAACTCCTGGTCTCAAGCAACCTCTCCACTCAGCTTCTTAAAGTGTTGGGATTACAGGCATGAACCACTGCACCTAGACCAGCCTTTTTTCTACGTGAGTCTATTCTACGTAAATCAAACCACTTTGCCTATTGTTCCATAACCTGTTTTTTTCCACTTAATAAAAGATTGTTATTCCATGTTAGTCTACAGCATCAGTTTAGTATGCTGTGTGACCTCAGGGCCACCTTAGAAGCCTACTTTTCCTAACCCCCATTCTGAGTAGGGAACCTGCCGCAGCAGATGCCCAGAACGCTCTTGCTCCAGGGTGTAACCTCTGCCTACTGGCTCCCTTTCAGGAATAAAATGCCCTGAGAAGTCCCTGAGCACTTGCCTCCTCCACCTCCCCTGAGCTGAAATCCCAGCACCCCACTGATGGTTATGCAGTCCCCCTGCAACTTCTCCGGCGCCACCTACCGGTGCAGTAAGTAGAAGCCCACCCCTTTCCCCTGCCACCTCCCTGGACCCTCAGCTCCTCGGCTCTGCTGCCAACCCAAGACCCAAGGTGGGGAGGATGGAGGTGGGGGCCTGGGTGGTCCTGACTGTGAGGCAAGGGAAGCCCTCTGGACTCAAGTTGGGCAAGCGACAGTGCCTCTTGCCCTTGTACCGTGGCCAGCTTTCCCTCAGAATGATGAGACTGAGGAAGGGACAGGGGCAGGTAGGTATCAGAGGTGGGCCAAGGAGGGTGCTGAGCCACTTGAAAGTTTTCTGGTTCCCAAAGCAAATACCCAGCTTCCCAGCCCAAGCCCATACTCTGCCCAAGGAATTTACTAGCCAAATAGTGTGGTTAAGTGTGATGTTGGGCAAGATCCCCCCTCTGGGGATCTCAGTCTTCTTACCAATTATACAAGGGGAAATATAGCCAGGTGGTTTCTAAGCCACCTTCCCAGCTCTGAAACTCTAAAACCCAACTGGAATCCATGTTTTCAAATGCTCTGTTTTCTCTCAAAGTCCCTGTACGCCTCATGATTAGTTGAATCCAATTATAGACCAGGTCTGGTTTGAAATATCATTAACATAATAATTATTATGGGCTGTCCTCTCATTTAATCCTCACAACAAGCATAAGAGGAGATACCATTTTTATCCTCTTTTTACTGATAAGAACACAAGGTCCAGAGAGTTAAGATGACTTTCTGCTTACGTGGCAGAGCTCACATTTGAACCCAGGGCTGTGTGACTCCCAAACCTGTGCTCCTTATTAGCCTCCAGTCCCCATACTACCCTGTGATGGGTGTAGGGATCATTCTTCCCTTGCTACAGTTAAGGAAACTGAGGCCAAACAGAAGAGATGTTTTCCTCAGGGTCACATAGCAAGTTCATGGCACAGCTGGGTGAACCCAGGCTCTGTGTCTCCTGGCCAACCGTCACTCCCCCACTCCCAACAAGCACTGGCTGATTTTCTTTTCTTTTTTTTTTTTTGGAGACTGAGTCTTGCTCTGTCGCCCAGGCTGGAGTGCAGTGATGTGATCTCAGCTCACTGCAACCTCTGCCTCCTGGGTTCAAGCAATTATCCTGTCTCAGCCTCCCAAGCAGCTGGGACTACAAGCACGCACCACCACGCCCAGCTAATTTTTGTATTTTTAGTAGAGACAGGGTTTCACCATATTGGCCAGGCTGGTCTCGGACTCCTGACCTCTGATCCACCTGCCTCGGCCTCCCAAAGTGCTGGGATTACGGGCGTGAGCCACCGTGCCCGGCCTGGCTGATTTTCATAGACAGTTGTTGGGGAACCGGAAACAGCCCCTGGGGCCAGGCGCAGTGGCTCAGGCCTGTAATCCCAGCACTTTGGGAGGCTGAAGCAGGAGGATCACTTGAGGCCAGGAGTTCAAGACCAGCCTGCCCAACATGGCGAAACCCTGTCTCTACTAAAAATACAAAAAATTAGCTAGGTGTGGTGGCATGCACCTGTAGTCCCAGCTACTCGGTAGGCTGAGGCATGAGAATTGCTTGAGCCTGGGAGGCAGAGATTGCAGTGAGCCAAGATTGTGCCACTGCACTCCAGCCTGGGTGATGGCGAGGCACTATCAAGAAAGAAAGGAAGAAAGAAAGAAAGACAGAGAGAGAGAGAAAGAAGGAAGGAAGGAAGGAAAGAAAGAAAAAGAAAGAAAGAAAGAAAAAGAAAGAAAGGAAAGGAAGAGAGAAAGAAAGAGAGAAAGAAAAAGAAAGAGAGAAAGGAAAAGAAAGAGAAAGAAAGGAGGGAAGGAAGGGAGAAAGGGAGAATGGAGGGAGGGAGAGAGGGAGGGAAGGAAGGAAGGAAGGAAGGAAGGAAGGAAGGAAGGAAGGAAGGAAGGAAGGAAGGAAGGGCTGGCCCCTGGGCTGGAGTCAAATGCCCAGAACTGAACAGGGATGGGGGCAGTCAAGAAGAGAAGGCCATGTTTGCTCAGACAAGCTTGGGTCCACCTTCCCCAGCTCAGTCCAGACAAGTATTGGCTTTGGGCAAGTCCCAAAGAAAGAAATACATTACCGGCAGGGTGGGGAGGGAGGGCTGGGCCTGGGGACCCCTCACTGTGCTCTTCACTCCCTCACTCCCTCATTCAATCGCTTACCCAACAATTCCTACAGCTTGCTAGGCACTGAGATAGGCAACAACAGCCGCATCCCAGGTCTATATCAAAGAGCTGATGGTGACCAGGCAAAGATAGCACATAGGTTGAGGACTCAGGAGAACAAGAGAGGCTCTCAGGAACTCAAGAGAAGAGGTTCCTCCTGGAGGAGGTTCTGCTGAAGCTGAGACCTGCATGCTGAGTAAGTGCTGGGCAAAGTTGTCCAGGAAGGAGGAACAGCATGTTTGAGGGACAGGAGGCTGGCAATGAGGCTGTGTGGCTGAGGATCCAATGTGAGACCAAGGGCAAAGCAATGGGCTGTGGGCCATCCTGAGGGCAACAGAGAAGCCTTGCTGGGTTGCTGTGAGAATGAAATGAGTCGAAATAATAGTAATGCCTAACGACAGCTAGAATTTATTGAGGGACTGCCACGTGCCAGGTGGTCTCTTACTGGGGTGGGCCACATGTCTGGCTCATGGTAAGTGTTCAGAGCTTGCTTGTGGGGAAGCACATGAATAGCGTGAAGGCCTGGCAGCATGCGGACCTGGGTTGTTTTTGTTTGGTTTGTTTGTTTGTTTGTTTGTTTTTGAGAGAGTCTTGCTCTGTCACCCAGGCAGGAGTGCAGTGGCGCCATCTCAGCTCACTGCAACCTCGCTTCAAGGTTCAAGTGATTCTCCTGTCTCAGCCTCCCAAATAGCTGGGATTACAGGCACGTGCCACCATGCCCGGCTAAATTTTTTTTGTATTTTTAGTAGAGACGGGGTTTCACCATGTTGGCCAGGCTGGTCTTAAAACTCCTGACTCAGGTGATCCACCCACATCGGCTCCCAAAGTGCTGGGATTATAGGCATGAGCCACGGCGCCCAGATCCATGAATGGTTTTAATCAGGGAAGGAGGGTGGTCATATTTATGTGGAGTGAAACACAGCTGGAGGCAGGGAGGGAACCCAGCGGGAAAGCAGCAAGGCTGGTGAGGCTGAGGCCAGGGGTGGGATGGAAGAGGAAGTAGAAGACGGAAGAAATGAGGAGCCAGGGATTTCTCCTGGGAGCACAGGACTGTTTCAGAGCTGACAACTCATCCTCGCTCCCCTATTTCTCAGAGTCCCAGAGAGGGCAGGCGCAGCAAGCTGGC
Organism: Homo sapiens; assembly: GCF_000001405.40. Classification (NCBI taxonomy): domain Eukaryota; kingdom Metazoa; phylum Chordata; class Mammalia; order Primates; family Hominidae; genus Homo; species Homo sapiens. The sequence goes on along the minus strand of NC_000001.11, from coordinate 33,134,741 downwards.
AGCTGCTGTGGGCCAAGAACCCAGAGACCCGCATGTACTCCTAGCACCAAGAGAAAATTCCTGCAGTCTCCCATGCCACAGCTTCCCTGCGTAAACATGTCTGGTGCCAGGGAGCTCACTATCTGTGCAGCAGCCCATCCTACTACCGGATTAGGAGGTCTTTCTTTCCATGGGTCCCCTTGTGTCTCTGGTGGTCCTAGCTCTGTCTTCTGACCCCCTCCTTTCCATAGGATAGTCCTTTAAAGGCCCTCCATTTACTCCTTTTCCAATGACTCCTTCCCATTCTTCAACTAAATAAACAGAGGCAGTATTATTGGATTCCTCTGCTACCTAAGCGCCTTAGCTAACATGGGAAAAGAGTCCACCTGCACTTAATTCTTGGCCCTGCCACTTAACCAGCTGTGGACCTTAGGCCAGACACTTCACCACGATAGCCTCAGATTTCCCATCTGGAAAATAGGAACAAAAATACCTACCCTTGCTGGGTTGCTGTGAGGATCAAATGAGTCGAAATAACAGTAATGCCTAATGACAGCTAAAATTTATTGAGGGACTGCCACGTGCCAGGTGGTGTCTTACGGGGCTGGGCCACATGCCTGGCCCACGGTAAGTGTTCAGAGCATGCTTGTGGGGAAGCACATGGATAGCATGAAGGCCTGGCAACATGCGGATCTGGGTTCAAATCCTGCCTCTGCCCCTTATAAACGTTTTAGCCTCAGAGAAGCCAGCCTTGGCATCACAGCTTCACCAGCTGGTAAGTGGTAACAGCAGAGGCAGCTCGCCAGGTTGAGTAAGATAAGGCATGTAAAGCATCTGGTGGTATTAGGATCACATCTCTCCCTTTGGGTCCACAAGCAAGTACCCAGCACCTTCTAAGTGCCAAACACTAGGGGAAGAACAATTGGCCACTTGCCCAAGGTCACTCAATCTTTGCCTCTCAGCCTGCTTTTTCTCTGCACCATGCCTCCTCCGTGTCGTGGGAGCCCAGTGTTGTGTGGGCCAAGGCTGCTGAGGGCCAGAAGCACAGCCTGCCCTGGGGGAGCAGTCCACTGCCCTTGCCCTAACACCCCATCTCTTTGGCCAGACGTGGGTGGCTTACAAGCTGCAGTGCCCTGATGCCCCATCCCTTTGGCCAGGCATGGGTGGCTTGCAAGCTGCAGTGATCACCATCCCGGCCCTGCTCTCCTCATCCACTCTGCTGGTCATCAGCTGTATAAATGGAAAACGTGCCGCCGGTGGTCCCAGGTCACCTGCCCCAGCCCACCATCCCCATGAGGGGCCCAGGTAAGCCATTCAAGGTCCACGATGACAGGGAAGATCCACTGCTCTTTTACTCTTGGTCTTATTGTGCAAAACACCCAGGAAAGGCCCTATCAGATCTGTATTGCCCAAAGGTGTGACATTTAAGAGTGACATTAAAAAGAGAAACTCTCCTTCCTCTCTTGAGGCGACAGGGACAATGTGCTTAGCTGGATAAAGCCTCGCAGAGGCCATGAGCACTGTCTTTGGCCTCACAGCCTCCGTTGCCCTTGTCCAGGATCTGTTGAATGTTACTCACCAAGCCCTTGGGTCAAGGAAGGTCCATTCTGCTGCCCTGTAACTGTAACTGTAAGTGACTATGGGCCAAGGCTGCCCTCGACCCCACAGTGTCTCTCTCCTGACCCACTGGGCCTGATGGGGCCTCCGCAGGGAACCTTACCAAGGAGCACAAAGCCTCCTCCAAGGAGTGCACTCCTGGTTTCACCCCAGCTGAGGTGTGGCTTATCACATTATCCAGGGCTTGCAGCCCTTAGAATTTTCCACTTCTCCCATCTTAAAACATTCCCCCATGCTTTTCTGAAGTATTGGAGTTACAGGAGGTGCCTCTCATGCCGCTAATTTTAAAAGCCCAGAATTCTCATCACTACCCAAGATCTCAGGACATCTAGTCTGACTATGTGTCAACCACAAGGTTCATGGTTTCTTCCACTCATCCAATGACACTCAAGTGCGTGCCATGTGCCAGGAGTGCCAGGTGGTGAGTTTATAACAAATGAGACCCAGAATTAGTAAGCCAGTGGTTAGAAAAGAACAATGACAACAGAGTATGAGAAGTGCATGTATGGGATACAGGGGTCTGTGGGAGCATAGAGAAGGAGCAACTAACCAGTCAGGAGAGGAAGGTTAGGGGGAGCCTCCAAGAAGTGGCATCTGAACTGAGACCAGAAGGATGACTAGGCACTTGCTGGAAGGAAGGAGTGAAAGGATAGTCCAGGCAGAGGGAACAGAAAGTACAGTTTAGGGGTTGACAAACTATGGCCCACCTCTTGGTTTTGGAAATGAAGTTTCACTGAAACACAGCCATGTCCAATCACTTATGTATTGTCTCTGGCAGCTTTTGCTCTGCAGGGCAGAATGAAGTAGTTGCAAAAGAAACACTAAGAATTACAAAGCAAAAGAAGTATTGACTATCTGGCCCTTGACAGAAAAGGTTTGCTGACCCCTAGAGACTGGAGAGCTCACGCTGCCTTTTAGGGAACATAGTGGCTGGAGGGTAAGGGTGGGAAAAAAGCAGTAGGCAGCTCACAGTGCGTTCTTCCCATAGCCGTAGCAGCTGGATCCAGAGTAGATACACCCTGATTTAAACTGAGCTGATCAGAGTCTGTCTTCTCAGAAATTGGAATGTGGGATGTCAAATTCAAAAATGGAGCCCGGTCACATTAATGCCTGTGAAGCTCTGCTGCGAAGGCCCCTCGAGCCTGCTCCTTGCCCAGACTGCTCAATCAACCATGCCTTGATTCAGAAGGCCCTTGCAATCAATTCCCCTAACATTTAATTTTCATTTCCCCTCAAGGTTTCTGTTACTTTCAATGAAAAAAAAACAAACCTTTCATTAACTAAAATTAAAGTCACTGAGAGAGATAAAGTTGGTAGGGAATACAGATTTAGTCAGTGAGGTCCAACATAAATATAATGTGAGGTATATTTAATAGATAATTTTAAATTTCCTAATAGCCATATTTTGGCTGTTAAATTTTCTAATAGCCAAAATAAGTAAAATCTATTATTTAAATTAATTTCACTAATTTAAAAAGAAATGTGTGAAATTAATTTAATATATTTTAATTATTTATTTTATTTCTTTTAAACATACAAAATGTTATCCAATGATAATACTAAAATCAATATTCAATATTTAAAAATTATTGAAATCGTTTACAATCTTTTCTTTTGAACTACATCTTTGAAATCTAGGGTGTATTTTACACTTATAACACATTCAATTTGGACTGGCCACATTTCAAGTGTCTCATAGCCACAGGAAGCCGGTGGCTAACATAACAGACAGCACAGATTTAGACCCTCAGAGCCCTGCAGGAGTGGCTAAAAAGTCCTAGCCTCAATCTTACTGTTTCTCTGCAACCAAGTTATGAACAGTATGAAGGCAGGGACTTGTGTGTTTACTTGTTTGTCCCCAGTGCCTAGCACAGAGAAAGCACTTAGTAAACATTTGTGGAGAGAATGGCTAGATGAAGAGGAGAATGGTATACCATACACTTTGACAAGTAAATCAAACTCAGGAAAGAGAATTCCCTCCAGCTCTTCCTTGATTCTATTTTTCTGCATTATTTCTTCCCCAGCTCACAGTGGCTGTTTTCTTTGACCAACCTTGAGTCTGCTTTGTTGATCTATCTTGTTGTTGCCAGAAATCTCAAGGAGCCACTTTTAAAACTCATCCCCAGTGACCTGCATGCTGGCAGCTCTAGCAAATACCATCCCTCACATTACCAAACACTGGCATTGCTCTCTCCTCTGCCTTATCCCTCCTTCCCACATCCAACTCCATTGCCAAATGTCTTCTGTTCTTTTTCCAGACATATCTCAAATTCATCTTCTGCTCTTCACCTGCACAGCCACTGCACAATTCAGGTTCTCATTATTAGAGAGATGGCCTACAACCACCACCCTCTCCTAATTTCTCTACTTCTGTCTTTGCTTCTAATCCCTCTGTATTAGTTATCTATTGCTGCCTAACAAATTACCTTAAAATTAGGTAAAACTTAAAACCACGAATATTACTTATCTCCCTTTCTGAGGGTCAAGAACCTGGGTATGGCTTAACTGGGTCCTCTGGCTTAGGGCCTCTCACATGGCTGCAATCAGGTGTTGGCTGGGGCTGCAGTCATTCTAAGGCTTGCCTGGGGGAGGATCTACTTTCAAGCTCACTCACAGCTGTTAGAAGTCCTCAAGTCCTTGCTAGCCGTTGATTAGTCATCTGTTCTTTGACACATAGACCTACCCACAGGGCAGTTCACAAGATGGCTGCTGTGTTCCCTAAGAGCAAGTGAGCAAGAGAGCAAGAGAAGGTGCCCAAAACAGAAGCCACAGGGAGTTTTTGTAATCGAATCTCAGAAATGACAACCCGTCACTTCTAACATATTCTATTCATTAGAATGGAATCAATAAATTCCATCCATACTCAACGGGAGGAAATCACACCAGGGTGTGAATACTGGGATGTGAAATCATTAAGGACAACTCAGAGACTGCCTACCGCATCCTCTTCCTTGCCTCCTAGTGCACCATCTAAAGTGCAAAGCTACGGCCAGGTGCAGTGGTTCATACCTGTAATCCCAGCACTTTGGGAGGCCAAGGCAGGTGGATCACGTGAGGTCAGGAGTTTGAGACTAGCCTGACCAACATGGTGAAACCCCATCTCTACTAAAAATACAAAATTAGCCAGGCATGGTGGCTCATGCCTGTAATCCCAACTACTCGGGAGGCTGAGGCAGGAGAATCGCTTGAACCCGGGAGGCAGAGGCTGCAGTGAGCCAAGATGACCCCACTGCACTCCAGCCTGACCAACAAAAGCAAAACTCCGTCTCAAAATAAATAAATAAATAATGTGCAAAGCTGACCTCCTCTCTCCCCCGCTCAGAAATTCTGATGACTTGCTGATACTTCGGAACATCACCCTTTATTGTCCAAAAGATCACCAGAATGGGTAAATAGTAGAAAAGGAGAGCTTTATCGGTGATATTAGTTTGCAAACCAGGAAGAGAATCTCCAGTGTGGACCAAATGTGTTTTCTCTTCGAGAAGGGAAGGAGCAGGTTGGGTTTTATGCCTCACAAGGTCCATATTTACACAAAAGAGTCATACATATTTAGCAGATTGTGGGGGAAGACTATATATATTTATGAGGGGAGCTGAGTGCATGCACAATGCGTAAACATATATGTAACACTCATCCCATGCTCACTTTGGGGCAGAATTTTAGCATTAAAATGAGGTAGAATTTGACTCTTTATATCAAAAGATGAACCACAGGACCCAAAGACAGTCTGTGTACCGCCTTTATCAGCTGGTGAAACTGGCTTAAGGTCTGCAGTTGCTTATCAGAAGAGAATGTTTGTAAGGCCGGTCCTCTGTCCAATCAGAGTTGTAGTGGTCTTGGGTTGTAAATCAGAGTTAGGAGGGATATGATGAACCCCCAACCCATAAGTAACTTTAACTTTGGTTTCTTTAATCTTAGGGTCTGTCTTAGTTGATAAGAAGTGTCTTCTTAGATCACTTCTTCGTAATATGCCCCCAATCTCCATTCCATTCTTACCTTCCATCCTATACTCCGGTTCCCAGAAAGGGCTCTGAATCATCAAACTACCATTCCCTTGTACACGCCAGTGCCCTGGTCTGGAATGCTCCCCTCAACTTCCCCAGACTTTTCTACCTGGCCAACTCCTACTCATTCACCAAGACCTGCTGCTTTTGCCACGCCTGTCCTAATCCTGGCCGGCAGCTTTATCTATCCCTAATCAGACCTCCCTTGGTGCCCTGTGCTTTCCACTAACACAGCACTTACCACACCAAATCACAATTATCTCCACTTGGATATCTGAAAAGATCTCAAATGAAACATGTTCAGAAGTTCATTTCTACTGATTTTTCCATAAGTAGGATTTAGTAGGAGGTGGATCTTGAAGCCATCCATTCTGACTTCTCCCAGAAGCCTTGCCCCTGGTCTGAGAGACAAGTTATAGGACCTCACCAACTTCATTAAAATTACAAAAATGCCCAGAGAGCAGCCACTTTGTAATAGGATGCTACCAAATAAATACATCTGATGCTTTAAAGGCAATTAGGATCATAACAGGCTCCCTGTAGACACAGGAAGAGGGTGGGGCAGGTATAGTGATTGAGATTCAGATTAGGCAGAGACTTTCCCAATCTGCCTCCACTAGTTGCTATCTGTTCTAGACAAGTTACTTCATACGTAAGCCTCATTTCTCAATTTGTAAATGAAAATAACTTACCTGGTTACTGTGGTTACCATGTGTCAGGTGCTGTTCTGAGTGCTTTAAATACGTTAAATTTTTTGTTCTTTTGGAGACGAGGTCTCACTCTGTTGCCCAAACTGGAGTGCAGTGCCCCACTCACGGCTCACTGAAGCCTCGACCTCCCAGGCTCAAGCAATCCTCCTCCCACCTCAGCCTCCAGAGTAGCTGGGACCGCAGGTGCTTGCCACCACGCCTGGCTGATTTTTTTTTTTTTTTTTTTTTGGAGAGGTGGGGAGTTTCACTATTTTACCCGGGCTGGTCTTGAACTCCTGGGCTCAAACAATCCTTCCACCTTCGGCCTCCCAAAGTGCTGGGATTACAGGTGTGAGCTACCGTGCCCAACCTAAATATGTTAAATTTATTTATCTTTAGAATAATGGTATAAGGTAGATACTATTATCCTATTTTACAGAGTCAGAAACTGTGGCAGAGAGTAACTTAGGCCAGGATACACAGCTAATAACTGGCAGAACCAGGATTCCAACACAGGCAGTGGAGGGTAGGAGTCCTTGTCATTAAGACGCACTGCACAGGCCTGTGTCGATTAATTGAATAATGCGAGTGAAGGCGAGAGCAGGGCCTGGCAAGCAGTAGGCACGCTTGATTATTTTAAAATGTAAAACTCCTTGGCCTAGAGATCAAGAATTATTTCAAAGACCTTTATATTCTGCGTGAACCCAGCAGGTGTTTTCCCTCGCATATGAAATTGATGGTTGAGAAGGACATCGGAGACAAGTCTTAGGTTCGTACAGCCTTTCGGTTCTTTTACCCAGATCCTCCGTTTTTAAGTAGAAGCGAAAGTAGCTGATGCGCAAATAAGCCCACTTCCGGTGTTACCCTGGGCCTTTTTCCAGCTGAGCAGAGATAAGGTCGCCCGCTTCCCACGCCGCCTCAGTCCCGGGTTGACCCCTTTCCCGTGAGAGCCCCGCCCTCGGCGAAGGTTCGGTTTAACATTGGTTGAGGTTGGAAGACTGAGCTGCGCCTCTCCGTCTTTCAACCAATGGACTTCCCTGTTCCTTCTCACCGTTTGGTAAAGTCGGTCCCTCCTCCCAGCCGCCAGAGGGCGCGACATCGCGTGGCTCGAAGCCTAGAAGGCTCTCGAATACGGAAGTGACTTTACGCTACCGGAAGACCGTGGCTTCAAGGGATGGGGGCCGTGAGCTGGGGGTTCCGGTGGCTGGAAGCTGAGCAGTCATGGTTCCGCCAGGCAATCGTTTCCACTTCTGAGAGTCTCATATGCTCAGATGAGAAAACGGAGGCTTTTGGAGGAAGGAGCTTCTCATATTTACACAGCGAAAAACTCCTCAGACAAGCGCGCTTCCCATACGACTCACCAGGACAAAGGGACGATCCATGAGGGTATTTGCTCAGCCTGAGGAATCCCTGAGGCAAGTCTCACAGAACTGTGCCCATTCCACAGATGGAGAAAGCGAAACCCAGAGAGGGACATGCAGCGTACAGGGACTTGCCAGAGTAGGGTTACCATATTTAGCAAATAAAATGCAGGATGCCCAGTTGAAGTTGAATTTCAGGTAAACGACGAGTAATGCTTTAGTATAAGACTATCCCAAATATTGCAATGAGACACGTATGCTAAAAAATTACTCATTGTTTTTCTGAATTCAAATTTATCTGGATGTCCTGTATTTTATTTGGCGATCCTACCCCAAGGTCACCTAACTGAGTGGAAAAACAGAAAGCGCTATTGGGGGGGTCCTACGTGCCTCCCTGCCTGGGGCTCACTAGTGTATGGAGCTGGCTTGTTCCCAGGTGCTATTCTGAGGTTATTTTAAAGGCCCCCAGCTCATGCCAGTCAATGGTCTTCCTAGTGCAGGATCTAGACCTATTCAGGAGCTGACAAGGAGCCACATCCCCCACTCCCATTCAGGGGTACCGCACCACCACCACCCAAACTAGTTTATTCAAAAGACACTAAGTGTCTACTCTGTGGTAAGCACAGTCTTAGGTTCCAGATCACACTAGAAAGTAGGAGAAACACTCCCTGTCTTTATGGAATCAATAGGATTAGATACGCAGGAAGACAAGTATTTAGAGAGGAAAACTACAGTACATTGTGATCAGTAGTTCTTTAATAGGGACAAATACAGGATGCATGAAAGCCCGGAGATGGAACCCCTAATGAAGGAATAGAAAGTAAGAGAAAGGAGAGAGACACCCAAGCTGAGGCCTGAAAGATTCATTCCTTCATTCAGTAATTTCTTGAACATCTACATGAAGGACAGTATTCTAGGCACTGTGGACCCAGCAGTGAACAAAATAAACAAATCTTTGCCCTCAGAACTTAATTCTAAGTGAAATGTATAATATGTTAGACAGTGATCTATGGAGGAAAAAGTAAGGCTCTGAAGGGGATTATAGAATGCTGGGGCAGGAATGGAAATGTTACAGTTTTTTTGTTTGTTTGATTTAGAGATGGCATCTCACTATGTTGCCCAGGCTGGCCTCAAATTCCTGGGCTCAAGTGATCCTCCTGCCTCAGCCTCCCAAAGTGCTGGGATTACAAGAATGAGCCGTCACTCCCAGCCTGAAGTGGGTAGTCAGGAAGTTCTCACTGAGAACATTACATTTGAGCAAAGACCTGAAGGGATGAGGGAGAGAGATCTATGCAGAGATTTGGGGTTGTAAGTGTGTCTGGCATGTTACAGGAAAGGAAAGGAAAGGAAAGGAAAGGGCGTGTGATGAACAAGATTCCAATATGATAGCTTTCTAAGGGATTTTCAATGATAATTTTGACCATATGATTCTTGCCTTAAATATGGTCTTTAGAGCCTCATCCCTGTAAAATATGACCACATAAGTTGGTGGGGGCTACTTTGAACAGGATGTTTGGAAAAGGCCTTCTTGAGATGGCAACATTCAAGCCGAGGCCTTTAAGATGAGAATGAGCCAATGCTGGAGTAGCTAAGGGAACAGCAAAGGCGAAGACTTGGAGGCAAGAAAGAAGTCAGTAAATGTGAGAAACTGAAATGTGAGAAAAGAGTGGCATGAGATGAGGTGGGAGAGGTGGGCAGGGGTCTCAGGCAATTTAGCTTTTTTTGGCATCGCAGCGGAAATCAACTGAAGGGCTTTCAGCAGAGGACTGACAATCAGATCATTTTACTGGTTGAATTTACACAGGCTTAGCTGTTTACCTAAAGGTGCCAGGAAGAGGGTTTAAAATGGAGCAAAGGGATGAGTGGAACCCCTGTCCTCTTGCCTCCCCTTTGTTCCCTTTACAGCTGGAATGAGATGGCTTGGGCAGGTGGGTTTCCTAGGTGAGAGATGACTCCCACCCAGAGAGCCACCATCTCCCTCTGAGCTGGGGTGAACAGAGTTGACAACTTGCGTCTCTCTGACCTCCTCAAAGTTTCCTGGTTGGATCCCATTACTGGGTATATACCCAAAGGATTATAAATCATGCTGCTATAAAGATGCATGCACACGTATGTTTATTGTGGCACTGTTCACAATAGCAAAGACTTGGAACCAACCCAAATGTCCATCAATGATAGACTGGATTAAGAAAATGTGGCACATATACACCATGGAATACTATGCAGCCATAAAAAAGGATGAGTTCCTGTCCTTTGTAGGGACATGGATGAAACTGGAAACCATCATTCTGAGCAAACTATCACAAGAACAAAAAACCAAATACTGCATGTTCTCACTCATAGGTGGGAATTGAACAATGAGAGCACTTGGACACAGGTTGGGGAACACCACACACCGAGGCCTGTCGTGGGGTTGGGGGACGGGGGAGGGATAGCATTAGAAGATATACCTAATGTAAATGATGAGTTAATGGGTGCAGCACACCAACATGGCACATGTATACATATGTAACAAACCTGCACGTTGTGCACATGTACCCTAGAACTTAAAGTATAATAAAAAAAAAAGTTTCCTGACTGGGTCTGCCTTTCAGACTGTGGGCAGAGGTGAAGGAAGTACATGCCACTACCAGCCCTGAAGGTCTCCTCCCTCCACCCCTTTTGAGTATACTTTTTTTTCTTTTTTTTATTTTGAATACACTTTCAATTAATCTTCCCAAAGATCCTGACGTGCTTCTTCTGCTCCAGAAGCATAGCGGGCTCCCTACTGCCTACAGAATTAAGTTCAAACTCCTGGCTTTGTAATTCAAGGTCCTCTGTGACCATGCTGCACTGTGAGCTCCCTGAGAACTCAGAGGAGTGCTAAGTCCTGGACTAAGTACTTTATACCCATTTTCTTTTTTTATTTTTTATTGTTTATTTTTTTGAGATGGAGTCTTGCCCTGTCGCCTAGGCTGGAGTGCAATGGCAGGATCTCGGCTCAATGCAACCTCCGCCTCCCAGGTTCAAGTGATTCTCCTGTCTCAGCCTCACAAGTAGCTGGGATTAGAGGTGCACGCCACCATGCCTGGCTAATTTTTTGTATCTTTTTTTTTTGAGATGGAGTCTCACACTGTCATCCGGGCTGGAGTGTAGTGGTGTGATCTCAGCTCACTACAACCTCCACCTTCCAGTTCAAGTGATTCTCCTGCCTCAGCCTCCCAAGTAGCCAGGATTACAGGTGCCGCCACCACACCCAGCTAATTTTTTGTATTTTTAGTAGAGACGGGGTTTCACTGTTTTGGCCAGGCTGGTCTCAAACTCCTGACCTCGTGATCCGCCTGCCTTGGCCTCCCAAAGTACTAGAATTATAGGCGTAAGCCACCGCTCCTTGCCAATTTTTTGTATCTTTAGTAGAGATGGAGTTTCACCATGTTGGCCAGGGTGGTCTCAAACTCCTGACCTCGTGATCCACCAGCCTTGGCCTCCCGAAGTGCTAGGATTACAGGCATGAGCCACCACAGCTGGCCTTATACCCATTTTCTTATTTAATCTTCACAATAACCCTCTGAGGGAAATAAAGTTATCAGCCACATTGTACAAATGAGTAAACAGATTCAGACAGGTTAAGAGCATGTTTATTCAGACAGATTCAGACATGTTTATTCATTTGCCCATCCAGCATATACTTTTTGAACACCTACTCCGTTCTAGGTAATAAGGACACAGCAGTGAAAAAATAAATCAGGTTTATTCCAAGAGCCTAGAGCTCACATTCTAGAAGGGCTGACAGTTGCCCTTGTGTTATGGAACACATTATGGAGTTATGTTATAGAGTATGTTGAGTGGTGGTAGGTACTATGAAGAAAAAGAAAACTAGTTAAGAGAAAAGAGAGAGACTAGGACATGCTATTTTCTAAAGGGTGATCCAGAAGGCTTCACCTAAAGAAAACATTTGCACAGAACCTGAATGAAGTGAGTGAGGCCCACAGATAACCCAGGAAGATCATTCTAGAGAGGGGACAGTAAATGCATGCCCAGCAGTGGAGTGTTTGAAGAACAGAGGGGAGGCCAGTGTGGCCAGGACCCAGTGCGTGAGAGGGAAGTGTGGGAGTCAGAGAGCCAGCTGGCCAAGGACTTTAAATTTCATTCTTGGTGAAACGGAATCCCAGGAGGTACGGCATCTGGCTGCTGAGTGGAGGATGGACTGTGGAGGGGAAAGGGGAAGAAGGGGCCAGTCCTGAGTATGAGAAGATGGAAGCTCAGATCTGTTAACTCCTTGAAGGAGAGAATGAGAGAGAGTGAGTGTGCGCGCAGGAGGGGCTTCAGGAGGCACAGGTGGGTTGTAGGGAGGCATTGGGAAGAGGATGTTCCTCAGGTGATGCCCCAGGGAAGGATGGGTCTGTGATAGGCCAACAGGAACATCTGACTTCCAAGGCAGCCAGGAGGCATGAGGAGCCACTGCCAGTGGGTCGCTCAGCAGGGAGCTTGGAGGAGGCAGTGCCCATGCAGCCAGGGGTCCAGGAGACCCCTGCTTAGATTCGCCTGCACAAGCCTGAAGCCCCTTACCATTCTCCACATTTCAGGCTTTTTTCTTCTCTTTAGAAAAAGATTGAAATAAGAAACAAAAACAAATAACTGGGAAAAAATGACTATTAACTATTATCCTCAAGTAAGCCACATCAAGTTCTGCGTGTATCTTTCTTGGAAAAGTAAATTTCACATCCTTGCTGCAAATGGAACATGAAACACTAGAAAGGCTCCAGTGAGAAATCCATCCAAACTCCATGACAGCCACTGTCATTTCAAAAGCCACAGAATGCCCCCTCAGTGGACTTGCTCAGAAGAGGGAATCAGCTACACCTGGGTCTCACTGTAGCCAGCCATGAGATCTTCCCAGGATTCCTGCGCTTTTCACAGCAGATGCCTGGTTCCAGCAGAAAACCTATGTCCCTCTCCGCAAAAGAAGTATGAGTGCTTGGAGATCTGAGATGGAAGAAGTCTCAGAGTCTGATAGACAATTACTGGCATGGTAATACCTGTAAATCGTGGCTTTGATGGATCACGGGGTAGTAGAGTAACCCTTTCTGATTGCCCTGAGTCTTTTGATGTCCCAAGCTTTCAGCCTATTTATTGTCAAGATACCGAAAACTAGATCCCACCTGGAAAAGGGAGACACCCCTGGCTTTGAGAAAGCACCTCGTTCACTCCAAACCCATGCCACATTGCCTCATGAGATGACCTCAAAGCCACGTACAGTTCCCACCAGGACTGGCTGAGATACTGAAGCAGGATGGTCAGGCTTACCTAGAGAGAAGCTCAAGTGAAGATAGAAAATCCATCACAATACAATGTCCAGAATAAGCAAATCCATAGAGATGGAAGGTAGATTTGTGTCATCAGGGACTGGGGAATGGGAAAAATGGAGAGTGACTGCTAATGGGTATGGGATTTCTTTCTAGGGTGATGGTTACACAACTCTGAATACACCAGAAACCACTAACTTCTCCACTTTATTTATTTATTTCTTTATTTGAGGCAGGGTCTCGCTCAGTCGCCCAGGCTGGAGTGCAGTGGTGCAATCTCGGCTCACTGCAACCTCGGCTCACTGCGACCTCCACCTCCCTGTTCAAGTGATTCTCCTGCCTCAGCCTCCTGAGTAGCTGGAATTACAGGCACATACCACCACACCTGGCTAATTTTTGTATTTTTAGTAGAGACGGGGTTTTGCCATGTTGGCCAGGCTGGTCTCGAACTCCTGACCTCAGGTGATCACCTGCCTCAGCCTCCCAAAGTGCTGGGATTACAGGTGTGAGCCACTGCACCCAGGCTTCTGCATTTAAAAGGGTGAATTTGATGATTGCATATGAATTACATCTCAAATCTTTTAATTGCAGCAGAAAAATATTTAGAGTCCCCTGCAGCCACTGAGGGGGACTCTAAAATCTGAACTCCTTTGCTCAACAGCTCACACACCCCGGGGCATAATTTGGGAACCCGGCAGTGTGAAGGAGCCTTTGTCCTGATAAGCACTGCCAGTCTCAGGGGATGCCAGGGCTGTCGGCACTGGACACAGCAATACTCCGTGGCCAGCCCTGTTCTAACAGGCACTGCCCAAAGAAGCAAAAGCGACCACCAGGTGTCTGCTTTACTCTGACTGCCTTGCCAACCTGCAGGGAGAGCAAGGGTGCAGGGTCCACTCAAAACCTCCCACACACCCATTTCTTGGCTCTGTATCTTCAGTATGAATTTCCACAGCTGTGTTAAATACTCCATTGCCCCTACTCTGGGCCAGGCCTTAAGCTGGGTGTTGGGCTGACCCAAAGGCCATTCACCAGTTATGAGCTACGTAACTGCCCATCTCAGTCCCTGACAGCAGCCCCTTCCTTATGGCACCAGGCCTGGAGGCCCATGAGGAGGAGAGAGATGAGTCAGATAAGGTGAGTACTAGTGGGGGAGGCACACGCTGCAGCCAGGGCTCAGGACTAAAGCAGAGGGTGTGGGCTCATCAGTGAGTGATGGGGAAATCCTGCCCCAGGCCTAGCCCAGGCTGCTTTGTGAATCAAACTGCCAGATTCCGCTGCAGTTTTTAAAAACCTAAATATTTATTTATTTGCATTATATTTACAAAGGTGGGAAGGAGACCAAAGGAGACCCCAAGAACACCCCCACACCTGGCTGACCAGGCCCCTTGCACTGCAGAGGAGGCAGACACAGCTGGAAGGAACAGGATTTATGTTGCATACTTGAACTACAGCGAGTGTAAGACTGGTCCTATTTACAGGGCAGAAACACTGCAGGTGGAGCGCGGGGGTGGCAGGGTGGGCACCAGAGTCCTGGCCAAGGGTACCCTTGCCTGCCATCTTCCCCACCTCTCCCAGATGCATCTCTGAGGCCCCGCTGGGATTCTCCGGGGGGAACGAGGCCCACTCACATGATGCTCGCTGGGGTGAAGACAGGGCCCACGCACAGGGTGTCTGTGATCTCCCAGCCGCAGGACAGAGGCTTGCACACACCCTCCACGTCATCCTCCTGTTCTGCAGCCATCAGCTGCCTTCGCAGCGCTTCCCTAGGGGTGAGAGAGGGGTGCTGCAAGTAGCCAGCATGGGACTGGCAGGGCCCTGTACCTGGAGACGCAGCCCCATTGGGCAGAGGGCTCTCACGTGAGCCCGAGCTCAGCTGAGGGCAGGGGCAGGGACAGGCTGCTGACCCCTCCCCAACTGCTTCCTACTCCCGTGTGGTCCCCACCCCTCAACAAGGGAAAGAAATCCACATGTATCGAGCATTTACTACATGCCAGACATCATGCCAGGCACTTATATTATCTATTTGTATCTTCCCAAAAACCCCATGAGGGAGGCATTACCATCCCCGTTGCATTGATGATGTAATCAATCAGTTCCCCAGAGAGAGAAGTGACCTACCTAAGATCACATCCCTAGTAGGTAGTAGAACTAGGACTGAACCCAACTCTCACTCGAAAGCCCACATTCATCATACCCCAGGCTTGGGACTTCAAATAAAATCATATCCCATTCTCTCAAACAATCCCACAAACTGCTTCTCCTCCTACATACCCATGTTGATCAATGGCTCCACTATCAGAGTTGTAAACAGTTGGCAATCTTGTTCCCACACCCAGTTGAGCCCTGCTGAGCCCAGCTTCTGAACATCCTCATGTGCCCCATGGTCTCCATCCCCATGGGTAACACCATTTCAGTCTCCCTGATCTGCTCGTGCCCTCTCCAGACAGTTCTCAGCCAGGACCCAGATTCATCTTTCCAAAAAACAAATCCCTGCCCTTGAGCTGCCAGCCATTTCCCTCTGCTCTCAGGCCCTGCAAGATCTGGCTCTACCCGCCTCTTCCACCCACTCCTGGACACACTGGCCCACACACCTGAGCCATCCACTATGGCCACCTTTTGGGCTCTTACACATGTCCTCTCCCCAGCCTGGATCCATCCTTGTCTCTCTGCCTGTATCATCAACTCTCATCTAATTCCTCCTTAGCCTTCAGGTCTCAGCTTTGGTGACAGTCCTGAGACTGGACACAGCAGAGGAATTGAATGTGCCTGGGCAAACTGCTCCTGCTTTCTGTGGCCCTCTCCCTACCCCAAAAGAGGGACCCTTCACCACTGACTAGCTGCGTGACCTCAGAAGAATGACCTCTCTGTGATAACGCTGACCCCCACAGAGTGTTGTGTGGGTGAAATAGTCATACGACACCTAACGTAAGGCCTGATGTCAGGGTTCACTGGATGTGACTCCCCCATCTTGCATGCCTCTTGCCTCACTGGATCCCAGCACTAGCCTGGTGGGGCAGGCAGGGCTACTGTTACGCTTATTTTCTAGATGGAAAGACCAAGGCTCAGCAAGCAGGCAGACCAAGTCTCTCCTGTGTCACACAGCAGCCACCTAACTGGTCATCTCTTTCTGCATCTGCCCTTGTCCTCAGTCTATACAGGAACTAGGGTGGTCTTTCCAAAGTGCAAATCAGACTGTGTTATGCCCCTGCTTCAAACTGGTCCATGCCTCCCACTGCTGTCAAAGCGTGTCACTCGGCCTTCAAGCCCTTCCCAGATCTAGCCCTGCCTCCCTCTGCAGTCACAGCCACTCTCCATGCGAGCCTTGAATGCACCACACTTGCTCTCCGTTCCTTTCTTCTGGGAAGTCCTACCACCCACTCCTGTAGTTGACTCCCACTTCCTCAGGGAGGCCTGGGCCTCAGGGAGGGCTCTGCACTTCCACCAGGCACAGTATTATCACAAGGGCCTGTCTGCTTCTCTGTGCCTCCCTCAGGGCTGTGAGCTCCTCTAGGAAAGCCCAGCCTCACTTATGGCCACAGCCAGGTGCCAAGCACATCCCTCACGTGGGACCAGCAGCCAACAGCTACTTGTCAAGTTGGATTACACAGAAGCAGAATCTCAAATCTCAAGTTTCCCTCGTTTCTGCCCAGTTCCTCCCCATACCCCCATTTTCCAGCAGGGCCCTCTTACCAGGCCACCCGGGACATGGCATAGGTGATGTGGCAGGCCTGGGTCCCCCAAAAGGGGGAACCCATGCCCACAGTGTAGGCGCCCATGTTGTCAAAGACCAGCCAGTCCCCTACGTGTAGTTGCGGCAGCCACAGGCCCTCAGCCACGCAATCACAGCCATCAACCGCCGGGCCCCACAGGCTGCTGCTGTACAGGGGCTGCTCCGTGGATGGTTTCTGTAGGAAGAAGGGATGGCCATGCCAGCTCTCCTGGGCATACAACAGCCTTGCCACTCCCTCCCTCAAAAGCCTTCTATGGCTCCCATAGCCAACAGGATAAAGTCTAGATGGGCCTCCTAGCTTAGCATTTAAGGCCCTTCCCACTTCTCTGCATTCGTTGCCTCTTACACTCTGAAGTCACGAATGCCTGGCCTTAAATCCAGGTTCCAGCAGTTGTTAGCTGTGTGACCTTGGGCAAAATGCTTAATCTCTCCATGTCTCAGTTTGCTCATTTGTAAAATGGGGATAACAACAGTACCTACCTCGTAAGGTTACTGCAAGGATAAATGAGTTAGTGTATGGAGAGCATGTAGAACAGTGGCGGCACACGGCGAGGGTGCACAGAAAGTCAGCACAATTGTAACTTATTGTTGTGATTGCTGTTGTTACCACCTCTGCACTTTGGTCTTCACTGGCCTCTTTCCAGACGTCGATATGTCCACACCTCTACAGCCCTTCCCCGACCCTCAAATCTAGCCTGTCTTCTGAGCCCAGCCCTGGGGCTCCCTCGTCTATGAAGCCCTCCCAGATGTCCTCACTCCATGCCAGGCCCCACAACAGGAGCCAGCAGTATACCAGGCTAGACTCACCCTCCCTCAGGCCCTCAGTCTAATGAGAAAGATGGACTTCCAACAACAATCACAGGGGGACCTGGCAGAGGTCACAGAGGACCCCACAGAGTAGACACAATTACTCCCATTTCAGAAAAATGGAGGCTCTGACAGCTTAAATGACTTGCCCAAAGACACAACTACCAATGACATAAAATTTAAGATTTTTTCTTAAATGATTTCCAAATCCAGAAATTTGTAACAGACTCTGGACAACCAAGTTATCAGTGCCATTTGCCACAGTGTAGGCAGGGATCTTGCCAGGCAGATCCTAGAGTCACCACTGAAATGTGGATGATGATGACTGTGCCCTCTGAGAGGCCTCTTCTCCCATCACTGCACTTGCTGTGCTCCAGTTACTCCAGTTGCTCTGGGCTCCCCAGGTAAACCCTACTTCCCTTCCCATACCTCCTACTTTCCCCCATGCTATTCCCTGAGGCCCCAAATTTGCAAATTCCTATTTCTCCTTTAGATCTCAGCTAAAATGGCTTCAGGGAAGCCTTTCCTAAAGCTCCATGCTCCCTCAAGCTTTGCTTTCGTAGTATTTACCATAATTCATAAATATTTGTGAAATATCTGCTCAGGCCTGTCTTCCCTGAAGACTATAAATTCCATGAGCCCAGGGGATGTGTAGGTCTTGTCATCCCCATCTCCTCAATGCCTAGCAGGCTGGCATCCATTAGGTGCTTATTCAAATAATATTTTTAAATAAATGAATTAAAGAATGGGGAATATATGAGTGATGAGAAAGAGAAAGAATGACAAAGGGGAGAAAAAGGATATGAATGGAAGCCATCCAAAGGGCATAGATGGAAGCAACAGAGAAGACCAGCAGAGAAAAAAGGAAAGGCGTTTCAATACCTTAGCCAGAGCAGGAATGAGTAAAATTGAGAAAGAAAAGTCGCAGTTTCCATAAGCAGAAATAGTGCTCATATATTTGATAAAAAGTTAATAAGCTATTAGTCCCATTAATAAAGAAAAATATGTACATTATGTAAGTTAAGAATGATAGCTATCCAATCTTCAGGAATTCATTCATTCAACAAGTACTTATTGAGCACCTACTAATTGCCAGGCTGTGATCTAGGAGCTGGAGATGCAGCAGTAAACACACACACAAAATAAAATTCCTGTGGTCATGAAGCTCCCATTCTAAGAAGGGGAGACAAAGGAATACTGTATATCCTTGTTCATATAACTGAACATTCTTGTTTATAAACTTTTTGTTGATGAATAAAATTAACCTCAAGTGGTCTGAATTATTTCCCTTAGCCCCACTCATTGAAAAACATTAAGCTAATGTTTAAAGATGAGTGGAGGGGATGCTCTATAAATGAATCTACAAGGATCTTTGGGAAAATAAATTTTAAAGATTCTTCCATGGTAAAGAGAAAAGGCACCCTTGGATTATAAGAAGTTAGCATTCCCTCACTTGTTATTAGTGGTGTAAATTTTAAAAAATTAGGTGAAAAAAGATTTTAAATCTTCACATGACATAATGCAAAGCTACGCTTTTACTATTTATGTATCTATTTAACTTTTTTTTGAGACAGAGTCTCACTCTGTCATCGAGGCTGGAGTGTAGTGGTGTGATCTCAGCCCACTGCAACCTCTGCCTCCTGGGTTCAGCGATTCTCCTGTCTCAGCCTCCCGAGTAGCTGAGATTACAGGTGCCGGCCACCACACCTGGCTAATTTTTGTAGTTTTAGTAGATACAGGATTTTGCCATGTTGGCCAGGCTGGTCTCAAACTCCTGACCTCAGGTGATCCGCCACCTCGGCCTTCCAAAGTACTGAGATTGCAGGTGTGAGCCACTGCACCCAGCCTATTTTTTTTTTTTTAAGGAATCTGTGAAATAAATATTCTAAAAGCTGTGGCAACAAGCTTGTAAATCTCAGCTATTTTTACAAGTCTGAGTGGAAATGGACAAGCATCTGCAAAAATCCAAGATGCCCAGTCTGCCAGCCACTAGGCCCCTCTGTGAGAGAGGGCAGGGGGTTCCTCATTTACAAAGCATACCACCACCACTTCATACCTTATCTGGGAGGCAGGTGGCATGATTGCATTCCCATTTTACAGATGAGAAAACTCAGAGAGGGAAGGTGACCTGCCCAAGGCTCTAGGGGGAGTTAGTAGAACTCTGGGCAGTCCCAGACAAGGAGCCTCCTGGCTGCACCTAGCTGCCTTCTTCAAAGGCACATATGTCTGACAGAGCCACAGAAAAAACAAGGTCAAACATTGAAAAAGGTGCACGGCCTTGATGGAATCCCTAAATAATTCTTCAACTTTTAAAGAATAAATCAATAGGCTGGGCGCGGTGGCTCACGCCTGTAATCCCAGCACTTTAGGAGGCGGACACGGGCGCATCACTTGAGGTCAGGAGTTTGAGGCCAGCCTGGCCAACATGGCAAAACCCTGTCGCTACTAAAAATACAAAAATTAGCTGGGCGTGTAATCCCAGCTACTCAGGAGGCTGAGGCAGAAGAATCGCTTGAACCTAGGAGGCAGAGGTTGCAGTGAGCCAAGATCCAGCCATTGCACTCCAGCCTGGGTGACAAGAGCAAAACTCCATCTCAAAAAAAAAAAAAAAAAAAAAGGCGGGTCGCGGTGGCTCATGCCTGTAATCTCAGCACTTTGGGAGGCTGAGGTGGGTGGATCACGAGGTCAGGAAATCGAGACCATCCTGGCTAACACGGTGAAACCCCGTCTCTACTAAAAATACAAAAAATTAGCCGGGCATGGTGGCGGGCGCCTGTAGTCCCAGCTACTTGGGAGGCTGAGGCAGGAGAATGGCGTGAACCCGGAAGGTGGAGCTTGCAGTGAGCCGAGATTGCGCCACTGCACTCCAGCCTGGGCGACAGAGCGGGACTCCATCTCAAAAAAAAAAAAAAAAGAAAAGAAAAAAAAATCATCCAGTCTGGCCAACATGGTAAAGCCCTGTCTCTACTAAAAATACAAAAAAATTAGCCAGGCATGGTGGCAGGCGCCTGTAATCTCAGCTACTCAGGAGGCTGACACAGGCGAATCATTTGAACCCGGACGGAGGTTTCAGTGAGCTGAGATCGCACCACTGCACTCCAGCCTGGGTGACAGAGCAGGACTCCATCTCAAAAAAAAAAAGAAAAGAATAAATCAATAATTCGTACAAAAATATTTTAAAAGACAAAAATGAGATAAAAAGAAAAAAAAACCCTATGGCCAAAATCTCACTTGTGAATATATAGGCAAAAACCTGACATGAAATCTTAGCTAACCAAATTCACAGTCATATTATCTCTAAAATGAAAGGTGCAGACAACAGGAGAGAAGTCAATCACTGGCTTCATAACATGGAAAATATAGATCTACAGTTCAAGTTTAATTTTCCCAATACATGTCAACATACCATGAAGTAGCCCGTAGCATCTATTCTTTATTAAAACTACAGACAAAACAAAACCCCACAATGAAGAGAGACTATTTTAAATAATGATCCAACTCTGACTTCATTGAGATACACTGAAGTTCAGCCCTGTCATTTTCCAAATGGAGAAACTAGAGAAACAAGGCTCAGAGAGATTAAGTAGCTTGCTTTGCCTAAGGTTACTCAGCTGGTCTATGGCAGAGCCAGGTCTCAAACCCATGTCTTCTGATTCCAAGTCTGAAGCTTTCTGTCATCATTCCCATTTTATATATGATGAGAAATGCTAGCAATAGCTATCAGAAAAAAAGAAACAAAAAAGCATAATACATAGAAGATGAAGAAATAAAATATTACACTGCAGATAACGTATTTGCCCACCTGGAAAATCTTAAGGGGGTGGGTGTGGTTACTAGAGGAAATCAATGAATTTTAGAATGCAAGCCAGCATCTCAGCTCAAAAACACAGGGAAAAGTTTTCACTCACAATAGTAGTGAAAGCATTAAGCTATTACATTCTTGGATGTACTTGGGCCACAGTAATACTTATTCAAATAAAACAATAAAAAAATAATAAAACCAGCTGGGCGCGGTGGCTCACGCCTGGAATCCCAACACTTTGGGAGGCAGAGGTAGGCAGATCATGAGGTCAGGAGGTCGAGACCATCCTGGTTAACACGGTGAAACCCCATCTCTACCCCATCTCTCCAGGCATGGTGGCGGGCGCCTGTAGTCCCAGGTATTTGGGAGGCTGAGGCCTCCCAAGAGAATCGCTTGAGCCTGGGAGGTGGAGGTTGCAGTGAGCTGATATTGCACCACTGCACTCCAGCCTGGGCAACAGAGCGAGACGCCGTCTCAAAAAAAATAAATAAATAAAACCTTCATGGAAGAAATAAAAGATATGAAGTTTACACTGTCCTAGCTAGAAAAACTTAGTAAAGCAAAAAAGAGAATTCTCCCTAATTTAATAACTAGATTAAATAAACTATTACTAATTAAAATCCCCAGGATGTTTTTCTAAACATTAGAAATAATGTGATAAAAGAATAAATGTGAGCCTATCAAAGAATAATAATAAAGCAAATGACAAACTCAGTTTTTGTTAAATAATTTATACAAAAGAATATTTGTATCATGTCTAAGATATAACGAATGACAATAAAATGAATATCTGTGTACTTACCACCCAACTGAAGAAAGATAAAATTTCCAGTATCTTTGAAACTCCCTATGTGCCCACTCCAATGACATCTCCTCTTTCCTAACCTCTTTAGAGGTAACCACCATCCTCACTTTCATGTTCATCATTTTCTTACTTTGTTTTCCATGAGTGTACCTAACCCTAAACAATGTATTGTTTAGTTTTGCACACTTTTGAGATTTATATAAATTATAGAGTATGTAATCTCTACAAGTTCACAATACACTGTATAGAATTCACTGTACAGAATACACCATAATTTATGTTTCTGCTACCCTGCCAATAAACATTAAGGTCATTTCCAATGTTTTATATTATAAAGATATATATGTTCTGATATATCTCCTCGAACACACATGCCAAGAGTTTCTTTACAATATAGGCCTAGGAACTTGCTGTAATGTAGGACATACATATGTGCAAATTTATCTGAATAATGCCTACTTGTTTCCCAAAGTAGTGATACACCACTGCCACCTAGCAGTGCCTAAGGACCCAACTACACCATATCCTCACCAACAGTTGGCATTATCATGCTTTTAATGTTTTTCTAATCTAGTTGTTATGAAATGGTATCTCGTTTTCACTTTTATTTGCATTTCCTTGATTACCACTGAGCACCTTTTCAGTTTATCTTCTGTGAATTGCCCGGTAAAGTCTCTTGCCTGTATTTCTATTGGGTTGCTTTTTTCCTTATTTTCTTGAGATTCTTGTTTGTCTCTATTCCTTACTTAAGAATTCTTCAGGCCGGGCGCCGTGGTTCACGCCTGTAATCCCAGCACTTTGGGAGGCCGAGGTGGGTGGATCACAAGGTCAGGAGTTCAAGACCAGCCTGGCCAACATGGTGAAACCCCACCTCTACTAAAAAAAATACAAAAATTAGCCAGGCACGGTGGCGTGTGCCTGTAAACCCAGCTACCTGGGAGGCTGAGGTGGGAGAATTGCTTGGACCTGGGAGGCAGAGGTTGCAGTGAGCCGAGCCACTGCACTCCAGCCTGGGCGACAGAAAAAGACTCCGTCTCAGGAAAAAAAAAAAAAAATTATTCATATATTTTGTCTACTAATCTCTTATCAATTATATATGTGTTTCAATATTCCCCCCAGTTTGCCTCAGCTGGTCTATTTCTTATGCTGGGATCAAAACTAAACTATTTTAATTACTTTCTGTGTTAGAAGTTATATTATCTTATTTCTATTCTTGTAGTGGTTACTCTATACATTTACATTTTAACATCTCAACGTGGCATTCAATAGCTGTACCATCTATTCTTGATCAAAACTACAGAAAAATCAAAACAAAACCCCACAATGAAGACAGACCATTTCAATAAGGAACCAACTCTAACTTTGTGAAGATACACTGGAATGGCCTCACTTCAAAAAAAGAAGCAACATTAGTAATTAAAGTTCAGCCCCCTCATTTTCCAAGCTAGAGAAGTAAGACTCAGAGAGATTAAGTAACTTGCCTAAGGTTACCCAGCAAGTACATGGTAGCATTCGCCTTAGTGGCCTTCACAGTTCAGCCCTGGCCTGCACCTTCCAGCAAGATTCTCCCCCACTCAGCAGCAGGCTGCTTCTGTGCTGCATGGATTGTTGCAGTAGTCACCCTCTGACAAGTTTGCCACTGGTGGACTGCTGTTTCTGTGACACTGCAGCCTCTCCTCAAAGGTTTCAATATCAGCCTTGGAGGGAGGAGCCCTCCTCCTCTGTGTTTCTAAGTTCCTGCCTTCTTCACTCTCCCTCAGGACCAGGGGTGGTAGCTGATTTTACCCCTTTTAGTAATTGTAATGAACCACCTTTACAGTTAACCATTCTTTATGTTAAAATTTCCCTGTTCAAATTACTAGTGTGACATTTGTATCCTGATACAGTCTCTTCCTGAAACTATGATTGGACATTATGCCTTCTGACTCTATGCACCATTTCCTTAGCCTTTCCTATTTTATATCTTTTTGTCTCTGTGCTACATTTGGATACTTTCTTCAACTCTATCTTCCCATTCTCTCATTCTCTCTTCTGTTGTCTCTAATATGCTGCTTACCCTGGCCATAATTTCAATTTTCATATTTTTCATTTCTAGTTCTATTTAATCCTTTTTAAAATCTGCTACAACATATTTTTATATTCACTTATTCTTTGGTCATATTTTCAATTTCTTATTTCTTCAAACATTGTAAAAGAATGTTAGCACCTGATAATTCCAATATATGAAGTAAACGCAGGTCTGATCTGCTACCTATTGCTTTTGCGGTTCTTCCTCACGATGACTTGTTTCTTTGTATGTTGTGATTTTTGACTGTGAGCTCATGTACTTTGAAACCTTATCAGTGAGAAGCCTAAACTGAAGATTCCTCCTCCAGAGAGAATTTGTTTGCTTCTGCTAGATGAAATTATTTTGAGGCTTAAGGTTTTTCAGACCATAGTTAATGTGAATTTGGGCCATAAGCCCAAAAGAAGGCTGGCTTGTGGTTACAAAATCTCAATTTTTTTCTCTCTTCCAATCACTACCAAGATCAAAACAGTGAAGTTTTCTTGCTGCCATTCTCTGTAGAATGGGCTTTTTTCTCTAGTTGACTCTTACACTAAGGATGTACTTCTTTTGGGTTCTCAGCTCTATGTAAGGGCATCCTATTGGATTCTCCATCTTGACTAGGCCCTAGGAACCCACACAGATATCAAAACTGAAGGTCAATGCTACCATGATTCAGCATACACTCCAAAACAAAAATCCAGTTTCAGAATTAGGTTGCCATTTAATACATATTTGGATAATCACTGTTTTGTATGCTTGGGACACACTAATAAACAAAATACACAAAGGTCCTTGTCCTCTTGGGGTTTACAGTTTAGCAGGGGGGAGGCAAACAAGTAAATTATATAGTATGTTAGAAGGTAATAAGCACTACAGAAAAAAAAAAGAATAGAACACACAACACCTAAGGCACAATCCATAAAAGAAATAATTGATAAACTGGACTTTATTAAAATTAAAAATTTCTGCACTGCAAAAGACAATATTCACCAGGCGTGGTGACTCACACCTGTAATCCCAGCACTTTGGGAGGTCGAGGCAGGCAGATCACTTGAGGCCAGGAGTTCGAGACCAGCCTGGACAACATGGTGAAACCCCGTCTCTACTAAAAATACAAAAACTAGCCAGGCTTGGTAGTGCACACCTGTAATCCCAGCCATTCAAGAGGCTGCGGCAGGAGAATCGCTTGAGCCTGGGAGGCGAAGGTTGCAGTGAGCCAAGATCTCACCACTGCACTCCATCCAGCCTGGGTGACAGAGCAAGACTCTAACTTAAAAAAAAAAAAAAAGAAAAAGAAAATGTTAAGAGAAGACAAGCCACAGACTGGGAGAAAATAGTTGCAAAAGACACATCTGATAAAGGACTGTTATCCAAAATATATGAAGAACTCTTAAAACTCAAAAATGAGAAAACAAACAAGTAAAACTCTGTTTAAAATGGTCAAAGGACTTTAACAGATACTTCGCCAAAGAATATATACAGATGGCAAATAAACATATGTCATCAGGGAAATATAAATTAAAACAACAAATACCACTGAACACTTACTCAAATGGCCAAAATTCAGAACACTGGTAACACCAAATGCTGGTGTGGATGTGGAGCAACAAGAACTCCCATTCATTGCTGGTGGGAATGCAAAATGGTACAGCCGCTTTGAAATACCGTTTGGCAATTTTCTACAAAACTAAACATATTCTTACCATATGATCCAGCAATTGTACTCCTTAGTATTTACCCAAAGGAGTTAAAAATTGCTTGTCACACAAAAACTTACACATAGATGTTTATAATAGCTTTATTCATAATTGCCAAAACTTGGAAGCAACCAAGATGTCCTTCAGTAGGTGAATGGATAAACTGCTGTATACCCAGATAATGGAATATTATTCAGTGCTAAAAAGAAATGAGCTATCAAGCCATGAAAGGAATGAAGGAAACTTAAGTGCATATTACTAAGTGAAAGAAGTCAATCTGGGCCACGGTGGTTCATGCCTGTAATCCCAGCACTCTGGGAGGCCAAGGTGGGCGAATCACTTGAGTTCAGGTGTTCAAGACCAGCTTGGCCAACATGGTGAAACCCCATCTCTACTAAAAATACAAAAAGTAGCGGGGCATGATGGCACATGTCTGTAATCCCAGCTACTCGGGAGGCTGAGGCAGCAGAATCACTTGAACCCAGGAGGCAGAGACTGCAGTGAGCCAAGATCACACCACTGCACTCCAGCCTGGGCAACAGAGTGAGACTCTGTCTCAAAAAAAAAAAAAAAAAAGTCAATCTGAAAGTCTTTAATCCATTTTGTATATGGTGTGAGATAGCATCCAATTTTATTCTTCTATATGTGGATATCTAGTTTTCCTAACACCATTTATGGAAGAGACTGTCCTTTCCCATTGTGTGTCCTTGGTACGTTTGTTGAAGATCAATTGACCGTAAATGCATGGATTTATTTCTGGGCTCTCTATTCTATTCCACTGGTCTATATGTTCGTTTTTATGCCAGTACCATGCAGTTTTGCTTACTTTATAGCTTTCTAGTATATATTTTGAAATCAGATAATGTGATGCCTCCAGCTTTCTTCTTTTTGCCCAAGATACTTTGGCTATTTAGGATGTTTTGTGGTTTTATACAAATCTTAGGATTTTTTTATACTTCTGGGGAAAAGATCATTGGAATTTTGATAGGGACTGCATTGAATCTATGGATCGCTTTGGGTAGTATGGACATTTTAACAGTATTAATTCTTCCAATTCACAAACATGGGGTATCTTTCCATTTATTTATGTCCTTTTTTATCTCCTTCATCAATGTTTTCTAGTTTTCAGCGTACACATCTCTTACCTCCTTAAATTTCCTAAGTAATTTTTTGATGCAATTATAAATGGGATAGTTTTCTTGATTTCTTTTTCAGATA
This sequence comes from Homo sapiens, assembly GCF_000001405.40. Taxonomy (NCBI): domain Eukaryota; kingdom Metazoa; phylum Chordata; class Mammalia; order Primates; family Hominidae; genus Homo; species Homo sapiens. Next base: position 33,107,700 of record NC_000001.11, on the reverse strand, counting down.
GTTAGCATATAGAAACATTGTATGTTAACTTTGTATCTTCTAATTTTCTGAACTTATTAAGTCTAATAGTTTTTTGGTGAAGTCTTTAGAGTTTTTTTGTTTGTTTGTTTTGTTTTGTTTTTGAGATGGAGTCTGGCTCTGTCGCCAGGCTGGAGTGCAGTGGCGCCATCTCAGTTCACTGCAGCCTCCACCTCCCAGGCTCAAATGATTCTTGTGCCTCAGCCTCCTGAGTAGCTGGGATTACAAGCACCCATCACCGTGCCCAGCTAATTTCTGCATTTTTAGTAGAGACAGGGCTTCACCATATTGTCCAGGCTGGTCTCGAACTCCTGACCTTAAGTGATCTGCCTGCCTCGGCCTCCCAAAGTGCTGGGGTTACAGGCATGAGCCACTGCGCCGGCCTTTGTGTGTGTGTGTGAGATGGAGTCTCACTCTGTTGCCCAGGCTAGAGTGCAGTGGCATGATCTCGGCTCACTACAACCTCTGCCTCCCAGGTTCAAGCAATTCTCATGCCTCAGCCTCCTAAGTAGCTAGGATTACAGGCACACATCTTTACGCCTGGATAATTTTGTATCTCTAGTAGACAGGGTTTCACCACATTGGCCAGGGTGGTCTTGAACTCCTGACCTTAAGTGATCCACCAGCCTTGGCCTCCCAAAGTGCTAGGATTACAGGCATGAGCCACCACGCCAAGCCTTAGAGTTTTCTATATATAAGATAATGTCATCTGCAAACAGAGACAATTTTACATCTCCCTTTCCCATTTGGATGACTTTTATTTCTTCCTCTTCTCTAATTGCTCTGGCTAGGACTTCTAGTACCACACTAAATAGAAGTGGTGAGAGTGAGCATCTTAGTCTTGCTCCTGACCTTAGGATCCTTGTTGAGTATAACATTAGCTGTGAGCTTGTCATATATGGCCCTTATCATGTTGAGGTACATTCCTTCCATACCTAATTTGTTGAAAGTTTTTATCATGAAAGGATGCTGAATTTTGTCAAATGCTTGTTCTCCATCTACTGAGATGATCATATGATTTTTATCCTTCATTGTGGTAATATTATAGTACATCACATTTATAAATTCAGACATGTTAAAATTTCTTTGCATCCCAGGGATAAATTCCACTTTAAAAGGATCATGGTGTATGATCCTTTTAATGTGCTATTTAATTTGGATTGCTAGTATTTTGTTGAGGATTTTTGCATATCTGTGAACATGGCCTGTAATTTTCTTTTCTTATGGTGTATTTGGCTTTGGTGTTAAGGTAATTGTGGTTTTGTAAAATGAGTTTGGAAGTGTTCCCTCTGCTTCAGTTTTGTGGAAGCATTTCAGAAGGATTGGTATTAATTCTTTTTTACATGTTTGGTAGAATTCACCAGTAAAGCCATAAGGTCCTGGGCTTTTCTTTGTTGGGAGGTTTTTGATTACTGATTCAATCTCCTAACTCACTATTGGTCTATTCAGATTTTCTGTTTCTTCATGATTGAGTCTTTGTAGGTAATATTTGTCTAGGAATTTATCCATTTTGCCTAGGTTATCCAATTTCTTGGTGTATAGTTATTCATGCTAGTAGTGGTCTCTTATGATCCTTTGAATTTCTGTGGTATCCTGTAATGTCTCCTCTTTCATTTATAATTTTATTTATTTGAGTCTTCTGTCTTCTTAGTCTAGGGACACACTTGGTAAGTGCTATTGCAATACATTCCAGACAGATTCACACTTTTGAAAGCATAACAAACTAGAATAAAATGGAACAGCAAGTAAGAAAGCCCCATCTTGGCAATAAAAGGAGAATCTCTCTTCATGGACTGGGGTAACTGTCCTGAATTTTGCCTGCCAAGATTCTTATAAAACTCCCATGATACTTGCCTCCTCTTGATTCCACCCTATACCAAATCGTATCTTGCATTTGTGAAGTGCTCATACACATTTGTTGAATTGCATCTTTACACACTGATATGGTTTGGCTTTGTGTCCCCACCCAAATCTCATCTTGAATTGTAATCCCCAGATATTGAGGGAGGGGCCTGTTGGGAGGTGATTGGATCATGGCGGGCAGTTTCGCCCATGCTATTCTTATGATAGTGAGGGAGTTCTCATGAGAGCTGATGGTTTTAAAAGTGTTTGGAAGTTCCCCCTTCACACCTCTCCCTCCTGCAGCCATGTAAGATGTGCCTGCTTCCCCTTCTGCCATGAATGTAGGTTTCCTGAGGCCTCCCTATCCATGCAGAACTGTGTCAATTAAACCTCTTTCCTTTTTAAATTACCCATTCTTGGGTATTCCTTTTTGGCAGTGTGAGAACAAACTAATACACACACTAAATATGTATTATTTTAGAGCACTCAATGAACATTTAAAATGTTTCTATATTTAAAAGTCCACCTAACACGTCAGTATTTAAAGAAAACCATATGCTCACAATATATAAAACTTTAAAGTGAAAAACAAAGTGCACTATGACACTTTTTTAAAAAGTAGAAATCAAAAACAAGATTGGTCTTTCAAAATGTTACAGCATTGTAAATTAGAGATTTTGGGCTTAGTTCTCTCTCCCCACCCAGCTCTGATTATTTCCAATATTTTAGAAGTATATTAACAAAAACACCTTTTAATATCAGAGCAGCTAAAACTGGTTAAATCATGACATTAGTAAACGAAACGTCTTGCTTATTCTTAGCAAGACTAGACAACCTTTTAAAAAAAATTATCAGGTCAGGCGTGGTGGCTCATGTCTGTAATCTCAAGGTGGGAGGATTGCTTGAACAAAACAAGGAGCTCAAGACCAGCCTGGGCAACATGGCAAAACCCCATCTCTGCAAAAAATACAAAAATTAGCCAGGCATAGTGGCATGTGCCTGTAGTCCGAGCTATTCAGAAGCTGGAGTGGGAAGGATGGCTTGAGCCTCGGAGGTGGAGGCTACAGTGAGCATGACTGTGCCACTGCACTCTGGCCAGGGTGACAGAATGTGACCTTGTGTTAAATAAAATAAAACAAAATAAAATAGCCATTAAACCCAAAAAAAGTAGAAATCAAAGTACATTTAACAATAGTCATCTCTGAATGGTGGGATTAGTGAATCATTTTATTTTACTATTTGTGTTAAATTTTTTCTAATAAACATTCTATTTCTATAAGACTATATATATATATATGTAATAAAGATAATCTATAACAGCAGAGCACAAAAGAAAGTAACAGATTTCCTTCCTATTAATTACAGCAAACTTAGTTAAAACAAAATAGTGTGTCAAAACTTCTATGAAAGAATAACAAAGAATTACAAAACTAAAACAATAAACCAATAGAGTGAAAAAATATTTGTATCAAACATCATATTAAATACATGCACACATGCATATGCAAGCTCATTTCTATGTGCAAGAAAAAACTTCAAGACCTCCCAAATTAAGTGAACAGAGGATATAAAAAGACATTGACATCAAAATAAATAAAACAATAAACAAAAACAAAATGGTTTATCCTTGTCAAAGACATAGAAATGAAAGAAACAATGGCCGGGTACAGTGGCTCATGCCTGTAATCAAAGCACTTTGGGAGGCCGAGGCGGGCAGATCACTTGAGGTCAGGAGTTCAAGACCAACCTGACCAACATGGTGAAATGCCGTCTCTACTAAAAATACAGAAATTAGCCAGGCATAGTGACGGGCGCCTGTAATCCCAGCTACTCGGGAAGCTGAGGCAGCAGAATCACTTGAACCCGGGAGGCAGAGGTTGCAGTGAGCCAAGACTGTAGCACTGCACTCCAGCCTGGGTGACAGAGTGAGACTCCATCTCAAAAAAAAAAAAAAAGATCTATTTAATTCCAACATATACTGAACCTACTGTATGCCAAGTTCCGTACTAGGGAAACAGATATGAACAGATGTGAGACCCTCAAGGGTCTCACAGTTTATTGAATGATTGATTCATCCATTCACAATTCATTCAACAGATATTTAGTGAGCACCTACTATATGCCAGGCACTGTGTCTGGTGCTGGGAACTCAGAGGAAACTAACTGGACAACGTGGCTGCCCTCATAGAGCCTACCTGCTAATGGAGAAGACAGACTATAGGCAAGTAAACAAAAACAAGATAATTAACAGATTACGATGGGTTGTGAAGAAAATAAGCAGGGTATCAAAATTATCTGACTAGGGGAGGTGAGCCTACTTTAGAGAGGGCAGTCAGGAAAGGCCTCCCTGACAAGGTGACATCTGAGCTGAGACATAAGAAAGAGAATACAGCAGCTGTCTCAGGGGTGAGTGGAAGAGCATTCTGGGCGAGCGAATGCAAAGGCCCTGAGAGCAGAAACAACTTAGGTGTTACAAAAACAGAAAGGAGAGGAATGGGACTGGAGCAGGTAAGTGGAGCTGAAAACAGGGACAGGAGTGAGGGCAGAGGTGCCTGGGAAGATGGCAGGAGCCTTGCTCGTTGTGGTAAGGAGTCTAGGTTTTATTCTGAGAGCAATGGGAAGCCACAGATGGTGTTAAGCAGAGGAGGGGCATAATCTTTGGGATTTTAAAAGATCATTCTGTCTGCAGCGTGGAAAATGGGTGGTAAGCAGGTAGTAGTATGGGGGTGGAAAACCAGTTAATGGCTACTGCAGTAGCTCAAGCAGGAGGCAATGGTGGCTTGCATTAGGGTGGCGACAGAGGAAGAATTCACTGAAACCAAAATGTATTTTGGAACTACACTCAAGAATTGCAGGTGGACTGCATGTGGAAGGAGAGGGAAAGCAAAAATCAAGAATAATGCCAACTTTTTTAGCTTCAGCAGTTGGCTAGTGGCAGTGCTATTTAGTGAGAGAAGTTTGGGGTTGGAAATCAAGAGTTCAGTTCTGAACAAGTTAAACTTGAGATGTCTGTGAAATCCCAGTAGGAATCTCAAGCGGGTAGTTGGATGTGCAAGTCTGGAGCTCAGGGGTGTGATCCAGGATAGAGATAGAAATTTGGGAGTGATGATAGTATGGAAGATACTAAGAGCCTCAGTCTGGAAGCATTTACCTAGGAAGCGCATATAGACAGAGAAGATCAAGGACTGAGGCCTGAGACAGTCAGCACTTAAAGGGTGAGCAGGAGAAGTGCCAAGGAGACAAGGTGAGAACAGCAGAAGAGTAGCCAAGGCCCAGGATGTTGCCACAGAAGCCAGGAGAGGTGAGCATGAAAACAGAGGAGGACCAGCTGCTGGGACAGAAGAGCCATATGGAAGAGCTAGCAGCGTGGAAGTGACTTTCAAGAGCATCTTCCATGGCATCATGGAACAGGTACCTGACTGGAGAGGTTGGAAGGGCTAAGGGAGCTGAGTGAGCAGGGGCAGTGGGTACAGACCACTCGGTGGAGAAATTCAGACATGAAGGGGAACACCAACTTACAAAGTCCCTGGAAGAAGTTCCGGGAAACACATTTGGCCAGTAAATATACAAAGAGACATCCAGCTTTGCTAGTGATGAGGGAAATGCAAATCAAGACACAATGAGATATCATTTTACATCCATTCCACTGGGAAAATGTTTTCAGTCTGGCAATACTCCATGCTGGAGAAAATGCAGAGCCACCGAGTCTCTTACACACTGCTGGTGGGATTGTCAGTACAACACTTCAGAAAATTGTTTGGCATTTTCTCATGAAGCCAAACATTCACATGCCCTATACCCAGCCATTCCACTCCTTGCTCACTCATCAGAGAGAGGGAAACAAGAATTCACAGCAGCAGTATTCACAGTAGCAAAAACCCAAAGACAGTCCAAATGCCTTGAGAGGAGAATGGACAAATAAACTGCAGCATACTCACCAAAAGAGCGCTACACGGCAATGAAATGAATGGACTCTAGAGACATGTAGCAGGGTGAGTGGTTCTTAGACTGTGATATGAGGGAGAAAAAGCCCAAACAGGTTACATGCATCAAAATACCTTTTTATAAAGCAAAAAAACAAATATAATAAATTATAAATACACTCGAGGAATAGATTTAGATGTGATAAACCTATACTGAAAAAGAAAGCCAGAGAATGATAATGCATGAGTCAAGATAGTGACGACTTTGCATGGAAGGCAATGTAGGTTAAATAATAAGGATGCTTATTACTCTAAAAGGAAAACAAAGACAAGATCTCCCATGGAGTATTTTTATTCCAAAGCTGATTGAGATGCTATTCAAACCTCTAAATCTACCTAATTTCAAAAAAAAAAAAAAAAATACCAGGCAGAGAAACATGTTCAAAAGCACCAAAGGGAAATTCAGGAAATTCACCAATCAGGAAAATCAAGAATGCAGGAAACTCCACAGGAAAAACAACTCAGTTTAAAATTACCAAAGAAAACAAACAAACAAAACAGACTTAAAAAGAGGGTGGGGGCCAGGCACAGTGGTTCATGCCTGTAATCCCAGCACTTTGGGAGGCTGAGGCTGGACAATCGCTTGGGGCTGGGAGTTCTCAACCCGCCTAGACAACACAGGGAGATTGCATCTCTACAAAAAAGAAAAAGAAGAAAAGAGTATGGGGAAACCAATGGGTTAAGAGAGAGACATGGTGCCGGGCCCAGTGGCTCACACCTGTAATCCCAGCACTTTGGGAGGCCGAGCCAGATGGATCACTTGAGGTCAGGAGTTTGAGACCAGCCTGGCCAGCATGGCAAAACCTCATCTCTACTAAAAATACAAAAATTAGCCAGGCATGGTGGCACACACCTGTAATCCCAGCTACTCGGGAGGCTGAGGCAGGAGAGAAGCTTGAACCTAGGAGGCAGAGGTTGCAGTGAGCCGAGATCACACCACTGAACTCTAGCCTAGGCAACAGAGTGAGACTCTGTCTCAAAAAAAAAAGAGAGAGAGAGAGATGGCAACCAAATGCACCATGCAGACCTTCTTTGCCTCCTGATTTCAGCAAGTTAATATAAAAACCATTATGAGACAGTTGGGGATAGCTCAACACCGATGATGGGGGATACTATGGAATTATTCATTTTTTAATTTGATAATGGAATTGTGATTTTTTAAGTTCCTTATTTTTTAGAAACATGTACAGTACTAAAATATGTTTTAAAAGCTCCAATAATATTTGTTCTGTACTTTTCTCATACATGGTTGTAGCTTGTATACTAATCACACACACACACACACACACACACGTGTTTCTATCCAACAGGACTGTACTTCCAAAGCACAGACAATTCCTCTGCAGACCTCAGCACGGTGCTTTGAGTATTGAGAGTACTGCTTTGAGAGTACTGAATTATTTGCTGAATTTATAAAAATAAAAACCAAAAAGAAACACACAAAAAAGGGCCAAGCATGGTGCAATAAGAAGTATATCTTGAGCCAAGGATTATGTTTCATACAACTTTTTTTCTTTTCTTTCTTTTTTTTTTTTTTGAGACAGAGTCTTACTCTGTCGCCCAGGCTGGAGTGCAATGGCACAGTCTTGGATCACTGCAACCTCCGCCTCCCAGGCTCAGGTTACTCTCCTGCCTTAGCCTCCCAAGTAGCTGCGATCACAGGCATGTGCCATCATGCCCGGCTAATTTTTGGATTTTTAGTAGAGACAGGGTTTCACCATGTTGGCTAGACTGGTCTCGAACTCCTGACTTCAGGTATCCAACCACCTCTGCCTCCCAAAGTGCTGAGATTACAGGCTTGAGCCACCACGCCTGGCCTCATACAACTTTTTATACCCAGGTCTAAACACAAAGTCCCTGGGAAGGAAGAGCAGGTATGCAAAGAAAGATGCCAAAACTAATACTTGTAAGGGGACCTTCTTTGGGAAAGAAGGTACGGATACCCCCAGCCAGGCTGAATCCCTCTGACACACACTCCCAGCACCACAGGAGTTAACTTATTATGTGTATTGTCATCTATGCAATGTCTTATTCCACCGCCAGGCTGTGGGCCCCACTCTGGAGGCGCTCACGTGGCCAAACTTGAAAAGCAGTTAAGAGCCTAAAGGAAGAAACCGCAGCATCGTTCAGGGGAGGAACAGCACAGACCACAAAGAGAGTCAAACATCCCAGTGCCCAAGTCAGGAATGCCAACTAGAGATCAGCCAAAGCAAAGATCCCGGTGGGGGGCGTGGCAGTGGGCTGGGACCATCATCTCCTCTTCTGAGGAGCCAATGAAGGGAGTGGAGTGGGTGAGAGCCAGCATGCAACAGGAAGACGAGTACTGGAGAGGCAGAGTAACGGGGACTCAACAGCTGCCCGCTCTGTAAGCTGGCTGGCCTGGTCCCTTCTCAGTGCAGTAGGATGTGGGCTACCACAAGAATGCAGGCAATGCTAGTGCGTCAGAGTAGAGAGCTCAGCATTCCTCAGCACCTTGGGGAGGCCTACTCTGACCAGCAGATGTAACCACATTTAACCATGGAGTGAGGCTCCATCAAGCACATCTAGGGTGCCTGGGTACCTGGAGGAAGGAGGGAGGGAGAGAGGGGTTCCCTAGGCCAGCACAGGGATAAGGGGCAGGAAGAGCCACAAAGTGGAGTTGATTTTCAAGACCCCTCTGACTGACTTTTGAAAAACTGGATAGGTTGGGAAGGGAAGGAAAAACATAATGAGTGCTAGTTAGGCACTTCAAGGCATGCAAGGAAAGTTTCTTTCCAGGAAGAGGGGCTGCACAAAGGTCAAGAGATGGGAAGAGGCCAGGCATGGTGGCTCGTGCCTGTAATCCCAGCACTTTGGGAGGCCAAAGTTGGTGGATGATTTGAGGTCAAGGGTTAGAGACCAGCCTGGACAACATGGTTGAAACCCCGCCTCTACTAAAAATACAAAAATTAGCCAGGCATGGTGGCGGGTGCCTATAGTCCCACCTACTCGGGAGGCTGAGGCAGGAGAATCACTTGAACTCAGGAGGTGGAGGTTGCAGTGAGCCGAGATCACACCACTGCACTCCAGCCTGGTTGACGGAGTAAGACTCCATCTCAAAAAAAAAAAGAGAGAGAGAGATAGGAAGACACAATGGAGAGGGGAAGATAAAATGATGTCTGGTTTTCTTTATCCTCTCAAAGATGCCCATTAAAATTGCTGGAGGCCCTGGGCTGGGTTCCACAGGCTAGGAGGAATGTTTTATGTATTCCTGTTCCCCTGTTATTACAGAAAAACCCACTGTATATGAACTGTTTCTACTTCCAGGAATTTACCACAGAGCTGAAACCTCAACATATATTCACAGTGCTCAAAAAGAGGAAACCAAATAGCCAACCACTAGAGTTAGATTGGTTAAAATACAAAAGCATGTTGTCAAAGATCAGTTAATGGCATGGAAAGAGCTACACCCCATATAAATGGAAAAAGCAGGTTACAAAACAATATGATTCCAATGTCATGAAAAAAGTATAAGGCATTTTTTAAAATATGTAATGCTCAAAGAGTGTGGTGGGATTATGGGTGATAACCTTCGTCATCCTTGTTGTCTATTATCGACAATAAATATGTTTGACTTTTTAAAAATTAGATAAAAACACAACAAATGTTATTGAAATACACACACACAACTGAAAACAGGCCCACGTGGGGTAAGCTCACCTTCTGCAGGATGGGGGTAGGGCAGATGTTGTCAAACAGGACTGAGTTGAAGATCCCATACACGCCCTCATCAAGGTGGTACACGATGGTCTTGGAGGTGGAACCATTTTCCTCTGCAGGAGGGGAGGGTTCAGAGGCAGCACAAGTAGCAATGTGAGGGGGTGGTAGTGGGGCTGACACAACAGTGGGCTCAGTAAGGAAGCAAAATGGCTACCCATTCCTCAACCATGAGGCGAGGCCTACAACAAAAGCCATCAGCAGCCATCCTTCCAATGACATGGGTTCACTGCCGTGTTAGGAACACTCACCCCTGCAGCCAAGCAACCTGCCCAGGATGCACTCCCCTGCTTGCATCTGAGCCCCTAGGTGCCCCAGCAAAGGCAGAAGAGCAGCCCACCCAAACTCAAGACCCCAAAAGGTTAAGCCACTTGCTCAGAGGCACATGATAGGGCAGTGGATGAGCCAGAATGAGAAGCCAGGTCTCTTGATTGGATCAGACGGGACAATCCCCCAGGTCTATAAAGGAAGCCAGAAGAATGCCACACACGAACACAGGACATTCTACCTGGAGCCCACCACCCTTCACATGAATTCTCTCTGGGGAAAAGCGCACAGTCCTGAGGCTCCCCTGCATGAGGGTCCCAGAGCAGAGGGCAAGCCTCAAGATCAGAGTCCCTGACACCTGTCACTCACAGGCTGCTATCCCTGACCTATCTGGAAGGGGAGGGAAGAGCACTGATGTTGGTGATGTGGGCCCAGAAGCGCTGAGTCAGCCTAACCTGAACTTGAATCCCCACACTGCCCCTTATCAGCCATGTGACCTTGGGCTAATGACTCAGCCTCCCCCTGCCTATGTTGTCATCTGTAAAGTGGACTCAAACAAATGTAAGCTGTCATTAATTATTTTCATTATATTATGAGAAGCAGTAGGGTGAGTAGGAGCCTGTATTTTGGAGAGGAGACAGACATGGGGTCAAATGCAGGCTCTTACTAGCTATTAAGCAGTTCACTTGTATTCTCTTTGGTTCTCGGTTTCCTCATCTGTAAAATGGGGTCAACAGAGTATCTATTCTCTCTAAGGTTGTTTTGCTCTCAATCTTCACAAAATATGAACATGCCTAGGAAAAAAGATGCTAAATAAATGTCTTGGGGTGGGGCGACTTGACTGAAAGTTTCCCTAAAGCAAGAACCCATTCATTCTCCAGATTCCCCCATCCTCTGCCACTGGGTCTAAAACCAGATCCTGCTCAGCCAACCACTATCTGAAGCTTCAGGGGAGAACAGGGCTCCACTGCCCACCTGGCACCTACCCTCCCTGCCAGGCTGGTCTAGCAGAACCTCCTTCTTGGCAATGATGCTGACTGCCACAGTGAAGGCCGAGGTCACGTAGTAGCGCCCCAGCTCAGCAAAGATGTCCACGCCACAGCCCTCTGGGAAGTACAGGTCCAAGGCTGAGTTGATCACGGAAGCAATCTGGTAGGAGGAGAATGGGGAGACAATTATGTGTTTGAAATGTGGGCTTTATGCTGAAGACTTGCTACAGCTCCAAGTCTATTTCTTGAAAGCTGCTTTGATTTCCGGAAGAAGGATTTGGCAGCTGCTAAGGCCCCAGCTGATAACTGTGGACAGCTGGCCAAGAAGGTAGGAGGGGGACAGAGCTGGGTAGAGAGCCTCGTGCTTGTGTAAATCACCCTCCTCCATGGCCCCACAATGGGAAGGAGTCCTCTTCATATCACACTTGGTACTCAGATTCCAGAAGCCCTGATGTGGATCTTTCTTTCATAAATAACCAGTTTGTTAAATACAGTTGACCCTTAAACAACACAGGTTTGAACCGTGTGGGTCCACTTATGCATGGATTTTCTTCTGCCTCTGCCACCCTGAGACAGCAAGACCAAGCCCTCCTCTTCCTGCTCCTCCTCCACAGCTTTCTCAACTTGAAGACAATGAGGACAAAGACCTTTATGATGATCCACTTCCACTTAATGAATAGTAAATACATTTTCCCTTCCTTATAATTTTCTTAATAATATTTTATTTCTGGCCAGGCATGGTGGCTCATGCCTGTAATCCCAGAACTTTGGGAGGCTGAAGTGGGCAGATCACTTGAGGTCAGGAATTCGAGACCAGCCTGGCCAACATGGTGAAACCCCGTCTCTACTAAAAATACAAAAAATAGCTGAGCATGGTGGCTTGCACCTGTAATCCTAGCTACTTGGGAGGCTGAGACACGAGAATCTCTTGAACCCAGGAGACGGAGGTTGCAGTGAGCCAAGATTGTGCCACTGCACTCACGCCTGGGTGATAGAGTGAGACTCTGTCTCAAAAAAAAAATTATTTCCTCTAGCTTACTTTATTGTAAGAATACAGTATATAATACATATCACACATAAAATATCTGTTAATCGGCTGTTTATGTTATCAGCAAGGCTTCTTGTCAACAGTAGGCTATAGTAGCTAAGTTTTAGGGGAATCAAAAGTTATATGCAGATTTTGTAGTGTGTAGGGGGTCGGTGCTCCTAAGCTCTGCGTTGTTCAAAGGTCAACTGTAATATACTTGATTACAGAAAATTCAGAAAATACAGAAAAGGAAAAAGAAGATAAAAGTCACTCCAAAGTCTATCAACTAGATGAATCTAATTATTGTTAACTTTTTGGAGTAGTGTCTTTAATTATTTTTTATACAAACGCTATTTTTTATTATAACCATGGTAGGTCTCTGTATATGTTTTTGGAACCTGTTTTACTTAATAGACTGTGAACGACCTCCCCACATTAAGGAAGTGTTTTCATCAAAAGGATGTACCATAATTTAACAAATCCTGAGTATTAGATGGACCAGGGAAGTCCACTGGACTTCTGTTAGGAACAAAGCTAGAACAGTCATCTTTGAGGCAAATTCTTTGAGACTATCCCAAATCATTTCTGTAAGGTCAATTCCTACATGTCGGTATTCCCGAAGGAGGCGCCTTCCAAGAAGAGGCGACCTCTAGTGGTTGGAGTGGGAACTGCTAGGACACATTTTTCTTAACTTCACCTCACAGTGGGTAAGGAAAAGGGAATAGAGGAAGAGAATGGACAGGCAGCAGACCAAAGGTTGGTTTTCGTTTCCCTGCCTCCCCACCCGATATCTCATCAGCCCACCTTAGGGTGAAGAGGCCTATCCCGCCCCTTAAAGAGCCTTACGACTTATGTAAATGTGTCCTGGTTATGCCTCCAATTGGCTGAAGTGCATGGCAGGCAGAACCAGGTTCTGCTTTGGGCTCAGGAAGCAATGTAACCTCTGTGAGCCTTGGCTTGCTCAGCTGTAGCACAGGGTTAATAAGCAGTGAGATCACCCAGGTAAGCACCAAGCACTGCATGCAGTGCATAGGACCCACGCACGGTGGTCTCCCTCCGATCATCTAATCCCTCCCTATCCTCCCCGCCATAGAGCCCAGCATGACACTCCCAGCTCCAGGGTTACCTCTTCAAATCTCACTTTGGCCCCTTCTGTGCCAGGGAAGCCACCACCAAGGTCCAGAACGTGCATCTTGTGACCCAGCTCGGTGCCCATTTCAAACACGAGCCGGGCGTCTGCGATGGACTGAGCATAGGCCTGAGGGTCAGGACAGCCACTGCCAATGTGAAAACTGGGAAGAGAGGAAGAGCCTCGGCTGACATGCAGGGCTCCAAGTGCCACCACCTGAGCCCCAGCCAAGAATGACATTGGGCAGGCACATGAGACACTGTGCCCATTTTACAGATGCAGTGACCAAGGTCCTGAAATGTTCAATGGGTTGCCAAGGGCCATATGGCAAGGGAGAAGTGGACAGGAGGCTTGATCCAAGGGCTCCTGGCACTTGGTGCTCCTCCCATCCCTCCTTCTGGGATGAGAGCCAGGACCCCCAAGTCAACCAGATCTGGCTGTGCCTCCCAGTCAGCAGGGTGGCCTTGGCAGCTTACTCAGCTTTGTTTTAGTTTCCCCACCTATAATGCGGGGACAAGACCCACACCACACAAGGCTGAGAGAATGTGCATGAAGCACTTAGCACAGCACCTGGCACACCTAAGTACAGAATAAATGAAGCCCTATATTAGGTAGTTCATTGTTCATTAGGTAGTTCATTATTACTCCTTCCATATCCCTGTAAGAAAAGAGGCACACAGCTGGGTGCAGTGGCTCACACCTGTAATCCCAGCACTTTGGGAGGCCAAGGCAAAAGGATTGCTTGAGCCCAAGACTTTGAGACCAGCTTGAGCAATAAAGTGAGACCCCATCTCTACAACAAATAAAAATTAGTCAGGTGTGGTAATGCACGCCTGTGGTCACAGCTACTTGGGAGGCTGAGGCGGGAGAGAGAATTGCTTGAGCCTGGGAGCTCAAGGCTGCAGAAAACCATGATCATGCCACTGCACTCCAGCCTAGGTGACAGAGTGAGACCCTATCTCAAAAAAAAAAAAAAAAAGAAAGAAAGAAAAGAAAAGAGGCCCCTCAAGAGTGTAGCTGCAAAACCTTTGTCCTACAGGCTGGTAAGACTCCCTCAAAGCCAGGTCTCTGGATGGAACTTCCTGGGACAAGACCTTCTGGGGACCCTGGGACTGGGGAAGGGACCCTTCTAAACTTCCTTTTCAAACAGAGGAAATTCTCAAATGGAAGAATTCCAGGCCCAGGGACAGGCCCTACTCAGAGGCCCTGGGGAAGGTCTCATATAGAATTAATTCCTGGGAAAGAGGCAGGGAGCCTGGTGTGGGAGGGGATGGCAGGGGTTCCCAGTGCTCACCTCACACCCACCACCTCCACATGGTGCTTCTTCGCATTTTCAAGCAGGTGTCTGCAGGATTTCAGTGACACTCCAAACTTTAGGCTCAGGCAGCTCAGGGAGTGGGAGTCATCGGTAGCAATGCACAGAACCATCCTGATGAGACACGCAGTGCCCCTCTGCTGGACAAACCCTGTCGCCCCACCCCAGCCACATCTCTCAATCAAGGGCTGTGAGCTACATGGCTCAGAGCCACCCAACCCCACAGGCTCCCTGACCCCTCCCTCTCCCTACACAGCCAATCAACCTTCAAGTCCTGTCCAATCCATTCTCTAAATGTCCCTGACCCATTCCTGCAGCCCCTGCGCCCTGGTCCAGACCTCACCAACTCTCCTGGGGCAGCTCCAGTCCCTCCAAATCAGTCTCCACACCAGTTAGAGCTTTCAAACTTGTCGTGTATGAGAGGAACCATTTTTAAACAAAGCCTTAAGGAGAACCCATTAATACGATGGAAGCTGCTTTGGATGGACTGGAGTGGCCCATCACCTGGCCACCCCCTTCACCCCAAGGCCCCTCCTGGGAAGTCCAAGGGTGTCCAGTAATCATGTAAAAGGCACAGCCAGAGCAAAACGTCCAGCCCTGACCCCTTCGAAAGTCCATTTGCATCGGCTCCCCGCCCCCGACCAGGATCTCCTTCACCCCCTACACATAGCATGCGTCAGCCACACTAAGTTTCTGCTTACGCTTGAATGTCCCATGCTGTTTCCAACCTCAATGCATTTGCTTACGCAGTTCACTATTTATGCCCCCTCCAAATTCTATTCATTCCTCAAGGCCTGCTTCAAATGCCACTTCCTCCGTGGAGCCTTCCTGACCACTCCCTCGACTCTCTCAAGCCTGTGACTTTGGCCTCCATAACACATGGGTCTCACTCTGCCTAGGGCTTTAACCAGTTATTTCTGCCTTTGTTCTAGCTAGACCCTAGC
This sequence comes from Homo sapiens, assembly GCF_000001405.40. Taxonomy (NCBI): domain Eukaryota; kingdom Metazoa; phylum Chordata; class Mammalia; order Primates; family Hominidae; genus Homo; species Homo sapiens. The sequence continues at coordinate 33,092,451 of NC_000001.11, read as the reverse complement.
ATCCTGGGTTCAGTCCAGGAGTACCTGCCCCAACCTCCTGCAACTGTGGCTGGGTCCAGGACAGGGTGACCTGCCCCAGCTCCACCCCCTCACCCCACCCCCCCCTTCACTCTGAAGCCCAGCCTTCCCTCAGCCCAGCCTCCCCACAGCCCAGCCTCCCCACAGCCCAGGCTCCCCACAGCCCAGGCTCCCCACAGCCCAGCCTCCCCATGAGTGGTTCTCAGCTTACTTGGCACTGGGGTGGCTCTTTACCACCTTTGCCAGCTCCATCTCATTGTCAAAGCTCAGCAGCTGGATCCCATGCTTGGCAGCATATTTGATCTGTGCAATTTGCTTACAGGGGTTGGCGCAGATGATCTTACTGGCAGGGATTCCAATATGCTGGACCAACTCCATCTCTGCCTATGGGGCCCCAAAGGTGGTTGTAAGGAGGCACCAGGGCCTGCTAGCCCACGGAGCCCAAGGAAGCACAGATGAGGGCAAAGTCATAGCTATGCATAGGGAGGCCCATAACAGTGGGCCTTGCTCTAAGACAACAGATACATAGATATCAGGACTTACATGGATTCACCATTCTTTGATAAGCAGGGCTGCCATGTACAGCCATGCGGGTGGTACACTGAACAATCCTGGGGGTGGGGAGTTCCCATTCAGAATGAATACAGAGTAGATTTGTATATTTATTAAAACTTCCTGGCAGTAAAGCATCTCATTCTAAGAAAATCAGTATATTTATTATAACAATTAATTGTCTTAAGGAAAGGGTACATTTTCTAATTTACACAAAGGCATTATATGGACTCATGGTAGCCCTGACAACAGGCTTCTGACACATTTTCCTGGCAAATTTAAATGTTTAAATATTACTTGGAAAACAGTATGGAGGTTCCTCAAAAAAAAAACTGAAAATAGGACAGGGCGCAGTGGCTCACGCCTGTAACCCCAACACTTTGGGAGGCTGAGGTGGGCAGATCACTTGAGGCCAGGAGCTTGAGACCAGCCTGGGAAACATGGCAAAACCCCATCTCTACCAAAAATACAAAAATTAGCCAGGCTTGGTAGTACATGCCTGTAGTTCCAGCTACTCAGGAGGCTGAGGCAGGAGACTCACTTGAACCCAGGAGGCGGAGGCTGGAGTGAGCCGAGATCACATCACTGCACTCTAGCCTGGGTGACAGAGCCAGACTCCATCTCAAAAAATAGAACTACCAACTACCATATGATCCAGCAATCCAATACTGGGTATACATCCAAAGGAAAGGAAGTCAATATGTAAAAGAGATATCTGCACTCCCATGTTCAGTGCAGCATTATCCACAATCGCCAAGATACGCAAGCCACCTAAGTGTCCATCACAGATGAACAGATAAAGAAAATGTGGTCCACATACACAATGGAATATTATTCAACCTTAAAAATGCAGGAAATCCTGTCATTTGCAGCAACATGGATGAGCCTGAAGGACATCATGTTAAGTGAAATAAGCCAGGCACAGAAAGACAAACATGCATGATCTCACTTATATGTGGAATCTAAAAATGTCAAACTCAGAGAAGCAGCATAGAATGGTGGTTGCCAAGGGCTCGGGTCAATGGCGAGGGGGCAGTGGGAAGAAGTTGGTCAAAGGATACAAAGTTTTAGTCAGGAGAATTAAGTTCAAGAGATCTAATGTACATCATGGTGACTATAGTTAATAACAATATATGGTACACTTGGAAATTGCTAAAGAATAGACCTTAGGGGTTCTCACCACAAAAAAAGGTAAGTATGTGAGTTAATGCCTAATTAGCTTGTTAACCATTCCACAACGTATACATATATCAAAACATCATGTTGTACACCATAAATATATACAATTTTTATTTGTCAGCTTAATAAATAACAAAAGCACTGCTGGTGTATTAGAAAGTCCACCAGACCAAGGATCTTTTGGACAGAGATCACCCCACTCCAAAGGCCTACTCTGTGCACGGCCCTGCACTGGGTGTGCAGGGTGTGCGGGCTCAGCCCTGCTCCTCTTGGGGCCTCCTCTTCATCCCCTTTACTCTAGAACCTGTGGGCACCTGATTGCTGCATTAATGATATGAACAAATGATGATGATGATGATGACGACAGCAACTGTGTTCATTCAGCACCTACCACAAGCAGGCCCTGAATTAGATGGTTTACATCGGGTGTTAGCATACTTTTTCTATAAAGAACCAGAATAAATATTTTAGGTTTTGCGAGCCACACAGTCTCTGTCACAACTTCTCAACTGCCTTTGTAGCACCAGAACAGCCACAGCCAAAGCATAATTGAATGAATGTGGCTGTGAGTCAATAAAACTTCATAAAATTAGGTGGTGGACTGGATTTGGCCTTCCATCCGTAGTTTGCCAACCCCTACTTTGGATTCACCCTTTTATTCAGTCCTTGCCAATAACCCATTCAGATGGGTATTAGCTCCAATCTACAGAGAAGGAAACTGATGCTCAGAAGGGCTACGCAGAAAATAGGTGGCAGAACGAACTTTCGAACTCAAGTCTGACTCTCCACGAATAAACAAGAGAAGAGAGAGCCAGTTTTGAAACATGGTGAGAGGCATAAGAGTCATTTTTAGCCATCCTGATTTTGTAATAAGAGTCTAATTTTAATTTAGCAACTTTTCAGCACTAGATATTTATAAGCATTATTTCATTTAATCCCAATGACTATGCTATGAAATATTTACTGGCTACATTTTATGGAGGACAAAATTGAGTTCAGTGAGGTCCACCTGTCTGTGGTGACACAGCCAACCAGTAGCAGAATGGGACACAAAGGTCAAGCTCCAGAGCTGGGCTTGCTGCCACCACAGCTTGCTTCCCAGGGGCAGATGTGGCCTACCCCGAATCTGAGTGGATGTGGACCTGTGTTTTTGTTCCCTGCCTCACCACGTGAGGTGAGAGGAAGAAGCAGTGTTAGCACTTTAGCACTTTGGGGACCTGTGATTGAGCTTTGATTATAATTTTTTTTTAAATATATATATTTTTTAATTAGAGACAGGGTCTCACTACATTGCCCAGGCTGGTTTCGAACTCCTGGGCTCAAGCAGTCCTCCTGCCTTGGCCTCCCAGAGTGCTGGGATTACAGCTGTGAGCCAAGGCACTCAGCCTAATTATAAATATTTAAATAAGTGTTGTCATTCATTGAAGGCATATCCTATGCCAGTCACTGCATTAAGTATTTTATATACATTCTCATTTAACCTTACTAATAATCTTATAAGGTGGGGAACAGAGGCTCAGGGATGCTAAGTGATTTGTCCAAAATCACACAGCTTCTAAGTGGCACAGATGGGATTCTAACTGTCAGACCTTAGCACACCAGCTCTTAACCTCACTGCTGTAATGGGGAATGCAACCTCAATGCTGCACTGACGGGTATTTTTGAGCATCTATTGAGTTGCCAGGCTCTGTGATAGGTGTTAATAAAACAAGTGGTGACTAAAGCACATAGGGTCTCTGAGACCATGGAGCTTTCAGGTTGGTGGGAAAGATAGGCAGGGCAGTCCCAAATGAGCGCTGAATAATGATGGAATTACAAGTGGTTAAGAGCTGGGAAGAAAAAGTACGTGCTGCAAGAGACCTGGGTGTGAGAGGCAAAGGACAACTTCAGGGTTAGATATTTAAACTGAGCCCTGCAGGAGGCCTCAGCCAGGCCAAGAGGGAAGGAAAGAATCTAAGAATCTTTCCAGTAGAGGAAGTGGTCTGTGCAGAGGTTCTGAGGCAAGCAGTGCTGAGCACTTCAGCCTGATCAAGGAACAGAGAATGCTGCAGTGGCTCAAGAAGAGCAAGTTAGTGCAGTGAGGACGATGAGGTCAGAGGGAGAGGGGCAGAGCTGCCAAGGAAACATGTTTTACCCTGCATGTGATGGGAAAGAGTCTAAAGGGTTAGGAAGGGAAACGACATGGTCAGATTTGCATTTTAAATATAAGGTCTACATGTCTATCTGGCTACCTGAAGGAGGGCCCAAGGGGATTCTGGGGGAATAGACAGTGACAGTCAGTGGCTATCACCATCGCCCTGGGGGAGATGACAGAGCCAGCTCCAGAAAAGTGGGGAGATGTGTTCTGGAGGTGGGACTGGCAAGCTGGGTGATAGATTGCATGTGGTGATGAGGACGAGGACGTCAGAGGGAACTCCCACACCCAGCAGACTGAGGGGGCCCTTCATGACGGGGAAAGGGGACATCAGGAGCACATTTGAACATGCCGGGTTCCAGGCATCTCCTCGTATCAAGTCAACTGGATATATAGGTCTGAGCTGGAGATTAAAATGTGGGAAGCAGTGGCATATTGATGGTATTTAAAGCCATGGGAGGAGATAACCCTTCTTCTGAGAAGAAGGAGGGTTTACAAGACAGGGAGGCCTAGGAATTCAGAAGAATGCTACCATTTAGAGAGTGGCAGAAGATGGGGAGAGATGGTACCCGGGACCTGCAGAGGTGAGGATGGAGAACGTTTCCAAGGGATGGAGAGCAATATGCAGATTAGAAAGCTATTCCTGTAAATGCAAATCTCGTCTCACAGCGAGACATGTGTCTGGACAGGAAGGAGCTGTCTCAGCTATAAGAAGTGCCTGATGAGGTGGGGTCGAAGCAGTGTTCTCTTTCATCTTATACACTTCTGAAGCCTTTAAAAGTAGGACCATATGTTACTGTTGAGTCTTTTTTTTTTTTAAAGAATGCATTGCCAGTCGGGTGTGGTGGCTCATGCCTGTAGTCCCAGCACTTTGGGAGGCCAAGGCAGGTGAATCATGAGGTCAGGAGTTCAAGACCAGCCTGGCCAACATGGTAAAACCCTGTCTCTACTAAAGAAACAAAAAATTAGCCGGGCATGGTGGTAGGCACCTGTAATCCCAGCTGCTCAGGAGGCTGAGGCAGGAGAATCGCTTGAACCTGGGAGGCAGAGGTTGCAGTGAACTGAGATCACGCCACTGCACTCCACCCTGGGCAACAGAGCAAGACTCTGTCTCAAAAAAAAATATATATATATATGGCTGGGTGCAGTGGCTTATGCCCGTAATCCCAGCACTTTGGGAGGCCGAGGCGGGTGGATCACCTGAGGTCGGGAGTTCGAGACCAGCCTGACCAACATGGAGAAACCCCATCTCTATTAAAAATACAAAATTAGCCGGGCATCGTGGCACATGCCTGTAATCCCAGCTACTCGGAAGGCTGAGGCAGGAGAATCACTTGAACCCGGGAGGTGGAGGTTGCGGTGAGCCGAGATTGCGCCACTGCACTCCAGCCTGGGCAACAAGAGCGAAACTCTATCTCAAAAAAAAAAAAAAAATACTACATATCCACCAAAACCATCCTGGTGATTATCTATGGAGACATAAAGCTGATGTCCTAGTTTCTTTTGGGGTGAATGAATCAATGTGTTATTTGCATGTATTATTAGTTCACAATCCATGTTTAAAGTAAAGTGCTCACTGGATGTTGGTAAGTGCTCACTGGGGATGTTGGTAAGAGAAAATTCTTTGGAGTAGTGAAAGTGGAGGCTGGGAAGCAATGGCTTAAGGAAGGAGTACTGAAGGAAAGAAAAAATGGGGGCAGACAGGCAAGTGCAGACAACTTGGTTGAGTTTGGTCACGAAAAGAGAGCAAGGGATTGGGCTGGAAGAGGATGTGCTGCCCAGCAAAGGCTTTTTAAGATGGGAGGATGCTGAGGGAGACAGAGGGCAAGCGATTGGGACAGGAGAGATGATACAGTGGTCCTCGGGCAGGTGGCTGGGTAGACCAGAGTCCCCGAGCAAGCTGTGGCCCTGGCCCCCGTCCAACGCATGTCTGTCTGCACATCCAGCCCTAGCTTACGCCAGGCCCTTGGTCAGTGTCCACTAAGGCACAACGCTGTTAAGCATGGCCACCCACTACAGACGACCAGAAGAGGGCAGCCTTGGCCTTCCAAGAAAAGCTGTAAGTCGGGGAGCCACCTCTCCAGAAGCGCACCAAAGGGTCTGCATGATCCCATCACAGGGAGGGGGCTTAAGTCTCTCCTCGCCCCTGCAGTTGGCTGAGGGCATCCATCACTGGCTGAATCCCAGCTCAGCCATCCTCTCCCCAGCCACCTTGGAAAAAACAGAGTCCAAGGCAACTCAGCAGGACTCAAGCTGCCACCACCCTGATGCGGAACCTCCATCTCTCATTTCCTTATACGTTAAATGTGTCCTCACCAGGCTACGGTCAGAATCCCCATTAAAAAAAATAGTAATTACCTCACAGGGCTGTTGTGAGAATAAAATGAGATCGTGTACAGAAAACACTTGGCAAAGTACCTGACACAACAGACACACTCAGCAAAGGGCAGATGCTTCTCCAGTCCCCGCTGTCATCAAGGTCTCTCTCAGCCTTAACACCTCACTCTGCCCTTTCTTCTACAGAACCAAGCTCCTCCCCCTGGGGTTCCTGAAGCAGAAAACTCTAGGCAGTGGGGTTTGGTCCTGTTCTTCACCCTAGACCTCGGGGACTGAAAGGATCCTGCTCCTTTTCATCCCACGTGGAGGCCCAGGGCACCGCAGGAAGAAGTGGGAAACGAGGACGTCCTGGCTCTGCTACCCACAGATGGCTGACCCCATGGTTTCCTCAACTGTAGAACGGCAGTCTCTCCCACTGTGTGCCTCACAGAGCTTCGTGGAAGACATGCACAAAACGAGGTGTGCAAAGCATGAACTAGCCCAAAGATAAGAGGAAGCACCTCATCTACCATGAAAGGCATTAACATTCGGTCCCTGCTACAGGTTAACCTGCTCATTCTGACCATCCCGGCCAAGTGCACACCTCTCCCCAACCTGGAGTCGCTCCAGCCCTGTCATCCTGCCCAGGACTCCAGGAGTCCTTTCTAGAACTCTCCTCACAACATCCAGCCATATTACGCAACCATTACTAACCACCAAGAAAATAGTGCTAATGACAATATCACAAAGCAGTGCCCACTGGACTTGCTCCCACCTCAGGGCCTTTGCACCTGCTGTTCCTGCTGCCTGAAATGCCCTTTCCCTGGTTATCTACCTGGCTTGATCCCTTGGCTCTTTTGGGTCTGTATTCAAATCTCAGTGAACCATTCCCTGGCCAAACTATCTAAAAGTACAATCCTCTCTCCCAACATTCCTTACTTCCCTTTCCTGCTTTCTCTCTACAGCATTTTCCATCTAAAATACTAAATATTTTCTTTATTTCATCTTTTTTTTTTTTTTTGTAAACAAGCTCCATGAAGGAAGGGCTTTTGTTGTTTTATTTTGTTCACTGCCAAATCCCCACCTAGAATAATGCTTGGCCTCAGAAGAGATGCCCAATTAATATTTGCTGAATCAATAAATGAGATACTTTCAGCTCTACTTAGTTGAAACTTTATAGCTTAAATGCTTTTATCTAGCAAGGACAGAATAGAAATAAATAAACTAAGCATTCAACTCAAGGACAGCAGTCTATCAATTCTGTATTGCTAGCCCTGCCTAGCACAGTGACTACACGCTGTAGGAGTTCAGTAGATACTGAATGACAGTAGATAAGTAAAGTTAATCTAAAGTGGCTATGCGCGGTGGCTCACGGCTGTAAACCCAGCACTTTAGGAGGCTGAGGCGGGTGGATCACCTGAGTTCAGGAGTTTGAGATCAACCTGGCCAACATGCTGAAATCCTGTCTCTACTGAAAATACCAAAAAATTAGCCAGGTACGGTGGTGTGCACCTGTAATCCCATCTACTCGGGAGGCTGAGGGCAGGAGAATCACTTGAACCCGGGAGGCGAAGGTTGCAGTGAGCCAAGATGGCAACACTGCACTCCAGCCTGGGTGACAGAGCAAGACACCATCTCAAAAAATGAAAAAAATAAATCTAAAGAGAGCAGGAGGGAATGAAGACAACAGCAGAAATCAAATTAGAAAGACAGAATTGGTGGCAACAACAAAACTACAAGGACTAGTTAAGAAAATGCACCGCCACACATTATTATGATTATAAAAGGAAAAAGAAAAGAAACCAACAATATGGAGACGCTTTTGTTTTAATTAGAAGAACATCATGTATAGCTCTGTGCCAAACAAATTTGCAAATCTCCATTAAAAAGATGAGCTTTCTACCAGGGACAAAGAAGATTCCAATCTGGAACTTCAAGGCTGACAAATTCCATGCTCGTTTCTCCCTCCCTCATCCCTTGAGACCCCTCCTGAGTGGGTGGTCTTCCCAGAGGGCAAGGACCAACTACAGGTACCTCTTGCTCCCCAGAGCCCACCTGGACTAGCCTGGCCATGTGTGTGTTCAGTGGGCATGGAGGGTCAGTGCACCGTGCGGGCAGGGCTCACCTTGTTGGCACAGCTAAAGCCCAGCCCCAGCTGGGCCAGAACCTTCAGCACACCTGGGCTGCTGTTGCACTTGACAGCATAAAAGGGCCGGACTCGTGGCAGGCACTTCAGAAAGCAAAAGTGCTTCCTCACTATGGCACCCAGGTCAGCCACGAAGAAGGCAGCTACCTCGTCCTGAATGACAAGAAGTGGATGAATGTGAGACCCCATCCAGCTCGCACCCTGTGCATGCCATCCGTGATCCTTCCAAGTACCTGACCCAGGTTCAGTACTGGCCACAGAGCTACCCTGCTGCTAAGTTTTCTGGGCCTCCCCAAGCCTACAGGGCAGAAGGCAAACTCCTCAGCCTGGCATTCAAGGCTCTGATCTAGCCCCAATCCCTCCCCTCAATGCGGCTAAAACTCCAGCTGTAGGCTGGATCATTTTCCCACCTTCAAACCTTTGTTCCCACCATGTCCTGCAGAATACCCTCCCCACTCCTGTGTCTGGCAAAATCCTTAAAGTTTCACTCAAATGCCACCTTCCCCAAACCAATAAGGCAACTCTGCTTTTAAATGCTCCCACTGCATTTGCATATGCTTCCAAGGTATCAGAACTGCATATGCATCTGTCCATTCTAGAAAAGGGTAAACTCCCTAAAGGCAGAAGCTATGACCTACAGCTCACTGCCTTCCAAACACAGGTGCTCAATGAAGCCTTAAGCTAGTCCCACTGACACTGCAACCTATCCCTATGGACAACTGTTCATTGTAGATGTGCTAAAGGCCAAACATGTATGAGGCTGTGGGTGAGACCACATTACTTAAATGTGGAAGGGACCCTTCCAGAGTTGCTTCCCTGGGACTCAGTTTCCCTTTCATGCAACACTTTTTTACTCATGCCCACTTGGTGCCAAACGTTATGCTAAGGGACAGAGATGACCAAACAGTACTGTTGTTCTGAAGGAGCTTGGGTCTGGAAGAAAAGGAACCCCTTAAGTACTTACAAGTCCATTCAGCAGATGTTAGATGGCAGTTTCTACAAGGTGCAATGCAGGGGCATGGAGAAAGAAAATAGAAAATCTGCCTGGGGCGATCAGGAAAGGCAACACTGATGAGAAGCAAGGAATGACTAGAAAGGGGTAAAGAGGGGAGAGGCTGAGAGAAGGATGCTGCAGGCAGAAGGAACAGCCTGGGCAAAGGCATGGTAATAGCATCATTGGGCACACAGCATCATTGGGAAATGCAAATTGAGTCATTCAGCTCCGAAGGAGCATAATATATACTGTGGGGAAAGCTGGGAATGGGGCTATGGAGGCAGGGAAGCTCTGACTTGATCCTGTAGGCAGTGGAGAATTGCCAAATTCAGATTTTGAACAGGACTATGATACCTTTGGAGGGGGTGGCATGAGACCGGGAGATCAGGGGGCCTTTGGAGAGAGGAAGACTGAACTAGAAAGCGAGGTTCCACATAAGCACACTGGAGGCTTATTTAAGGAGGCAGAATTCACAGAGCTTGGTAATGCCTAGATGTGGGCGGTGAGGGAGAGGGGGCAGCAGGAAAGGAATCCCCCGTTTCTGACCTTGGAGGGCTGGGTAAAAAGGCAACATAGGAGGGGCAGGTTTGGGGGCAAGGACAAAGAATTGGGGATAAATTGAGCCCCTCTCTTGCAAATAGCAAGGATTGCGTACCAAATAAGCGAAAGGATAAGATGAGGGCCCTAGGGACCCTTCCTGAGGAGGCAGCTGATCTGTACAGGGGACCGGGGACCCACCCCCATTCCCAGCCCCTCACCGTGGTGGCCTGTGAGGCCCCCAGAGTGAGTTCCTTCAGCAGGTCTCGGGTACTGAAGCCCTCCTCCACCATCACAAAGTCCGATTCACTCAGGTAGCCAGCCATGCCTTGCAGGAGGAGCTGACGGGCTGGATGGAGCCGCTGCTGCAGCCGCCGCCTTAGAAAGTATGCAACACACTGCGGGGCGAGGGGAGATGAAGGGAACCGCTGGGGGGCCGGCTCTGCTGCCCCACTCGCCTCCCGAGGCCAGGGATCCCAATCCCGTCACAACCCGCCCCCAGCACAAGCCCGGGGTTCACTGGGCAAGGGTGGAGAAAGTCAAGAATCCCGGATTTCAGACGGAGACAAGGCACCGTATGCCCAAATGTCACTGCCTCTCCGAGTCAGTTGCTCCCTCTGTAAAATGGATGAATTGTTTTGGAGAGCCTTCCCAGTTCTGAAATTCTGGATTTCAGGAAAGAGTGAGAGAGAGATGGAACAGAAAATCTGAGAAACTTGGGTGGGGAAGTTTCCAGGGCGCCCCCAGTCTTGACCACGCCCACCTAGAGGGTAGCCGGTGGCCACATCAAGGCGTCTCAGCCTAAGAGCAAGAGCTTAAGTTCGAGTCCGCTCTCTACTGCTTGACCTCGGGTACCCTCTGACCCTTTCGGAGCCGCAGTTTCCCCAATTGTAAATGGGGGCTGGACTGATCCTGAGGTGCTAGAATTCTAGGCGTGCCTGGGGACGCCACGCGGTGGGTGGGGGCCGCAAGCTCCTGGGAGAGAACGGAAGGCCGAGGTTTTTTCTGTCCGAGTGACTCCTACAGAGTGCAGGGCTGAGGTCCCCCCAACCCCCAGGGCCCCTTACCAAACTCCGTCCTCCTTCGCGGGGGCCAGAGCCAGGCGCGCTGCTAGGGGGGGTCGCCGGTGACCTCGAAACTTGTGCAACACCCCGAGGAGGAGTGGCAGTTGCGGAGCCGAGGCCTCTGCTGACAGGAGGCAGAAGGGGCAGGGAGGCAGGTCAGCACCAGGGCGGAGGGCGTCCGCTCCCCGAGGCTCCCCAGGCCACTTTCCGCACTCGCCTTAAAACGCATTTACACGGCTTCGGCCCATAGGTCTCCCCAGGGAGTGAATCGGATCCTCGGCGCCTCCGCTCTCTCGCTTCCCCGGGCTCGGGTCCCGCGGCCTGCGCCCCGCCAGCCCAGCAGCCACAGACCCCCACGCCCCGCCTTCCGCCCGCCGCTGGCTTATATAACCCCGCCCAGGCCCCGCCCATAGTGCCGAGGCCCTACCTCCGCTTGGCCGTAGCCCTGGCAACCGGGTGCCGCCATCCCATTGGTCGATTCCGACATAAAGCATTCAGCTCTGCTCGCCCTTACTGTAGTCTTCTCCCCCGGAGGCCTGGCGGTGGCTACCTCACGCTGGAAGTCAGAACTACAGGGCCGCCGCCACGCAGGTGAGACACTTAGACCCTGCATCTTAGGTCTTAGAGAGTGGGCAGGACCAGGAAGCCTTTTCTGCCTCTGCCTCAACTTACTTCGTGGTCCAGCTCTTGTCTGCGTCAGGAACTGCTCACTCATCTCTCGAAACCCGGTTCCAATGACATGTCCTTGTATTACTTTTGTAATAAAATTCTTTTTATTTAATTGCCTCTTCCAGGCATCTTCCCCGACTCCAACTCAAAACGCATCTAAAATGTCTTCAGAGAACCTTTTTGTGACTTTCCCAGTTCAGGGCAATCCCTCCCTTTATCCCATCCTGTGAACCCGGCAAACTCTTACTCATCTCTCAATAGAAATGTGTCTCCTTCTCCAAGAAGCTTTCCCGGACTTCCTCAACTCAAAGCATTTCTTCTATACCGAAAGCTGCTGCTCACCCATCAAAGTCCTGTATAATGTCACCTCTGTTGAACCTTCCATGACTTGCCTGGCCCCAAGGAACACAGCATTTAGTCTGTCTGGACCCCTCACTCATTTGGTTCTTGTTACCCATAGCGTGAGATTCCTGTTGTTATTTTACACTTCTTGTTTGGTTACACTTTGCATCTAGTTTGTGATTTCCCAAGGGCAAGGACTGAATACCCTGCTCAAGAGCCTGGTGCCTGGCATAGACAAGAATGCTGAGGAAGATTCAATAGCTGTGTTACTCAAAAGCTGATATAAAAGTTCATCTGGAAAAGTAAGTGTACAAGAACAGTCAAGACACTCTTTTTGCCCAGGCTGGAGTGCAATGGCACGATCTCAGCTCACTGCAACCTCTGCCTCCTGGGTTCAAGCGATTCTCCTGCCTCAGCCTCCCAAGTAACTGGGATTATAGGCGCATGCCACCACGCACAGCTAATTTTGTATTTTCAGTAGAGATGGGGTTTCACCATATTGGCCAGGGTGGTCTTGAACTCCTGACCTCCAGTAATCTACCCGCCCCGGCCTCCCAAAGTGCTGGGATTATAGGCGTGAGCCACCGCGCCCGGCCAAAACTACAGTCTTTAAAACAGTATGGTGCTGGAGCAGGAAGAGACAGTGGTAAAACAGAACAGGGTCTACAACAGTCCCATATACATTGGAGATTGGTACACAATGGAGGCAGCATTTCAAATCAATGAAGCCAAAGGGCTTTTGGTCTACCATATGTCTTCATGTCCCCTGCTAGGCTGTGGGCTTTTTTTTTTTTTTTTCTCTTTTGAGACAAGATCTGGCTCTGTCACCCAGGCTGGAGTGCAGTGACATGACCTCAGCTCACTGCAACCTCCACCTCCCAGGCTCAAGTGATCCTCCAACCTCGGCCTCCCAAGTAGCTGGGACTACAAGTGCATGCTACCATACCTTGCTGATTTTTGTATTTTTTGTAGAGACAGGGTTTCGCCCTGTTGCCCAGGCTAGTCTCAAACTCCTGAGCTCTAGCAATCTGCCTGCCTCAGCCTCCCAAAGTGCTGGGATTACAGGCGTGAGCCACCATGCCCAGTGGGCTGTAGACTTTTTTTTAAATCAGAGGCACTTCTTGTCCCGCCTTAGTATCTCCCTAGGACACTGCACAACCTAGTTAGAACATGCTCAGTACACAAATGGTGTGGGGCAGGGACCAGAAGCAGGAGAGCCATTTTCTGCTCCCTACCCAGCTGGGACATATAATTGCTGGGTGTCCTTGGCTGAGTCACCCTAACTGGATCTGGGTCACTTCTGCCTGGCTTGATTTCCCCCTGTGAACTGAGAGGTTTCAGACTGATTTCTCTGGGCCCTTCTGCCTGGAACCATCTTGTTTTCTATGCATAGGAGTAGTATTTCAGGAGGCAGCTTTATAGGACAGTCATTTGCAGGACCTTTCTTTGAGATTAATAGTCATTTGCAACATAGTATGAGAACAAGTATCTACCAATCAGGAAGGGTAGATTAGGACGGCCATGGCAGAAACCCTAAAAGATTATACTGAGAGGGCCAGGCGCGGTGGCTCACGCCTGTAATCCTAGCTGAGATGGGAGGATCACGAGGTCAGGAGATCGAGACCATCCTGGCTAACATGGTGAAACCCCATCTCTACTAAAAATACAAAAAAAAATTAGCCAGGTGCGGTGGCGGGAGCCTGTAGTCCCAGCTACTCGGGAGGCTGGGGCAGGAGAATGGCGTGAACCCGGGAGGCGGAGCTTGCGGTGAGCCGAGATCACGCCACCGCACTCCAGCCTGGGTGACAGAGCAAGACTCTGTCTCAAAAAAAAAAAAAAAATTAGACTGAGAGGAGAGGAGCACCCGAATAACTTTGGCTCTACTTTTAGTTAAATCATTCTCTGAGCTGTCTGCATTTGGATGTCATGGTCTGGGTCTGCCCTACCAGCTTTTTTCATCACCTAGTAGGCACATAATAGGTACATTCAATATGTTTACTGAATGAATCAATAGAGGTAAGAAGAAACGAGCCAGAATCCAGTCTGTCCATTTGGAATCTATCAAGAGTAAGTAATCAGAGCAGAAAAATCTGCACCCTGGACTGAGTACAGATAGGCTGTGGCTTTTTCTTTTTTCCCTGCTTGTTATGTGATGTCATTGAAACTCCATGACAACCCTATGTCACAGGAGCCACATTTGTTCTCATTTTACAGATGAGGAATATAAAGCTCAGAAAAGTTCAATAACTTGCCCAGGATCACACAGCAAGTAAAGGTGAAGACTAGATTTAAATACAAGCCAATTCTGACCTTTAACCTTTATGCTTGACTGCCAATCAGTGGCTGAGAATTCTGGCCCCAGCTAAACAAAAGTTACACACTCATCCTGCCAGCATCCAACCCAAAAGCTGGTAGCTTCTCTTCTGCTTGTCTCTCATGCTACTGCTGTTGTAGCATCTATGATTGCTGTGCTGAGCCCTCAAGAACATGGAGCAGAAGCAGGATAAAAATCTTCTGATCTCTAGTCAGAATCATGTCAGCCAAGTCAATCTATTCTTCATAAACCAAGAGTAATCATAGTCACAAACGTTGCAATAATAAAAATGCCTTATTAGTACATAGAACTGGAGAGTTTGAAAAATACTTTCCTGTTCATCATTTTATTCAGGCTTCCCAAAATTCCACCAGTATTAATTTCTTAGGGATGCCATAACAAAGTACCAAAAATGAGTGGCTTAAAATAACAGAAATGTATTGTCTCCAGTTATGGAGGCTAGGAGTCTGGAGTCAAGGAGTTGGCAGGGCCATGTTCTCTCTGATGGCTCTAGGAGAGAATCTTTCCTTGCTTCTTCTAGCCTATGGTGTTAGCTGGCAATCCTTGGCGTTCCTTGGCTCGTAATGCATCACTCCAGTCACATGGCCGTCTTCTCCCTGTGTGTCTTCATATGATCTTCCCTCTATATGTGTTTGTCTCTGGGTCCAAATTTCCCCTTTTAATAAGGATGCTTATCATATGGGATTAGGGTCCATCCTAATGACCCCATTTAAATTTGATTACCTCTGCAAAGTCCTGTTTCCAAATAAGGTCACATTCTGTGGCACTGGAGGTTAGGACTTAAAAATAACATTTTACAAGGACACAATTCAACCCATAACACCACCAAACACTTCTTTTTTCATAATTGACCAAAATATAGATCCACGATGACACCTAGTTGCGAGGGAGGTGGGAAGACGTAGTCTTTATTTGGGTACATTGCTGTTCCTCCTACCCCCCAATAAAATCAAAATACTAATGAAGACAAGGAGAGAAGATATTTTGTGGTAACTAGTAGGGAAGATTATTTCTCCCTTTTAAAGATCAGTATACCACCGGGTGTGGCAGCTCATGCCTGTAATCCCAGCACTTTGGGAGGCTGAGGCAGGTGAATCACTTGAGGTCAGGAGTTCAAGACCAGCCTGGCCAACATAGTGAAACCCCATCTCTACTAAAAATACAAAAAATTAGCCGGGCATGGTGGTGAGCACCTGTAATCCCAGGTACTGGGGCAGCTGAGGTGGGAGAATCAATTGAACCCAGGAGGCAGATGTTGCAGTGAGCCAAGATTGCACCACTGCACTCCAGTCTGGGCAATAGAGCAAGACTCCATCTCTAAAAAAATAAAAAATAAAGATCAGTATATCAGTTGCTATGGTTTGAATGTGTCTCTCAAAAAGCTTGGGTTGTAATTTAATACCCAATGCAACAGTGTTGGGAGGTGGGGCCTAATGGGAAGTGTTTAAGTCATGAGGGCTCCACCACCATAAATGGATTAATGCCCATTATAAAAGGGCTCAAGGCTGTGAGTTCAACCTCTTGCTCTCTCTTGCCCTCTCCACCACCTTCCACCATGAAATTATGCAGCAAGAAGGCCTCCACTAGATGCAGCTCCTCAGTCTTGGACTTCCCAGCCTCCAGAGCCATGAGCCAATTTTCTGTTCATTATAACTTACACAGACTCAGGTATTCTGTTGCAGCAGCACAAAATGGACTAAGACACCAGTTCAGAATGATTATGGAATTTATTCCATAGGGAGAAGTAGACAGAGAAGTAAACAAACATTATTTGAGCACCTGTTGTGTGGCAGACATCATACTGAATGTTTACAAACACATGATTGCATTTAATCTTTAGATAACCCTGTAAGACAGGCATTATTAGCCCCATTTTACAGGTGAGAAAATTGGGATTAAATCCTTTGTCTAAGGTTACCCAGCTAGTGAGTATCAGAACGGAAACTTCACTCTGGTCTGTCTGACTATGCCAGTGAGATGGGCTCTGAGAATAAGGCATGAAGCTCAGAACAAAGAATGCCAACACCAGGCCAAGAGCAAACAGCAGGAGACCTGAGCAGTGGCTGGAACCCAGGTTCAGACACCAGATAAATTGGCAGAAAGGGCACCAACCCAAAGTCACCACTGCAAACTCTTTGAAGGCATCAGTGAAATGGAGACCCTGAAGTAACTAGAAACCAGAAACAAAAAAGCAGCCTTAGGACTTTGCAAGGTCAGAGCTACTTGCAAATTAAGGATGGAAATGAATCGTAACAGTGGCCACAATCTATTGTGCATCCACTATGCTCTAGGCACTAACAGCTAAGAACCCTAGAGAGGTTACTATCATGCAGCCTTGTATTAAGATTTATATAACTCTGGGCCAGGCGCAGTGGCTCATGCTTGTAATCCCAGCACTTTGGGAGGCTGAGGCAGGTGGATCACCTGAGGTCAGGAAGTTGAGACCATCCTGGCCAACATGGTGAAACCCTGTCTCTACTAAAATACAAAAAATGGCGGGTGCCTGTAATCCCAGCTACTGGGGAGGCTGAGGCAGGGGAATCACTTGAACCTGGGAGGTGGAGGTTGCAGTAAGCCGAGATTGAGCCACTGCACTCCAGCCTGGTGACAGAGCAAGACTCCATCTCAAAAAAAAAAAAAAAAAAAAAAATTTCATATAACTTTGACTGGGTGCAGTGGCTCACGCCTGTAATCTCAGCACTTTGGGAGGCCGAGGCAGGCAGATTACTTGAGGTCAGGAGTTCGAGACCAGCCTGGCCAACATGGTGAAACCCCGTCTCTACTAAAAATACAAAAAGAATTAGCCAGGTGTTGTGGCACATGCCTGTAATCCCAGCTACTTGGGAGACTGAGGCAGGAGAATTGTTTGAACCCAGGAAGCAGAGGCTGCAGTGAGCTGCGATTGTGCCACTGCACTCCAGACTGGATGACAGAGTGATACATCTCAAAAAAAAAAAAAAAAAAACAGAAAGAAAGATTTATATAATTTTTAACTCAATAACCCTAAGAGGTATGTGCTGTTTAGTAACCCTATGTTGCAAGGGAGGAAACGCATAGAGAGGCTAACTTGCTCAAGGTCACACAGAAAATAAGGGGCACCTCTGCACTATATACACTTTCCCCATCTTCACAACAAGCCTGCAAGGTGGGAACTATTATCTCATTCCACAGTGGAGGAATCTGAGGCCCAGCGAAGCCAAGTGATTTGCCTAAGATCACACAGCTGGTAAGTGGCAGAGCCTGGACTCAAACTCAGGGCTGTGCCCTGGTGAGAAATTTGAAATGGAAAGGCCCAGGATCATGTTAGAGCAAACCCTGGGGCCCCAGCTCTTCAAACGCTGAATTCTAATTGTTAGAGCTGTCTGTGTCCCCTTGATACAGGAGCAGGCAGGCAGAGGCCCTGCCTGTACCTTGGAACCCAGCCTAGGATCAGCACTGAGAAGACAAAGCTCAAGTGTGTTGACTGAATTGGGGATTATACTCACAACTCTTCCCTAGACAGACAAGATGCTAAGAGGCTGAATGTGGTAATTTGGATTTATTTGTGTTTATTTTCATTCTCTTTTAGGCTACACACAAATGTGAAAAAAAAAATAATAGTGTGTAACAATTAAGGAATTCATACAGTTTCTCTGAAGCCAGACCGGAGTCATTTCTAACAAATGTGATGAGAAAACAACAACTATTTAAAAAAACAATACTCAGCTGAAAATTCTCACTTTCTCCAGCTGCTGTCTTCAGAGCCACCCGGGAGGGGAATAAACAAGGCTGTTGACTACAGCTCTGTTCCACATTCTCTGATGGTTCTCAGGCTTTGGCCTGCATCAGAATCACCTGGAGGGCTTGTGAAAACACACATTGCCAGGCCCTTTTCCAGAGTTTCTGATTCAATAGGTTTGGGGTGGCCCTGAGAATATGTATTTCTTTTTTTTTTTTTTTTTTTTTTTGAGACGAAGTTTTTGTTCTTGTTGCCCAGGTTGGAGTGCAATGGCGTGGTCTCGGTTCACTGCAACCTCTGCCTTCCGGGTTCAAGTGATTCTCCTGCCTCAGCCTCCCAAGTAGATGGGATTACAGGCACCCGCCACCATACCCAGCTAATTTTTGTATTTTTAGTAGAGACAGGGTTTCACCATCTCAGCCAGGCTGGTCTCGAACTCCTGACCTCAGGTGACCCACCAGCCTCAGCCTCCCAAAGTGCTGGGATTACAGGTGTGAGCCACCACGCCCAGCCAAGAATATATAGTTCTGACAAGTTCCCAGGTGAAGCTGATACTACCAGTCCAGGAACCACACTTTGAGAGCCCCTAACCTAAACAGACCTGAAGCACAGCAGGCAAAGAGATCAAAGCTGTGTACCTTTGAAAGAAGGCGTCAAGTCCTTGCCCCAACCCCTCTCTGGCAAGGAGGTCTGGTGGGCCAAAAACCAACCTGGGCTGGAAGGCTATACTATCTCTAGACAATAGGAGCACATCCATAAATATACACACTTACTATGTACCCACAGAGATTTACAACAAAAAAAATTGTTTTAAATAGGAGTACACACTTCAGGGGTATATAAGCTTGAATCCATCTCCTGGGGCAACCCTCATTTACTGTGTGACCTTGGCAAAGTTACTTATCTTCTGCGAACCTCACTTTATTCATCTGTAAAATGAGCATAATAAGACTGCCTGCTTCCCAGGGCTGCTGTAAGAAATCTGTGAACATGTAAAATCTCCTGCTTAGTGCCTGGCATGTGCATTCGCAAATGCATTCTATTTTTTTTAGAAAGAGTCTCGCTCAGTCACCCAGGCTGGACTTCAGTGGCACAATCTGGGCTCACTGCAGCCTCTGCCTCCCAGGTTCAAGCAATTCTCATGCGTTAGCCTCCCGAGTAGCCAGGATTACAGGTGCACCACCACACCTGGCTAATTTTTGTATTTTTTGTATTTTTAGTAGAGATGGTGGTTTCGCCATGTTGGCCAGGCTGGTCTCGAACTCCTGTCCTCAAGTGATCCACCCACCTTGGCTTCCTAGCAAATGCATTCAAAACAGTAGCTATTTGCATTATTAGCCTGAGCCAGAGTGCATGGGGCCAGAGAAGAAAATTCAGAATGGTTTCAGAGGATACAGCTGGGGCAGGATGAGAGAAGCAGCCCCACAGGGAGGTTTAGGAGGTGAGCTGAGAAACACCCAACAGGGCCCAGATGCTCAGGAAGTGGGGCAGCACAGTATGGGGTAGGGTAGAATTCCATTTCCCCTTGGGTTTTCACAGGGGCAGAGGTTGATGTGCAGAGCATTGAGTCATGCAAGCCCCACCCAAGCTGGACCTCTTTCTAAATTGCTATAGTAGTCATGTTCTCTCGGAAAGCTGTTCACTCACGCCAAGAAAGAGCAGACCCAGGCAGCCATGTCTACACCTCAGGATGCTCTGCTCCCCTCCCCCACTGCTGAGGGACTCATAATTGGGCACCACATCCCTATGCCTCCAGTTAGCTGACCAATCAGAGACACAGCGACTGGAGCTGGGTGAAAGAGTGAGATCTGGGGTCAGTGGAGTCCACCTGAGAGAGAGCCAGAGTTTGCCTCTGTCTCTGAGGCTTCCAACCATGCCTGGTGTCCCTGAGAGATTCTGAGTCCTTTCAGCAAGCCTCCTTCACAGAGGCAGCACAGCAGAGTCCTCAACCACAAGGACACAAGGAGTCACGCTTCCTACTCTTCAACCCAGGCTCCACCATTTATCCAATAGTGTGACCATGGGGAAGTTACCTAACCTCTCTGCACCTCATTGTCCTCATCTGTAGGATGGAGATCATAAAACTGCCTACCTCATGGGGTTGATATGGTAAGCAAAGAGGTAACCATGTGCTCTAGTCTGAATGTTGGTGTCCTCCCAAAATTCATATGTTGGAATCTAATACCCAATTTGATAGTATTAAGAGGTGGAGCCATTGAGAGGTGACTAAATCATTAAGAGAGGCCCTTGAGTCTTTCACCATGTGAGGATACAGCAGAAAGTGTCATCTTTGAAGTAGAGAGCAAGTTCTCACCAGACATCAAATCTGCTGGCACGGGCTGGGCACGGAGGCTCACGCCTGTAATCCCAGCACTTTGGGAGGCAGAGGCTGGTGGATCACTTGAGCCCAGGAGTTCAAGACCATCCTGGGCAACATGGCAAAGCCCTGTCTCTACAAAAAATACAAATAATAATAATAATAATAATAAGCTGGTGGTGGTCGCATATGCCTGTAGTCCCAGGTACTTGGGAGGCTGAGGTGGGAGGATCATCTGAGCCCAGAAGTCAAGGCTGCAGTGAGCCATGATTGTGCCACTGCACTCCTGCCTGGGCAACTGAGCAAGACCCTGCCTCAAAAAAAAAAATCTGCTGGCATGTTGATCTTGGACTTCCTATCCTCCAGAGCTGTGGGCAATACATTTCTGTTGTTTATAAATGACCCAGCCTCAGGCACTTTGTTATAGCAGCACAAATGGACTAAGACAGGACTCTTATGTGGTTGTAATCAGATGGCAGCCTGAACTAGAGTCACCCAGAGGCTCAACTAGGACACTGGGATAGCTGGGCCTTTCTCCCTCTTTGTGTATGTCAGGGCCCCACTATGGGGTTTTCACTTGGTCTCACAGCAGGGGAGCTGGACCTCTTACCTGGTGGAACAGGACTCCTAAGAGCTCAAAGGCAGAGCTTGCCGGGTCTCCTGAAAATCTCAGGTTCAGAACTGGCACAGCATCACTTTCCCTGCATTCTACTGGTTAAAGTGGGTCAGAGAGTTGTCCCAGATTCAATGTGAGATGGGACTACACAAGGCACATATATTGGGAGGCGTGGTTCATTTTTGGAGACTAGCTGCCATAAAATCCATCCAAAATCTATGTGTCCACTGTCCCTACCCTGTCAAAGTCATCATCCCTAGCCTGGATGTCTGCAATAATTTTCTAAATAATCTCCCTGTACTGCTCTTAACCTTCCACCAATCTAGCCCAAACACTGCAGCCAGGGTGTTCTTATGAAGGTGATATCAAAATGCAAATTAAGTAAAGATTTTGCCTATTAAAAACCCTGCAATGACCTCCCTTTGCTCTTGGGGCAAAGTCTCAGATCTTTAACAAAGCCTACGAGGCCCTTCATCTGGGACCCTGCCCCAGCCTCACCTCTACCGGACACTCTCCTGGCCACCATTTTCCCAGCCTTTCTCCAGCTGCTGCTGCTGCTGCTGTTTCTTTCTTCTTTCTGCTTCTTCTTTTCTTCCTCTTCTTCCTCTTCCTCTTCCTTCTTCCTCTTCCTCTTCCTTCTTCATCTTCCTCCTCCTTCTTTCTTCTTTCTTCTTCCTCTTCTTTCTTTTCTTCCTTCTTCCTCTTCTTCTTCCTCTTGTTCTTCCTCTTCTTCTTCTTCTTCCTATTCTTCCTCCTCTTCCTCTTCTTCCTCTTCTTCTTCTTTCTCTTCTTCCTCCTCTTCTTCTTCTTGCTGCTGCTACCTCTCTTCTTCTTCTTTCTCCTTCTTCTTCTTTGAGATAGGCCTCTCTCTCACACCTACATGTAAGCTGGAGGGCAGTGGCACAATCACAACTCATTGCAGCCTCAGACTCCTGGGCTCAAGGGTCCTTCCACCTCAGCCTCCAAGTAGCTGGGACTACAGGCATGTGCCACCATGCCTGGCTAATTTTTTTTTAGTGATGAGGGTCTAACTATGTTGCCCAGGATGGTCTCGAACTCCTGGGCTCCAGTGATCCTCCCCTCTCAGCCTCCCAAGTAGCTGGGACTACAGGTATGAGCCACCACACCCAGCATTTCCAATTTATTGAACCTGCCATGTTTCTTCCTTTCTTGGGACCTCTGCACTTGCTGTTCCTCTGGGACATTTTTTCCACCTCTTCACCTGACCAACTGCTGCTCATCCTTTAGGTCTTGGCTGAAATGTCCTTTCCTCAGAGAGGCTGTCCCTGACGCTTTGGATCACTAAACGCATTTCTTCATTTTGAGTAGGGGAAAACCCAACTCAAACTGTCTCAAGCAAAAAGGGCATTCATTGCCTTATGTGACAAAGTCACTGAGGGATAAAAGTTGACACAAAGACTAAATCCAAGAGCTCAAAAATGTCACTGGGATCTGTTCTGCTTCGAGTCTCAGTGCTGCCTTCCTTGGAGTGGGCTTCTACCTCAGGCAGGCTCTCAGCAACCCCCCCCCACCACACACGCTTATCCTCCAATCCACCCTGGACCCCAGCCACTGCCTCCTAGGCCAGGTTCCTTGATGTGCACATCTCTGATTGGCCAGACCTGGGGCTTGAGCCCCTTGCCCAAGATGAGATCAGCCCCATTCTTACAATATAGAATGAGAGTGGGGAAGGTATGGTTCTCCAGTAGAAAAATGGGGTGTTGTAACGTGAAAAGGGGGGATGAATTCTAGCCAGGAAAAAAATGCCGATGGATTCTCTTATTCTGTTTATCAGCACCCTGAGTGTTGCCCTACGTACTGGGGCACTCTTTTTGTCTTTTATTATTGTTTGTTTATTTTGTTGCTGTTGTTGTTTGGGGGTTGTTTTTTCTTTTTGTTTTTGTTTGAGACAGGGTCTTGCTCTGTCCCCCAGGCCGAAGTGCAGTGACACAATCACGGCTCACTGCACCCTCTATCTCCCAGGCTCTAATGATCCTCCCACCTTAGCCTCCTGAGTAGCTGGGACTACAGGCATGCACCACCATGCCTAGCTAGTTTTCAAATTTTTTTGTAGAGAAGAGGGTCTCCCTATGTTACCCAGGCTAGTCTTGGACTCCCGGGCTTAAGTAATCCCCCCACCACTGCACCCAGCCCCAGGGCACTCTTTTGCCTTAGGATCTTTGCACAGGCTACCCCTTCTGCCTGAAATGCTTTTTTAAAAATATAATAATATAAATCCTTTTTGCTTTTTTTTGTTGTTGTTGAGACGGAGTCTTGCTCTGTCGCCCAGGCTGGAATACAGTGGCACAATCTCGCCTCACTGTCTCTCGGTTTCAAGCGATTCTCATGCCTCAGCCTCCTGAGTAGTTAGGATTATAGGTTCATATCACCATGCCCAGCTAGTTTTTTGTATTTTTAGTAAAGATGAGGTTTCACCATGTTGTCCAGGCTGGTCTTGAACTCCTGACCTCAAGTGATCTGCCTGCCTCAGTCTCTCAAACTGCTGGGATTACAGGCATGAGCCACTGCACCCGACCTATAAATCCTTTTTTTAAAAAAAGTTTTATCTTGAAATTCATACAGAAACTTTCCAAAAATAGTATATATCTTTCACCCAGATTCCCCAAATGTTAACATGTTGACAATTTTGCTTTCCATTCAAATATATATATTTGTGTGTTTGTGAATACATGGATGGATAGATATGGATAGACAGAGGGATAAATTATTTATTTTTTCTAAACTGTTGGAGAGTAAGTTGCAGACATAAAGCCACTTTACACCTAAATATGTCCATGTGTATTTTGTCTAGAATGTGTTTCTGAAGGAGTGGCCTGCCCTTCCACACCTGTAGGTGTTTCTCGTCAGGTGGGACGAGAGACTGAGAAAAGAAAGAGACACAGAGACAAAGTATAGAGAAAGAAAAGTGGGCCTAGGGGACTGGCGCTCAGCATATGGAGGACCTGCACCAGGAGGACCTGCACCAGCACCGGTCTCTGAGTTCCCTTAGTATTTATTGATCATTATCTCTGACATCTCGGAGAGGGGGATGTGGCAGGACAATAGGGTAATAGTGGGGAGAGGGTCAGCAGGAAAACATGTGAACAAATGTCTCTGTGTCATAAACAAGGTTAGAAAAGGTGCCTTTATCTTCCCATTTTAGGGGAAAGAATGAGCTGAACCTCCTATGCAAAGTGGAATGATGATTCTCATTCTCCTGACAAGAAATAAAATAAGTAGCCTCCAGGCATTCCTTTCCACCAGAGGAGCAATTGTTTTTTAAATAGCCCTTTGGTGCCCAGTCTATTACTAAACCGTATGAGTCATTTTTTAATATTACTGCATGTGAGTTAACACAATCTTCCCAAATTAAAGTTTTAGATGGGCCCTCAAAATTTTTAGGGCATGGTTTTCCTGCAGGTTTATATTGAAAGTATGGGGTACCTCCCATTATTCCCCCTTTCATTTGTTTTAAAGGAGAAAGTGAGTGGCCAGAGACTAAATGTCCTGGTTCTTCTGTAGCTGATCTCTCCGGAAGATAAGCAGCCTAGACTTGAGTTTTTAGATGGATACAACCAGGTGCGTGTCTGAGGCACAGAGGTGGGTATTTATAACCTATGGTAACATTAAATGCAGTGCCTTCTTCTCCTGGTTGAGCAAGGCAATGGTCATCTGTAGCTCTAGGCATCTACACACTATTGTTAGTGTAGATTTTTGTAGGAGCATCAATCTAGGTGAGAGGTCAAATAAGTGGAGGAAAAGGCACATAAGCCCAATAAGAATAATTTTGTGTAGAAGGTAAATTAGTGTGAGAGGAAACTGGTGAGACAGAAAGTATAAGGAGGAGAATCATTAAATAAAACCTATTGTAAATGAGATTGAGTGCTGAAGGAGGAAGAGAACAGAGGGATGTTATTTTCAGGCTAATAGAAATGGTGAGATTTTTAGGTTTGTAAGGAGAAAAAGAGAGGTAATTAGAAGTGGGATTAGTTAGATGGGTCTCCATTGCCATCAGGGAGGATTGAATCAGACCCATTGTGATTTGGTGTGCCTGCTTCTGAGGAGTCGGCACAGATCTCACTACGTCTGAGGGCAGTCTGTGACACAGACGTCTTTTCTTTGTGGTTTTTGTTTGATGATCTCCTGGTGAAACACAAGCATATTCTCTTTCCTACGTTAAGGAGAATAAGAGACAATATTTAAAGGTTTGGGGAAATCCTGTAAGGCAGTAATTACAGCAATTAACTCTGCCTTTTGAGCAGAGGCATAAGGGGTAGAAATAAGCTGTCTGTAGGTCTTAAATAATTAATGTTACCTAAAAGTTTTTGGAAGTCATTTAAAGTTTTCAAAGAAACTCTCTTAATTTGAACTTTTTGAGGTTGAATACGTTGTTTATCGACCACCATTCCTAAATATTGAACAGGAGTGGTCTGTTGAATTTTATCCTGAGTGATGTGTAATCCAGCCTCTGTAACACAGCGGCTTAAAATTTGATAACAGTCAATTAATTCTTTATTAGTTGGGGTAGCAATTAAAATATCATCAATATAATGAAGAATATAGGCCTGGGGAAATTGGGCTCGAACTAGTGAAAGCACTTGTCCGACATAAAGCTGGCAGATTGTAGGGCTATTCAGCATTCCCTGAGGAAGTACTTTCCATTGATAATGAGCTGCAGGCTCCTGATTATTGATAGATGGTACAGTAAAAGCAAATTTTTTACAATCCGATTTATGTAAAGCAATATGAAAAAACAATCTTTAAGACCAATAACTATGAGAGACCAATTTTTAGGTATTAAAGCAGGGGCAGGCATGCTGGGTTGGACAGCTCCCATAGGTTTAATTACAGCGTCAATGGCCCATAAATTGGTTACCATACGCCACTTGCCTGATTTCTTTTTTACTAGAAACATAGGAGAATTCCAGGGGGAAAGAGAAGGTTCCACATTTCCAAGTTGTAACTGTTCAGAAACCAATTGAATTAAAGCCTCCAGATTTTCTTTAGAAAGCAGCCACTGCTGAATCCAAACAGGTGTGTCAGATTTCCATTGTAAAGGGATAGGATCAGGAGGCATGGCAGTGGCCACCACTAAAAAGGATAATCTAAACCATTACTGTCTTATTTTATAGTAATTGGGAGGGGTTTAATAATCCCTTCATGCTTCGGACCGAGACCTAGCCCAGGAACAAACCCATGTTTTTCATCATATGCCGACCGGGAACACTATAAGAGTTATATGGAATATTAATTTTAGCCTCAGTATCTACTAGGCCCTCAAAACTTTTTTCCTTGAATGTGTATGGTGAAGGTGGGCCGTTGTTTAGAAATTGTATTAATCCAATAAGCAGCCTTTTTACCACCAGAGTCTATCCCAGAGCCACGTGTCTTATCTCCTTTGTTTAAAACGATATTAGGTAGTAAAAGCAATTGAGCCTGTTTAACAGTAGTAAAAGAAACAGGAGCTTGGCCTGGGGCACGTAATTTATCCCAAGCTCTCATACACACCTTTGTTACTTGTTTTGTGGTAGGAGCATCAAAGCCTACTTGGGCTTAAGTATCAGAGAAACTATTGGAGCCTGTGAGCTGAGCCTGAGTAGTTAGAATGCCATTAGTCTGATTTAGCTGAGCCTGAACATGGGCCTCCTCTGCCCACCAGGCTGAGATGGGGTTAGAACAGCTTTTTGCCAAAAGGTCCAAGTCTAAAGGAAGTAAAGTGACCTCCATACAAAAAGTTTGTAATACCATTTTAACATAAGGAGAAGTAGGACCATACTGACTGAGTACAAGCATCCTTAAATTCTTTTAAAAAAAGTAAGATTGAGCAGTGCATATCGACACAGACCGGTTGAGGAACCGAAACGACAGGAGGGTGAGGGGCTGTAGTGGATGGGGGAGGGCCTGGAGAATTATAGGTAAATTGTAGTTTGGTCCTGGAGCCATTTGAAGAGACAAGAATTAGCATATCTATGGTCCTGGGCTGTGTGAGTCATGGCCGCGGGAGCTTCAAGTACCAGTTCTTCATGAAAAGAAGATAAGTAGGGGGTAACTTTAAGCCAAAGTCACCAGAGTTAGACATTGAATTTTCAGCATCGTTAGGTGGGGGAGGAGTAGCCGAAGGAAGAGGCTGATCAGATAATGAAGGCCGTGTGGGAGAGGAAAGTTGAGGAGGTATTAGGATGGCACGTTCCAAGGCCTAATCACCCCAAACAGTGACGGGAACATAATTCCCTGCTGGGACCAGCTCCCAGAATGTTGAACCAACACGATCCCATACTTTTACATATACGGTTCCTTTTTCAGGAAACCAAGGACAGTATTTTTCCAACACCCTGAATAGAGTGACCATATTTTCCATGGTTACTCAGACCCTTCCCTGTTTTAACAGGTCTACATCTAAGGTTCCTTTTTCTTCTAATTTTAACGTTTCAGTATATATCACCTCCTGTAATTGATTATAGTCAACATTTTGTGTTGACCGAGCCATTACCGGCTCTGCTACATATTTACAATGTGAACTTTCCATTCCTTTTCGGGATTCTATCCCTGCCTCTTCTTCACAATCTATTACACAGCTTTCAGGGGCATCAGAAACTGAAATGCTATCTTCTTCTGTTTGAAACAGTTCTAAAGCTACTTTAATAATGACCCAATCATTCCATATTGTAAGTGGGATGATTTTACCCTCCCTACTTGCTTGTTTTAATTCTTTGCCAATTTTTTCCCAATCTTTTAGATCTAAAGTTCCTTGTTCTAGAAACCATGGACAGAATTGTTCTATTGTTTGAAATAGCATGATTAGAGTTTTTGTAGAGACTCTAACTCCCCCTGTTTTTGAAATAATTTTAATAGAGCTAAAAGGCATATTTACTTTTAGTTTGCCCCATTGTTACCCTAGGTTCTTCCGAGCACACAAGCTTACCACAAGGCTGACTGTAGACTTACTCGGGAATCTCTCATTGACTTGTCCTCAATGACCACGCTCGAGCGTACCTTCACCCTAGAGAAAAGCCCCACGTTGGGCGCCAGATGAAGGGGTGGCCTGCCCCTCCACACCTGTGGGTGTTTCTTGTCAGGTGGGACAAGAGACTGAGAAAAGAAAGAGACACAGAGACAAAGTATAGAGAAAGAAAAGTGGGCCTAGGGGACCAGCACTCAGCATACGGAGGACCTGCTCCGGCACTGGTCTCTGAGTTCCCTCAGTATTTACTGATCATTATCTCTACCATCTCAGAGAGGGGGATGTGGCAGGACAATAGGGTAATAGTGGGGAGAGGGTCAGCAGGAAAACATGTGAACAAATGTCTCTGTGTCATAAACAAGGTTAGAAAAGGTGCTGTGCTTTGATGTGCACATACATAAACATATCTGGTGCATTAAAGAGCAGTATTGCCACCAGCATGTCTCACCTCCAGCCTTAAGGAGGTTTTTCTGTTATCTCAGTAGATGAAACATACAATCGGGTTTTACACCGAGACATTCCATTACCCAGGGATGAGCAGGAGACAGATGCCTTCCTCTTATCTCAACTGCAAAGAGGCCTTCCTCGTTTACTAATCCTCCTCAGCACAGACCTTTTATGGGTGTTGGGCTGGGGGACAGTCAGGTCTTTCCCTTCTTACGAGGCCATCTCTCAGACTATCACATGGGGAGAAACCTTGGACAATACCTGGCTTTCCTAGGCAGAGGTCCTTGCAGCCTTCTGCAGTGTATTGTGTCCTTGGGTACTTGAGATTAGAGAGTGGTGATGACTTTTAACAAGCATACTGCCTTCAAGCACTTGTTTAACAAAGCACATCCTGCATAGCCCTAAATCCATTAAACCTTGAGTCAACACAGCACATGTCTCTGCGAGCACAGGGTTGGGGGTAGGGTTACAGATTAACAGCATCTCAAGGCAGAAGAATTTTTCTTAGTACAGAACAAAATGGAGTCTCTTATGTCTACTTCTTTCTACATAGACACAGTAACAGTCTGATCTCTCTTTCTTTTCCTCACATGTTTCCTCCAGATATTCCCATGGCTCACTCTGCACAAAGCACACCCTCACTTCCTGCAAGTCTTTGTTCAAATGTCACCTTCTCAAGGAGGCCTACCCAATCACCCCTTTAAAATTTCAACCTGCCTTTCTGTGCACTGCTGTCACTCTTAATCCTCTTACCACTCTCTACTTTTTCTTCTTCGACAACACCTTTCACTTTCTAGGATACTTTAAAATTTATAGGTTAAATCTGTTTGTAATTTAAGCTCCCTAAGGACAGGAATCTTTGAACTTTTTGTTTACTGATATATCCCAAGCCCTTAAAGCAGTGCTTGGCACACAGCAGATGGTCCATAAATACCTATTGAATGAATAAATAAATGGGGTAACCCAGGGTCATAGCGAGTAAGTGGCATGGTGCTTTCATCAGACCCTATCATGGGTCAGCTACTGCTCTCAGAGCTCTTCTGTGACATCCTCTCGGGCTGCCTAGGTTCTCAATGGGCCCATCTATGACACTGCTTTATGTAGCCTCTAGCCATTGTGGGGTTGACCCAAAACAAAATTATGAGCTCTCAATTTTGCCATTGTTACCTCTGATGTTTCTTTTTTCTTTTTGAGACAGAATCTCCCTCTGTTGCCCAGGCTGGAGTGCAATGGTGCAATCTTGGCTCACTGCAACGTCCACCTCCTGGGTTCAAGCAATTTTTCTTCCGCAGCCTCCTGAGTAGCTGGGGTTACAGGCACATGCCACCATTCCCAGCTAATTTTTGCTTTTTGGGTGTTTTTTTTTGAGACGGAGTTTCACTCTTGTTGCCCAGGCTGGAGTGCAATGGTGCAATCTTGGCTCACCTAAACCTCCACCTCCTGGGTTCAAGTGGCTCTCAGCAACCCCCCACACACACCCTTATCCTCCAATCTACCCTGAACCCCAGCCACTGCCTCCTAGGCCAGGTTCCTTGATGTGCACATCTCTGATTGGCCAGACCTGGGGCTTCAGCCCCTTGCCCAAGATGAGATCAGCCCCATTCTTACCATATGGAATGAGAGCGGGGAAGGTATGGTTCTCTAGTAGAAAAGTGGGGTGTTGTAACATGAAAAGGGGGAATGAATTCTAGCCAGGAAAAAAATGCCAATGGATTCGCTTATTCTCCTGCCTCAGCCTCCCAGGTAGCTGGAATTACAGGCATGTGCCACCACGCCTGGCTAATAATTTTTGTATTTTTTTAGTAGAGATGGGGTTTCACCATGTTGGCCAGGCTGGTCTTGAACCCCTGACCTTGTGATCTGCCCGCCTCGGCCTCTGAAAGTGCTGGGATTACAGGTGTGTGCCACTGCTCCCAGCCTGATATCCCTTTTTCACTGCTTTCCCCACTCCAAAACCACTCTTTGCCCTAATGTTTCTCCCACATGGCAACTATTTCCATCTCATATGGCAAGGGGCAGGGCAAAGTGGTGCAAAAACACTGGGCAGGGAGTCCTTAGAAAGGACCCACTTCCCTCTTTGGGTCTCAGTTCCCCACTCTGAGATTCCCATGATCTCTGAGACTCTTGGTGACTCTGATAGCATCTGCCAGTCTAATACCTTTATACATTGACCTAGGGAGTCTGGGTTGAGATTTGTGGACTTTTCCCTGATAGCAGAATGTGTGGCTCATTCTCCCATGAAAAGCATCACAGGGAATAGATGAAAAAAGTGTTTTCAAGTCTATGGTTACTGCTTCCCTGCCTCTGGGTTTGAGAACTAGACAAATCTGGATTTCTATCTAAAGCTGCCACATCACTTAGTAGTTCTATGACCCTGCCAACTTGCTTCAGCTTTCTGAGTCTCAGTTTTCTCCACTGTAAGATAGGTTTAATAATATCTTCTCCAGAGGGTTGTTGGAAGGAGCAAATAAAAAGATGCATGCAAAGCACTTTGCCTATTACCTGGGACACAGAAAGTTCCAAAAATAGCAGCTGTTATTAGCACCTGTCTTAATCCATTTTCTGTTGCTTATAACAGAATCCCTGAACCTGGGTAATTTATAAAGGAAAGGAATTTATTTCTTAGAGTTATGGAGGCTGTTAAGTCCAAGGTGGAGGAGCTGCATCTGATGAGGACCTTTCTGCTGGTGGGGACTCTCTGCAGAGTCTCAATATGGTACAGGGCATCACATGATGAGGGGGCTGAGCAAGCCAGCTCAGGTATCTCTTCCTTTTCTTATGAAGCCACCAGTTCCATTTCCTGATAACCCATTACTCCATCAATCCATTAATCCATGAATGAATTAATCCATTCATTAGGGCAGAGGCCTCATGACCCAATCACCTGTCAAAGGTCCCACCTCTCAATACTGCCACACTGGGGACTAACCTTAACACGAGTTTTGGAGGGGACAAACATTCAAACCATGGCAGCATCTGAGCCCTGAGTGGATTCCTGCTGCAGCTGTGGCCACATGGTCAGGGAGCATTTCTGGAGTCCTCTCTGCATAGTAAGTGTGGGCCTGAGCCCTGTGTGCAGCTGCTGTGGGGCTGGTTTGGTGGGCGGTGTCTGCGGCTATTTTGGAGACACCAGTTCCTATTGTCTAGACAGAGTTCCCTAAGGCCATCATCTCCCCAGCATAGAGGCTGAGCCCAGAAGTCTGAGTCATAGAAAGCACTTGAAAGTCCCTGGGAAAGCCATCTGGGCCAGGAGCACTTAGAATATTTTTCCCTACATGTTTCTTTTATTGAAATATTATATTCATCTTTTATTGCTGCATAACAACTCAAAACTTAGTAGCTTAAAACAACAAACATTGATTATGTCACCCAGTTTCTGAAGGTCAGGAATTAGGAGGCAGCTTAGCCATGTGGTCTGGCTCAGGGTCTCCCATGAGTTTGTGGTCAAGCAGACAGCTAGGGCTGCCAACATCTGAAGGCTTTAACTGGAGCTGAAGAATCCACTTGCAAGCTCACTTACATAGCTGTTGACAGGAGGCTTTAGTTTCTTGCCCCTCGGATTTTTTCATAGGGATGCCCAACACATGGGTTCTCCAGAATAAGTGACCTGAGGGAAAGGGAGATTGAGACCAAGACAGAACTGCAGTGTCTTTTTTTTTTTTGAAATGGAGTTTCACTCTTGTCTCCCAGGTTAGAGTGCAATGGTGCGATCTCAGCTTATGGCAACCTCCACCTCCCAGGTTCAAGCGATTCTCCTGCCTCAGCCTCCCGAGTAGCTGGGATTACAGGCACCTACCACCATACCTGGCTAATTTTTTTGTATGTTTAGTAGAGATGGGGTTTTGCCATGTTGGCCAGGCTAGTCTTGAACTCCTGACCTCAGGTGATCCACACGCCTCAGACTCCCAAAGTGCTGGGATTACAGGTGTGAGCCACCACGCCCGCCCTGCAGTGTCTTTTATAACTAATCTCAGAAGTGACACCCCATTACTTCTGCCAAATAGACCAACCTGATACAGCGTGGGAGGGGATAATACAAGGGCATGCACACCAGTAGGCAGGAGTCTTTGGGGGCTCTTTGAGGTTTTTTGTTTCTTTGTTTTGAGACAGAGTCTCGCTTTGTCACCCAGCCTAGAGTGCACTGGTGTGATCTCGGCTCACTGCAACCTTCCAGGTTCAAGCGATTCTCCTGCCTCAGCCTCCTGAGTAGCTGGGACTACAGGCGCACACCATCATGCCCAGCTAACTTTTTTGTATTTTTGGTAGAGATAGGGTTTCACCATGTTGGCCAGGCTGGTCTTAAACTCCCGACCTCAAGTGATCCGCGCACCTTGGCCTCCCAAAGTGCTGGGATTACAGGTGTGAACCACCATGCCTGCCTGGGGAATCTTTTGAATGCCACCTGCCATGGACATAATTCACATATGATGAAATTCACAGATCTTAGGCGTACAGTTTTATCAGTTTTAACAACGGAATATGTTTTTTTTTCGAGATGAAGTCTTGCTTGCTCTGTCGCCAGGCTGGAGTGCAGTGGCTTGATCTTGGTTCACTATAACCTCCCCTTCCCGGGTTCAAGCAATTTTCCTGCCTCAGCCTCCTGAGTAGCTGGGATTACAGGAGTGCACCACCGCATCCGGCTAAATTTTGTATTCTTAGTAGAGACAGGGTTTCACCATGTTGGCCAGGCTGGTTTCGAACTCTTGACCTCGTGATCCGCCCACCTCAGCCTCCCAAAGTGCTGGAATTACAGGCGTGAGCCACCACGCCCAGCCCAACAATCAAATATTCTAATATAACCCATATTCCTATCAAGGTTTTGAACATTTTCATTATGTCAGAACATTCTCTCATCCCCTTCCCAGTCAATTCCCCCTCACTCCAAGTAACTACTGACCTTATTTCCATCTCTATATAATCCACAGTTTTGCCTGGTCTAGAATGTGATAACATTGGAATCATAGAGTATGTACTCTTTTGTGTCCAGCTTCTTTTGTTCTGCATAATGATTTGAGATTCATCTATGTTGTTGTGTATCAATGGTTCATTTCTTTTGATTGTTAAGTTAGGCACTCCCACCTTTGTGTGGTTCTCACCCTTATTAAATGTGCCCTGTAACATGACATCTGGCAGTTAACTCTTCATTTCTACTTCTACTAGACTGTGACCTACTAGACTGTGACCAACTCAAGGACAGAGGTTGTATGTATCTCATTTATTTCTGGGTCCCCAACATGAGCTCAGTGCCTGGAAGGCAGTAGACCTGGGAACTGTCACATCCTGGAATTTGGGAGTTGGCTTGATGGGAAGTAGGGGACTGCAGGGAGTTGAGGGGCACTGACAGGACACCTGATCACTGGGGCTGGAAATCACTCCAAGACCCACCATTCACAGGCCCCATGAGCTCAGAGGGCTCTCCAACCAGAAGTTCCAGGACAGAGAGGGGGTTCCAGCCCAATAAACACAGAGTGGGCAGTGAGTCCACAGCTGTTACTCTAGGGCTCGGTCTTCCGGCCACTGGAAAACTCACCAACTGGGGACGGGCCTGAAAAGAAAGTAAAAATCGATTTTCTCTCACTTGTTTCTCTTCCCCTTTCACCCAGAGGGTGCACCTGACAACTAGACCCAACCGTCTGGCAGAGTTTGAAGCCCCTGCCCCCTCCAGCCCCACCCTCTCATGCTGCTCACACTGGCCCCACCCTCAGCAGGGCCATGAGGATATGAGGGTTGAGGCTCCAACACCTGCAGGCTTTCTGGAATCCCAGAAGCCCTAAAGCATAGACTTAGGGGTCAGAGCTGGCACTGAGTTCCTGCTTTACCACCCTCTGGTTGTGTGGCCTTGGCCAGATTACTTCCTCCTCTGTAAAACAGGGCCATAATTCCAGCTAGCAGGGTAGGTAAAGGGCTACTTACCTGACGGAAGTAGAGGGCTAAGTGCTGTGGATGGCAGAGAAAGGATGGGGTGACTTGGTGGTGGGAGGAGCCTGTGAGACCTTCCGTGTTTTTCCAGAAAGGTAGAATTAGCACCAGAGGGCCAGGCGCGGTGGCTCATACCTGTAATCCCAGCACTTTGGGAGGCCAAGGCGGGCGGATCACCTGAGGTCAGGAGTTCAAGACCACTCTGACCAACATGGCAAAGCCCTGTCTCTACTAAAAATACAAAAATTATCTGGGCATGGTGGTGCATGCCTGCAATCCCAGCTACCTGGGAGACTGAGGCAGGAGAATCGCTAGAACCCGGGAGGTGGGGGCTGCAGTGAGCCAAGATCACACCACCACTGCACTCCAGCCTGGATGACAGAGCAAGACTCCATCTCAAAAAAAAAAAAAGGCCGGGCACAGTGGCTCACGCCTGTAATCCCAGCACTTTGGGAGGCCGAGGCGGGCGGATCACGAGGTCAGGAGATCGAGACCATCCTGGCTAACACGGTGAAACCCTGTCTCTACTAAAAATATTTTTAAAAAATTAGCCGGGCCTGGTGGCAGGCACCTGTAGTCCTAGCTACTCGGGAGGCTGAGGCAGGAGAATGGCGTGAACCCGGGAGGCGGAGCTTGCAGTGAGCCGAGATCGCACCACTGCACTCCAGGCTGGGCGACACAGCAAGACTCCGTCTCAAAAAAAAAAAAAAAAAAAAAAAAAAAGAATTAGCGCCAGAGTCCACAAATGAGAACAAAAGCTGAGAAATGCTCCACCTTCCAAGCTCAGAAGCTCCCCTGAAGGGTTGATAGGAAGTGCTATTTCAGCAGAACTAGCACTATGTAGTGCTGTTCTATGCAGGAGCTATGCAGGGCTTGTGAAACGAAGCCATCTGTCCCTGTCTCCCTCAGGGTAGGGCAGGCAATTCCCCCAAGACAGGTTTTGCAATATGACCTTTTTACTTTGTCAAGGGGACCAGTCAAATTCTCCTCCTGGCCTTGGTGACTGCTACTAACCCAGAGAATGCAGCAGAAGTTACAATGCACCATTTCTCAGGCTAGGCCAAAAGAAACCTTGTAACTTCTTCCTTGGTCTCTTAGAAAGCTCAGTTTACAGGCACTCATTTTTGGTACCCAGGTGCTATGCTGTGAGAAGCCAAGCCACATGGGGAGGCCACGTTTAGGTTCTCCAGGTGACAGTCCCAGCTCAGGCACTGGTCATGTGAGTGAAGCAACCTCCAGGTGATTCCAGCCCCCAGCCATTTGAGTCTTCCCAGCTAAGGTCCCAGACATCATGGCGCAGTGTATTAGTTATGCACTGTTGCATGGCAAGTTACCCCCAGAATGTAACAGCTTAAAACAATAAATATTTATCATCTCACACAGTTTCTGATAGTCAGGAATCCAAGAGTAGCATATCTGGGTGATTCTGATTCGAGGTCTCTCATGAAATTGCAGTTAAGCTGTCGGCAGGGCTGCAGTCATCTACTTTCTCTGGGGCCAGAGGATCCATTTCCAAGCTCATTCATGTGGCCATTGGCAGGAAGCCTCAGTTCCTCTCCAGGTGGGCCTCTCCATAGAGGCAGCTGGCCTCACAACACGGCACCTGGCTTCCCCAAGGGAGTGATCCAAGAGACAGAGAGGCAGAAGCCACAATATCTTCTTTTTTTTTTTTTTCTGAGACAGAGTCTTGCACTGTCACCCAGGCTAGAGTGCAGAGTGGCACAATCACAGATCACTACAGCCTCTACCTCCTGTGTTCAAGCAATCCTCCTGCCTCAGCCTCCCAACTAGCTGCGACTACAGGTGTGAGTCATTGCACCGGCTAATTTTTTTTTTTTTTTGAGACGGAGTCTCGTTCTGCACCGGCTAATTTTTAAAAATTTTTTTGTAGATACAGGGTCTCCCTATGTTGCCCAGACTGGTCTCAAACTCCTGGCTTTTCTCAATCAAGTAGAAGCGATCCTTCTACCTTGGCCTCCCCAAGTGCTGGGATTATAAGTGTAAGATACCGCGCCCAGCCTCACACTATCTTCCACAACCTAGCTTCAAAAGCGACATACTATCACTTCTGCTATGTTCTATTGGTCACACAGACCAACTGATATGGTGTGGCAGGGGACTACACAAGGGGGTGAATACCAGGGGGGAGGGGACTTTGAGAGCCATCTTGGAGGCCACCTACCGTAAGCAGAGACCAGTCATCCCCACTGTGCCTTGTGAAACTCCTGACCCACAGATTCCATGACCATGATGAAATGGTGATTGTGTTATACCTCGAAGTTGAGGCTGATCCGTTAGTTACACAAGCTAACTGGAACAGAGCTAACTAGGACAGTAGCTAACTGGAACAGAGCCAAAAGAATCATTCATCAGGTGTGCGGTGCCACCAGAGGGCATCTGACTTCTCCTTCCCTGATGATGTTTGCTGAGCAACTACACTTGCCAACCTGTCCTGGTGCTACGAAATAGGGGAAAGGGCATGGAGAGGGAAGGCCAAGGATGTGATCAGGTGGCAAGGAGTGGCAGAAAGATGGATTCTGAGATTTTTTCTGAGACAGGCCTGTGTCCACAGGCCCCAGGCTGGGGCTGCAGAGGGTAGATGTGATGGGGCAGCAGGCCTGCGGGGGGCAAAGAGGTGCACTGTGAAGGGTGAGCC
This sequence comes from Homo sapiens, assembly GCF_000001405.40. Taxonomy (NCBI): domain Eukaryota; kingdom Metazoa; phylum Chordata; class Mammalia; order Primates; family Hominidae; genus Homo; species Homo sapiens. Next base: position 33,055,531 of record NC_000001.11, on the reverse strand, counting down.
AGAGGCCACCAGCAGAGGAGAGCAACTAGGCACCAAGCCCTTTTGCAGCGTGCTACTCCATCACCCCGTGTCTACAGATAAGGAGCTGAGCAGCTGTGATGTCTGAGAGGACAGGAACACAGACACCTCGCGAGAAGCGAAGAAGAGGTCAGCCAAGGGCCAGCAGGGGACATCTAAGGAAACAAGTCCTTTTTTTCCTTCTTGTTTCTCCCCACCAGAGGGCAGACAAGAGAGAGCAGACCCATCTCCCCTCCATGCCATAGGCCTGCCTGCTGGACTGTGAGTCCCAAAGGAGACTGACCTTCGAAAATGGAAAGACCAAGTTAATGGCTGAAACAAGAGACTGCATTAATAACTAAAAACGACTGAAAAGTTTTGGAACCAGCTGGAGATGTCATCAAGGGGGCCAAATGTCCGTCAGGAAAGGGGATGACAGATTACAGTTGGTAGAAATTATTTTTAAAAATAACTGTTAGGCCAGGTGCTGTGGTTTATGCCTGTAATCCCAACACTTTGGGAGGCTGAGGTGGGTGGATTACCTGAGGTCAGGAGTTCAAGACCAGCCTGGCCAACATGGCAAAACCCCATCTCTACTAAAAATACAAAAATTAGCTGGGTGTGGTGGCATGCACCTGTAATCCAGCTACTCAGGAGGCTGAGGCAGGAGAATCGCTTGAAACCAGGAGGCGGAGGTTGCAGTGAGCCGAGATCCCACCACTGCACTCCAGCCTGGTGACAGAGCAAGACTCCGTCTCAAAAAAAAAGAAAAAGAAAAATACAAAAATCAGCTAGAGGTGGTGGCACCCACCTGTAGTATAGTCCCAGCTACTTGGAGAGGTCGAGGCTGAAGTGAGCTGTGATCGTGCCACTGCCCTCTAGCCTGGTCAATAGGGTAAGACCCTGTCTCAAAAAAAAAAAATTTTTTTTTGTTTGACGTTTACTTTAAGATTTTGATTTTTCTCAATCAAACTTGTCCCCAGAGTTATTGTTGTTATTGTCCTTGGCTGCTCCTCTTTTATCTCATTCATTCGCTCACACATAAGCACTTATTGTATGCCAGGCACTGTATTTGGCACTGGCCCTGGGATGCTGTGATAAGCAAAACAGACTCAATCTCTGTCTTCATGGAGCTTATAATCCTCCTGGAGAGGGAGATTTTTTTTTTTCTGAGACAGAGTCTTGCACTGTTGCTTGGGCTGGAGCGCAGTGGCGCAATCTTGGCTCACTGCATCCTCCACCTCCCAGGTTCAAGCAATTCACCTTGCCTCAGTCTCCCAAGTAGCTGGGATGAAAGGCACCCGCCACCATGTCCAGCTAATATTTTTGTATTTTTTTAGTAGAAATGAGGTTTCACTGTGTTGGCCAGGCTGATTTCAAACTCCTGACCTTGTGATCCGCCCATCTCAGCCTCCCGAAATGTTGGGATTACAGGCGTGAGCCGCTGCGCCTAGCCTTTTTTTGTTTTTTTTGTTTGTTTGTTTGTTTTGAGATGGAGTCTCGCTCTATCGCCAGGCTGGAGTACAGTAGCATTATCTTGGCTCACAGCAACCTCCGCCTCCTGGGTTCAAGTGATTCTTGGGGCTCAGCCTCCCGAATAGTTGGGATTACAGGCACACACCACCAACCCAGCTAATTTTTGTATTTTTAGTGGAAACGGGGTTTCACCATGTTGGCCAGGATGGTCTCTATCTCCTGACCTCGTGATCTGCCCGCCTCAGCCTCCCAAAGTGCTGGGATTACAGGTGTGAGCCCGTCCTGAAACGTAGATATTAAATAGTTAATCGCATAAATACAGGCTATGATAAGTACAGTTAATTAGAAGTATAGCCAATTAGTCACACATCCTGTCCATTCAACTTCCATATCTCATAAGCCTTCTGCCACTTCTCTCCATCCCGGATGTCTCTGCCTTGGTTCAGGTTATTTCTTTGGCTGTGATCTGTTACCATCCAGCCCTTTCTCCACCCTTCCCCCAAGAGATCTTTCCAAAAGGTAAACTCTGTTGCACACAGCTAATTGTTCCCCAGCATCTATTCTTTTTTTTTTTTTTTTTTTAATTTATTTTTTTATTGATAATTCTTGGGTGTTTCTCACAGAGGGGGATTTGGCAGGGTCATGGGACAATAGTGGAGGGAAGGTCAGCAGATAAACAAGTGAACAAAGGTCTCTGGTTTTCCTAGGCAGAGGACCCTGCGGCCTTCCGCAGTGTTTGTGTCCCTGATTACTTGAGATTAGGGATTGGTGATGACTCTTAACGAGCATGCTGCCTTCAAGCATCTGTTTAACAAAGCACATCTTGCACCGCCCTTAATCCATTTAACCCTGAGTGGACACAGCACATGTTTCAGAGAGCACAGGGTTGGGGGTAAGGTCACAGATCAACAGGATCCCAAGGCAGAGGAATTTTTCTTAGTGCAGAACAAAATGAAAAGTCTCCCATGTCTACTTCTTTCTACACAGACACGGCAACCATCGGATTTCTCAATCTTTTCCCCACCTTTCCCGCCTTTCTATTCCACAAAGCCGCCATTGTCATCCTGGCCCGTTCTCAATGAGCTGTTGGGCACACCTCCCAGACGGGGTGGTGGCCGGGCAGAGGGGCTCCTCACTTTCCAGTAGGGGCGGCCGGGCAGAGGCGCCCCTCACCTCCCGGACGGGGCGGCTGGCCAGACAGGGGGGCCGACCCCCCCCCACCTCCCTCCCGGACGGGGCGGCTGGCCGGGCGGGGGGCCGACCCCCCCACCTCCCTCCCGGACGGGGCGGCTGGCCGGGCAGAGGGGCTCCTCACTTCCCAGTAGGGGCGGCCGGGCAGAGGCGCCCCTCACCTCCCGGACAGGGCGGCTGGCTGGGCGGGGGGGCTGACCCCCCCCACCTCCCTCCCGGACGGGGCGGCTGGCCGGGCGGGGGGCTGACCCCCCCACCTCCCTCCCGGACGGGGCGGCTGGCCGGGCAGAGGGGCTCCTCACTCCCAGTAGGGGCGGCCGGGCAGAGGCGCCCCTCACCTCCCGGACGGGGCGGCTGGCCGGGCGGGGGGCCGACCCCCCCACCTCCCTCCCGGACGGGGCGGCTGGCCGGGCGGGGGGCCGACCCCCCCACCTCCCTCCCGGACAGGGCGGCTGGCTGGGCGGGGGGCTGACCCCCCCACCTCCCTCCCGGACGGGGCGGCTGGCCGGGCAGAGGGGCTCCTCACTTCCCAGTAGGGGCGGCTGGGCAGAGGCGCCCCTCACCTCCCAGACGGGGCGGCTGGCCGGGCGGAGGGCTGACCCCCCCACCTCCCTCCCGGACGGGGCGGCTGGCCAGGCGGGGGGCTGACCCCCCTACCTCCCTCCCGGACGGGGCGGCTGGCCGGGTGGGGGGGCTGACCCCCCCATCTCCCTCCCGGACGGGGTGGCTGGCCGGGCTGAGGGGCTCCTCACTTCCCAGTAGGGGCGGCCGGGCAGAGGCGCCCCTCACCTCCCGGACGGGGCGGCTGGCCGGGCGGGGGGCTGACCCCCCACCTCCCTCCCGGACGGCACGGCTGGCCAGGCGGGGGGCTGACCCCTCCACCTCCCTCCCGGATGGCACGGCTGGCCGGGCGGGGGGGCTGACCCCCCACCTCCCTCCCGGATGGGGCAGCTGGCCGGGCGGGGGGCTGACCCCCCCCACCTCCCTCCCGGACGGGGTGGCTGCCGGGCGGAGACGCTCCTCACTTCCCAGATGGGGTGGCTGCCGGGCGGAGAGGCTCCTCACTTCTCAGACGGGGCAGCTGCCGGGCGGAGGGGCTCCTCACTTCTCAGACGGGGTGGTTGCCAGGCAGAGGGTCTCCTCACTTCTCAGACGGGGCGGCCGGGCAGAGACGCTCCTCACCTCCCAGACGGGGTCTCGGCCGGGCAGAGGCGCTCCTCACATCCCAGATGGGGCGGCGGGGCAGAGGCGCTCCCCACATCTCAGACGATGGGCGGCCGGGCAGAGACGCTCCTCACTTCCTAGATGTGATGGCGGCTGGGAAGAGGCGCTCCTCACTTCCTAGATGGGATGGCGGCCGGGCGGAGACGCTCCTCACTTTCCAGACTGGGCAGCCAGGCAGAGGGGCTCCTCACATCCCAGACGATGGGCGGCCAGGCAGAGACACTCCTCACTTCCCAGACGGGGTGGCGGCCGGGCAGAGGCTGCAATCTCGGCACTTTGGGAGGCCAAGGCAGGCGGCTGCTCCTTGCCCTCGGGCCCCGCGGGGCCCGTCCGCTCCTCCAGCCGCTGCCTCCCGGGCGGCGCTCGCCGGCGCGGCGGCAAAGACTGAGACAGCTCCGCTGCCCGCTGAACTCCATCCTCCCGGCGGTCGGGCGGCGGCGGCTGCGGTCGGTCACGGCAGCGGCTCCGCTTCATATCTGCAGCTGGGGCCCGCGGGCGTCAGCGCCGCGACTGTCCCGGCTCCGCACTGCCCCGGGCCGCAGCGCAGCCGCGCCAACCACCACCCGCGGCCACCATGGCCGGACGGGCTCCCTAAGCCACCGACCCCAGCCCGCGGCGCCTTCGAGCCTTCTGGGGCCTCCGGCGCCGCGACCTCCTCTGCTAGTCTTTTTAAATGTTAATGCTCTCCCTATTCTTCCTTTAGTAATAGAGCCTCTACCTGTTGGCTAGGCATATGTCTGTCCAGAATAAAAGCTATGTTTCCCAGTACCCCGGCTGCTAGTCGTGGCATTGTAACTAAGTTCCGGTCAGTGCAATGAGAATGAAAGTAACAGGTGCAATTCCAGGTTATGCCTTTAGAGGGAAGGGGGGCATCCCCCACTGCCCCATTACTCCTTCCTGCTGGCTGAAATGCAGAAGTGATGGTAGGAGCTGGAGCTGCCCTTTTGGACCACAGGAAGGAAGCCGCATGTTGATGTCAAACCAAGGAGACAGAAAAAGCCAGGGTTCCCTGATGGTAGAGCCACCATATCCACTGCCCCTTGCCTGCCAGGGTTTTGACATAAGCAAGAAGTAAGCACCTATCTTGTCTAAGTCATTGTTATTTTGGAGTCTCTGCTATAGTAGCTGAGTCTGTTTCCTAACCACAGTAGTTTCCTATTATCCAGTTTCCCTTTCTGCACTTTCACTTACCAAAGGACAAATGTGATCCAAAAATATTACATGGGAAAATTCCAGAAATAAACAATTCATAAGTTGTAAATTGCATGCTTTTATGAGCAGCATGATGAAATCTGGAGCCATCTCACCCAGGATGTGAATCATCCCTTTGTCCAGCGTATCCATGCTGTATACACCACCCACCAGCTAGTAGCTTAGTAGCGGTCCTATTTATCAGATCAACAGATCACAAGAAGGGTGAGCAGAGCACAATAAGATATTTTCAGAGAGATAAAGGGATTACATTCACATAATTATAGTGTATTGCTGTAATTGTTTTATTATTAGTTATTGTTATTAATCTCTTGCTGTGCCTAATTTATAATTTTTTTTTCTTTTTGAGGCAAGGTCTCATTCTGTCGCCCAGGATGGAGGGCAGTGGCACAATCACAGCTTACTGCAGCCTCAACCTCCTAGGCTCAAGCAATCCTCCCACTTAAGCCTCCCGAGTAGCAAGCACTACAGGTCCACACCACCATGCCTGGCTAATTTTTGTGTTTTTTGTAGAGATGTGGTTTCACCATGTTGCCCAGGCTAGTCTCGAACTCTTTACCTCAAGCGATCCTCCCTCCTCAGCCTCCCAAAGTGCTGGGATTATAGGTGCGAGCCACTATGCCTGGCCCTAATTTATAAATTAAATGTTAGGCCGGGCGTGGTGGCTCACACCTGTAATCCCAGCACTTTGATTCCCTCCACAAGGATTTCCTCACAGGCCATGTCTAATGTGTAGCATTTCCCAGCTGAGGGCGTTTTTGTTGCTGTTAATATCATACGCCTTTTCTTGGAAGCTGGCGACTTTTATGGAAATCGGAATTTCGCCACAGTGACCTCAAAACAGTAGTAGAAAGGCTTTGCTTGTTCAGGTGGCTTGGACTTAGCCAGTTCTTTAGAAAACCACATCTCATGGTTGTGGTTTGGTTGACAAAGGAACAGGAAGCATGTTACAAAAATTGGGAAGCGGTCCTAGGTCAAGTGGGCTGTGAAGCCCAAAAAAAGACACAGGAGAGATGCACGCTGCCAGGTAGGGGGGAGTTGGTCTGTGTAGGTAACTGGAACTTAAAGTCCACAAACCCCCTGGAACTCAGTCTACATCTCTACTGACCAAGGTAAGTAGGTCTTGGCATACTCAGCAAGAGCTTCCTGTCCAGCCTCTTTGTCTGGCCCTCACGAGGGATAGAACAGTTAGGATGCATGAGGTTTTGCTTTAGAAGAAACAACTGGGGAAAATTTAAGCTACTGGACCTCTGTAGCTTAAAAATAACAAAATAAGGCTGGGCGCAGTGGCTTATGCCTGTAATCCTAGCACTTTGGGAGGCCAAGGTGGGTGGATCACCTGAGGTCAGGAGTTCGAGACCAGCCTGGCCAACATGGCAAAACCCCGTCTCTACTAAAAACACAAAAATTAGCCAGGCATGGTGGCGCATGCCTGCAGTCCCAGCTACTCAGGAGGCTGAGGCAGGAGAATTGCTTTAACCCGGGAGGCGGAGGTTGCAGTGAGCTGAGATAGTGCCACTACACTCCAGCCTGGGTGACAGAGCAAGACTCCATCTCAAAAAAATAAAAAATAAAAATAAATAAAACCCTTGCTCATACTACCTGCTCATTTGGATTGACTAGGGGGCTCTGCTGCAGGTGGTTTGTCTCTCAGGGACCTAGTCTGGTGGAGGTTCCATCTCAACAGTCTGCCATGACTGCTGAGGTGAAAAGAACATGTGAATCCTGCCCTGGCTCTCAAAAGCTTCTCCCTTGAATTGTCATGCACGCTACTTCTGTTCTCATTTCACTGGCCAGTGCAAGTCATATGCCCTCACCCAAGTTCAACAGAACAGAAACAAATAATCCTTTCACAGCAAGAGACATCAAATATTTGTGGAAAACAGTACAGTCTGCCACAAAAGAAAATGCTGTGTGGTGGGAGACTTCACCGGCTGTGTGATTTCAAGCAAGCCAATTAACCATGCCGAGTTAAGCCTCAGTTTCCCCATGCATCAAGTAGGGATATAATAGTTCTGGCAAATTAGCCAGGTGTGGTGGTGTGCACCTGTAGTCCCACCTACTCAGGAGGCTGAGGCAGGGGAATCACTTGAACCTGAGAGGCAGAGATTGCAGTGAGCCAAGATCATGCCACTGCATTCCAGCCTGGATACAGAGCAAGACTCCATCTCAAAAAAAAAAGAAAAAATAGTTTTGACATAGCAAGTGTATTGTGATGACTCAGTGAGATTGTATGTAGAGATCTGATCACAGGGCTTGGTACCAATCCTTGCTCAATAAATGGTAACTTTTAAAAATTAATCGGTGGAGAACTCTGATCACCACAGGCAAGAGTAAAATAAAAGTCACTTCCTTCAGCTGAAACTGCTCTCATGTTAAAGGGCAAACTCCTTGAGGCCAATTCCAAGGGATTTTTCTCAGTCCTCACCTTTGACTCCGCCAGGAAGGAAGATTGTGCTATTGTTCATGAATATTCCCTGCCTCACCTACTGAGTGCCTCTCAGTGGAAGAAGTACATTCCTGGCCCCATTGACTGCAGCTTGTCCATGAGACTTGCTTTGACAAGTACAATGTAAGTGCATGTGACCTGTAGCATTTCCATGGCCTGTGCCATTTCTAGGCAGAAGGTTTAAGGGCCAACAAGAGATCCCATCATTTTCCTTTTTTCCAGTCCTGTGCTAGTAAACATTTAACAACTGGCTCTTCTAGAGGGAAAATATTTGCCACATTCTGTAGTATATGTACTTCCACCATAACTGATTTCAAGCTACCAATGTGACATTACTGAGCACAAAGTTGGGAAGAGATATACACTATCAGCTTTCTCTAATGCAAGTTATACCAGCATACCAGTGTACCTTTTCCCTCTCTTCCAAGAACCGAACCTTCAGCCTGCATCACCTGCAGCTAACATGTAACCCTTTCTGTAAGCTGATATTTTGGGGTTATTTGTCGCTGCAATATAACTTAGCTGAAGCTGACTAATACACTCCCAGAAACTTTTTATTTGGCTTTGGTAACACTCCTTCTTCATCATTTCTATCAATAAACACTAATCAGTGTCCCACTACATATGAGAGACAACATAGCATAGTGGTTAATAGAATAGACTGGAGAGGCAGACTGGAGAAGCTTTACTCACAGTTTCCAAGTGTCTGGAAGTAACTATAAAGGCCTAATTTGCATATCAACTGGGAACTCCTGGAAATGAGAGTGTCTCCAAGAGATATATTTGATGCATGTCCAGAGAATTCCTGAATGAAAGAATCTGGGATTGTCAAGCTGATATCATGAACCCCACATTTAACAGAGTTAAGTGAAGAGATGGGACAAAGGCCAGGCTTGGGAAGGAAGGAAAGATCAACAAAGGCCTTACAGGGCAGATAAAAATTGATAGAATGGGCTGAGGGCATTGGCTCATGCTTGTAATCCCAGCACTTTGGGAGGCCGAGGTGGGTGGATCACTTGAGTCAGGAGTTCAAGACCAGCCTGGCCAACATGTGAAACCTCGTCTCTACTAAAAATATAAAAATTAGCCGAGTCTGTTGGTGGGCACCTGTAATCCTAGCTACTTGGGAGACTAAGGCAGGAGAATCGCTTGAACCCAGGAGGCAGAGGTTGCAGTGAGCTGAGATCGAGCCACTGCACTCCAGCCTGGGCAACAGAGTGAAACTCTGTCTCAAAAAAAAAAAAGGGGAAAGAAAAAGAAAAAGAATGTGGTGGCCGTGCACGGTGGCTCATGCCTGTAATCCCAGCACTTTGGGAGGCTAAGGTGGGGGATCATCTGAGGTCAGGAGTTCAAGACCAACCTGGCCAACATGGTGAAATCCCACCTCTACTAAAAATACAAAAATTAGCCAGGCATGGTAGCAGGCACCTGTAATCCCAGCTATTCAGGAGGCTGAGGCAGGAGAATTGCTTGAACCCCGGAGGCAGAGGTTGCAGTGAACCAAGGTCACACCACTGCACCCCAGCCTGGACAACAGAGTGAGACTCCGTCTTAAAAAAAAAAAAAAAAAAGGATGTGGTGGGTAGAATGAAATTTCAGGTTTTCTTCTTTAGTCTCTAGTCATTCTCTGATTCCTTTCCCCTCAAGTGTTGGCTTCCCAGCTTTTAGTCGTCATTCTTCTCTCCTCTCTACCCTCCCACAAAACAAGCTCATCTCCTCTATGTCTTTGACGCAGGTAGTAATAGTTAACATTTACTGAGTGCTTACCATGAGTAGGGCACCGTGCTAAGTACTTTACATCCATTATGTAATCTGATACTCACTGTGATCCTGTGAAGTGGGTATCGGCATCCTGATTTTGCAAAGAGAAATTGAGGCCCAGCAGGGTTAAGTTACTTGCCATGTCACATAAGGTGCTTTGGGCAGTGAGTATCAGAATGCCGACATAGATGCGGTTTGAACATTAGGGGTTTATCTCTCATCACAGGAAGTGTGGAAGAAGGTGACATCTGAGTTGCTTAATTCAGCAGCTCAGTGATGTCAGACCCTAGGTCAGCTTCCCTCTGAGTCTCGCAGCTCTCCCCTCCTGGTCCCAAGATAGCTGCTACATTTCAAGCGCTGCATCATCCCTGAGGCAGGCAGGAAGGGAGTTTTTCTTCTTGTGCATCTCTTTTTCCTGGAAAGCAAAGCCTCCCACAAAAGCCCCCAAGAGAATTTCCCATAGGACCCTGTCTCCTCTCCCCCTTTTTTCTTTCCTTACCCTCTTGAGTTGTAACTCCAGCCAGACTGACCCTCTTTCAACTCTGTACCAAACAGAAGTCTTGGTGGCTAACCTAAGCAGTGAAGGAATTTATTGAATACTGTGAGGTTTTCACCAATTCCAAACATGAGTAGGAACCAAAAGTAATTAGGCTAAGAACACAGCCAAAGACATGGCACAGGAAAAGCCTACCTGGACAGCCACCACTGGCCACGGTCCACCCACTGAGGCTGGACTCTTACCTCCCCACCAAGAACAGGCCCTGCCCCTTCCTCTCTCTCCCTCAAGAGTCAAAGTCCTGGGCAGGACATCCCACTGGCCAAGCCTGGTCACGTGCTCACTCCCCTGTTGCCAAGAAGGCAGGCAAGAGTCTGCCCTTTCAGCTTCTGCAGGGTGGCTCTGTTTTCCCCCAAGTTCCTTGCAGTGAAGGATTTCCACAACACAAGAGGGGTGTTCCTCTGCCAAATATCACAGTTCCCCTCAACTTTCTATAATATTTCTTTTTTTTTTTTGGAGATAGGGTCTTGCTCTATCCCTCAGGCTGGAGTGCAGTGGCATGATCTTGGCTCACTGAAACCTCCGCCTCCCAGGTTCAAGTGATTCTCATGCCTCAGCCTCCCGAGTAGCTGGGATCACAGATGCTCGCCACCATACCTGGCTAATTTTTGTATTTTTAGTAGGGATGGGGTTTCACCATGTTGGCCAGGCTGGTCCTGAACTCCTGACCTCAGGTGATCTGCCCACCTCGGCCTCCCAAAGTGTTGAGATTACAGGCATGAGCCACCACGCCCAACCTCTTGTCATAATCTTTCTTAACTCCAGGCCTTTGCACATGCCATTCCCTTTGTCTAGAATACCCTTCTTCCCTCTCTTCCCTAAGCAAATCCTCCTTGTTCTTAAGGTTTCATCTCACTTACACATCATTTCCCCTCAAATCTGAGCTGGGGGCTCCTCTATTGTGCTGTTACTGAAGCCTGTACCTTTCCCAGCACAGACTCCGTCAATGTCTTATTTGTTGTTTTTTTTGTTTTTTTCCCCCGCTTGACTGCAAGTTCTGTAGAAGTGGAGAGTTTTCTTTTCTTTTCTTTTTTTTTTTTTGAGATGGGGTCTTGCTCTGTCACCCAGTCTAGAGTGCAGTGGCACAGTCTCAGCCCACTACAACCTCTGCCTCCTAGGTTCAAGTGATTCTCCTGCCTCAGCCTCCTAAGTAGCTGGGATTACAGGCACATGCCACCACACCTGGCTAATTTTGGTATTTTTAGTAGAGACAGGGTTTCACCATGCTGGCCACGCTGGTCTTAAACTCCTGACCTCAGGTGATCTGACCGCCTCGGCCTCCCAAAGTGCTGGGATTACAGGTGTGAGCCACTGCGCCCAGCCCGAAGTGGAGAGTTTTCTAAAGGTGGAAACCTTGCTTTTGTTTTGTTTTTAGAGACAGGGTCTCGCTCTGTCACCTGGGCTGGAGTACAATGGGCTAATTATAGTTTATGGCAGCCTCAACCTCCTGGCAGCAAGTGATTCCCACACTTCAGCCTCCCAAGTAGCTAGTGTAAGAGTTAAGAAAGAAGAAAGAAACACGAAACGTGACTTAACCCCTTAAAGACAAGCTTATTTTAGAGAAAAAATAAGGAGTGCTTTCTCTTACAGAGATATATATTGGTTTTAGGGTGAGGGGGCTTATTACAAGCTTGGAATGTTTATGTGTTGGGGAGAAGTTTATGGCGGGATTGGAATGTTCTGGGCAGAGGGGAGGTTATCTTGAGGCTGACATCTTTTCAGCAGGTGTGGGGTTATATTCAGGGCTGGCATCTTCCCAGCTGGAGGGGGGTTATTTCGGGGCTAGCATGTCTCTGGTTGAGGAGGAGTTTGGAATGTTTCTGGTTGGAGATGTTATTTGTGGTTTATGGTCATGCTGACCTAAGCCATTAGGCTGATGCCCTTTGGATTTAGACGGTTTTTGATTAAGGTGAATTTTAAAATGGCCGTGCTTGTCCAAGATGGTGATACTCCTGCTCTATCAGCTAGAACCAAAGGTGCATACCACCACACCGGGCTAATTTTTTAAATTTTTTCTGGGGTTCTCACAAATTTCAAACATGAGTAGAAACCAAAAGCAATTAGGCTAAGAACACAGCCAAAGACATGGTACAGGAAAAGACTACTTGGACAGACATGACTGGTCATTGTCCACCCACTGCTGCTGGACTCTCACCTCCCCGCCAAGAACAGACCCTGCCCCTTCCTTTCTGTCCCTCAAGGGTCAAAGTCCCAGGCAGGACCTCCCACTGCTCAAGCCCAGGCCATGTTGCCCAGGCTGATCTCAAACACCTGGCCTCAAGCAATTCTCCCACCTCGGCCTCCCAAAGTGTTGAAATTACAGGCATGAGCCACTGTGCCTAGACCGACCCTGGCCTCATTATTTACCACTGGATCCTTAGCATCTAGCACAATACTAGACACATAATAAATGCTCATTAAATGCATGTTGAATGAATCAGCTAATGAATGAATGAGATGAATACTAATGGCACCATCATCCCCCCCAGTCGCTTGGCCCCTCAACTCAGTCATTCTTATCCCCATCTGGTCTGGTGTCAAGTCCCATTAATTCTACCTCCATAGTCTAGGCCTGCATTTTCTTTCTCCTGGGCCTTTGCAATAGTTCCCTGCAGAGGACATCTGTTGTTTCTGCCTGCTCAGTATCTCTTTCTTATTTTGGAAACTGCCACAATTTGCTTCTGGGAAACTACTTCTTCCATTCTCTGTAGTCTGGAGGGAACTGTCAATTAAGGTCCTTTACACCATTGCCAAGGGATGAACAGGAGATCCAAGCCAAGCCAGAAATTAATGTCTTGAGCAGAATGACAGATATAGAAACTGGTTGGAACTGAGTCATTTAAATCATAGCATCCATAAGAAATTGTTTGTTGGGTTTTGGGGTGGTCTCACCCACGTTTAGACCCAAATGAGGGGATAACCACAGAAATAAGGCACAGGGAGATCAGAATATCACTCTTTTTACTGACAAAGCTGCTTGACATATGCATTTACTGAGAGAAAAGTGGGGTTATGAATTCTGGACCCCCAAGTTAAACTTTTCCTCCTGATCCCAGGCAGTGCTAGAAAATCATCATAGCCCTCTTTTCTCTTTCTTTTTTTTTCTTTTTTTTTTTTTTTTGAGACAGAGTTTCACTCTTGTTGCCCAGGCTGGAGTGCAATGGCACAGTCTCAGTTTACGGCAACCTCCGCCTCCCGAGTTCAAACGATTCTCCTGCCTCAGCCTCCCGAGCAGCTGGGATTACAGGTGCCCGCCACCACGCCCAGCTATTTTTTTGTATTTTTAGTAGAGACAGGGGTTCACCATTTTGGCCAGGCTGGTCTCAAACTCCTGACCTTAGGTGAACCACCCACCTCAGCCTCCCAAAGTGCTGGGATTATAGGTGTGAGCCACCGTGTCCGGCCTCTTCTTTTTTTTAGATGGAGTCTCGCTCTGTCACCCAGGCTGGAGTGCAAGTGGCACAATCTCGGCTCATTGTAACCTCCACCTCCTTGGTTCAAGGGATTCTCGTGCCTCAGCCTACTGAGTAGCTGGGATTACAGGTGCCCGCCACCACGCCCAGCTAATTTTTGTATTTTTAGTAGAGATGGGGTTTCATCATGTTGGCTAGGCTGGTCTTGAACTCCTGACCTCAAATGATCCGCCCACCTCAGTCTCCCAAAGTGCTGGGATTACAAGCGTGAGCCACTGTGCCTGACCAATCATAGTCCTCTCTGGGAGGGCTAGACTGTGGGAAATGTATTAATAGAACATGGAGGAAGAGGGCAAAAAATCGTGCTTCTTAAGGGCAGGCACATTTGAAAGAGAAAAAAGGAGGAAGAGCTGAGTTGTGCTCAGTTCATTCTTCCCATACTCACTAATGAGATACAGGTTGAGTATCCCTAATCCAAAGTGCTTGGGACCAGCAGTATTTCAGATTTTGGATCATTTTCAGATTTTGGAATATTTGCATATACTTAATGAGATATCTTGGGGATGGGAACCAAGTCTAAATATAAATTCATTTATGTTTTATATAGACCTTATACACATAACCTGAAGGTAATTTTATACAATATTTTTAATAATTCTGTGCACAAAACCAAGTTTGTGTATACTGAATCATGGGAAAACAAAAGTGTCACTTAGACACCCCTCTGGAAAATCTGTGGTTGTTCGGCGTCACCATCATTCATGACTCTGAATTTATATGCTGTATCATTTTTCTTACACTTATTCACATTTATCAGTTAAAAAAAAAGACCATTAATACAGTGAAAAAGTAATGTGTTCAGGGTAAGTAAGCAGCATAGTAGCATCATCAAAATAATACCTGGAGATGCTGAAAAAACTGTGTTGTATGTCTGTGTTTTGACTGCAACCTGTCACGTGAGGTCAGGTGTGGATTTTTGTCTTTTTTCTTTTTTTTTTTTTCAGAGACAAGGTTGCTCTGTCACTCAGGCTGCAGTGCAGTGACACCATCATACCTGGCTGTAGCCTTGAACTCCTGGGCTCATGCAATCCTTCCACCTCAACCACAGTGGCACAATCATACCTGGCTGCAGCCTTGAATTCCTGGACTCAAGCAATCTTTCCACCTCAACCTCCCAAGTAGCTGGGACTACTGGAGTGCACCATCATGCCTGGCTAATTTTATTATTAGTAGAGACCAAGTCCAGGCTGGTCTCAAACTCCTGGCCTCAGGCAATTCTCCCACCTCAGCCTCCCAAAGCGCTGGGATTACAGGTGAGAGCCACCACACCACCTGTTAGTGTGGAATTTTCTTTCTTTCTTTCTTTCTTTTTTTTTGATACGGAGTCTCGCTCTGTAGCCCAGGCTGGAGTGCAGTGGCGCAATCTTGTCTCACTGCAACCTCTGCCTCCCAGGTCCTGGTTCAAGCAATTCTCCTGCCTCAGCCTCCCAAGTAGCTGGGATTACAGGCATGCGCCACCATGCCCAGCTAAGTTTTCTATTTTTAGTAGAGATGGGGTTTTGCCATGTTGGCCAGGCTCATCTCGAACTCCTGACTTCAGGTGATCCGCCCGCCTTGGCCTCCCAAAGTGTTATAGGCGTGAGCCACCACACCTGGCCTACTTATTCCTTATATCTAGATTACCCAACGCAGCCCTGGCTCCTATCACTTCCAAGGCCTGTGGTTGTACAACTGAATCCTCTCAGCGAATTTTGTTTTTGCTTGATGTAGCTAGAGTCTGTTTCTATTGCTTGTATCCAAAGAATATGTACTAGTTTCCTATGGCTGCTAGTTTCCAATTACCACAAACTTGGTGGTCTATATGAACGGAAATTTATTACCTTAAAGTTTTGGAGGTCAGGAGTTCAAAATAGGTCGTATGGGGCTAAAATCAAAATATCTTCAGGGTCATGTTCCTTTGGAGACTCTAGGGGAGAACCCATTTCCTTGCCTTTTCTGACTTCAGAGGCTACCATCATTTTGTAACTGAAAAGCAGGTTAGTTGCTCACAACATTCAGAGTCCAGTTAAAAAGAGCAAGGTCTGGGACGAAAAAATGAATTTATTTTGAAGCTAGCTTGTGGAAATGGCACGAAGCATCCTGCCTTAAATGTGCCACTTCCCTTTTGGAGCAGAAAGCGGGCCTTTTATAAGGTGGTGGGAGGAAGTAAGCAGGGGGAGGGCGTCTCCGTTAGCTCTGGTGGCTTAACTGCTGGGCAGTTGACTTAGTGCCTTCCTGGGCAGAAGTAAGTTATAAAAGTGGCCAAGTGGACACGCTTTCAACATTCCCTCTTGGTAGGTGTGAGTTCGAAGCAATCCCCCAGAGGGTAGAAGTTCCAAGGTGAAAGTTCCCTAGCGGGCATGCTTTGCTCTGTTAACTTTCCAAGAATTAGATGAACTTGCCTTGAAGGGAGTGTCTGGTGAAGAAGTTGGTAAAATTTCTTCTTTAGAAATTCAAAGAAATTCAAAGATTAAATCAGAAGTGGGAGCAGGAAGAAAGGAGAAGAGAAAATAAATTTTAAAAGGAACTGGCCGGACACGGTGGCTCACTCCTGTAATCCCAGCACTTTGGGAGGCCCGAGACAGGCGGATCACCGGAGGTCAGGAATTTGAGACCAGCCTGGCCAACATGGTGAAACCCCATCTCTACTGAAAATACAAAAGTTAGCCGGGGGTGGTAGGGGCGCCTGTAATCCCAGCTATTCACGAGGCTGAGGCAGGAGAATCTCTTGAACCCAGGAGGCGGAGGTTGCAGTGAGCAGAGATTGCACCACTGCACTCCAGCCTGGGTGACAGAGTGCGGCTCCTTCTCAAAAAAGAAAAAAAAAAGACTTAACTTGTGATTCATTACACTTCAAAGTGTATTGAATAAATCTTACACTTTGTGTCTTTATGGATAGTCTTCCTTACTTTCCCTCCTGGGAGCCCTAAGTCTTGTCACAATCACTATAGGGATTGATGGTAGAAAGGGAAGGCTGCTCCTACTCCCCTTGCCTGGTCCCTGTGCATAGAAAATTTCAATAAACTCTGGTCTTATTGGACTGAAGTGAATTTTGGCCACAGAGAGGCTTCCTGCAGCTTGTTTTCCCATCCCTCTGCCCATAAGCCCTGTAATCTCTAGGGCACCTGCTTGTCATCCTCAGTTGTTTTTGTTTTTGTTTTCAGAGTCTTGCTCTGTCACCCAGCCTGGAGTGTAGTGGTGCCATCTCAGCTCACTGCAACCTCCACCTCCCGGGTTCAAGCGATACTCCTGCCTCAGCCTCCCTAATAGCTGGGATTACAGGCATGCGCCACCACACTGGGCTAATTTTTTTGTAATTTTAGTAGAGACGGGGTTTCGCCATGTTGGCCAGGCTGGTCTCGAACTCCTGACCTCAGGTGATCTGCCCCCCCCTCAGGCTCTCAAAGTGCTGGGATTACAGGCGTGAGTCACTGGACCTGGCTCATCCTCAGTCTTAATTGTGAGTCTGCTACTGTGTGACTTTGGTCACTACGTATCTTCAGGCCTCAGCTTCCATTCTGAATAATAGACATAACAATCCTTTCTTCCTTCAATGTCATTGGGAGTATCCAACAAGATTAAGCAGGTACACTGTAAAAGTCCAGCGTGGCGATGAGAAATGAATGTTGACTTCTGTGTGGTAAGGAAGAGACCACAGCTGGGCTGGGCACAGTGGCTCACGCCTGTAATCCCAGCACTTTGGGAGGCCCAGGCGCGCGGATCACGAGGTCAGGAGATCAAGACCATCCTGACTAACACGGTGAAATCCCGTGTCTACTAAAAGTATAAAAAAAATTAGCCAGGCGTGGTGGTGGGCACCTATAGTCCCAGCTACGCAGGAGGCTGAGGCAGGAGAATGGCGTGAACCCAGGAGGTGGAGCTTGCAGTGAGCCGAGATCGCGCCACTGCACTCCAGCCTGGGCAACAGAGCGAGACCACGTCTCAAAAAAAAAAAAAAAAAGAAGAGACCACAGCTGAAGGGATAGCAAATTCATCATCAAGATGTAGAAAATGAGTTGTTAGGAGCCTGTGGGGAAACATAATCGTTTCATTACACACTCTTAACTAAAGGTCCAAAGAGGCCCTTGGAGCTGGATGAAACTTTCACACACCAAAAAGCTGTAGAAATTATTTCCCTATCCAAGAGGGTCATCTCTTTTGAGAAAAACTATCTTTTCCTGACTTTAAAAGGTTAACGTTTTTCTTAATATAAAGGTAAAACTTGTTTTAAACTTAAGTTTTTAAACTTATTAAGAATTTACCATAGAACTTTAAAAAATCTATTAAAATATACAAAGGAGAGGTGCTCCTCTAATCACACTACACAGCGGTCTACACTTGTAATAAACAAAATCGGGATTTTTTGGGGGGGGAGTGGGACGGAGTTTCACTCTTGTTGCCCAGGCTGGAGTGTAATGGCTCAATCTTGGCTCACTGTAACCTCCGCCTCCTGGGTTCAAGCAGTTCTCCTGCCTCAGCCTCCCAAGTAGCTGGGATTACAGGCATATGCCACCACTCCCAGCTAATTTTGTATTTTCAGTAGAGATGGGGTTTCATCATGTTGGTCAGGCTGGTCTCGAACTTCTGACCTCAGGTAATCCGCTCGCCATGGTCTCCCAAAGTGTGGGGATTACAGGCGTGAGCCACCGCGTCCGGCCAAAATTCGGATTTTGTTGTAACTGCAATTTTGTATCTCGCTTTGCTAACATTTTCCCGCATGATTAAATTATCTTATACAACAGGGGTATTCCAGGATACAAATTGGTTGCAATTTATTTAACCAATCTCTTATTGTTGGACATTTGGAGTATTGCCTTTATTTTATGGTTTTTCTCGGGCTTTTGGGCTAAGTGTTGCAATTAACAACTTTGTTACACGAATCTTTACTCATATCCTTGATTTTATCCATTGAATTCGTGGAAGTGGAATTGCTGGACCAAAGGGTATTTGAAACATATTACTAATTTGTCTTCTAAGAGTGATTTTACCCATTTAAACTCCCACGCGCAATTTAATAGGATTTCAATGTTGTTGCTGGTGTCGTCAACTGTCAAATGCCGAAGTATACCTTCCGGCCTGACCTCCTGTCCTCCTTCGCGTTTTCCCGCCCACTCCGCACACCCGCCACCCTTAGTACATGCTGGCCCGCCCCTTCCTTATCCCGCACCAATTCTGTCCAATCAAAAGCAAAGTTCCTCAGTATCGCCGTGCAGTTGGTAAGGTGAAGAGTCCGTCGTGCTCAGGGGCGGGCGGAACGGGCTGACGGACGCGGCTATGGGCCAGTGTGAGCGGCGAGTGGGACGTGCGTGGCGTGCGTGCGTTGACCTGGGAAGCACTGGACCTGTGAGGCGTGCGAACTGGTGGCAGTGAGAGACTTCGGCGGACATGGCTCCCAGCGTGCCAGCGGCAGAACCCGAGTATCCTAAAGGCATCCGGGCCGTGCTGCTGGGGCCTCCCGGGGCCGGTAAAGGGACCCAGGTGAGCGGCAGGACTGGGCTTGGCGGCGGAGCCTGCTGAACTCCAAGGTCAAGGCGGCCGGAGATCTAGAAGCCCTGGACCTGCCCGGAGCGGGCCGGGGACTAAGGCCTGCGGGGAACGCTGGCCGGGGTCTCGGTTCTGGTGGGGCATTTCGGAGAGGGTCCAAATTGGAGGTCGGGGCAGTCTGAGTTAGGATTGGAGTGCCCGAGGGATTCAGTGTTGAAGTGTTGGGTTAGGGAATGTGAGGGCTGATTAATTCCACTAAGGGTCTAGAGACTGGAAAGGTTTGAGGGGTAGAGTGAGCCCTGGGCCGAGGCATCTAGATTACAGGCTGAATGGAGGCAATTAGCTTTATGGCCCAGGTTACCTGCGAGTTGGAGGTGAATTGTCCAGAATCAGGGTTACATTCCAGGCACTGGAGGTCGGGAGATTTTGATAATGATTTATGACTTAGGGGGAGGGGAGGAGAAGCATCTCCAACACGTGGGGCAGAGTGAGAGGTGACATGTGCTGTGTGAGCCAGTTGAATTGAGATGGGAGGAAACCTAAGGCTCTCCCTGTTTGAAAGTTGGGGGTGAATGTGTAGAACTGGTTTATAGCCTGGAGACCCATGAGTCGCAACCTTTGAGTAGTGTCCACAATAAGGGTTGGGAGTGCTCATGGGACCTGGCTTGGAGTTAGGACCTGAGGCTACTGAAGGCTAAGCAGCTTGGGATGACGCAAATGATTTTAGATGAAAAGGAACTTGAATTTTTTTTTATTTTGTTTTTATTATTTTTGTTTGTTTGTATCTTCCTTCCCTTTGGTTTTTATTTATTTTTTCCTTTTTTTATTTTGTTGTTGTTTATAGGGAACTTGAAATTTTAACTTTATCAATCAACAGGTTAAAAAACAGGCCCAGAAAGGTCAGGTGGCTTTCCCAAATTAGTGAAATGAGTTTCATGAGCCTGAGACCTCAGGAACCATGGAGTTAGAGTCTGAAGTTACCATCTGCCCTAGCAGGCAACAGGGGCCTCACTTGGGATCTGGGCCCCTTCTAGATCTGGGACATAATGGGGCCATAGATTAGGGTTGGGATCGATGATCTCATTTCGGATTTGGAAGCCCGCAGGTTGGATTATTGATGTCCCCTTCTTGCTTGGGGTCTGGCATTGCACCTGGGGCCCTAAGCCTCTGGCTCTTGCCTGTTGTTAGGCTTCAAAGAGGGAAGTCTGAGCTCCCAAATGAAAGGGAATCTGAGGACTGCCCTGTGCCCGCTTTTCTCTTCCTAGCACTTGCCAAGTTTTAAAAATCTTGGCAAACAGACCATCTTACTCATTCTTGGTACCCCTTGTGGCACCTAGCACATTACTTGGCCCTTGATGGGGTTAGTGGAAGTGGATGAATGTCACAGATTAATGTGGGTGATAAAGAAAGAAGTTCTGGAACACTCCATTCATTCCTGTGACCTGGGCACTAAGTCAGAAAATACAGCTTTCTTTTCTCTCCACAGACTGAGATGATTCTTCTTTGGAGCTTACCTGTACCTGATCCCTTTATCCTTTATCCTCAGCGTTGTTGACATCTCTTTCCTGTTGCTGCCACACTCATTTATTGGGTAATCTGCAGCTTAGGGAAGTTTAATCTTAGACTCTGCAGACTTTTGCTGTGAGTGATCAAGTATAAACAGTAGCTCAAATGCTTCATTGTTTTTCTTTTTCTTTTTCTTTTTTTTGAGACAGGGTCTCACTCTGTTGCCCAGGTTGGAGCGCAGTGGTGTGAGCTCAAGCAATCCTCCCACCTCACCCTCCCAGGTAGCTGGGAGTACAGGCACATGCTACCATGCCCAGCTAATTTTTAAACAATTTTTTGTAGAGACAGGGTCTTGCTATGTTGCCCAGGCTGGTATTGAACTCCTGGACACAGGCGATCATCCTGCCTTGACCTCCCAAAGTGCAGGGATTATAGGCACAAGCCACTATGCCCTGAGATTTTTTTCTTAACTCATATTGAAGTTAATAATTTCAGTAATTATGGAATGGACAACCTATACTAGTATAGTACTGGGACAAGGGTTTTATAATTTAGCTAGCTATGTAACTTCCGAGCCTCAGTGTTCTTACCTGAAAAATGGGGATAATACCTACCTTGCTCATTCAGCATTTCATGAGCACCTAACATTGGGGATATAAAGCATTGGGCAAGACTGATAAAGTTCTTGCCCTCATCAACTAAACATTCACAATGATACTGGAAAATTATGATATATGTGTGTGTGTGTGTGTGTGTGTGTGTGTGTGTGTGTGTATCAAGCACCCACAACCTAGATGACAGCCTGCTATATAGTAGGTACTCAATAAATTTTGACTCCCTTTTATCTTAGTAACACATCTCCCTTCCCCTCCTTCAACTTGGATGTTTCAGTGTAAGACATGATTTATTCAGGAAGTTTAGAAGAACATTATACTAATGAGTTGATTGATAAGGGTGCATGAAGATGAGAGTTGGTCAGAGAAGGCTTTGTAGAAATAGAGGAGATGTGATTAGAGCTGGGAGTTGAAAGGATAAGATTTACACAAGTCATTTAACCTCTGTACACTTTCCAGAGTTGTAACAATAGGAATACTGGTGATTGTATGTATTTTTGTGGAGTTTAAAAAAAAGTTCAAGCCTGGGCAACATGGCGAAACCCCATCTCTACAAAAAAATGCAAAAATTAGCCAGGCATGGTGGTGTGTGCCTGTAGTCCCAGCTATTCAGGAGGCTGAGGTGGGAGGATCACTTGAGCCTTGGAGGCAGAGTTTGTAGTGAGCTGGGATCTCACCATTGCGCCCCAGCCTGGGCAACAGAGTGAGACTTTGTCTCAAAAAAAAAAGATCTTAAATCAGACTTTACAAATGGTAGCCTACAATAACATTTAGCCTGCAGAGACATCTCATACACCTTAACTTTTTATTATGAAGAATTTTGAATACACAAAAGAAGACAGGATGGCATAATGAGCCCTTACCCAGCCCCAACCATTAACTGGTGGCCTTCGCTCCTCTAGCCATTCTCCCTTCACAAATTATTATAAAGCACCTCCCAGGCATCATAACATTTCATTTGTAAATAATATTAGTATGTATTGCTAAAAGATAATTTTTAAAAACATAAGCATAATATCCTTTAAAAAATCAACAATTTTTATTCAAATTTTCTTTTGTGTTACCAATGTGATAATTTTAAGTTTCTTTTATTTATTTATTTTTTTACAGACAAAGTCTTGCTCAGTTGCCCAAGCTGGAGTGTAGTAGCCCAATCATAGCTCACGGCAGCCTCAGTCCTCCCACCTCAGCTTCCTGAATAGCTGGGATTACAGGTGCATGCCACCATGCCTGGCTAACTTTTCTAGTGTTTTAAAGATGGGGGTCCTGCCATGTTGCTCAGGCTGGTCTTGAACTACCGGGCTCCTCCCTCAGCCACCCAAGTAGCTGGGACTACAGGCATGTGCCACTGTGCCCATCCTTTCTTTTAATTTATAAGTTCCCCTTCTCTTTTTTTCCTGGGGTTTTGCCGAAGAAATTGGATTATTTTTCTTTTCTTTTTTTTTTTTTTGAGACAGAGTCTCGCTCTGTTGCCCAGGCTGGAGTGCAGTGGTGTGATCTTGGCTCACTGCAAGCTCTGCTTCCCGGATTCACGCCATTCTGCCTCAGTCTCCCGAGTAGCTGGGACTACAGGTGCCTGCCACCACACCCGGCTAATTTTTTGTATCTTTAGTAGAGACGGGGTTTCACTGTGTTAGCCAGGATGGTCTCGATCTCCTGACCTCATGATCCGCCCACCTTGGCCTCCCAAAGTGTTGGGATTATAGCCGTGAGCCATCATGTCCAGCCCCAGAAATTGGATTATTTTTCCTGGGAGTATTATACCACTCTCTGGGAATTTTCAGTTGTATTCCCCTGGTGTACTTAACATCTTCCTCTGCCCTCTCTATTTCCTGTAAATTGGTGGTTTATACTTAATTAGTATATACTTAATTCAATTTAGGTTCAATTTTTTGGCCCAACTACTTCACAGGTGGTGGGTGCTGTGCTCTCCCTGAGGAGGCACATGGTATTTCCTTGTCTCTGGTGTTTATAGTCATGCTGTTCAGTGTCTAGGTTCAGTAATTCGTTATGGATGGTGAAATGGTGGTATTCTAATTATATTGTTCCCTGGTCATTTATTAGCTGAAATATTTCTATAAAGAGAAACTTCCCCTCATCTACTGTTTCGTTACCCCGTGATATGGTTGGTATAGAAAAGTCAGGATAAATGCTTGATTTATTCTCTTTGTCAGCTTTCAAAATAGTAGGTTGACCACAGAGCGTTTTCGGTTATGCAATTTCTCTTAAAAATCCAGAGCTCCAGTTTCTCTTGAGAAACCAGAAGACCTGGCAGTGATGCCTCCATTCCAGTGTGGCAGCAGTCACTTGCAGTTGTGTGGCATTGCTGCTTTGGATGGTCTGTGTGTCTTCCTGTCCCCTGCACGGTCCTCTTCACTGCCCATTGCTTACATTTGACTCATTTCATACAGTTGCATTGCCTGCTTGGCTCCCACTGGCAGATGTTTGCAATCTTACATGTAAAATCCCTAACCTGGGGTTAGTGCCTAGTGCCTGCTCAGTAATGTTTGTTTTCTTCCTGCTATACTTTGTTATACCTGCGTAACTCAGTATTTTATGTGCTTTATGTTGCATGACTGAAATAATGTTTCCTTTTAAAACTCCTCACTTTTAACTAAAGTAGTTAAATATTTCAAAACTACTCGCTTTTGCATCAATGTAATGTTTTAAAACATCTATAATACCTGGGTTTGTTATTTTATTTAAATAACTTTATTTCCTTGCCTCCCTTTTGGGGTTGGATGCTCCTTCGGTGTGGTCAAAACCAAAGGTATGTTTCTTGGTTTTTTTGCCAACCCCTCCTCATTTCTTCCATGTGTCAAACTTATGCCCAATTCTTCGAGGCCAGGCACGCTTAGGCAGTCTTATGGGTCAGATGCATCAGTTATGTCATTGCAGTGATACTTGCAACATCTCTGAGACCCACACTCTTATTTCCCCTTTTACAGTTGGAGAAACTGAAGTTTGAATGGCTTGTTCTCTAGGCTACATAGCAAGTAATTTACAGAGCTTGCATCTGAATGACTCCAAAGCTCCTGCTCTTTCTGCTGCTATCTACTGCCCCAGGTTAGATTTTTCTCCTACCGTGTGCATGTCAGGAGGGTGTAATAATTACAACATAGTCACCCATTGCTCAGTTACGTGACAGACCCCCAAGCTAAAGATTTTACATGTATCATCTGATTTAATCCTATAACACTAGGAGATAGGTCCTTTTTACTGACAGAGAAACTGAGCTCAGAGGCTTTATCTTGCCTCAGGACACACATGTAGTAAGTAGCAAAGGTAGGATTTGAACTCATGTCTGTCTGACTCTTGAGTAGTCATTAATTTACATTGTTGCTGTGTAATCTAGATGAAGAGGCAGAAATGAATATGAATGGAAAAATACATACAAGTGCAGGGTGCCAGGTGGGAAGCATCAGATGAGTGACTTTGAATGTTGGGTTAGTTCAGGGATAGAACAAGAACTACAATTTGCTGAAGTTCTCCTGTTCATCCTCCTGTCCACCCAGTGAGGTTGGTAATGATTTCCTCAGTAAGTTAAGAGACATCTGAAATGCAAACACAGGTTTCTGTGATTAAAAAAAAAACAACTTAAGCTATAAGATACCTAGAAAAAGTGAACAGCTTGATTTATTTTACAATGTGAACAGATTTGTGTAGCTTACACCCATTATCAAGAAACAGAATATTGCCAGCACTTTGAAATCCTCCTTGTGCTCCCTTCCAGGAGGATAGCCACTAAGGCTCTTTGGGTTGTTTGTCTTAAAGCCTTATAGTGTCATGGCTAAGAGCTAGGGCTTGGTAATCTGGCCTGTTGCCAGTTCTTTTACTAGCTCTGTGATCTTGGGCAACTTAGCCCCTGAGTTTCATCTGTAAAATGCAGTTAAAAATAGTTCCTACCTCATGGGTTTATTATGTATTATACATACTAAGTACCGTAAAACAATGCATGGAAAACTGCTTGGCATGATGCACATGCTCAAAGTTAGCTAATGTTAATATGAATCCTCAGCGGAAGAAGGGGTAGTTGGGGAGGTGTTTTTGTTTTAGGAGACAGGGTCTCACTCTGTCACTCAGGCTGGAGTGCAATGGCACGGTCATAGTTCATTGAAGCCTCGAACTCCTGGGCTCAAATGGTCCTCCCACCTCAGCCTCCTAAGTAGCTGGACTATAAGTACCTGCCACCATGCCCAGCTAATTAAAAAAAAAAATGTAGAAATGGGGTCTTGCTGTGTTGCCCGGACTGGTCTCAAACTTTTGGCCTCAAGTGATCCTCCCAAAGTGCTGGGATTACAGATGTGAGCCACTGCTTCCAGCCCAGTTAGGCTTTTGATGGGAGAAATGTACTCAGAAGTATACTACAGAAAAGGCTTAGACCAATATTGGAGCAGAGAGGGCATTCCTGTGGAGTGAGGAGCTTGTGTTGAGGTCCTTGGAGAGGCATTTATGCCGCGTATTTGGGAACCATGCGTAAGAGCAGTTTGTCTGCAGTGGTGCAGGACGTAAACACAGGGCACTTGTGGAAGTAAGTTGGGAGGGCTTGGCAGGTTTTAGAAGTTGATTGTGGAGGGCAGCTGAGTGCCAGGCTAAGATATTTGGACTCTTCCTCTATTGTACCACAGAGATGTTGAAGGCTTCGGAATGTGTATGTTTTGGAGGGTAGGTAGCATATCCAACAGTGTTTTAAGATATGATTCTAGCTGCATGTGTAGGAACATTGACAGCAGGAGTGACAAAGACTGGAGGCACAAAGGTAATTGTGCCAGGCACAGTGATATGCGCCCATAGTCCCAACTACTCCGGAAGCTGTGGTGGGAGGATTGCTTGGGCACAGGAGTTTGGGGCTATAGTGTGCTATGCTGATCAGGTGTCTGCACTAAATTCAGCATCAGGCCAGGCACTGTGGCTTGTGCCTATAATTCCAGCACTTTGAGAGGCTGAGGTAGGCAGCTCGCTTGAGCTCAGGAGTTGGAGACCAGCCTGGGCAACATGACGAAACCCCATCTCTACAAAAAATACAATAATTAGCCGGGCATGGTACTGCATGCCTGAGTCCCAGCTACCTGGGAGACTAAGGCAGGAAGATTGCTTGAGCCCGGGAGTTTGAGGCCACAGTGAACTATGAACATGTCACTGCACTCCAGCCTGGGCAATAGAGTGAGACCCTATCTCAAAAAAAAAAAAAAAAAAAAAAGTTCAACATCAATATGGTGACCTCCCAGGAGCAGGAGACCACTAGGTTGCCTAAGGAGAGGTAAATCGGCCCAGGTCAGAAAAAGAGCAGGCCAAAATTCCCATGCCGATGTGTAGTGGGCTAACACTTGTGAAGCCACTGTGCTCCACCCTGGGCAACATAGCAAGACCTCATTTCTAAAAAAACATAAGAAGAAGATGATGGTTACAAGGTGAGAAGACTGGTGAATTTGGGATTAAACCAAATCTCTAGGACTGATAGTTTCCCTTTATTTCCTAGTTGTCAGGCCCTATGCTGGATGTCTTTGCATACGTAATCTTATTAAATCCCCACAACAGTTCAGCAGATAGACACTGTTTTCTGTTCTATGGATAAAGAAAACGAGACCTTAGAAAAGGTAATGTAATTTGTTCAGGATGACACAGTGAATAAACGGTAGAGCCCGTTTCCTAACCCAGATCTATACCACTACAAAACCCAGTCTCTGCCACTACATCAGGGCTTCACATACTGTACCCATCAGAACCTGAGGTGCTGCTTGAGAGCCACTCAATCATAAACTTTAAAGGTGGGCCTAGGAAATGCCCTAGATGATTGATAATACACTGAAATTTGAGAACCACTCAGCCCACCATGCTGTCTCTCTAGTGGTTTTAGCATTCCCATAATTACCCCAGAGTCCTCCACCCCACAGAGTTTTCATAGAGGTGATGAGCCTGTTTCTTGGGCTCAGCAACAGTTTTTGGCTGACAGCAACAGACTATGACTGAGTGTGGGCTTCAGACCCCTGCTCTTCAAAGTGTAGTTTAGAGCCCAGCCACTCATCCAGGCCGGGAAGCTTGCTTAAAATGCAGGTACTTAGGCCCTACCCTATTGAACTAGAATCTGCATTTTTTTTTTTTTTTCTTGAGACGGAGTTTCACTCTTGTTGCCCAGGCTGGAGTGTAGCGGCACGATCTCAATCCCAGCTCACCACAACCTCTGCCTCCCAGTTTTAAGCGATTCTTCTGCCTCTGCCTCCCTAGTAACTGGGATTATGCCACCACGCCCAGCTAATTTTGTATTTTCAGTAGAGACGGGGTTTCTCCATGTTGGTCATGCTGGTCTTGAACTCCCGACCTCAGATGATCCGCCTGCTTCGGCCTCCTAGAGTGCTGGGATTACAGGCGTGAGCCACCGCGCCCAGCCGGAATCTGCATTTTAACAGCATTCCTCCAGTGATTTAGAGTCTGTGAATGGCTGCTCTAAAGCATAAGTTTGAAGTGTGAGGGGACTATAATAAAGTTATTTCATTAGGTTTCTGCAGCCTGTAAATAAAGACTAATGCAAAGAAGAAAGACCATGGAAGGAAGCCTTTTATTTATTGAATGCCTGCTGCGTGTCTGATGTTTTTGGTACTTTATTTCATTTATCCTCATAAGAACCCTGTGAAGTAGTCATTATCCCCATTAAACTGATGAGGAAACTGACACTCTGAGAAGTTAAGTACTTAGCCCAAGATCACACGGCTACTGAGTGCCTTAGCTAGGAATCAAGTGTAAATCTGTCTGACTTCAAAACCCATGCGTGCTCTTTACAGCCTACCACATTGACTCCCAGGCAGCCAGCAGGAAATGAAGGAATTCGTTTTCTTTTTTTCTTTTTCTTTTTTTTTTTTTTTTTGAGACAAGAGTCTTGCTCTGTCACCCAGGCTGGAGTACAGTGGCGCGATCTCCGCTCACTGCAACCTCCACCTCACGGGTTCAAGCAGTTCTCTGCCACAGCCTCCTGAGTAGCTGGGATTACAAGCACCCACCACCACGCCTGGCTAATTTTTGTATTTTTAGTAGAGACGGGGTTTCACCATCTTGGCCAGGCTGGTCTTGAAGTCTTGAACTCCTGACCTCGTGATCCACCCGCCTTAGCCTCCCAAAGTTCTGGGATTACAGGCGTGAGCCACCATACCCAGCCAGGAATTAGTTTTCTTCCCTATTGGTGTGTGTTCTTTCATCTAGCTGTAGAATCCAATCACCTGGAACAGTGCATAAGAGTCCTGCAGTTTGGGAGTGATAAAAATAGAACAGGTTCTGTGCTAACAGCTCTTCTCTGTGGTGTTTTGGTCAGCCTTTCCACTTGAGCAAGCCTGACCTCCAAATTGTTTACCCAGGTTAATTTCAACAGCAATGAGAAAGATTGGCAGAAAGCACTCTCTAGATGTACGGCCACAGTGCCAGCCTGGTTTTTCATTGTCAGGGCTCCTGACATTCACTGATTTTGCAAAGTACAGAATTTTGGTTTTTTGGGTTTGTTTGTTTGTTTGAGACGTAGTCTTGCTTCTTCGCCCGGGCTGGATCTCGGCTCGCCGCAACTTCCACCTTCTGGGTTCAAGCAATTCTCCTGCCTCAGCCTCCCAAGTAGCTGGGATTACAGGCACGTGCCAGCACGCCCAGCTAATTTTTGTATTCTTAGTAGAGATGGGGTTTCACCATGTTGGCCAGGCTAGTCTCGAACTCCTGACTTCCGGTGATCCACCCGCCTCGGCCTCCCAAAGTGCTGGGATTACAGGTGTGAGCCACTGCGCCCAACCCAGAGTACAGAGTTTTTTTTTGTTGCTGTTTTTTTGTGAGATGGAGTCTTGCTCTGTCTCCAGGCTGGAGTGCAATGGCGCAGTCTCAGCTCACTGCAACCTCCAACTCCTGGGTTCAAGCGATTCCCCTGCCTCAGCCTCCTGAGTAGCTGGGACTACAGGCATGCGCCACCATGCCCGGCTAATTTTTTTATATTTTAGTAGAGACGGGGTTTCACCATGTTGGCCAGGATGGTCTCAATCTCCTGACCTTGTGATCCACCCGCCTTGGCCTCCCAAAGTGCTGGGATTACAGGCGTGAGCCACTGCACCCGGCCAAGTACAGTTTTTAATGCCTTCTCACTAGATTCCATTTTGCTATGAAGTCATTTCTTTGCTTTAACTGAATTGGTCCATGAATCACAAACCAGCCCTATCTATGTACCTTTTATTGTGTGCACCTAAGCATGCACCTAAGAAAACTCCCAATTACATAAAAATTAGCCAGGCACGTGGCTTGTGCCTGCAATCCCAGCTACTGGGAGGCTGAGGCAGGAGAATCACCTGAGCCCAGGGAGTTCGTGGCTGCAGTGAGCCGTGATCGTGCCACTGCACTCCAGCCTGGGTGATAGAGTGAGACTCTGTCTCAAAAAAAAAGAAAGAAAGAAAGAAAAGAAAACTCCCAGTGAACTGATTTGTTGGAATCGGGATCTAAACCTGCTTAGTTTATAAAACAATTGAACGGAAAAAGCTAAAATTGAGCTCCTTGAACTGATTATATTCCTTGTAAATTCTGCATTCTTTTTTTCCCACTGCAAAGCCAGTGTTGAGCTGTCTAGGGTCTCTTCCTGTTCTAATTCTGCATTCTCATGTATAATTCACCAAATATAAGCTCTTTAAGTACATAGTCTATGCCTTTTATTCATCTGTTTCCCAGGCTCCCGACAGGGTTCTTGGGAAAGGCATTAGTAAATGTTTTCTTTTTGTATGAATGAATATAGGATTAGGACAGGGGTTATGGTAACAGCCAGTGCCCACTGAGCGCTTACTATATGCCAGGGCCTGCATATACTGAATTCTGTATAATCTTCTCATCAACCCAGTGATACAGATACTATTACCATCTCCATTTTACTTAGAGGAAATTTGAAACCTAGAAAGGTGAAGTGACATCTTAAGTCAATTTTACATAATGGTTAGTGGACCTGGAGTCTGCAAACCAGCAGTTTAACTCTCAAGCCTGTGCTCTTGACCAAAACACTATAATGCCTCCTAAAACTAGTATGTAAGTGCTTATTATTTGCCAAGTGCTCTTTGTATATATCTCAGCTAATCCTCACAGCTACCTTCTGAGATGGAGCCTTTTTTGCCTTCATTTTAAACAGATAAGGAAACTGAAAAGTGAGGTGGCCACCATAGTACAGCTACTTAGTGACAGGGAAGGAGGAAAACCCAGTTCTGCCTGGGGGCAAACTGCTCCTAGTTGCCTCCCTGACCCAGTAGCTGTAGTACATGACAATTGTACATTCATCCCTTTGGCAAATGTTTATTCAGCACATGTTATGTGCCAGGTGTTGTACCAAGTGCATTATATACATGATCTCATTTAAACCTCACAGCAACCATGTGAAGTGTTGGTACTATTTTTATTCTCTTTTTTTTTTTTTTTTTTTTTTGAGACGAAGTCTCACTGTCACCCAGGCTGGAGCTGGAGTGCTGTGGTGCAATCTCAGCTCACTGCAGCCTCTGCCTACCAGATTCAAATAATTCTCCTACCTCAGCCTCCTGAGTAGCTGCAATTCCAGGCAAGCGCCACCACACCCAGCTAATTTTTGTATTTTTAGTAGAGACGGGGTTTCCCCATGTTGGTCAGGCTGGTCTCGAACTTCTGACCTCGTGATCCGCCCACCTCAGCCTCCCAAAGTGCTGGGGTTATAGGCGTGAGCCACCATGCCCAGCAAGTCTTCCCATTTATAATGGGGAAACTGAAACTTATGTGTCACTAGTGTGTTGAGTGGAAATAGTGATAATTAATATTTATGACTCCTTCCTGTGTGCTAGTTGTACTGTTTTAAGTGCTTTACATATATTATTTCATGTAATTCTTACCATAACCCTATAATCAGTATATGTTAGAATGTAATATAAGGTACTTTTATCCCCATTACAGGTAAGGAAGTAGGCATTTGCCCATGTTTACATAGCCAGTAAGTGGCAGGGCCAGGTTCACACCTAGGCAGTCTGACTCCACAGCCTGTAATGTAATTGAATCTTGGTTTTTGTCTTCCTCTCTGTAGGCACCCAGATTGGCTGAAAACTTCTGTGTCTGCCATTTAGCTACTGGGGACATGCTGAGGGCCATGGTGGCTTCTGGCTCAGAGCTAGGAAAAAAGCTGAAGGCAACTATGGATGCTGGGAAACTGGTAGGTTTGGTGGTACCAATGAGTGTTGATATTCCTCAGAATCTAGATCTGCACTGTCCAATATGGTAGCCACCAGCCACAGGTGGCTATTTAGATTAATTTAATTAATGTAAAAATCAGTTCCTCAGTTGCACTAGCCATATTTCAAGTATTTACCAGCCAACGCTGATACAGAACTTTCCATCATCAAACAAAATTCTGTTGAACAACCATGTGCTAGAGGGTGTTTTAACAAACTGGCAGATTATAGGAAATTTTTTTTCTTTTTTTTTTGACAAAGTCTCGCTCTGTCGCCCAGGCTGGAGTGCAGTGGCGCAGTCTTGGCTCACTGCAACCTCCACCTCCTGGGTTCAAGCGATTCTTGTACCTCAGCCTCCCGAGTAGCTAGGATTACAGGCACCTGCCACCATGCCTGGCTAATTTTTATGTTTTTAGTAGAGATGGGGTTTCACCATGTTGGCCAGGCTGGTCTCAAACTCCTGACCTCAGGTGATCCACCCTCCTTGGCCTCCCAAAGTGCTGGGATTACAGGCGTGAGCCACCGCACTTGGCCTTGTAAGACTTTTTAGAGTGCAAGTTATTTTGTTTGTTCTGAATTTATGGCACTCATTCATAGTATTCTTGAAGTTTTTCTGTGCTGGTGTGTTTTGTTATATACCTAAATTTTAGAGCCAGAAATGAAACTGCTGTCCCTAGGCCAGAACTCAGAGATGTATTCAAGAGAGGATTTAGGAAGTCACAGAAGTGTTTTTTAACCTGCTTTATGGCTCTGTGTGCTGTTTCTGTAACAAAGCAATTACTTCGCAGTTGTGACAAAGGTAATCCTTCTTATCTGGGGACGATAATTGCATTTTCTCTCTTTTTTTTTGTTCTGAGACCCAGGCTGGTGTGCAGTGGTGCAATCATGGCTTACTACAGCCTCGACCTCCTGGGCTCAAGTGATCCTCCCACTTCGGCCTGATGAGTAGCTAGGGTTACAGGCACACACCTCCATGCCCTGCTACTTTTGTTGTTGTTGTTGTTGTTGTTGTTGTTGTTGTAGAGATGGAGTCTCACTGTGTTGCCCACACTGGTTTTGAACTGAGCTAAACCCAGGAGCAGTCCTCCTGCCCCAGCCTCTCTAAGTGCTGGGATTACAGGTGTGAGCTGCCATGCCCAGCCACATTTTCTCCTTCTTTAGGCCAGTTGACCTGATTGGACAAATACAATCTATTATTTTCTGGCACTAATCAAAGATTGCTAGATTAATTATAACTGAGTTATTCTGGAACTTGGCCTCTGAGAATCACCTTCAGAAGTCATTTTGTGCTTGGTCTTCTGGTCTTTTTTTATCTTAGAATGTTGGTTGGGGAAGGAGCTGGACTTTGCTTTAATCCTCAAGTTACCTTCTGTTAGGCTTTGAGATTCTGTAGCTGTATCAAATGATACCTCTGCCTGCCCATTTCTATCTAGTTTTCCCTTCATGTAATTGAATCTCTGAGTCAAACCAGAAAGCTAGATATTTTGGACTTTGAGTTTTGACAGAAGACTCTGTACTAAGAAAAAATTGAGATGTGGCAATGAGATTGCTTATCTCCAACCTTCACTTAGTTGCAGAGTGTGTACTTTGTCCCCAAGTTCACAGTTAGCACCAAGAAATAAAAGCATTAGCTGCCAAGATGGGCAGGCTTCACTACAGGCTGGAGACTTTTCTTTCTATAACAGCCCAAGAGAAAAACCAGTTTCTGAAAACTGGGAGAAGTCCTTATTGGGGTTTTAGAGAGACTCAGAAGTATATTGGCTTAGGGCTGGACATGGTGGCTCACTCCTGTAATACTAACACTTTGGGAGGCTGAGACAGGCAGATCACTTGAGGTCACCAGTTCGAGACCAGCCTGGCCAACATGGTGAAACCCCGTCTCTATTAAAAATACAAAAAATTAGCTGGGCATGGTCGTGTGCGCCTGTAGTCCCAGCTGTTTGGGAGGCTGAGGCACTTGAATCACCTGAACCTGGAAGGTGGAGGTTGCAGTGAGGGGAGATTGTGCCACTGTACTCCAGCCTGGGCAACAGAATGAGACTGTCTCAAAAAAAAAAAAAAAAAAAAAAAAGTGAGGGAAGAGTGTTGGCTTGGCTCTTCAGTTCCTTGGTTCTGACCCAATCTTGCCAATTCAGTGAACTTCTCTGTTTCCTCATGTCCAGGATGGCCCAGATGTGTAACCAAGTACACACATCAGTCACGTTACTGTTAGCCTAATGACAGCTGTGGAACAGGGAAAGCTGATGCCTGTGTTTTGGTCAACCCCATTCTCTCCTGGCACTCTCTCAGGTGGTCTGTCAGCCATTTGTCCTCACATTTCCTGTGCCTTGAGGATCACTGATTGCTGATAAGCTGTTATCTGACAGTTTGGACTCTGGACTCTAGTGGCAGGAGGGACCTTCAGGACCTAAGATACAAAGCTCTCCTGGTGAAGTAACAAGTAATGGAATCTGTCTTCCCTCACCCAGATTTTTGGGATACAGGAGAATTTCAAGAGACGAGAGTGTGTATTTGGCAACCACAGAGATAAAATTATGAAACTGGATCTTCCAAATGGAGCCATTTCACGTTTGCTTTTATTTTTGCTTCTTTGGGTCCAAGAAAACTTGCTGTTTAGTAATAAGGTTATATACACAAACTTTTGGCTGTGGAGTTGGGCTAATGTCAGTCACCTAGGTAATGGATTTAAACCCAAGGCTATTTTGTTCCTAACTTCCAGGTGAGTGATGAAATGGTAGTGGAGCTCATTGAGAAGAATTTGGAGACCCCCTTGTGCAAAAATGGTTTTCTTCTGGATGGCTTCCCTCGGACTGTGAGGCAGGCAGAAATGGTGGGTAGCTTAGTTTTTATATTACTACTGCATGAAACCAAATTCTTGTCCTTTGTCTTTCTTAATTCCTTTGAAGGAGATGGGTCTAACCAAGCTCTGGTAGCTTAGGTGGGCCACACATTCTTTTACAGCTCGATGACCTCATGGAGAAGAGGAAAGAGAAGCTTGATTCTGTGATTGAATTCAGCATCCCAGACTCTCTGCTGATCCGAAGAATCACAGGAAGGTATTTGTCCCTTGAAGGTCCCTTTTCATGCTTCTCAGAGCTTTCTCAAACTCTGAGAATTGCTCTTGCCTAATCCCGGCCATGAAGCTTAGTGCCATTTCAACATGGATTGATTTTATTTGGTGACATCCGCTGAAGTGGTGAGATGGGATCGGGATATGGAAAGAAGAGCAAGGGATTTGAAGTCAGACAGCATCTCATTCTTGTCACTTTTTTTTTTTAGATGGGAGTCTAACTCTGTCGCCCAGGCTGGAGTGCAGTGGCGCAGTCTCGGCTCACTGCAACCTCCACTTCCTGGGTTCAAGCAGTTCTCCTACCTCAACCTCCCAAGTAGCTGGGATTATAGGTGTCTGCCACCAGGGCTGGCTAATTTTTTTGTATTTTTAGTAGAGATGGAGTTTCACCATGTTGGCCCGGCTGGTTTTGAACTGACCTCAAGTGATCCGCCTGCCTCGGCCTCCCAAAGTGCTAGGATTACACGCTTGAGCCACTGTGCCTGGCTCTTATTGCTTTTTTTTTTTTGAGACAGAGTCTTACTCTGTCACCCAGGCTGGAGTGCAGTGGCGCGATCTTGGCTCACTGCAACCTCTGCCTCCCCGGTTCAAGTAATTCTCCTGTCTCAGCCTCCCGAGTAACTCGGACTACAGGCATGTACCACCACGCCCAGCTAATTTTTGTAGTTTTAGTAGAGACAGGTCTTCACCATGTTGGCCATGCTGGTCTCAAACTTCTGACCTCAAGCAATCCACCTGCCTTGGCCTCCCAAAGTGCTGGGATTACAGGCTTGAGCCACTGTGCCTGGCCTCTTGTCACTTTTTAACTGTGACCCTAGGCACATTTCTTAACCTCTCTGAGGCTGTTTCCTTATATGTAGAAGGGGGTTGATAACACCTGCTTTGAGAAGCTATTTCACGTGTTAGGTAACATAAAATGCATAGTTCAAAGCCTTGCCTATATTAGGTGCTTAAGAAATGTTAATGTCTTTACATGTGTATCTCCTCCATTTTAGTGCTCCTTAAATCTGATTTCAGCTGGAGTTGCCATACTTTGCTGTAGACTTTTTATTGTAAAAATAATATAACCATCTGTACAAAGTTTAGAAAATGGAGGAAGAATTTGCTCATAGTACAGCCACTTTGTGTGTGTGTGTGTGTGTGTGTGTGTGTGTGTGTGTGTGTTTTAACATGTTTGTTTCTCTGTAATAGCATTGAACACAGAAATGCCTCTGCTTCTGGACACGTTTGTTCTGACAGACCAACACTGCTTTAGCCTACAGTTGTCTCTACCCTGTTTCACTAATCACTGCCATCTGCTTTGTGCCTTCCAGAAGTATGACAGAAGCTTTCAACTGCAAATGGACCCTCCATTCCCTTCTTTATTGTGGGCTGTAGCTTTTTTATGTCTTTGTCATTTTAATGGTGTCTCAGGAAAGTGGTCAGCCAACCATCTTGAACCAGACATCCATGACCATTACTTTTAATTGCTGTGTAATATTTCACAGTAGGTTAACCATTGTTTACTTATTTCCTTATTGTTGTACATTTATGTTTCTTCCAGTTAGCCACTGTTAAAATGATACTATGGCCATCATAATGCATGTAAATTTTTGGATTAGGGAAAAAATGTTTTCTTATTTCAGACATTATTACTTTGATTTCCTAATGAGGTTGAACATCTTTTCCATGTGTTTGTAGTCCATACCTTCAAGAAGAGACAAACATGTGAATAGACAGCACAGGGTTAGCACTATTATCCTGGAAAGCGATATGAAATACAGTGGACTCTACCTTATATTCATTTTCTTTTCAAATGTCCAGGTTACATGTCTCCGGCTATTCCATAGGCTCCTTTAATGCAGGAACTTCTGTTTCTTTGTATCCCCACTGGGCACAGAGTAGACAAAGTTGATGTAGGTCGAGAAGCAGTAGGGTTAACAGTAAAGACATCACTAGGCCTGGGGTCTCTTAGGCACTAAGCACGTATTAGCAGAATCAGGTGATACTGGAGACCTTTGATTCTATGGGCCCAGCTTCCTGAGTACCTGCTTCCTGCATAGCACAGTACTAGACCCTGGGAGCAGAGGACCACGAGAGGCTCTAGGATAACCATATAGTGATGCCCATCTCTGACCTCAGAGAGTCATATATGAAACTTGGGCTGTTCAGTGTAGTAGGAAGTCCAAGAAGAAAGCCTGGGGACAGGGAAGAAAGGCTGCCTAGGATAGAGATAACATTAAACTCTTCCTCGATGAAGAGTATTTCAGAGAGCCTTTCCCAGAAGGGAGGAGAAGCCGGAATGATTATGGGTTGGACTTTCGCTGAGGCTAGTAGCAGACGTGTCTGCCCAGTGGTCTGGGGGGCAGGAAGGTAGAAGGAATGCTGTTGAGAAGAGCTTTACTGGGGAGATCTGCCAAACCAAAGAGGGTAGACTTGACGGAGTTCAGGACTCATGAGATAGTCTTGAGCCACTGGGTATTGTGGCAAAAACAGTATTCTAAGAACATTAGCTTGGTCCTGGTGTACAAGGTAAATTACGGCAAGGAGAAACAGATAAGGATACCATCTAGGAGCCTGTTTATGATCCACATGATGTGGTGGAGATTTCTAACTGAGGTTGGGTGGGAGAGAACAGAGAGATTCTGAAGAACAAACAGCAGGATTGCTGTAAAGGGTGAAAGAGAGAAGATTCATTCCCTCCATTTGGAAGTAGGTGGTTAGTGTGACTTCCTCACAGAGAGAAGGACCCCCGTCCTCACAGAGCATGTCACTGCTGAAGGTGTTTTTCCAAGTTTACCCAACAGATGAGTGGCAGGGTTAGCCCTGGAAGCCTGCTTTCTGCCTCGTAGTCCAAAATGTTGATGGTTAGAAGAAAATGAGGCAGGAACCAGTCAGTTTAATATGGATCTTTTTCTTTTCTGTTTTTTTTTGTTGTTGTCATTGTTGTTGTTTTTGAGACAGAGTCTCACTCTGTTGCCCAGGTTGGTCACAGATGTCGGCTGTTTGAAGATGCTGGGGAATGCACCCCGGACCTCACACAGGATCTTTTTCAAGTCTGAGATGATATGGACCCATTGTAACAATCTTCTGAATTAGCTCTGACCTCACTTCTAGTAATTTTGAGTCATTGTTCTGTTTCTTGAATATGAATAGTTGGTGGTTGTGGTTTTTGTTTTTAACTTATTCAATATTGGCTCTCTCAAATCCTAATTATCCTACCAGTTGGCTCTCCGGTATTATCTTAATACCTGGTACCATCCCAATTTTGTGGATGAGAAAACAAGTGTTTAAAGTGTCGCACTGAATGTTGGGCGCAGTGGTTCATGCCTGTGATCCCAGCATTTGGTAGGGACCTAAACAGGAGGATTACTTGAGGCCAGGAGTTTCAGACCAGCTTGAGCAACATAGCAAGACCTCGTCTCTACTATAAAGCAAAAAAAAAGTTAGCCAGGTGTGGCAGTGTGCACCTGCGGTGGTGGTCCCAGCTACTTGGGAGTCTGAGGTGGGAGGCCTGCTTGAGCTAGGGAGGTCGAGGCTGCACTGAGCCATGATTAGGCCACTGGACTCCAGCCTGGGTGACAAAGCAAAACCCTATCTCAAAAAAATAAAAATAAAGTATCACACTCACGGTAGCAGTGATTGTAGATTCCCAGTCCTGATGATACCTCCAAGCCACGCTCAGTGGCTCATGGAGCTATTTTGGTTGGTACTTGAGAGCAATCCCATTTTGAGAACTTGGAGAGTGGGGTTTCTTTCATTTACCTTCTGTGGAATGAGCCTTGTATTGTTTTAAAAAGTGGTATTTGTGAATGGCAAAAGAGCAGTGTGTGGGAGTCATATTTGTTGCAGCCTGGCTGCTATGTGCCCTGTGCTCTCTAGAAGGTAAAAAAATATCCTGGTCCGTATCTCATGCCCCTAGCCCCTCCCAAAGTTGCTGCAGCTGAGCCCAGCAGCCTGCTCTCTCCTTTCCCTGGGTCTCCCAGTGGATGCCATTTCTGAATGAATGCATCAGAGGAATCCTTCCAGGCACTCAAATAATGGAAGGTGCAACCTCACAGTACATGACTGCAGTCACAGGAACCTTTACTCCTCTGTCCAGTTGGCCTTCCATATCCATGGTTCCCTCATCTACGGATTCAAGCATTTGTGGATTAAAAATATTCAGAACAAAACCACCAATAAATATAACCCAGGAAAGCTGAAGAAAAGAAAAAATAATACAAATTTTAAAATTCAGTATATCAATTCTTTACATGGCATTTACATTGTATTAGGTATACATAATCTAGAGGTGATTTAAAGTATGCAAGACAACCAGCCTGGGCAACATAGTGAGACCTCATCTCTACAAAAAATTAAAAAACTAGACCGGGCGCGGTGGCTCACACCTGTAATCCTAACACTTTGGGAGGCCGAGGTGGGTGGATCACGAGGTCAGGAGTTCGAGACCAGCCTGGCCAACATGGTGAAACCCCGTCTCTACTAAAAATACAAAAAATTAGCCGGGCGTGGTGGCAGGCATCTGTAATCCCAGCTACTCAGGAGGCTGAGGCAGGAGAATTGCTTGAACCTGGGAGGCAGAGGTTGCAGTGAGCCGAGACCATGACACTGCACTCCAGCCTGGGCAACAGAATGAGACTCTGTCTCAAAAAATAATAATAAAATAAAATAAATTAATTAAATAAAATAAAAGAATTAGCCAGGCATGGTGGCGCATGCTTGTAGTCAGCTACTCCAGAGACTGAGGCGGGAGGGTCACTTGAGCCCAGTAGTTTGTGGTTACAGTGAACTATGGTCATTGCCATTGCACTCCAGCCTGGACAACAGAGCAAGACCATGTCTCAAAAAATAAAATAAATAGACCAGGCGCAGTGGCTCACACCTGTAATCCCAGCACTTCGGAAGGCTGAGGCAGGTGGATCACGAGGTCAGGAGATCGAGACCATCCTGGCTAACACGGTGAAACCCCGTTTCTACTAAATATACAAAAAATTAGCCAGGCTTGGTGGTGGGCGCCTGTAGTCCCAGCTACTTGGGAGGCTGAGGCAGGAGAATGGCGTGAACCCAGGAGGCGGAGCTTGCAGTGAGCAGAGACCGCGCCACTGTATTCCAACCTGGGTGACAGAGGGAGACTCTGTCTCAAAAATAAAATAAAAATAAAAGTACACAGGAGGATATGCATAGGTTATATGGAAATGCTGTACCATTTTATATCAGGGACTTGAGCATCTATGGATTTTGGTATCCACAGAGGGGGCTCCTGGAACCAATCCCCCCATGGATACCAAGGGATGACTCTATAGCTTATTTTCTCTACTGTCACCTCCCTCCTGCCCATAACCCAGTGCCACTTTATGCCAAATGGACCATCTTGTCCCCCCAAAATATGCTGTGATTAACAAAAAAGAAAGTAGCACATTTTACAGAGGTGCTACTTCAATAGTCTAAATAGAATTGAATAGAATTTTTATTTATTTTATTTTTTTGAGACAGTCTTGCTCTGTCACTCAGGCTGGAGTGCAGTGGTATGATCTCGGTTCACTGCAACCTCCACCCCCAGGTTCAAGCGATCCTCCTGCCTCAGCCTCCCAAGTAGCTGGGATTACAGGTGCCTGCCACCCAGCTAAATTTTTCATATTTTTAGTAGAAACGGGGTTTCGCCACGTTGGTCAGGCTGGTCTCGAACTCCTGACCTCAGGTGATCTGCCCCCCTCAGCCTCCCAAAGTGTTGGGATCACAGGCATAAGCTGCTGGGCCCGGCCCAAATATTGCTATGCCTGCCAAATGGTGAAAAATATTAGGGAGCTCTAGTCTAATAGACCTTCATGAGAAAAGCAACCATTAGTTAAATAAGCAAACAAACACTTGGTTGGCAGAGAATTGAGAAACCACAGAAGTGAAGCAAGGCCTGGCTGCTGAGCAGAGCTTGGCCTGCCTCCTTTCCTTAGGTTTCTAGGCTCCTGTGGTGTGGCCATTCCCAGTCAGGAACATGGGCTTGTTGTCTGTAGGGACTCAGCACAGATGCAGCTGCCCACTATACATTCAGTGCCAAATAAATGCCTGTTCTTGAGCTCTATATTCCATGACTTGTTTAATAAGTCATTTTTCCCGATTACTTGAATATTGCTCCATAAGGGTTAGGCTATCTTTTATCTGTGTGATTGAAAAGATGTGTTCCATTATCTGGCAGTGTTTGCATCCATGGGAATTATTTTTCCTGTTAGTACCTTCCTGGTTTTGTAACCAAACTAGGTTAGAAAATAGAGTTCATTTCTTTGTCCTCTGTCCCCCATAGCACTTTGTACAAATCTCTGTTAAAGGATTATCACGTTTGTTATTTATTTCCACATTTGTCTCTCCCACTAAGCACTACTTGTGAGCAGGGATCATTACTCATTGCTTTGTAGCTTCTGAATTCAGCTTAAGGCTTGAATGGAATACTTATTAATGTTTGTTAAGTAAATGGGTGAACAGAATGGATGGCTGTGTGAGACCAGCACCAGAGTTCCTTCTCTCAAGTCCTGAATTAGGTAGTTATGCCAGCAGTTTGCTCTTCAGCCAGATACTCATAATAATGTTTGGTCAAAATAGAAAATATACTCTGCCGCTGGCATAAGCTCTCCTGGAAGCCCAGTTATTTAGCTGGATTTTCTGCTGGGTGCTGGGTCCTTGCATCCAGCGTCCCTATCTCTGCTTGTCATTCTGGAGCCCCCTAGAGTGGAGTGCAGGCGCGTACTGTCAGTTAACCTAACTCATATTCATTTGCTGTCTTTCAGGCTGATTCACCCCAAGAGTGGCCGTTCCTACCACGAGGAGTTCAACCCTCCAAAAGAGCCCATGAAAGATGACGTATGTAAACTCAGGACAAAAAATTTCCTTTTCTTTCCTTCCCCTTTCTTCACTGTTTTTCTTTTTCCTTTATTCTTTCCATCTTCCTTTTATTTCTACCAATATTACTAACTTAGTCATGAAAAATAACACTATCAAGTAAATCACATGGCCTGTGTCAGATCTATTCAGTGTCTCCTCAGGTGGTTTATTGCTTGGCCTCAAGGTTGCTTCCAGTGGTGCTAGCTTTTTGCAGTGCCCAGATTGTACCTGTCTTCTGTCAAGAGCAGCCCCTTTTCTGGCATCATGGCCACCTAAGTGATCAGCTAATCAGGAGAAGCTTTCTTAAAAGCCTACAATTGGAGAGTGGGAAGAGTGTGGCACTGAAGAGAAGTTTGATGACCAGTCCTCCAGAAAAATATTCTTTTTATAGTTATTGCTGCTGTACTGTGTCCTGGGGTTTCATACATGGTCACTGCACCATTTGCCATAAAGAGTCTATATGGTTTGTTTTAAAGCATGCAGGCAACAGTAAGAATTTCCTGGGTTTACCTTTGTCCTATGAAACAAGTTCATCAGGTCATTCAGGTTCTATAAATACAGGTTCCAGAGCCGTTATGGCAACTTAGTCACATTTTGCAAAGTTGCTAATTCTACCATTGAAAGTTCTTATTTTACTTGCCACTTTTAGAATGTTGATGGGTGACACTCTAGTAAATACACTAAATATTTAAGCAACTAAGATTACAATTGCTAATGTATCTTTGATTTTGATGTATTCTGGTCTTAGGGGCCTTTTTGACTTCCTTACTTTTGACCCTAGAAGTGTTTATCTTGGAAGCTGAATCGCCTGAGCACAAAGATGAGAAAGTCATTGCCTATCTTCCCCTCATGAGCCCCTTTCCTCACAGTTGGTGTTTCTGACAAACTCTCTGACTTCTGTTCACCAGCTGCTCTGCTCCTGGGAGTAGCAAAGTTCTTCACTGGAGAGGGTCTGGATTGCCTGTCTTTGTCTCTGATGGGCTTTGGGAACAGACAGCATCCTGGGCAGAATGGTCCCATCTCAAATCTGCATCTGGCATGGAATAAGAAAACCTTGCTAACAGTCCCAGCCTTTCATTGCTGTCTTCCTGTTCTCAGATCACCGGGGAACCCTTGATCCGTCGATCAGATGATAATGAAAAGGCCTTGAAAATCCGCCTGCAAGCCTACCACACTCAAACCACCCCACTCATAGAGTACTACAGGAAACGGGGGATCCACTCCGCCATCGATGCATCCCAGACCCCCGATGTCGTGTTCGCAAGCATCCTAGCAGCCTTCTCCAAAGCCACATGTAAAGACTTGGTTATGTTTATCTAATGTTGGGTCCAAGAAGGAATTTCTTTCCATCCCTGTGAGGCA
This sequence comes from Homo sapiens, assembly GCF_000001405.40. NCBI lineage: Eukaryota > Metazoa > Chordata > Mammalia > Primates > Hominidae > Homo > Homo sapiens. Next base: position 33,013,138 of record NC_000001.11, on the reverse strand, counting down.
ATGGGTGGGAATGATAGGACAGGCAAAGAGAAGCTTCCTCAGGCTAGCAAAAATATCATTTGATGTATTGATTAAAAAAGCACTTGCTTGATGTATCTTTGGCGTGTGTGCTACTCTCATCTGTGTGTATGTGTGTTGTGTGTGTGTGTGTGTGCATGCACATATGTGTTCACTCTGCTACTTTGTAAGTTTTAGGCTAGGTTGCTTTACCAGCTGTTTACTTCTTTTTTGTTGTTGTTTTGAGACAAGGTTTCGCTCTGCCACCCTGGCTGGAGTGCAGTGGCGTGATCTTGGCTCACGGCAACCTCTGCCTCCTGGGGCTCAAGCAATTATCCCACCTCAGCCTCCTGAGCAGCTGGGACTACAGGTGCATGCCACAACACCTGGCTGATATTTGTATTTTTTGTAGAGACAGGATTTTGCCAAGTTGCCCAGGCTGGTCTTGAACTCCTAGGCTTAAGCAATCCACCCACCTTGGCCTCCTGAAGTGCCAGGATCACAGACGTGAGCCACTACACCCAGCCCAGCTGTTTACTTCTTTAACCATACTTTTGATTTTATTTTTTGACCAAAATGAACTAACCCAGGTAATCTTCCAGGGACCGCAATTCCAGAACCTCATAGTATTTCTTCCATTTCCAGCAGCTGATTAGAAGTCCAGGATCATGTGAAGTCAGGCAGGGTCACAGTTCCTGATGGCACATTATGGACAGAGAATTCCATTTTGTTTTCTAACCCATGATGAAAACCCACGTGAGTCAGTGTGTGAACAGGGATCATTAATTTTTTCCCCCTAGGTGGAAGGAAAAAGGCACTTACTTTGCAGGTTACAGAAATTACTGGGAGAGGATATCGTCATAAAAAGAGCCAGGCCAAATTGGAATATTTTTGTGATCTGCATCATGATGCTGAAAATAGCAATTATTTGGGAATTGGGTTTGAAAACTGAATTGTTGCCAGAGAATTAAACCAGGTGAAAGGTCCTTTTGAATTCAGATTGTCTTCTGAACATCCAGGCTGATCATCTGAGAGCAGTCAAATCTACTTCCCCAAAAAGAGACCAGGGTAGGTTTATTTGCTTTTATTTTTAATGTTTGCCTGTGTTTCCAAGTGTGAACAAAACAGTGTGTGATCTATTCTTGGATTCATTTTGATCAGTATTTATTCAAACCCAGTCTCTCTCCAGGACATAAAACTGAAATCAGATATGTTCTTTTTAAGCCCAAACCCTCTCCTTTCTAGATCCAACCCTTCACCCCTAATTTTATGATGGCTATAGCCATGGACTTCCCCAAGAAAAGATCACCCAGAAATAAGACCACCTGTGACAGTTACCAGCTTTTATTCATAACCTTAGCTTCCCAACTATTGAGCATTTTCTAAGGTCCCTGCTGTCTTTTGGTCTCTGGTTTGATTTGTGGCAAACAGATGAAGTAACAGACTGCTATGAAGGACCACAAAAACGGCAGCCTCTGGAAAAACCATTAGAAAGTCAGTGGCAGATCCAGTAAATAATATCGCCAGCCTCAGCATAATCTGCTGCTGACTCGATTCAGTGGACTCTAAAGTGCCCAGCCTCCTGACCTGAGCTCTCCTGCCATCTGTGAGACTACCAGAGGTCTTATCTGCTGTCCACATGGCAACTGGGCATGAGTACCTGGCCACCTTGCTTCCCTCTTTGCCTGGTCCAAGTGAGTGTCTGCTGCCTCTGTCCTGCCTTGTTTTCCTGGCTCTAAACCAACTCCACCCACTCTTAATGGAAACTCAGTCTGGCTTTGTGTGTTTCTGGGAAGCACATGACTTCTGGGAATGGGCAAGGAAGAGGAGTGAAACAAAAACTGTCAGCTATGTGTGCCTGGTCTGGGATCCTTCTCTGGGTGACAGTGGCATCATGAATCTTAGAATCAGCTCCCCTTTAACTAGGGACAATTGTAAGCACTTGGCCTCAAAGTTGAGGTTCTTGAATGTTTGCTAATTTTATGTGCATGATCCTTGCCCAAATATTTGTCATCCGTCCACATAGATTCACGTGTGCATACAACATGTACAAGTAATATTTGGGCTGCCCATAAGAACTGGAAGATTCATAGGGAATGCATATACCCTTCTCAGTATGGTTAGGATTCTGTTTTTGCTTCATTTAATTCCAGAGTTCCTCAGCCTCAGCAGGTTCTGCTTTTACCTGTCACAGAAATGTCCAGTGTTTAATGCATTTGGTTGCTGGGGCTTACATGCCAGCCTCCTCTGATATGTACTTGGTTTTTAAAAACCCATTTTGTTCTCTCTTGTTTCCTCTCTATTTCAGCCTAGTATCAGAAGGCCAGGCGAGACTGCAACACTGCTCATCACCCCGCGGCGTGATCCCTGCTCTTAGGTGCTGGGCAGAGGGGAAGGGTGGTCAGGGTGAGGATGGTGAGGGAGGGCTGGTGAGGGGCTCAGAGGAATACTTGGAACAACAGCAGTGTTATTGTAGTGTGGCAGTTTCTTTTATACATAGGTGAGAGTTTTTAAAGTGTAAGGGAAAAATTAATTTTTTAAAAAACACCATGCTTGGAGGGTGGGGGTAGAAATAGACACAATATTATTTCTAAGGAATCGGGTTTTCATTTACTCTGGACTGGTGAAAATATTTTTTAAAGCCAGTGCTCTAAGACCTCAGCTTTTATCTCAGAACCCCATGGGTTCCAGACCAAGAGTACAGGAAATCAAATTGTTGTCCTGTCTGTCTATAGCTTGGAACAGGGAGCTTTGATTACTGACTCCGGTTCCACACACTGTAAGATCAAAAAACCATCTCCACATTTGAAAGAGATGTAAGGTGTATTCATAGGGATGGTGGCTCAACAAATCAAGCAAACTGGAATCAAGGGGAGGGGGAAGGGAATGAAATGGAAAGGGAGGCTGATTCCCTTCCCCTGACTTACCACTAATTTACTAGGCTACCTACTTTCATGAGTAACCTCTCACAGCTACCCAGCACATGCCACAATCCTATGCTCTTGCCTTCTTTTATCTGCACTGTGTGAAGGGACTCTTTTAAATAAATGAGCAAGTGTCCTAAGCTATGTCATCCAAAGATTGTCCTTTCCATTCTCAAATCCTGTGACTGGGATCACTCAACAGCACTGTGATGTATTATTTTCAATGAGGTGCCTTTCTTAACTGACCAAATGCTGCCTTGTTTGGCCCCTAAATCAATAAAATATGTTAAAATTTGTATCCCCTGTTGTGGCATTTTTTTTAGATAATCTAAGCTAGAAAAATGACATTGAATTCTGGACCTGGCTGGAAGGAAAAGAAGCCCTTTCTTGTCGCTGGCAGCTGTGTGGTAGGGAGGTCCAAGTATGTGCATATGAGATAAGCCTGCAACCTCTTGACCTTCAGCTCCTATGCAGGCTTCTCTTGAGCCCAGAGACAAGGCAGCTTGGTCTAGTGGAGATAGCACTGTGCTTGGAGTTCAGGGGACCTAGGACAAATCCCAGCCAGTTAGTTATTCACTGTGCTCCTGTTTCCTCAGCTGAAAAAGGAAGTTGGTTATGCCACCTTCTTGGCCTTAATGGCATTAAATGAAATTTATAGGAAGAAGGTTTTTGCTCAGTACCTGGCATGCAACAGACATTGGATAAATGTTAGTTGGATCCAGATATACACAGAAAGATATCTGCTTCCTGCCAGGCTGGATAACTGTTGAATGGACACTTGTCCATAGTCTAGAAAGCCAGTGCTTCTAATCCTTAAGCCAGATCTTTGACTACCTTTTCAGTTGCTTCTTTAACACTCTTTGTTGCTTCTCTGTGTGTCCTAGTTTAAATTCATTTCCTCTCCAGCAAAAGTGAGCTTAAATAATTTCTCCAAACTAAAGCTCTCATGTTTTTGGAAGGGCTGCCTTTGCAAGTGAGGTTTCTGAGAAATGACTGTTGTTCCCAAAACAAGAGGGAGCTGGGCTGGAAGCACCACTATTCTTCTTTAGGCATCTTGTTACAGAGAGAGGCAGGGTCTTCACTGACATATTAAATCCTGTTCCCTGAACCAGCCCCTCCCTCTTCTGCTCCACTTCCTCACCTGTGCAGAGTCATTTTCAGGTGTTAGCCTTACTGATTTGCACTGATCTGTTTGTTCCCTGAGCTTTTTAAATACCCTGTGAAAATTTTCTTTCCTCCCTTGGTCATCATGCATCTAATTGTGGGGAAATGTTTGTCAAACCAACCTGCAAAGCAGCATGGTGTAGTTGAGAAGAATAAACAGAGAAGACTGGGTGAGCTATTGTTTGTTTGCTTCTTTGGGCCTGGGTTTCCTCATCTAATCTGCAAACCAAGAATGCAGACTAGTCCTACCACTCCCGGAAGACTGACGTTGTGCCAGGTATTATGCAAAGGCTTCATGTAACCCTCGACTTCACGTAACCCTCACACAGCACCCTGTGGAGTCAGAACTGTCCTTCACTTTTATAGGTGAGGAAACCAGACTCAGAGAGGTGAAGTGGCATTCCTGAGGTCATGCATAAGAGGCAGTCAGGACTGAAACACAGTCTCTAACACTTATCCGTCCCCTTGATCTTGTTGCTGAAGTGATTTAATTACTTGCGTAGCTCTGCACACAGGAAGGGCTGCTCTGAATAAGAGCTCTTTTCCATGGACACTCAGCGCTGCCGGAACTGATTTTGAAGAAGTCACTGCCGGCTCTGAGGGCCTAGGGTATGTGTCTTAGGATCTCCTGTGTGCACAAAGTGTCACTGACAGAACACAGCAGGATGGAGAGCAGCCTCCTCAGAAGCCTCACAAGTCTTTCCTCAGATGAAGACAGAGCAACGAGTCAGAAGACAGATTTCAACAGCGACTTCACCATGCGACCTTGGACAAGTTATCTCACCTCATCAGTAGAATAGGAATGATCCCTACCCCTCAAAGGTGCTGATGACACTAGTGACCAAGATACTCATGTGGGTTGGACTGCCCAGGACACAGCAGATGCTTAGTAAACACAGATGGAATTCAGAGGGAAAATGTAGGCATTGAAGAAAGTTGTCTTACTGACCATCCGGAACCAGGCTAAGGATCCCCTAGAAATCATAGACCTCTGAAATTATATGCAGAATTCTTTATGTGTTTTCATAATTAATAATAGTCTAACATATTAAATTCTTAGCTGTGTGAGAGGTTCTGCATGCATTATCTCATTTATTCTCCTCGATAACCCTGTGGAGGTAAGTATTGCTATTATCTCTATGGTATGTCTGTAGACTTTGAGATTCAGACATCTGATAATGGCAGAACCAGAGCCTGAGTCCAAGTCTGGCTCCACACCCCAGCCTCTTAACACTGTGCCAATTGCTTTGACACTTTGCTGGGGAGAGATGAAATGATCTCAAAGGCACTCATGATACAGAAAAGGCTATGAGCCATGGATCCAAACAAAAGGAGAAACTCAAGTAGGTTTGCTCTGTTACAGTGAAGGACCTGCCACAGGTAAGACCTTTTTCTATTTTGCCATCCTCCGTTGTTTCCTTATTGTTGGTACTAAAGTTCCAATGTGCTGGATTTGCATAGCTCCTGGAATCACCCGTATTCCAGAAAGGCTGGAGGGGTGAGTTATGTTGGGGGAAGGAGCCGGTTCCCATCTCTTGTCCTCCACGATTATCTCCTGGTTCTGGATAAGGTGGCCAGGAGAGGGTGTGTATGTAGGCTGTTGAGTCACAGGCAGCCGTCTCAGATTGCAGCTCTGTGTAGCTGATGGTGTTGCATTATTCATAACTCCAGGGGGAGCAGTGTGCTTCTGATGTTTTGGGAATGCAGCAGCTTTGGGTTTAGAGTCATCCATGGCAGTGTGATGATGAGCTGCTCTCACAGAGGGCCCCTTCCAGGTGCCCAGTCCAGATTGAGGTGCCCCCAGCAGAAAACAGGTGGAAATGGAAAGACAGAGCATCAGAGGGCAAGACAACATGGGCCTAGATCCTGTGCAGGTAGCCCTCAAGCCAATAAGCCAAACAGATCTGCACTTTGGGGGTAAAGTTGCTATGGAGCAAATAATTTGATTGTGTGGTGTTCTGTAAGGGTTTTGCAGACAAATTCCTCTGAGCTTAGCTAGGAGTTCATTATGCTTCCTGTTTAGCTGGTCTTCTTTCTTCTACTAAATAAGAAATGCTTCATTTTTGGCCGAGCACGGTGGCTCATGCCTGTAATCTCAGCACTTTGGGAGGCCGGGGCATGCGGATCACAAGGTCAGGAGTTTGAGACCAGCCTGGCCAACGTGGTGAAACCCCGTCTCTACTAAAGATACAAAAAAATCAGCTGGGCATGGTGGCGCCCACCTGTAATCGCAACTATTTGGGAGTTCGAGGCAGGAGAATTGCTTGAACCCGGGAGGCGGAGGTTGCAGTGAGCCGAGATCGCGCCATTGCACTCCAGCCTGGGCAACAGGGTAAGGCTCCGTCTCAAGAAAAAAAAAAGAAAGAAAGAAATGCTTCACTTTCTACTGTCTTCCTTCTTGCCCTGGCTGTGAGGAAACTCAAAACTACGTCTTGTGTTCAGTTGTTAATCATTCCTCAGCCATGGTTTCTTAATAAAATTTCAACGCCAGCCCAATTTTAGTTCTGTGTTTAGCATTTTTGTGCTCATGTGTGTTGTAAACTGCCTTGAGTCTATTTTGGAAGAGAAGCAGAGTGTAAAGGAAGGGCTAATTATGCAGTACAGGAGGTCAGACTGCAGAGAAGAAGGTAGCTTTGTGAAGGAAGTGGGATCTGGGTGACTCCATGCAGAGGGTGGCAGCATTCCAGCTGAGGGCACAGCACAAGGGAGGGTACAGCGGCCACTGGTGCTCTGGGCTGCTTTAACCTCAAGCAGGGGTCCCCAACCCCCAGGCCATGACTACCACCAGCAGGAGGTGAGCGACAGGCAAGTGAGCATTACCGCCTAAGCTCCACCTCCTGTCAGATCAGCAGTAGCATTAGATTCTCATAGGAGCACAAACCCTATTGTGAACTATGCATGCGAGTAATGTAGGTTGCCCGCTCCTTGTGAGAATCTAATTAATGCCTGATTATCTGAGGTGGAACAGTTTCATCCTGGTCTGTGGAAAAATTGTCTTCCACGAAACTAGTCCCTGGTGCCAAAAATCTTGGAGACTGCTGACCTAGAGAACCCCTACCAGAGTTCTTGGGAAATCTGTATCTGATTAGAGATAAGTTTTTCAAACAAAGCACAGTGACCGTAGAAGGGAAGTTTTTCAGCTCATGAATAATGTCAAGAATGCAGAAGAGCAAAAGACAAGGATACGTACATAGAGATTTGATGGACCGCTTTAAGCTCAGCCCATGTGCCACTCTTCCTCTCTCCCCTAAACACACCACAGTCTGTGCTTTGACCATGAATCAGGCGATACTTTGCTGTGGGGCTGAAGTGGGGGAAGTCCTTCAGTTTTATTGTCAGCTCTCTTTTCCAGTCATGTGTCTAGTGGTATGGGCATGAGTTCTGAGGATGACAAAGATGGTCTGTGCTTAGATCTTGGCCCTGACAGTAGCTTACTGTGTGCCTTGAGGGAGACACTTAACCTGTAAGCCTCAATGAACTCATCTGTAAAATGAGGGTCATAGCACTCATCTAGAAGAGTGGTGAAGTTCATATGAATTGAGAAATAGCAGCTGCCCAATAAATGATCCTTTCTATGTCCTTTCCCAGGGCCATTTGCTGAGGAAAAAAGGACCTTACCATGGCTACCAGCTATTTCAGGATAGGTATCTTTACCCATTCCTATTCCTCAGTGCCACCTCATCCCCCTTGGAATTCAGTACCAAACCCGAACAGGTTGCTTTTCACTGGAGTGTTTCCTGAGCTGCCAGATGTGCCCCTGAGTGGAGATGGGAATCAGTGTTATCTTCCCCAGGGATGCTGATTCTACTCCAGGCTGGCAGGAGACATTGTGGTCCTGACATGGCAGCCAACCAGATAGCAATGGTCTTGGCACCCCCAAAGCTTACTGAGAGTAGGACATTCTATAGTTGAAGATGAGGGGAGCATCTTCAACTGCTGAAACCACACCTTGGCCTGGCTGTACCTGCTCCTATCTTGAGGCCAAAATAGGAGGGAGCACAAAAGAACATGGTGGGGTAGATCTGTGTGCACGTGACACCAGTGAGGTGCTGGAGTGGGCCGTGAGAGTCTTTAGTGAGAATATGTTGGCTCATGTTTTGGAAACCTTTGAAAATTGTCCTGTGGTAAGGGAATGAGAACAGTACCTCTCTCTTTGTGCTGTTGACAGGATGAGTTCATGTCTGTCAGGTGTTTTAGAACAGTGACTCCCATAGTGCTCAGTAAGTGTTTCCAAGCTAGCAGCTCTGGCTCAGCAATTCCAGTTTGTACATGTCCCCCAAGGAAATGACTAAGTATGTGCAGAAAGCATTCTTTATAACAGGGTTAGAATTGGAAACAACCTAAATTTCCAACAAAAGGGGAGATTGGCTGATTGATTCATGGGATGGAATAGTATGTGATCACGAAATAAGTCATTTTAAGACAAAGATTTTATGGTAAATTTATTAAGTGAATAAACAAAGGTTTTAAAACAATACAGAATGGAATATGCTTTTTTTTTTTTTTTTTTTTCCTCCTAGAGACAGGATCTCCATATGTTGCCCAGGCTGGTCTTGTGCGCCACCATGTCTGGGTAAAGAATGGATCTATTTTTAAAAGGAAACTTTTTATTTTGGAGTAATTTTAAGTTTACAGAAAGGTTCTAAAAATAGTATAGAGAGTTTCTGTATATACTTCACCTAGTTTCCTCTAATGTTAACATTTTACTTAAGTATGGTACATTTGTCAAAACTAAGAGATTAACATTGGTATATTACTAGACTGACTATATTTGGTTTTCAGTAGTTTTTCTACTAATGTCTTTTCTATCCAGGCTCCAACCCTTTATACCACATTGCATTTTTTTTTTTTTTATTTAAAAGTGTATGTACATAGAAAAGCATCCGGGTGCATATAGATGAAAATGTTAACAATGATCATAGCTGAGTGGTTGAATTAAGGGAGATTTTTGTTTTAAAGTTCTTAGTATGTCTTCTAATTTTTCTATGTTTAACATGTCACATAATTTTAAAACACAAAACTAACAATTCAGGCTGAGTTGGTGCCCTCTGATTACCCCTTGTATGGCTATACTGTGTATGTTTAGCTGAGTCTTTTCAACACTCAGCTAAAGACGGCAAATGAATAAGTCTGCCTCATCCCTCTTTCCCTATCATGCAGCCCAGGGCCCGGCACAGAGGAGGCACTGATAATATCTAGTTGAATAATGGGTGAAGTCAGAGAAGTTTATTGCTACCAACTCTCGGAGATAAACTAGTCTTAGCACTCTTTTTCAGCTTAAGGAAACCCAGGCTTATGTTTCCCCAGTTTAGTGACCCCAGCAGGACAGGACCTGTTTTTAAAGTTTGCAGTCTCAGGGCTGACTTTTATGCCCATCGCTGAATTAGTTGCTGTGGCCAGGAGCATGGAATATGCCTCTTGGCCAGGCTTGGGTCCACTGACCAGGCCTTTAGATGGCTTCCCAAAGAAAAGTCAGGGTTCTGCTATCCAAAGGAGGTAAGATGGATACTGAGGAAGTTAAATACAACATCAGAGCCATCCCCTAAACACAGGCATTTTAATCTCTAATTCCTTTTGCCATACTATATGTCATGCTTGGGCTCCCTGATGAGAATAGTACCACATTAATGCTATTCATCATTAAATCCTAGCATCCAGCACAGTGCTTGTATGTAGCAGGGACCTAGTCAACATACAAGTGAATAAATACATTTCTTGGTGACCTAAACAAAATCATTTAACTAGATGTTTAAATCAGAATGCTTTGAGTTGTAAATAACAGAAAACTGGCTCAATAAAGGACATTTGTTGACTCATGCAACTGAAAAGTCTAGTGGAGCCCAGCAGTCAGGCATGGTGTGGTCAGGACTTCACTTATGTGCCAGTCTCTGACTGCCCCCTTGGTATCATCAGGCTTGTCTCTCTCATGGTAGCAAAATGACTGCAGCAGTTCCAGACGTGACATCTGTACTCCGCAACATCCAGAACAAGAGAAAATACAGAGACCCTGTATCACAGAATTCCCAGCAAAAGTCCTGAGAGTCACTGTGAACTGAATAAGATTACATGCCCACCTCTGAATCAGCAATTAGTGGCAAGGGTTGTTTACTGGCTTAGCCTAGATCATGTACCTCACCCTTAGAACTGGGGAGATAGGGGAGGGAGAGAGTAGAATCAGCTTCCCTGAAACTACATGGATTCCTGATGGGAACTGAGACTTTGGGGAAGGGGAAAGCAGTCCGGATCCTGAGGATGTAACCAATAGGAATCCAGCTCAATTGAATACCCTGAATTGTGTGGCATAAACAAGGGCTGCAGGAGTTAGAGGGCAATGAGTGAAGGTTGCATCAGTCAGAGCAGGGAGGCTTCATGGAGGAGAATGAGAGACTGGAGCCAAACCCTGAAGAGATAAAAGATTTGGGCAATGGGGTAGGGAGGTGGAAAGGAAGGAACATTGCCCATGTGCTGTGCCAGACATCATACTAAACCCTCTGTATGCCGGGCGTGGTGGCTCACGCCTGTAATCCCAACACTTTGGGAGGCTGAGACAGGTGGATCACCTGAGGTCAGGAGTTCGAGACAAGATTGGCCAACATGGAGAAACCCCGTCTCTACAAAAATACAAAAATTAGTCAGGCATGGTGGTGCACTCCTTTAGTCCCAGCTACTCAGGAGACTGAGGTGGGGGCATTGCCTGAACCCGGGAGGCAGAGGTTGCGGTGAGCCGAGATTGTGCCTCTGCACTGCAGCCTGGGTGATAAAGCAAAACTCCATCTCAAAAAAAAAAAAAAAATTCTCTGTATGCATTATCTCAGTTAACCCTTACAATGACCTGCAAGTTTGGTATCATCATTATCCCCATTTTACAGTTGAGAAACTGAAACCCAGGGGTCACACAGTAAGTGTTGAGGTTGAGACTTGGACCCAGCTTGTCTGGCTGAGAAGCTTGTGCCTGGAGCTATGACGCTGGTGAGTAAAGTAGACAGTGGTCACCTGGGAAGTTTGCATTAGTGTGAAGTAAGTGGCCTGACCTCAGGTCATCACAGAGGTAGTGCAGAATGTGAAGTTCTTCCCTCAGCTGTGCTGTTTTTGGGGCAGCGGGGATCAGAACCAAAGCACAATTCCTTTGAAAGTTTGCCAAACTTTGACCTTAACCATGTGAAACCTTGTGCCTTTCCTGCTCACCAGATGGATTCTTCAGACAAGGCCTAGGTGCTGGTTCTGCTCCTTACTAGGTGGCCTTGAATGTATCATTCACAGTCTTTGAGCCTCAGTTTCCCTATTTGCAAAATAGACACAGTAATACCACATTTATTGATTGAACAGATTTACTCTTGCCTTATCTTTGCTGGGCCTGGGAGACCAAGAAACAAAGATGAATGAGACAGTGCCTGCCCCCAAGGACCTCCCAGTCTAGCAGAGGAGATGGATATAAAATCAGAGAGACTTATGGAGAGCAGTGGAAAACATAGATCAGGGAGCGATCAACTTAGCTTAAGTGGATCTGGGAAGGCCTCAAAGTAGGGGACATCTGAGCCACACCTTGAATGGTTAGTAAGAGTTTGCCAGGCAGCCACTTGGGGCAGAGTTTTGTGAGAATCAGATAAGCTGTGTCAAAGTAAATGTTTTATAAATTGGGCTGCCTTTCCCTTCTAGGTTCATACCTCAGCTTGCATTGCTGCTGTAGGAAACATAAGAAATGCCCTAGAAACCCCTCCCTGGGCTGAGAGTTCCTAGAATTAGGGGCCGGGGAAGAGTTTTGAATGCATGCTAAAGTCTAGGCTCATCATCTTGCCACACAAGGCCTGTTTGGCTTCATCTTTCTCTTAATTTTATGCTCACGCAAAACAACCACCTAGAGTTCCATGAAATCATTACCTCCCTGTTTCTCCTCCTATGTCTTCTTCTTCTCCACACCCACCTGGCAACCTCTAATTTGTTTCCTGGAAATGTGATTGACCCACACTCCACTCACGCAGCCTCAGCACCCTTTTATTTGTAAATACATGGACTCATCTTCTCCAGGGGACTGGGGCTCCTTCAAAGACAAAGAGTAGGTCTCAATCTCTACCCTGCCACACCTAGCACCAACTGATCAGAGCTGCATCTCTGATGCAGGGATAGGTAGTTGGGAGTCTCACTTCTTCCACAAACATTGAGCTTCTGCCACAGGCCTGCTGGCGTCAAGTCAGGCAAAAAGGATTCAGGAAGCAAAGGGTACAATCCAACCCTGGAAGCAGTCACAGTCCAGAGAGAAACTCACATGTAAACAGTCCATTGTAATACTGGGTGATGTGTGCTGGGATGAAAGGATATCTGGAACATGAAGGGGACACAGGAGAGATCAACTACTTTGGGCACACGGGAAATTGAGCAGGAATCTGCTGGGTGGTGAAAGACAGACACTAGAGCTTGTACGAGGCATGGAAGCATGAAAAAGCACAGCAGGTTCCAGGGTCAGTGAGTATGCGTATGGCTGAAGGAACATGGGAAGAATGGAAGCAGGCTGGAAGAAGCAGCTAGGGAAGCAGGCAGAGGACAAGGAAGAGCAGACCTTACTCTCATGTGAAGGGTTTGGACACATTTTAGAGCCAGTTATTGAAGCTTTTCAAGCAGGGAAGGGATGATGTGGTCAGTTTTGTTTTAATGTGGAGCAGGAGAGAGAGGCCAGGTCGGAGGCCAGGGGTGTTCTGTTAGCCCAAGGCTTTTGGCCACTTAATAGTATTAACAACAGTTAACACTTAGTCTGATTACTCTCTGTAGGCCCCATTCTCATTACCTTATACATTTATTTTATTTTATTTTTTTGAGATAGAGCCTCACTGTTGCCCAGGCTGGAGTGCAGTGGCGTGATCTCCACTCACTGCAACCTGCGCCTCCTGAGTTCAAGCGATTCTCATGCCTCAGCCTCCCGTGTAGCTGAGACTACAGGCGCACACCACCATGCCCAGCTAATTTTTTTTTTTTTTTTTTTTTTTTTTGAGACGGAGTCTCGCTCTGTCGCCCAGGCTGGAGTGCAGTGGCGGGATCTCGGCTCACTGCAAGCTCCGCCTCCCGGGTTCACGCCATTCTCCTGCCTCAGCCTCCCAAGTAGCTGGGACTACAGGCGCCCGCCACTACGCCCGGCTAATTTTTTGTATTTTTAGTAGAGACGGGGTTTCACCGTTTTAGCCGGGATGGTCTCGATCTCCTGACCTCGTGATCCGCCCGCCTCGGCCTCCCAAAGTGCTGGGATTACAGGCGTGAGCCACCGCGCCCGGCCTAATTTTTATATTTTTAGTAAAGATGGGGTTTTGCCATGTTGGCCAGGCTGGTCTCGAACTCCTGGCCTCAAGCAGTCTGCCAAAGTGCTGGGATTACAGGCATGAGCCACCGCGCCGGGCCACCTTATGCATTTTAAATGATTTAATTCTCCTAGGGCCCTATGAGACAGATACTATTATTCTCATTTTAAGGTTCAAAAACTGAGGCATAAAAAAATTAAATAAGTTGCATAACTTGGTAAATGGCGGGCCTGACTGCACTCTGGCTGGCACACTTCAGGGCCTGTGCTTTTAGTTACTGTGCTGGGTAGGATCTCATCGTCGTCACAGTAATAATGATACGCTAATGAACATTTGTTGAACTCATATTCCATACTGTGCTTTGCTCTGTGGGCTTCAGATTATTACCTCAGGTTTAACCAGGTTCTAATCAAGTTGGCAAGAAGGACACTGTCCACCTGGGGGACCAGCCTCAGAGCCCACAGTCCAATAGAGACACTGCTCCAGGTCTTGCTGTGTCTGAGGGAAGTGGCCTGGCCACCTTCCCAAATTGCTGAAGGCCTGACCTTTGGCAGGGGCAGCCAGAGCCTCGTGCTGCCTTTGGCTGAGAGCCGGGCCAGAGGGGCTGAGCCAGAGTGGAGTGATCAGCTGCATGGGCTGGGCCCCTGGGGTCTCCAGACACCCTGGCTCAATGCCTGGACACTGTTCAAAGCTGCTACAGCTAGAGCTGGGGACCAAGCACCAGGACCCCTGAGTTCCAGGCCCAACTCGGTGGCTGATGTGCTGCGGGAGCTTGGGCAAATCCCTACCCCTCCATTGGCCTCAGTTTCCTGGAAGGCAGTTGAATAAGATTGCTCCTGTCCGTGACCTTCCTCCATAATATCATCTGTGACAGGCTGGACATTTGGGATACCACAAAGTAGTCCCTCCTGCATGGAACCCAGGCCCCAGGTTATTTAGGATCTCTCCTTGGTACCAAGCGCTGCTGGGCACTGGGGCCACAGAGAGGAGCTGAGCTGATCCCTGCCTTCAAATAGCTCCCAGTTGGTTGTCAGGGGGTGATGGGGGTGGAGGGGGGGTGTGGAGCGAGACAGACAGGAAAACCAGCCATCAACCTAGTGTGATAAGTGCTGCACTGCATAGAGAGAAGGAAGTACTGCACTGCATAGCGAGAAGGATGCCCAAGGAGCTGCAGGGCTCCATGGAGAGAGCAACTGACTGCCTGCAGTGTCCTGGATGGCTTCCCTATAGGAAGGACGTGGAGCTACTACATCTTCCAGGTAGAGAAGGGGATGTGCATTCCTATTGAGGGAACAACCTCCACAGTGGTCGGGAGACAGAAAAGACCAGGTGTTGAGAAAAGGGTGAGCTCCATGTGGCAGATGGTGGGAAGGAATGTGAGTGCAAGGAGATGGGGCTACAGGGCAGGTGGGAGGCAGCAGGGACTGGACTGAGTGCCAAGTTCCTGAGCCACAGCTCAAGTCTCCAAGGCTACAAGGAGCAGAGCCCGCATACAGGCTTCACAGGCACTGGAGAGGGCCTCGAGCCTCTGGAGTCCCAGCTTGGTAACGCTCTTCCTCCTGCTGCTTGCATTTCTTCCTGTGTCTCATACTTCCTTCCCTTCCCTGGAGGCCAAAGGCCACCCTGTGCCTTCCTGTTCAGGGCACTCTGCCCCCTTTCAACCTCCGGTAAAGTTCTTCACAGGGTAGCCCATGCATTCCAAATGCCTCATACTTGTGGGTCTCATCGTCTACCTTCTGGGTTTCTCCAGCAGCCTAGTGAGGCAGCCAAGACTGAAAGAACTTGTAGGTGATACAGAAACAGGGAGCACCTATGGGCCAGGCCCCATGTTGGCCTCTGGAGAACAGGCCAGACAAAATTCTTGCTGGGAGCCCTCAGTCTGGCTGGGAAGACAGATGCTAAAGATGTGATCATACCAATCAGCTGACCTCCCTGCACAGACAGGGAAGGCATCCCTGAGTTGCAGTTTGAACATGAGGTTCTAGAGAACCAGCTTCCTGAAGCAGCACAGGAAGAGTGTTACCAAGTACGAGATGACTTGTTTCAGGTCATCTGGCCAGTAAGGGAGGTCTGGAGCCAAAACTCTGATCTGTCTGACTCAAGGCCCACTAATTTGCAGTTCCCTCCCACTGGTATTTTTCTCCCATTATTCAAATGTCAACAGCAAAGAATTTTCATATCTTTAATATTGCTGGATCCTCTGTGAGATAGGGCCCACTCTCCCTATTCAGAGGCATACAGACCTGGGAAGTCTAAGTGATTCATCCGTGATCACAACAAGGTCAGAACTAGGATGAGAACACACATCTCTGGGCTCCAGGATAACCTGGTGAGATCATGGAGGAAAATTGTTGCTGTCTTTCCCAGCTTTGCCCTGAGCCAGGCTACCCCTGAATGACAGACACACGTTCCCAGTTGTTTCCCAGGGACTTTCCTGGGAAACAACTTCCTGGAGGAATACCATAGTGACCTGAGAGATATGTTTGACTTGGGAGCAACCCTGTTCTGAGCCTGAGGGTCCCCAGAGCTCAGAGCAGACATTCAGAGCAAATTATGGTATTTCTGCCCTTGAGATTGCAAACAGAACTGCTTTTGGATGAAATGGAGCATGAGCCCCATGCTGGGCAAGCAGTGCAGGCCCCTGTAATCTCTCTAAGGGATGTGAGTGCCACCATCAGAGACTTGTAAGCTATAGGAAGCTCCAAGCTCTTGAACACTGTGCCCTCAAGCCCTGAAGTGGGAGGGGTTATCTTTGGGCCCTAAGAAGGCCTTGATCCCATTCAAGAGCTTTCGTGGTACTGGGAGGGCCTCTAGGCCCTTAAGGAAAAGACTTGGGTTCTGGTGATGAGTTTTTAGAGTACCTGGGGGAGGGGGTTCTAACAATAACAGATCACTTGTCAGCAAGCTGGGAGCAGTTGAAGTGTTTGAATACATTTAGGGGCATGTATTTGCCATGTCTATAGTTTCTTCAGTCCCTTTCATTCCCAGAGCACCCACACTTGGATTATCTTATACATTCCACTTTGACCCTCAGAGCTACCTTTTATGGAGCTAAAAACGATTCAAGAGATGGAAGATTGAGAATTGAAAATTGCAGGCTGGGCACGGTGGCTCACGCTTGTAATCTCAGCACTTTGAGAGGCCAAGGCGGGAGGATTGCTTGAGCCCAAGAGATCAAGACCAGCCTGGGCAGCATAGTGGGACCTTATCTCTACAAAAAAGTAAAAAATCAGCCAGGTATGGTGGCATATGCCTGTAATCCTAGCTACTTGAGAGGCTGAGGTGGGAGGATTGCTTGAGCCCCGGAGGTCAAGGTTGCAGTGAGCTGAGACTGTGCCACTGCACTCCAGCCTGGGTGACAGAGCAAGACCCCGTCTCAAAAAAAATAAAAAAGAAGAAGGCCGGGTGCGGTAGCTCACACCTGTAATCCCAGCACTTTGGGAGGCCAAGGTGGGTGGATCACTTGAGGTCAAAAGTTCGAGACCAGCCTGGCCAACATGGTGACATGCCATCTCTACTAAAAATACAAAAATTAGCCAAGTGTGGGGGTGCATGCCTGTAATCCCAGCTTCTTGAGAGGCTAAGGCAGGAGAATCACTTGAACCTGGGAGGCAGAGGTTGCAGTGAGCCAAGATCGCACCACTGCACTCCAGCCTGGGTGACAGAGCAAGACCCTATCTCAAAAAAAAAAGAGGAGGAGGAGGAAGAAATGAAGAGTAGAAGGAAGAAGAAAGGAGGAAGGGAGGGAGGGAGGAAGGGAAGAAGAAAGAGGAGGAAGAGAGAAGAAAAGGAAAAGAAGAAATGAGTGCTGCCTAAGGCCCCACAGAGGTATACATCTGAAATCAGATCCAGCTCTTTCCTACCTACCCTAGACCTGACCCTTTCCTGTGGCCTCCATCTGCCCTTGCACCCTCTGCCAACCTGCAGGCCCCAACCTCCCTAACTCCTGCTGAGCTGGAAACCTTAGATACCAAAGAACCAACCCCCACTCCCCATTGGACATCTCCTTTCTGAAAAAGCCCTGGCCAGGAAGGTGGGACGAACTGGGGGCTTTAATCTTGGCTCTGTCTCCTTCCCTGAGTTGTGATGAGTTTAAGTGAGATCAAGGATCTTAAAAGTGCTCCAGAAACTGAAAAATGTTGAAAGAACACGAGGAAGGGGAAACTACCACTCTGTTGTTTTATATGGAGATGAGTGATTTGGAGCCAGGCCTTCCAAAGGGTCACAGTTTGGAGGGAGGAGACATACAGACCCCAAGCCCCAATGTGTCATGGATAATGCAATAGCCAAAGGATGTGCCAGGCATTGTGAGGGCACAGACAACTCCTAGGGGAGTCAGGGAAAGCCTTGAGAAGAGCACACATTGGAAATGGGTCTTGAGGACGTGTAAGTTTACCAGGTAGACTAAAGAGAATATGCATATTTCAAGGGAGGGAACAGCTTGTACAAAGGCATGGAGGCTGGAAAGGGAATGGTGTCCAGTGAGAGTGTCCAGTCAGGGATGGATGAAATGAGTTTTGGCAAGGTGGGCCAGGACAGAGCAGAGCATGTCCTTGAAATACTTGCAAAAGGCCAGGCACAGTGGCTCACGCCTGTAATCCCAGCACTTTGGGAGGCCGAGGCGGGTGGATCACGAGGTCAGGAGATTGAGACCATCCTGTGAATGGTGAAACCCCGTCTCTACTAAAAATACAAAAAATTAGCTGGGCATGGTGGCGGGTGCCTGTTGTCCCAGCTACTCGGGAGGCTGAGGTGGGAGAATAGCCTGAACCCGGGAGGCGGAGCTTGCAGTGAGCCGAGATTGCACCACTGCACTCCAGCCTGGGCGACAGAGCGAGACTCTGTCTCAAAAAAAAAAAAAAAAAAGAAAAGAAATACTTGCAAAGAAGATTTAGAGTTCATTTCGGTAAATAATGGGAATTCTTTTTTTTTTTTTTTTTTTTTTTTTGTAAAGACAATGTCTTGCTCTGTTGCCCAGACTGAAGTGCAGTGACCCGATCTCGGCTCACTGCAACCTCTGCCTCCCAGGTTCAAGCAATTCTCCTGCCTCAGCCTCCTGAGTAGCTGGGATTACATGCAGGTGCCAGCACACCCAGCTAATTTTTGTATTTTTAGTAGAGACGGGGTTTCACCTTGTTGGTCAGGCTGGTCTTGAACTCCTGACCTTGTGATCCGCCCACCTTGGCCTCCCAAAGGGCTGGGATTACAGGCGTGAGCCACGGCACCCAGCCAATAATGGGAATTCTAAAGCAGGAAAGTGGTCCTTGTGCTAGGAATTATTATTTCCATTTTTTACAGATTTCAAAACAGACTCAGAAGAAGCAGCAAATTGCCCAAGGCCTCTGTACCAGTCAGGGAAACAGAGCCAATAGGATCTATATATATCACGCTAGGCCAGCAAGTCCCAAGATCTGCAGAGTGAGTCGGCAAGCTGGAGACCCAGGAGAGTGGTTTAGTTCCAGTCCAAGTCCAAAGTTATCTGGGTATCCCATGGTGCAGTCGGACTGACACCATCAAATTGTAAAATGGCTAAAACTAACCATCACAGCTCACAGCTAAAATGTGGCAGAGCTGGGGCTCAAACCCTGTTCTATCTGACTAGAAAACCCTTTGCTGCAGAAGCCACTGGGCAGAGACCCAGGCCTCTTCTCTCGTAGCCTGGACACCAGGGCTGTGCCAGCTAGAGAGAAGCAGCCAGTCACCAGCCAGGTTAGGCTATGGGCCTGTCAGATAACCCAGCAGGGTCTGAGGAAGGAGCTAACCGGAGGCCTCTGTTTTAGGTGGAACTCCACAAAAGGCTTTACACCTTCTTGGGAGGACAGGTGAGGGCAAGGAGATTGGGGCTTCAAAGGAGCTGCCCTGCAGAAGCCCTTTTCACTTTTCCTGTTCAAAACACCTTAGTGCTCATCACCCCATTTGAGCTCAGCAACTCTGAGAATGGGGAGGGGGAAAATACCCATTGGACAGATGGAGAAACCAAGATGCGGAGAGGTGAAGATGAACTGACTTGCCCAAGGTCACAGCTGAGAAGCAGAATCACAGGGCCCAGGACCCTGGAAGCTCACCTGCCTCCTGTTTTACAGAGAAGGAAGGAGAGGCCTAAAGAGGAATGTCCCAGCCAGGCACAGTGGCTCATGCCTGTAATCCCAGCACTTTGGGAGGTTGAGGTGGGCAGATCGCTTGAGTCCAGGAGTTCAAGACCAGTCTGGGCAATAGGGCGAAACTCCATCTCTACAAAAACAAAAATTAGCTGGACGTGGTGGCGCATGCGTGTGGTCCCAGCTACTCAGGAGGCACAGGTTGGAGGCTCGCTTGAGCCCAGGAGATGGAGGCTGTAGTGAGCCATGATCATGCCACTGTACTCCAGCCTGGATGACAGAGCGAGACCTTGTCTCAAACAAATAACAACCACAAAAAAAGAAATGTCCCCATTCCGCTGATGAGGAAGTGGAAACACAGAAGGTTGGGTCTCCTTCAAGCTGCTCAGTGAAAAGTGACGAAGCCCTCAACTGTCCTGGGCGTTTTCTTCATTCCTCCACAGCACTTGGCCTTTCCACTGTCCAACAGTCCAAACTTTACAAAATACTTGGCATGGCCACAGTATCTTGGGTTCAAGGTCATGCCACGGCCAAACCAGATACAACTTCACTCTCACCCAGTACCGAGGTCCAAAGAGGGGAAAGGACATCCCATGTCACCAGCAAATCAGGAGCTAACTCCAAAGGCTATTTTCCTGGCCCATCCCTTGGAGTGGCGGAATAGAGGCTTGGCTGGCAGGACCAGCCTCCAGATGACCCTAGTAATTGCTTGGGGGGAGGGAGGTTCTGAGGCCCAGAAATGGCAAGTGGTCTGAGGTTTCATGTTAAAACCTGTTTCTGCTCTAGCCCAGCAGTCGGTGAACACCAGGTACTTTCTGATGGTGAATGAGGTTGGTGCAGGGCTGCATTATCTGCTCCACATCCCACCATGAGAACATACCAGGAGTGGGGGCTTTCCACCCAGATCCCCAAGAAGTTGCTCCATCATTCTGTCTCACCACAACCATTTCCTTCTCTAAAAACTCCCTTCCCTGCAAGCCCTGAGACCAGCCAGGCTCTCACCACAGAGTATATGCAGACTTGCTTCTTCAGCTGTGGCCACACCAGGCTCAGGAATGTCCCAGGAGGCCCTCCCATCTCTGTTGCTGCCACAAGCTGAGGGCGTGTCAGGGGCTGGCCTCAGGAAAGGTTGGGCCTGAAGCTACTGCCTCTCTGAGTAAGAGTAATGCTCCTAACCCCTGCAAAGCAGTTTACACCCAACAGCTCACTTAATCCTCACAGCTATCCTGTGGGGATGGAAATAGTCATTATCAATGGCCATTTTACAGGAAAGGAAACTGAAGAGAGGGAAGTAACTTAGGGTAACACAGCTTTTCAGCCTGACTCTGAGCTCTCTGCTTCTCTTAAGGGGCTGCTTAGTGGACTCAAAAGAGGTATCGAGTATCAGGTTTTGGTTTTTGTTCTGCTATCAGAAAATTTTTTGAAGATTGCCTGGGAGAGAGGTAGGACTTCTAATGATGCCAAAGCAGGAAGAGTCCCCCAGGATGGTGAAACTGAGGCAGGGGGGAGGAGACATGTCTTAGCTAGGGTTGCACAGCAGGTGAACTGGCTGGCGCTGGACCCGGCGGCAGGAAGTACCCGCTAAGCTTGGACCTGGATTCATTGGCCAGCCAGCCAGGCTGCCGCCCCTTATCCCTAAGGCCTCTGTTTCTCTGCTATGTAGGCCAGGCCCTCCTGTAGGTCACGCCTCAGTCATCAGTGATGGGGTGACAGAAACTGTGGGAGCCAGAGTGCAGCTGCAGTAGGAAACCAGCTTGGTTGCATCAGTACTCGGGTTCTAGCCCCACCAAGTTAGGCAAGGGCACCCCCCTACCTGGGCTACAAATCTCCCACCACTCCAGCCCCACCGTGTCCCCCTCCCTTTACCCCTGACCCGTGATGGCTCTGCCCCTAGCGACACTCTCGCTATGAGGGGCAGAGCCTCTCATCCCAGCCTGTGCCAGGCAGGAGCCCTGCTCCCATACGTGGCAGGGCCCACCTTGGGAGGTGGAGGATTCTCTCCCTAGGAGAAAGAGGATTCTGCTGGTGGATGACACCTGCTACTACTGACTCATTCATGCATTCAGTCTCTTCTAAGTTTGTTCATTCCATCAACACATTCTTTTTGTTTGTTTTTTGAGATGGAGTCTGGGAGGTGGAGGATTCTATCCCTAGGGGAAAGAGGATTCCGCTGGTGGATACCTGCTATTACTGACTCATTCATGCATTCGTCCATTCATGCATTCAATCTCTTCTAAGTTTATTCATTCCATCAACATGTTATTTTTGTTTGTTTGTTTTTTGAGATGCAGTCTCACTCTGTTGCCCAGGCTGGAGTGCAGTGGCATGATCTCGGCTCACTGCAGCCTCCACCTCCTGGGTTCAAGCAATTCTCCTGCCTCAGCCTCCCGAGTAGCTGGGATTACTGACACGCACCACCATGCCCAGCTAATTAATTTTTTTTTTTTTTTGTATTTTTAGTAGAGACAGGGTTTCGCTATGTTGGCCAGGCTGGTCTCAAATACCTGACCTCAGGTGATCCACCCACTTCAGCCTCCTAAAGTGCTGGGATTACAGGCATGAGTCACAACACCCGGCCTCCATCACAAATTCTTATCCAACCCCTTCTAACCTGACAGCCACACTGGGTCATGCCTTCTGCTGGACCCTGGGGACACAGAAAAGAATAAAGTGGACATGGCCCTGCCCTGGAGGAGCTTATAGGGTAGAGGGGCACTGTGTCGTGTCTGATGCTATAACACAAAGATAGACATGGGACAGCAGCAAGACAGAGAGGGAATGTGATGTGTGAGAGCAGCAAGGTGGGGAAAGATACAAAGGGGGACAGCATCTGCCTTGGAGGAAGAAGGGAGCAGTAGTTGGCCAGATGAAGAGTTAACGGTAACAAGCCCAATACAAACTCCGAAGGCATTTACTGTGTGCCAGAAGCTTTATTCTCATTAATTTCTTTTTTTTTTTTTTTTTTTTGAGACGGAATCTCACTCTGTTGTCCAGGCTGGAATGCAGTGGCACAATCTCCGCTCATTGCAAGCTCCGCCTCCCAGGTTCACGCCGTTCTCCTGCCTCAGCCTCCCGAGTAGCTGGGACTATAGGCGCCCACCACCACGCCCGGCTAATTTTTTTGTATTTTTAATAGAGATGGGGTTTCACTGTGTTAGCCAGGATGGTCTCAATCTCCTGACCTCATGATCTGCCCACCTTGGCCTCCCAGAGTGCTGGGATTACAGACGTGAGCCACCACGCCTGGCCTTTTTTTTTTTTTTTTTTTTGAGATGAACTCTCACTCTGTCACCCAGGCTAGAGTGCAGTGGCACGACCTCCACTCAATGCATCCTCTGCCTCCCAAGTTCAAGTGATTCTCCTGCCTCAGCCTCCCGAGTAGCTGGGATTACAGGCATGCGCCACCACTCCCAGCTAATTTTTGTATTTTTAGTAGAGATGGGGTTTCACCATGTTGGCCAGGCTGGTCTCGAACTCCTGACCTCAGCTGATCTGCTCACCTCAGCCTCCCAAAGTGCTGGGATTACAGGCGTGAGCCACCTCACCTGGCCCTCAATTTCCATCTTTACAACAAACCTGGAAAGCAGATATTATCAGCCCCCTTTTACAGATGAGGAAATTGAGGCTTCAGGAGGTTAAATGAATTTCCAAAGTGGTATAACTCATAAGTACAAAAGCCAGAATTTGAACCAGGTTTGTCTATCTCCAAATTCAGTGCTAAATTTAGACCTAGAGTTAAGTTAAAAAATACAGGATGGTAACTGCAAAGGACTGGAGGCTATATCCAAAAGAATAGCAATGGTAGTCTCGGGGGGGATGAGTTTACATTGTTATGCATTGATGTACATTTGAATTATGAGACAAGAGATGTTCATATATGCTGGAATTCACAATTATTCCTGCAGTACATTAGTTTCATTTTCTCTGATTCTTTTCTTTACCCCAGAAATGGAAATTGCTTAAGTGGGTTTTTTTTTTTTCTTGAATACAAGAATATAGGATCCTTTTTTTGAAAATCAGATGTCAATTTTAGGATGACCATTACCAGTGAGGTTTTTTTCCCTTTGTGTTTTCCTAACTTACTATATCAAGCACGTCTTTCATAATTTGAAAGTAATGTTATTTTTAAGAAATGAATTGCACACATCAAGGACTGGAGTGACCCAGCCGACGCAAGTTCCTGTAGTTCCTGAGAAAAAGGCTTGGAGGTTTTGCGTGACCTCAGACCAGAGTGAGTCAGCAGGGTGAAGTGGCTGCCAAAACACCAGGCAAGCAAGTAGAAACATGGTCCCAGATTTGAGAAGGAAACCTCCCCTGCTCCTCAGGGCTGATCAAGCTTATCTGAGGCTCAGACATACAGGAGAGCTACCCTGAAGCTAAAGAGAGACCTAAGCACAGCTGAGGGACCTTGGAGAAGAGGCCTTTAGGGGAAGGTCTTTACAGTGCATATGCAGTTGGCATGCCTGTATGAACAGGCTTGACCAGGCGGTTTACCCTACCCAGCCAAATAGTGAGCTACCTATTACTGCAAGTATGCAAGGAAAGATGGGAAGAGTACCTTATATTAAAGGGCAGCTGTGTGGGTGATAGATTGCATTAGCAGACAACCCAGATATTAAGACATACAGTGTTTGTAGGACATGAGGGGGAAAAGATACCTACCTAACTCAACATCTCAGAGGGAGTATACTAGAACTGTCAATAGTAAGCCAATTGGGTACTAGGCTTATTACATATATATCAGTGGTTTTCAAACTTGAACTACACCAGAATTCCTGGAGGGTGTGTTGTAACACAGATTGCTGGGCCCCATGCCCAGGGTTTCTGATTCAGTATGTCAGAAGTGGGGCTACTTCACAGGTGATGTTAATGCAGCTGGTCTGGAGACCACACTTTGATATGCATGATCTTATTTATTTGTCACTGCCACCTTATAATGGAGGTTCTGTTATCCCCATTTTCCAAGTTAAAAAAGCAAAACCAAACAAAAACATCATCTGAGGCTTCTCAGAGTTAAAATTACTATTTATAACTAGTAAGTGGCAGAACCAAGATCTTTGAATCCAGATCTTTTTTTTTTAACAGGCTTAATTCATTTTATTTTTTCTTGTGTAAAAACTCCGTTGACCGGGGCAGTGGCTCACACCTGTAATCTTAGCACTTTGGGAGGCCGAGGCATACGGATCACTTGAGCCCGAGTCCCAGACCAGCCTGGGCAACATGGCAAAACCCTGTCTCTACAAAAAACACACACAAAAAATTAGCTGGGGGTGGTGGTGCATGCCTGTAGTCCCAGCTACTGGGTTAGGGAGTGGCTAAGGCAGGAGGATTGCTTGAGCCCTGGAGGTTAAGGCTGCAGTGAGCTGTGGCCATGCCACTGCACTCCAGCCTGGGCAACCCTGTCTCAAAAAACAAAAACAAAACAAAACTCTATATTGTATACATAGCTGGAGCCTGGGTCCTCCGCACAGAGACTCTGGTCTGGGTCTTGATGAGATGGTCAGTGAACTCCTGATAGGGAAACTTGATGAATATGGTCTCTCTCCAGAGGTTGAGGGTCAGATAGCTATAATTCTTGGAGATGGCACCAAAGGTGGCCTTGGCGAAGTTGCCCAGGTGGCAGTGCAGCTTTGGGTTATGCTATGCCCATGATTTATCAGCTTTTTTTTTTTTTTTTTTTTTTTAGATGGAGTCTCTGTTGCCCAGGCTGGAGTGCAGTGGCGCCATCTTGGCTCACTGCAACCTCCACCTCCTGGGTTCAAGTGATTCTCCTGCCTCAGCCTCCCGGATAACTGGGACTACAGGCGCGTGCCACCACACCCGGCTAATTTGTTGTATTTTTAGTAGAGACGGGGTTTCACTATGTTGGCCAGGCTGGTCTCAAACTCCTGACCTTGTGATCCACCCACCTCGGCCTCCCAAAGTGCTGGGATTACAGGCGTGAGCCACCGTGTCCAGCTGATTTCTCAGCTCTTACAGCTCCAGGGTACTTAGGTTGTGGGCTCTCTGCTGGGGTAGTACTTTTTCTTTCTGTTATGACGCAATACACCTGGCTGAGGTGTAGCACTGGTCTGTACTAGCCATCAGCAGCATCTTGGGCACAGGGGCCAAGGTGATGCCATTGCCTCAGTGGGGCAGGGATAAGGCACACCAGCACAGAGCCACAGCAGCCTGTCACCTTGCAAGAGATGGTGTGGGGGCTAACTGATCTTATTCCCCCAGTGGCTTCTCTGCACAGGGACAATGGAGAGCCTGACCAGGTGATGTCCCCTCAGATGGCCGTGGCTACCTCCTCGGAGCACTTAACACCCAGACCAACGTGGCCACTGTAGTCCCCAATGGCAACACACACCTTGAACCTGGTATGCTGGTCAGCGCAGGTCTGCTTTTGCACGGGCGTGGTCTTCAAAACCTCATCCTTGAGAGATGCCCCCAGGAAAAAGTCAATGATCTCAGACTCCTCGATGGTCAAGGAGAAGGGCTAGATTTCCTCCAGGGACTTGATCTTCATGTCCTTGACCAGGTAGCCCAACTTGGTGACAGGCATCCATTCCTCATCTTCATCCTTGCCTCTGCAAGCTCCATGGCCCAGGCCCTGACCCCAACCACTATCCAGGCCCCAATGCCACTGCCAAAGCCTCCGTGGAAACCACTATGACCTCCCATTCCAGGGCCCCAAGGGCCTCTGAGTCCTCTCTCTGCACCAGTCATCTGCACTTTGGTGTTTTCTCAGGGAAGAAGTTGAACCAAGATCTTTCTGACTCTGAAGTTCATGTTTAACTAAAATGGTTACTTCCTTTTCTCAATTAATAAACAGAAACAAAGATTCTAGGCCAGGCACAGTGGCTCATGCCTGTAATCCCAGCACTTTGGGAGGCCAAGGTGGGCGGATCACCTGAAGTCAGGAGTTTGAGACCAGCCTGGTCAACACGGTGAAACCCCGTCTCTATTAAAAATATAAAAATTAGCTGGGCATGGTGATGGGCGCCTGTAATCCCAGCTACTCGGGAGGCTGAGGCAGGAGAATTGCTTGAACCTGGGAAGCAGAGGTTGCAGTGAGCCAAGATCGTGCCATTGCACTCCAGCCTGGGCAACAGAGCGAGACTCCGTCTCAAAAAATAAAATAAAATAAAGCTCTTAAATTACCTGTACTGCACAATAATTCTTTTGTATGCTCAATTATTTTGTATGCTCAATGAGAATTGGTTTTCATAACTTTTCGAGCTTCTTGGGCTGCATTCCTTGGCTGGTGGTCCCCTCTTCCATCTTCAAATTCTTTTGTATGCTAAAATAAGTAACTGAAGGAAAGGCTGTCTTGAGATACCTGGACATTGAAGCCTCTCTGCCTTTAAGAAAATGACCCCATCTCTAGGGATGCATTGAGATTGAGCAGAGAATTCAGGAGTGCTCCTGGTATCTGCAGGGGTGACTCCAATCTGTTTCTATATTCAGCATTATCAGCTTAGCGCATGCTAAAAGGTGAGTTTGGTTTTGTGAGGATAATACCAAATTCTGGGGTGGCATCTTTGGAGTTGGGTGGTTGGAGGATAAGTTGTAAAGCTGGTGTTAGTTAAATGTGCCTCTGATGTGAGTCCACAGGGCAAACCGAGGACAGTGCTCTTATGGAAAAGAGCTAGGGCCATGAGAATCTACAGTGGGGCAAGCTTAGGGGTTCACAGAGGCCTTCCCAGAGGAAGTGACTTCTAACTAACACTTGAAGACAGGTAGGCATTAGCTAGGCAAGGCAGTCGAGAACATTCTGGACATACATATCACCTCCGCCAGTAGCTGGAGTTGCAGCTTCATCTGTAGGACCAAAAGAGTGACACCCACAGGCCCCTTACTGCCTAGAGGAATGCTGGGACTCTGCCCTAACCTCAAGAACCTCTGCAAGATCCTTGTCTTGTGAACCTCATGCACTGTTTGACTTCCTAGGAAATGCTATGGATTTCTTAAAATGAGATTTCTGGTATATCCACTGCTTCTGCCTGAGGCACTTTTTGTTTTCTGGAATGGTGTGGTGAGCCTTTTAGCAGAGCAGTCCTAGAATCTGCTCTAGCATTGACTTGTTACATGACCTTGGGCCAGTCACTTCTTCCCTCTGGGCCTCGATTTGTCCATCTGTAAAGTTGGGAGCAGGTGGAGCCCTTCCAGCTCTGATGCTGTCTGGTGGGACTGTGAGGAAGCAGTGTCCTGTAGTGGTTAAACCCCAGACTGTGGCCCTGAGTGGGAGTCCTGCCTGCACCATTTACTGGGACCTTGGGCAAATCACTTCTCCTCTCTGAGGCTCCATTTCCTCATCTGTACAATAGGACCTACATTCCTATCCCCCTGGATTGTATGAGGATTAAATGAGATTACAGACATAAAGCATTTGAGGCTGTGCCAGGCCCAGCAAATGGCAGCTTCTGTCATATTTTGTAATGGATGTGAAATAGAAAATGTTAACTCTGCTGATTGCTGCGAAACACACCATCCTCAGGGTTTACCATCAATGCAATCTCTGCAAACTGTCAGAAGGTCCTCTGATGGGTGTCCAGGGAAACACCCAAAGCTGGGTAGCTTCACTTCAGCAGGAACTGAGGAAATTCCCCATGGGGAAAAGTTGGCCAAGTAGGTGGTGGCTGTGCTAATTTGTGGGTATGAAGACAATTCCTAGACTCTGAGCTGCAAGGGTGAGCCTGGGATGGAGTCTGGGTGGCCTGAATTAGCTCAGGGTGGGAAAGGAAATGTCCCTTGCCCCTAGCTAGTAACCAGAGTCAGGATAGCCTAGGGCAGGATGGAAAGGAGAACTGAGTCTTCCCTCACCCATGACCTGCCCTGGTCCTCTGCCTGTGCCACACTATCACTCTAATTCTGACCATCTGATGCCTGCTCATATTGCCACTTGTAAGTCTGACTGCTCTTTACATAAAAAATGGGAAATGAAGGCTCAGAGAAAGGCAGGGACTTGCCCAGACCACACAGCAAATCAGAACCAAAATCTAGGTCTCCAGGCCTCAGATGCAGCTATCTCTGTCAGCATCAGACAGCCTCCTTGATTCTGGCAAGAGAGTGAATGGCTGGTTGTTGCCTGGCAACCACAGCCACCCCAGATGTTTTCTATCTCCACATTTTCATGAGAATCAGGCCATTCAGCGATAGCTGGGCTCAGACCTCAGAGAGAAAATGTCTCTGGTCTTAGGGGCAGTAGGGACAGGACTCCTCATGTTTGAAGCATTTACCTAGGCTAGGCACAGTCAGTTCCCCTCCAGGTTCTAGAACTCTCCCAGGCTGCCCCGACCCATTTCTCTTTCTTGCTTAGGGACGAGATTCACACGATTTCCTCCCTTCTGGCTGAGCTGAGCTGTGCTCTGTCATCACCGACAGCAAGTGCTGGAGGAGAAAATCCTGCTGGGGCCTTTAATCACATTGAGAGAGCAATTTAGGAATCACCCTGGGCCTGAACCCTGGCTCTGCCAGTCATTGGCTACATGACCTTGATCAAGTTACTCCACCTCTCTGAGCTGGTTCTTTCATCTGTAAAATGGGGTTAATGTCTGCCTCTCAGGTCTGTGTAAAGAGTTAATGAAATAATGAATGTAGGCCAGGCGCAGTGGCTCACGCCTGTAATCCCAACTCTTTGGGAGGCCGAGGTGGGCGGATCACGAGGTCAGGAGATCGAGACCATCCTGGCTAACATGGTGAAACCCCGTTTCTACTAAAAATACAAAAAATTAGCCACACCTGTAGTCCCAGCTACTCGGGAGGCTGAGCCAGGAGAATGGCGTGAACCCGGGAGGCGGAGCTTCATCTCAAAAAAAAATAAAAATATGAATGTAAGGTATCAGGCATAGGAATAGGTATTCAGGGCCACGCGTGGTGGCTCACACTTGCAATCTCAGCACTTTGGGAGGCCGAGGCAGGCGGATCACCTGAGGTCAGGAGTTGGAGACAAGCCTGGCCAAGACGGTGAAACCCCATCTCTACTAAAAATACAAAAATTAGCTGGGCATGATGGCAGGTGCTATAATCCCAGCTACTTGGGAGGCTGAGGTGGGAGAATCACTTGAACTCGGGAGGTGGAGATTGCAGTGAGCTGAGATCGCGCCATTGCACTCCACCCTGGGCGACAGAACCAGACTGCGTCTCAAGAAGAAAAAAAAGAAATAGGTATTCAGTATTAACATCTGTATCAGTCAACTTTCTCAACTGCAAGCAGTAAGATTCCACTAAAGATTGTCTAGCAGAAAAAGGCCAGAGGATCAGGCTGGGGGCTACACATCAAGAACAGTATCCCCAGAATGCCACTTCAGTGAAGACCCTAGGGCCACCCCCAGTTGCCAACACACAGCACAGATGTGGCAGCACGCATTAGGGATTTTCTGTAGCCTCACTCACCGTGGCACCCCTTGCCCTTCTCTCTGCCCTTTTGGGATCTGGTACAGGAGGAAGGAAGTGGATTCCTCACGCTCATGGCTAGACTGCATAGGGAAAACACATACATAAGCACTATACCCCTGGTGCTGTTTACACTGCTTACAACCCTCCCTTAGAGAATGATACTACTATTTTGCCAGTTGATAGATATGGAAACTGATGCACAGAGAGGTTTTTTTCTTAACTTGCCTGAGATCACACAACCAGTAAACAGTAGAACCAGAACTGGAACCCAGGCAGTTTAACTCTCTTGCTAATGTCCTGAACTAGAACTCTCAGGGTAACCAGAGTTACCCTGAGAAATTACTATTTCCCATCTACATGATGGGAAGATTCTATCATAACTGTGACTAGATGGATGGATGGATGGATGGATGGATGGATGGATGGATGGTTTATTCATTAATTCAACTTTAAGTGCTTTTTATGTCCCAGGCTCTGTGGTCAACACCAAGTAAAACTAATATGTTCTCTGACTTTAAGGAACTTAGGGCTAGTGGAGGAAAAGAACAAGAAATAAGCAAACACTCAAGTAAACTAAATACTTGGAAATTATGAGAAGAGCAAGGAAGGAAACACAGAACAAAGTATAAGAAAGAATCACTGGGGCAACATTATGGGTAGGGAGGACTCTCTCCCTGGCTCACTGTTCAACCATACTGGCCTCCTGGCTGCTCTTTGTTTTTGTTGTTGTTGTTGTTGTTGTTGTTTGTTTGTTGTTGTTGTTGTTTTTGAGACAAAGTCTTGCTCTATCACTAGGGTGGAGCGCAGTGGTGCGATCTCGGCTCACTGCAACCTCCGCCTCCCGGTTTCAAGCGATTTTCCTGCCTCAGCCTCCCGAGTAGCTGGGACTACAGGGGCGCGCTACCATGCCCAGCTAATTTTTGTATTTTTAGTAGAGATGGGTTTCACCATGTTGGCCAGGATGGTCTTGAACTCCTGACCTTGTGATCCGCCCACCTTGGCCTCCCAAAGTGCTGGGATTACAGGTGTGAGCCACTGCACCCGGCCCTGGCTACTCTTTGGAACCACCAAGCACACTTAGGGCGTTTGCTTTGGCTGTTCCTTCTGCTTAATAAGGGTTTCCCCAGTTACCTACATGGCTAACTCCCTCACCTCCTTAAAGTTTTGTATGCATAGCACCTTCTCAGCAAGACCTTCCTTGACACCACTGTTTAACAACTCATCCTGCCTCTTCCCTGCACTGATGCTGCATCAGCACTCCTTGTCTCCTCCCTGCTCTACTGTATCTTCCCCTTACCACTTTCTAACACAGTTTATTTATGTGTATTTATAATTTATTATATTTATTATGTTTACACTTTGCTTTACCTTGTAGAATGTAAACATCACAAGAGAGCAGGGATCTTTGTTCTGTTCACTGAAATATGGCACATAGTAAGTGCTCAAAAGTATTTACTGAATGAATGTAAATAATGTCCCTGATGTCACACAGCTGGAAAGTGGCATTTCTGTGATTTGTATCTAGTGTTATTTGGCTCCAAAGCTATAGAACCTTATTACTAGGGCTGTTACGGGGCTCAAATGGGTTCACGTGTCAGCCACTTAGCACAGTGCCTGGTAGGAAGGTTAATGTGCCATAAACATGAAATAATAGTTGTTATTATTAATTATTGACAGGGCCCCTCCCTCTTGGGCTCATTTTTCTAAATTTCATAATAGTACAGCAGGCTTTTTGGGGTAAGACGTCAAGCCTGACTTGACAGACACACTGACATGACTCTTAGGAAGGAAAAATGCAGCGGTGCCAGCCCCAGTAGCCTGGAACCCTGCCCCAGCAGGACCCAGTCCTCTATGTGGCCCAGCCTACTTCGTAACTGAGCTGAAACTGTTCACCCACAGGGACTGCAAACAACACAGACTTCCTGTATTTTGAGAAAGGGGAAGTCCAACCAGTGATTTACCTTGAGTCATTTGTTTCGAGACGGAAGCCTCAGCAGTTGGCAGAAAGTATAGGAAGGAGGAAGGCTGCCAGAGGCAAGAAAGGAGACCTGGATTCTAGAAGGAATGCCACTACTTCTCAGCTGACCACACTGAGCAAGTCCCCTCTCTGGCCTTAATTTTCTCACCTGGAAAATGGGACAATGATCTTTACCTCACTGGCTTCTCTAGGCAGTGCTAATATCGATGAGTGCCTGTGTGTGAAGAGCTGGAAATACAGGAATGCATCAGCATCTTGCAACTGGAAGGGCAAAGTTCAGAGGTTAAAAATTTACAAACTATGAAGTCACTTAGATCTGGATTCAAATCCTGCCTCCATCACTTTCTAGCTGTGTGTCCCTGGGCAAGTAATGTAACCTCTCTAAGTCTCAGGATCTTTGGTTTCCTCAGCTGTGAAATAATTTTTCTCCTAAACTGATTTTGAGGATTAAATGAGATATGCATATCAATGGCTATGAAGGAACAAGGAACTGGGCTCAGAGGAATCCTTCAGAAATGGTGATTCTTGTTTTTAATCCTGGATGAGCTCTCACTTCCTCTCTGTGTGATGCCAGTGCCCAGGACAAACCCCTGCTGAGAGTATTTCTTTTTTTTTATTTTTTGAGACAGAGTCTCACTCTGTCACCCAAGCTGGAGTGCAGTGGTGCGATCTCGGCTCACTGCAACCTCCGCCTCTTGGGTTCAAGCGATCCTCCTGCCTCAGCCTCTCGAGTAGCTGGGATTACAGGCACCTATCACCATGCCCAGCTAACTTTTTTTTTTCCCCACCAGGGTGTTCCTGAGTTTATTTGAGGCACAGCCGGGCGAGGGCCCTGTACCTAGAAGAAGGTGTTGGGTCTCCTGGTGAAGCGTGGCTTCTGCTGATGGCACAGCACCAAGTGGGGCAGCAGGAACTTGATCTTGGAGTCGTGGAATTGCTTGACAACTGGCCACCAGCACTTGCTGGCCGCAATCTCCTCCACCTTCATGATCTGGATGAAGTTGGCCCGGGCGCGGTACTGGGTGCCCATGTCTTGGTAGCACTGGGTGACAGCGCCCATGGTGGTTAGGTCCCGGTATTCCCTGTACATGTTGTGGGTGCTGCTCCGGGAGTCATAGCGCAGCCAGATGCCAAAGTTCTTCACCCACAGTGGGTACTTCTCAAACACCTGCCCACAGTTGACAGTCTCCCCTGAAGACTTCTTCATCTTCTTTAATTGAGATAGGAAGTACCAGAAGTGGAACTTGGCGACTACATGATTAGGCGCAAAGATTTGCATGTGGTAGAGGGGCAGTGTGTGGCATTTGGGGGTGGGCAGGCAGTGACACACCACCTTGTACTCTTGTTGTGTGCCCAAGGCCTTCATGGCTTTCTGTCCACCTTTGCCACCACCCACAAAAGGAAAAGGCTAATTTTTGTATTTTTAGTAGAGATGGGGTTTCACCATCTTGGCCACTCCCGACCTAAACTGATCCACCCACCTTGGCCTTCAAAAGTGCTGGGATTATAGGCGTGAGCCACTGCACCCGGCTCCCTTCTGAGTATTTAATAGAAATACCTCCATCTGTGGGACCACAGATAATTATTAAAATAGAGAATAATTTTATGTATTTATTTTTACTTATGACAAAACTTAATAAATTCATGGCAGAAAAAAACTTAAGCAAATAAGTAAAAATAAGAAAATAGAGATTACATATAACTTCATCACCTAGAGATAATCACTATTAACAGTTGGGTTAACTCTCCTGGATTTCTTTTTAAGGCATATTTAACAAGATGTTAAATGCAAGTTTCCCGTCATTTTGGCTTTGGGGCAGAGGCAAGGACCACTACATCCAGGCATGCTGAAGGATGGAGAAACCAGTTCTACCAGCATTAATCCCATCACCCCCAGAGTGTGTGTGTGTGTGTGTGTGTGTGTGTGTGTGTGTGTGTGTGTATGAGAGAGAGAGAGAAGACAGAAGAGAGAAGAGGGCTAGTTTAGAGAGATGTATTTTAGAGGCAATTGTGGTTTTTTGTTTTGTTTTTGAGTCAGGGTCTCACTCTGTCACCCAGGCTGGAGTATGGTGGCACAATCACTGCTCACTGCAACCTTGAATTCCTGGGCTCAAGTGATCCTTCCACCAAGCCTCTCAAGTAGCTAGGACTACAGGTGCGTGTTACCATGCCCAGTTAGGTTTTTTTTACTTTTTTATGGAGATGGGATCTTGCTGTGTTGCCCAGGCTGGTCTCGAACTCCTGGCCTCAAGCAATCATCCCCGTTAGGCCTCCCAAAGTGCTGGAATTACAGGCATGTAGGGCAGTTGTCTGGAGAGCAGATCCAATCCACTGTTTGCTATCTCAGTGGCCTTGGGTAAGTCACTTCACCTCTCTGGGCCTTAATTTCATCTGCCAAGTGGGAGTTATGATGATAGTACTTCCCTCATAAATCACTGTGGGGGGCCGGGTGAGGTGGCTCACACCTGTAATTCCAGCACTTTGGGAGGCCAAGGCAGGCAGATCACCTGAGGTCAGGATTTTAACACCAGGCTGGCAACATGGTGAAACCCTGTCTCTACAAAAATACAAAAATGAGCCGGACATGATGGCGAGTGCCTGTAATCCCAGCTGCTAGGGAGGCTGAGGTGGAAGAATCACTTGAACGCAGAAGGCGGAGGTTGCAGTGAGCCGAGATTGCGCCACTGCACTTCAGCCTGGGCAAGAGAGCAAGATTCTGTCTCAAAAAAAAAAAAAAATCACTGTGAGGATAACAGATGTATGTAGCATTTAATACGGTGTTTTGCACAAGTAAATGTATACAACTTTTTTTTTCTTTGAGACGGAATCTCGCTCTATTGCCCAGGCTGGAGTGCAGTGACAGGGTTTCACCATGTTGGCCAGGCTGGTGTCAAACTCCTGACCTCAAGTGATCCACCCACCTCTGCCTCCCAAAGTGCTGGGATTACAGGTGTGAGCCACCATGCCCAGCCACTTCTCAACTTATGTCCCAATAAACCCATCATACGTTGAAAATATTGTGAGCAGAAAATGCATTTGATAAACCTAACCTAACCATCATAGCTTAGCCTAGCCTATCTTAAACATGCTCAGAAGACTTGCACTAGCCTTCAGTTGGACAAAATTATATAACACGAAGCCTATTTTTAAGGTTTCCAAGGATGGACCCAAGCACCCATTCCGAAACCCCTTTCCAGGATTACTGCAAATTCCCGGGAGGCTTTATTTCTCCTGCTCCCGTTCCTACTTCAGTCTGTACTATCTTTGGTCAGCACTATACCAAAACAGATGTAAAAGTTGGCCCCTTCAGCTGTTTCCACCAACACTCCAGTCAGGGCAGCCCCCGTGAATATAGATCTTTCTTGAATATTTCCAGGGATAGGAGGCAGAGACATTCACATCATAGCTATAAACCTCAGGGTGAACAAAAACAAAAACAACTCCCAGTTTCCAAGACAGCCTTTTCTACTTTCCTCCACAGCCCCCGGCCTCAGCCACAAGCCAGCTCCTGTCTCCTGGTAAAGGAAATTTGCCTTTGGCTATTCATTCCACTCTCTCTTCCTAAGGACCTCTCAGATTTCTCTTCCAGGCATTATCCCACTGTGTGAAGCCTCAGGGTTGGGGGCTTGGCTTTCTCTCCTATCTCCCCATCACCACCATCATCAAGTGAAAGCCTTACAGGGCTCCTCTTTGGCCTTCATGTAGTCCGCACAAGGATAGGAGGAAACATTTGCTGTCATTCTGGCCCTCTCTGGCTTCCTGCTGTCCACCCCTCCCCAGAACCCTCGGGTCCTGCCCATTTCCCAAATCCAGTCCTCCAGATTCTGGTAGAATCTCTGAGCCCTCAGTAGCTTCTCAGTGTATGTATGACCTTTTGCTTAAAACATTCAGAGCCACTGGGGAACATATCCAAATCTAAGTTCTCTTCTTCTTCTTCTTCTTCTTCTTTTTTGAGGCGGAGTCTCACTCTGTCACCCAGGCTGGAGTGCAATGGCGTGGTCTTGGCTCACTGCAACCTCTGCCTCCCAGGTTCAAGCGATATTCCTGTCTCAGCCTCCCGAGTAGCTGGGACTACAGGCGCGTGCCACCACCCCTGGCTAATTTTTGTATTTTTAGTAGAGATGGGGTTTCACTATGTTGGCCAGGCTAGTCTCAAACTCCTGACCTCGTGATCCGCCCGCCTCGGCCTCCCAAAGTACTGGGATTACAGGTGTGAGCCACCATGCCTGGCCTTCTCTTCTTTGTTGCCTCCACAACAGCTGCCTCTCAGACATTCAAGACCTTTACCCTGGTTTTCCAAAGCATTTTCCTAATGAAAGCCATCCTCTTCTCTAAGGGTGGAGGTAATGCGCTAAGGGTTTATGACATGCATCTGGCTCACGGCTGTTTTTAAAAAATCAAATCAACATTTAAAAATTGATGGATTACACATAAAAGTCCGGATTTGTGGCTTTTCTTATAAATTCAGAAAATCTGGCATCATAAGACCCACATTTCTCCCAAGGAGCATATTGGCCTAAATGAAGAGCGGACTCCCTGCCCTTTAGACAGGTTTTTCCTTTCTTTTTTCTTTCTAAATACTGTACTTCATGCCATAAGACAGGTTTTTCTTTTTCTTTTTTTTTTCTGTGACGGAGTCTCGCTCTGTCGCCCAGGCTGGAGTGCAGAGGTGCAATCTGGGTTCACTGCAACCTCCACCTCCCGGGTTCACGCCATTCTCCTGCCTCAGCCTCCCGAGTAGCTGGGACTACAGGCGCCCGCCACCATGCCCGGCTAATTGTGTGTGTGTGTGTGTGTGTGTGTGTGTGTGTGTGTGTGTGTGTGTTTAGTAGAGACGGGGTTTCACCGTGTTGGCCAGAATGGTCTCGATCTCCTGACCTCGTGATCCGCCCACCTCGGCCTCCCAAAGTGCTGGGATTACAGGCGTGAGCCACCGCGCCCGGCAAGACAGGTTTTTCTTATGCCCCTGATACACCAGCCGTATTTCTCTCTCCTGCTTGACTTCTGCAGGCTTTCACCTTTGTGACCTTTGCTAAGCGGCATTTTAGTGCCAGTTTCTACCCTCTGTTGCTTTATTATAATTAAGTAGGGTCTAGGAATTCGCTAGGTTCACAAAGGGGGAAAGGGGACCCTACAGCAAGAGCAGTCGCAAGTATGCAAGTGATGGCTATCCCTGGAAGGGCCCCGGGTCCAGAGGGATGGGGTCTCCCGTGCAAGGAGGCGGTGGGACTGGTGAGGGTGAAGGTGAGTCTTAGTTATGAAGGATCTAAATGCTCTCTCATCGGGCACGGGGAGCCAGTGTGGGGTTTAAGGCAGGGCGACACACCATGAGCTGTAGGTATGAGAAAGGTGGCTGGGAAGCTTGCGGGGCAGAATCTATTGAAACCCTCCCGCTCAAAAAAAAAAACCTCTTTAAAAATAAAACAAAAACCCCTCTCCCTCTCCCTCTCCCTCTCCCTCTCCCTCTCCACGGTCTCCTTCCACGGTCTCCCTCTGATGCGGAGCCAAAGCTGGACGGTACTGCTGCCATCTCGGCTCACTGCAACCTCCCGGTCTGATTCTCCTGCCTCAGCCTGCCGAGTGCCTGTGATTGCAGGCGCGCGCCGCCACGCCTGACTGGTTTTCGTTTTTTTTTGGTGGAGACGGGGTTTCGCTGTGTTGGCCGGGCTGGTCTCCAGCTCCTAACCGCGAGTGATCCGCCAGCCTCGGCCTCCCGAGGTGCCGGGATTGCAGACGGAGTCTGGTTCACTCAGTGCTCAATGGTGCCCAGGCTGGAGTGCAGTGGTGTGATCTCAGCTCTCTACAACCTACACCTCCCAGCCGCCTGCCTTGGCCTCCCAAAGTGCCGAGAATGCAGCCTCTGCCCGGCCGCCACCCCGTCTGGGAAGTGAGGAGCGTCTCTGCCTGGCCGCCTATCGTCTGGGAGGTGAGGAGCCCCTCTGCCTGGCTGCCCAGTCTGGAAAGTGAGGAGCGTCTCTGCCCGGCCGCCATCCCATCTAGGAAGTGAGGAGCATCTCTGCCTGACCCGCCCATCGTCTGAGTGGGGAGCGCCTCTGCCCCGACGCCCTGTCTGGGACGTGAGGAGCGCCTCTGCTGGGCCGCACCCCGTCTGGGAGGTGAGGAGCGTCTCTGCCCGGCCGCCCCGTCTGAGAAGTGAGGAAACCCTCTGCCTGGCAACCGCCCCGTCTGAGAAGTGAGGAGCCCCTCCGTCCGGCAGCCACCCCGTCTGGGAAGTGAGGAGCGTCTCCGCCCGGCAGCCACCCCGTCCGGGAGGGAGGTGGGGGGGGGTCAGCCCCCCGCCCGGCCAGCCGCCCCGTCCGGGAGGTGAGGGGCTCCTGTGCCCGGCCGCCCCTACTGGGAAGTGAGGAGCCCCTCTGCCCAGCCAGTCGCCCCGTCCAGGAGGGAGGTGGGGGGGTCAGCCCCCCGCCCGGCCAGCCGCCCAGTCCGGGAGAGAGGTGGGGGGTCAGCCCCCCGCCCAGCCAGCCGCCCCGTCCGGGAGGGGGGAGGGGGGGTCAGCCCCCTGCCCGGCCAGGCTCCCCGTCCGGGAGGGAGGTGGGGGGATCAGCCCCCCGCCTGGCCAGCCGCCCCGTCCGGGAGGTGAGGGGCGCCTCTGCCCGGCCGCCCCTACTGGGAAGTGAGGACCCCTCTGCCCGGCCAGCCGCCCCGTCCGGGAGGGAGGTGGGGGGGTCAGCCCCCCGCCCGGCCAGCCGCCCAGTCCGGGAGGGAGGTGGGGGGTCAGCCCCCCGCCCGGCCAGCCGCCCCGTCCGGGAGGGAGGTGGGGGGATCAGCCCCCCGCCTGGCCAGCCGCCCCGTCCGGGAGGTGAGGGGCGCCTCTGCCCGGCCGCCCCTACTGGGAAGTGAGGAGCCCCTCTGCCCGGCCAGCCGCCCCGTCCGGGAGGGAGGTGGGGGGGTCAGCCCCCCGCCTGGCCAGCCGCCCCGTCCGGGAGGTGAGGGGCGCCTCTGCCCGGCTGCCCCTATTGGGAAGTGAGGAGCCCTTTTGCCCGGCCAGCCGCCCCGTCCGGGAGGGAGGCGGGGGGGGGGGTTGGCCAGCCGCCCCGTCCGGGAGGGAGGTGGGGGGGTCAGCCCCCCGCCCGGCCAGCCGCCCTATCCAGGAGGTGAGGGGCGCCTCTGCCCGGCCGCCCCTACTGGGAAGTGAGGAGCCCCTCTGCCTGGCCAGCCGCCCCGTCCGGGAGGGTGGTGGGGGGGTCAGCCCCCCGCCCGGCCAGACGCCCCATCCGGGAGGTGAGGGGCGCTTCTGCCCGGCCGCCCCTACTGGGAAGTGAGGAGCCCCTCTGCCCGGCCACGACCCCGTCTGGGAGGTGTGCCCAGCGGCTCATTGGAGATGGGCCATGGTGACAATGGCGGTTTTGTGGAATAGAAAGGCGGGAAGGGTGGGGAAAAAATTGAGAAATCGGATGGGTGCCGGGTCTGTGTGGATAGAAGTAGACATGGGAGACTTTTCATTTTGTTCTGTACTAAGAAAAATTCTTCTGCCTTGGGATCCTGTTGATCTGTGACCTTATCCCCAACCCTGTGCTCTCTGAAACATGTGCTGTGTCCACTCAGGGTTAAATGGATTAAGGGCGGTGCAAGATGTGCTTTGTTAAACCGATGCTTGAAGGCAGCATGCTCGTTAAGAGTCATCACCACTCCCTAATCTTAAGTACCCAGGGACACAAACACTGCGGAAGGCCGCAGGGTCCTCTACCTAGGAAAACCAGAGACCTTTGTTCACTTGTTTATCTGCTGACCTTCCCTCCACTATTGTCCTATGACCCTGCCAAATCCCCCTCTGCGAGAAACACCCAAGAATGATCAATAAAAAAAAAAAATAAATAAATAAATAAAAATTAAAAAAAAAAAAAAAAAAAGAAACCCTCCCATCCCCCGCTGTGTCTGCTGGAAGCCCAGTGAGAGGCAGGGGCAGTGGTCCGAGGACGGCTGCCGCCGGATGAGTGGCAAAGGCGGTGGGAACGGCTGGGAGGACTGCAAGGGAGGGATTTCGGAGGCAGCCTTGTCAAAGAGTGGGTATGCTTGACCTTGACAGAAAACACTGCGGGAGCTGCGGCAGCAACTCGCTCGCCTCCGCTCCCTTCCCGTCCCCTGCGCCGTAGCGGACCGCGGCGGAATCCCGGCCCCTCGCCGGGCGCTCTCCCGCGCGGATGCGGCACGCGAGGGGCGGGGGCGGGATGGCGAGGGTGGCGGCACTGCGGGGATGCCGGTCTTCCCTGGAAGGCCAGGGAGGGAAAGGGAGGCTGGTCACATGGCACCGCCACCGGGCGCAGCCGGATTGGCGGGTTGCGCAGCCAAGCAAGCCAAGGCTGCTCGGATTTCCAGGCACTAAGCGGCCCCCTCCCCTCGTTCGAGTGCCCAAGGAAAGCGCTGGCCCTGCCCCGGGCAAGGGAAGACGCGAGCCGTGCTCGTTCCGCAGTGTGAAACGCACGGTATCGCCGCAGTCCTAGGGAGGTCTGATTATTGGGAGCTTGGGACGTCTGATTATTGTGTGGGAGCAATTGTCTGATTATTGTCTCGGGAGGTCTGATTATTGTCTGGGAGGTCTGATTATTGTCTCCATGAACACCTCTCGTCCCCCTTCCCTTCTCTGCTTTTCTCCTGACTTCCCACACCTGCCCCTCTTTCTACCTTACCTACCTGGAGGCCAGCTTTATTTGCAGGTTTCCATTACTTGCTGTAATTTTTCAGCTTTGAGTAAATCAACCTGCTGGAGGTGGCAAAGATTAAAAGAGAAATCCGACAGATGCCTCAAGTCCCACACATCCAGCCCCACTTATCTCCCCAAAATGCTCTTCTCTGTCTCAAGCAAAAACCTGAGAACCATCTCCATCTCGCTGTCCCCAATCAAATCTATGACCAAAACCTATTAAATTTACCTCCAAAATATTTCTTACACCTCACACCAAGTATTTTTCCTTCTTAGCATCTATCCTGATTTGTAACTGTATGTTTATTTGTATGATTGTTTTTGTAAGGGTTTTTCCCACTGGATTGTAAGCTCCATGTGAGCAGTGACCTTGTCTGTTTTGCTCATTGCTATATCACCGACACTGTACCAGGCACATAGTAGGTACACACTAAATGTTAATTAATTGATTGAATGAATGAATCCATGTAAAACAAGTCCTGGGGAGGGGCACAGATTTTAAGTAAAATACACAGTTTATCTATCCCCAAGAAGTCACCTATCTGATGGGTTTGGTGTCATGAAGCCTGTAGTTCCAGCTACTTGGAAGACTAAGGCAGGAGGATTGCTTGAGCCCAGGAGTTTGAAACTGTATCATACTATGATTTTGCCTGTAAATAGCCACTGCACTCCAGCCTGGGCAACATAGCATGACACCGTCTATAAACAAAACAAAAAAAGAAGTCATCTATCCAACAAACATGTCCTGAGGTCTTTGCTACACAAGGCCCTGGACAGAGACCAGTGCATGCAATGAGTAAGTTTCCATTTCTACCTTCCCTCTTTGTCTTAAGAGTCCACATGTCACTAACCCAGACAAGACCCTGTGGTATTGGAGGTGCCAAGGATGGAGTCAGAGTCCAGGATTTAGAATATGATGAGCTGGCTGTGTGACCACAAGTCTCCTCTCTCTGAGGCTCCATCTTCTCATCTTGAAAACAGGATAGCAATACCAAGCTCACATGGCTGTTGAGAGCAATGAATGAGATAAATGAAAGCATCAACTGCGGGTTTTACAGCGATGTTGGGTGTAGGTGGGTGATCATATCTTCCAGTTTGCCTGGAACAGATCAATTGACACCTGTTAAACTAGAGCAAATTAATAGCATTCCCTTTCATCCCTCCAAATGTCCTGCTTTGGACAGTAAAGTATGTGGATACCCTAGTACTACATGTAACTCTAGAGTTATCTACACTGTACCCTGGGGACACAAAGGATGGAGGGAGGTGGGTCTGACTGTAGAAAGGTGGATGGTAACCATGGAAATGAGCCTGAAATATGCACAGGATTACACCAAGTGGAGAGGGATAGGAAGGGCATAAGAAGCAGAGGGACCAGCATTTGCCAAGAAGCGAGGCTTAACAATCCTGGGCATACTTAGTTAGATAACATAAAGAAGGCCAAATGGCTTGAGTCCAGGAGGCATGCAAGAAGATGAGGCTTTCTGCAGTGGGAACTGGAGAAAGTTTTTGAGTAGGGGTAGACATGAGCCAATGGCTTCACAAAAGAGACCAGTTGAGGAGCTGGAGCCGAAATTGAAGCAGAAGAGATAATGAGGCTTGAACAGGGCAGTGCATGTAAACCCAGGAACAAAGGGTGAGATTCCATAAGCATTTTGGAGATAAAACAGATAGGACTTCGATGTGAGCATCAGAGGACAGGTCAGAGGCAGGAAGACTTCCAGATGGATAAAGAGGCCACTCCCTGAGGCAGGCAGAGAGAGGACAGGCCAGGAGACCCAGAAAATAGGAGGTGACCCAGATCAGGCTGACTAGGCACAGAAGCTCATGATCCACAGGGAAAAATGGAGATCACATCAGGTAGAGGTGACTTCTGAGGCCAGAGGAAGGAGCTAGGAGCCTCAATATTCATGTGACATCTAATTAAAATTAGCTTTCAAAGCAACCTTGAAGCCAGGTGCTGTGGCTCATGCCTGTAATCCCAGCACTTTGGGAGGCTGGGGCGGGTAGATCACCTGAGATCAGGAGTTTGAGACCAGCCTGGTCAACATGGTGAAACCCCGTCTCTACTAAAAATGCAAAAATTAGCCAGGCATGGTGGCACACACCTGTAGTCCCAGCTTCTTGGGAGGCTGAGGCAGGAGAATCTCTTGAATCTGGGAGGCAGAGGTTGCAGTGAGCTGAGATTGCGCCATTGCACTCCGTCAAAAGCGAAAAAGTGAAACTCCATGTCAAAAAAAAAAAAAAAAAAAAGAGGCTGGGCGTGGTAGCTCACACCTGTAATCCCAGCACTTTGGGAGGCCGAGGTGGGCAGATCACTTGAGGTCAGGAGTTCAAGACCAGCCTGGCCAACATGGCGAAACCCCATCTCTACTAAAATACAAAAAAAAAAATCAGCCGGGCATGGTGATTAGTGCCTGTAGTCCCAGCTACACGGGAGGATGAGGCACAAGAATCGCTTGAACCCAGGAGGTGGAGGTTGCAGTGAGCCGAGATCGCGCCATTGCACTCCAGCCTGGGTGACAGAGCAAGACTCTGTCTCAAAAAAACAAACAAACAAAACAACAACAACAAAAAACCAAAACAACAACAAAAACCTTGAAAAAGACAAGAGAAAACTCAAAAGTAGAGCCTCAAGAAAGAAAAAAGCAGGTTTTGTAGTCCAATTTCATGGTATGTATGGCTCTCCTTGATTTAAACTGTCCCATAATACCTCATAGACTAAAGGCTGAGCTCCTTAGCCTGGCACTGAAGGCTTCCTGTAGCTGGGTCTCAGCCTATCTCTGATGAACATTTCATATTTCATCTGCTCATGTTTGGCCCCTCCCTCCTTCCTTGTGAAAGAGTAGCTCCTTCCTTTTGGAGAATTGCTCCTCCCTTTGGTCCAGCCATATGGTTCAGGTACTGCCTATCAATCATAGCATTCCATCCTCCATGACCACAGATGTGGGTATGCAGCCAAACCTCACCAATCAGACTTGTTCTGAAGAATTTTGAGAATCTGGAACAAAGGGAAGATAATTACTCCTCTCTGGTGAGGAAGCTAGGACACATAAGCTAGGGATTCTACAGTTCCAGCAAGAGAGAGAAGTAGACTGAAAAAATAAAGTGGGAAGAAGAGGGAGTTAATGCTTAATGGCTATGGAATTCCAAGTTGGTAAAACGAAAAAGTTCTGGAGATGGATGGTGGTGATGGTTGCACAACAATATGAATTTATTTAATGTTACCAAACTGTACACTTAAAATTGGTTAAAATGGTAGATTTTATGTAATGCATATTTTACCACAATAAAAAAAAAAGAAGAAGCTAGCATGCAGAGAAGCAAAGATGAATGATGGAGTGCAGGATCTGGGGGCTTTCCTGGGTGCAGTTGCTGTGGTACAAAGGGTTCAAAAGGTTATAGAAGCCAAAAATCACTCCTTTGGCCTAGCCTCATTCAAGTTAGGCTTCTGGTCCTTGCATCCAATGGAGCCATAATACAGAACCTTTCCATTTTCTTTTTTGTTTCTTTTCTTTTCTTTTTTTTTTTTTTTTTTTTTTGAGAAGCAGTCTCACACTGTGGCCCAGGCTTACAGTACAGTGACATGATCTTGGCTCACTGCAACTTCTGCCTCCCAGGTTCAAGTGATTCTCGTGCCTTGGCTTCCCGAGTAGCTGGGACTACAGGTGAGTGCCACCATGCCTGGCTAATTTTTGTATTTTTAGTAGAGACAGGGTTTCTGCATGTTGGCCAGGCTGGTCTCGAACCTCCCGACCTCAAGCAATCTGCCCACCTCAGCCTCCCAAAGTGCTGGGATTACAGCGTGAGCCACCATGCCTGGCCAGAACCTTTCCATTTTCATTTCTCACTCATGTCCTTTCAAACATTCTCTTCTCCTGTCAACCCTGCTGCTCATACTTCCTCAGACTTATCCTGTGTTTATACACACTATGCCTTTCCTCCCTGCTCCCCAAGCTTGGAATGTCCTTCCCCCTTCTTATGACTTTGTCAACTCATATTCATCATTTGAGATCCAGCTGAAAGGGCTCCTCCTCAGGAAAGCCATCCCTGACCACCCTAAGCAGAGCCTGCCATGCCTTCTGTTGGTCTGTCATAGCTTTTTTGTATATGTCCTCATCACTTGGTATCTCAGTGATCTGCCATCTTGTCTGTAACCCCCAGTAGATTATGTTTTTCATCTCCATGA
This sequence comes from Homo sapiens, assembly GCF_000001405.40. NCBI lineage: Eukaryota > Metazoa > Chordata > Mammalia > Primates > Hominidae > Homo > Homo sapiens. The sequence continues at coordinate 32,968,459 of NC_000001.11, read as the reverse complement.
CCCTGGTAGCTAGCAAAGAGGCTAGCACAAGTAAGTATAATAAATCTTTACTGAATGAGTGTACAGATGAGTGAGAATCTTTTTCTCCCTCATGCCATCTCTGAGTCACTACTCAGTTTCTATCAAGAAGAGACACATAAGGAAACGTGGGAGGAATTGCTTTAGTCCCTTTATTCAAGGGTGATAGTCTCAGGAGAGAAGAAAACACAATCAAGTTGGGGCCACTGCAAAGTCTAGTGGCATTTAAGAGAAGTTATTTTCCCCAAAGCACTGGCAGCTTTGAACTGAGGCTGAATTTGTTTGGAAGCCAGAGCCAAGACAAGCAGACATTTGGTAGTGTTGAGCCTTCCAGCAAGCTGGGATTCTGACAGCCGTTTCTGTCAGCTGCACAAGGAGAAGCATCTAAAAGGCATCTGGGTCTACCTGGAATTGGGGGTCCCCATATCTTTTAGCACAATCTGACCCAAGGAACAAGGCAGCCGTCTCTCCTACCCTCCATTCCCACCATAAGCATATACCTCCTCTAAGGGGGCTCTGCAGTTGATTAGGACGTTGGGCACTGAGAACAGAGTCAAAGATGACTATAGGAAACTGTGGCAGAGATGATACTACTGCTTACTAAATGGCTTATGGTTTCTTCCTACATTTCCCAGCCTCCCTTGCAGTTTTTTTGTTTGTTTGTTTGTTTTTGACACAGAGTCTTGCTCTCTCGCCCAGGCTGGAGTGCAGTGGTGTAATCTCCGCTCACTGCAACCTCTACCTCCTGGGTTCAAGCGATTCTCCTGCCTCAGCCTCCTGAATAGCAGGGATTACAGGCGCCCCACCACACCCCGCTAACTTTTGTATTTTTAGAGATGGGGTTTCACCATGTTGGCCAGGCTGGTCTCGAACTCCTGACCTCAGGTGATCCACCTGCCTCGGCCTCCCAAAGTGCTAGGATTACAGGCATGAGCCACCGTGCCTGGCCTCCAGCTCTCTTTTTGAGGCAATACTGAAAGCTTTGCATTGAGATAGTGGAGCCCAAGAGAGAAGTAGTCTGGATCTCTGAGTTACCCAGGAGAGTTGAGGAGAGCTACTCTGGAGAGTGCCTTAACCCACAGCCAGCGTTGCATGAGTGGAAAAGATATACCATTGTTGTGTGTTATGCCATTGAGAAATTTGGCTTGTTTGTTACCATAGCCAAGTCTAGCCTATTCTGCCAGATAAATATAGACATTAATTGTTGTTTTAGCCATCCAGCATCAAACCTCCTTCCTATTTGAGGATTAAACTCTCCCCCTCCTTTAGGACTCTTTGGTGTTGCCAAATCCAGTGGTCACATCTCTGTTCTTATCTTTCTTGATTTCTCAGCAGCATTTGTCACAATTGACCACTCCCTTCTGGGAACATACTATGTTGGTGTCTGTGACATCATGCCTGCTTAGTTTTTCTTTTATGTCACTGGCCCCCGCTTTTCAGTTTTCTTTGTTGGCTCCCCTTCTTGTTTTATGTCAAAAGTTTGAAGTTCTGGAGACCTGGTTTAAAATATCACAGCTGGTTTCCACCTTTTGAGACGATGTCTTTTTGTGTCACCCAGGCTGGAGTGCAGTGGCATAATCACGGCTCACTGCAGTCTCAACCTCCCAGGCTCAAGCATTCCTCCCACCTCAGTCTCCCAAGTAGCGGGGACTACAGGCACACTCCATCACACCCAGATAATTTTTGTATTTTTTGTAGAGATGGGGTTTTGCCATGTTGCTCAAGCTGGTCTCAAACTCCTGGGCTTAAGAGATTCACCAGCCTAGGTCTCCCAAAGTGTTGTAATTACAGGTGCGAGCCACAGCTCCTGGCCCATCTTACCATTCCTTATTAATAACAGAGCACTCATTGTTAGCTGGGCACATTGTACCCAGTTAAGAGAATGTTTCCCAGGCTCCCTTGCAGCTGAGTATGGCCATGTGAGTGAGTATGTTTTGGCAAAAATGTGCGGGACTTTCGAGGCAGTCCTTTTTTCTTTCTTTCTTTTTCTTTTTCTTTTTTTTTTTTTTTTGAGACAGAGTCTCGCTCTGTCGCCCAGGATGGAGTGCAGCGGCGCGATCTCGGCTCACTGCAACCTCCGCCTCCTGGGTTCACGCCATTCTCCTGCCTCAGCCTCTCGAGTTGCTGGGATTACAGGCGCCCGCCACCACGCCCGGCTAATTTTTTATATTTTTAGTAGAGACGGGATTTCACTGTGTTAGCCAGGATGGTCTCCATCTCCTGACCTCGTGATCCGCCAGCCTGGGCCTCCCAAAGTGCTGGGATTACAGGCGTGAGCCTCCGCGCCCAGCCCCAAGGCAGTCTTCTTAAAAGGAAGAGGATGCATCTTTCTTCCCTTTTTCCTTCCCACTGTTTGGAATATGGACCATAGTGAGGTGACCTTAACACTGGAAGCCAAATACTGAGGATGGCTGAACAGCCCTGAACTGCCTACTTTTGGACTTATATTTCATGGAAAGAGAGAAATTTCTGGCTAGGTGCAGCGGCTCATGCCTGTAATCCCAGCACTTTGAGAGGCCAAGGCAGGAGGATCGCTTGAGCCCAGGAGCTCGAGACCAGCCTGAGCAACACAGGGAGATTTCATCTCCATGAAAAAAATAAAAATAATAGGCAGGCCTGGTGGCGCACCTGTGCTCCCAGCTACTCCAGAGGTTGGGGTGGGAGGATCGCTTAAGCTTGGGAGGTTGAGGCTTCAGTGAGCTGTGATCACGCCACTGCACTCCAACCTGGGTGACAGAGCAAAACCGTCTCAGGAAAAAAAATAAATAAATTTCAATCGTAAGCTATTTTTTTCTTTTGTTATTTGCAATTGAATGTAATCCTGATACATTCCTGTTGTTGAAGCTGTTTGCCTGCCTCCCACTAGGAAGCCTAAGGGTCCAGATCCTCCCCCAGTCAGAGGAATGGGGAACTAGAAAAAGAAAGGCAAAGGCACTGCCAGGCAAGAAAACGCTGGGTCTCCTTCCACAAGTTTGGTAAGTAAGCAAGATACCAGGAGGATAGAATGGTAAGTGAGCCTAGAAATAGACTATTATATACATAGGGTTTATTAAATACATAGAGAACACTGAATGCTAGACTAAGAAATTTGGACTTTATTCTGGAAGTCCCTTGCAATAGGGGACCTTGTCTGTTTTATTTTCTAATGCCTCGCACTTTGTAGAAGCTCAGTGAATGAATATATTCTTTATTAATTTATGCCGTCTGCTTAATAAACAGAAATGTTGGAAGGTGAACCAGTTGGGAGTCACCATCTGATCAACCCCTGCCTGCTTTTTATAAATAATGTAACTGAACCATCATTTACTGGAAGTGGCAATCAACCTGTGAGGAACGGCAAACCAAAAAGTCCACCTTGGGTGTCATGGTGATGGAATTGGAGGCGGAGACCAGGGAGAGCAGCGGGCTAGGATCTCTGAGAGTCTCCGCAACATGGCGGCCCTGGAACCACCTGACCGGCAGGAGGCGGAGCTCCGCCCCAGCTCGCTCGGCCCCACCCCGCTCGGCCCTGCCCAGCGCACTCCTAGACCGGGGCGCAAGGGTTGTGAGGTGTTTGAGCGAAGCGCCTGCGCAGGGCAGCGGCGCGCGGGGCGGAGGCTTTATAATCACTTCGTCGTTGCCGCTCGGCTTCTATCGCCGGGAGGGCGGTTGAGGCGGTGGTGGCGGCGTCGGCGGCGGCCGGGCGCTGGCTGAGGGGCGCTGAGGCGGGAGCTGTGGCGGCGCTGGGCGCCCCTGGCTCCTCGGCCTCTGCCGGCCATGGGCTCCGAGAAGGACTCCGAGTCGCCGCGCTCCACATCGCTACATGCGGCCGCACCCGACCCTAAGTGCCGCAGCGGCGGCCGGCGCCGGCGCCTCACCTTGCACAGCGTCTTCTCTGCCTCGGCCCGCGGCCGCCGCGCCCGGGCCAAGCCGCAGGCCGAGCCGCCGCCCCCGGCTGCGCAGCCGCCGCCCGCCCCGGCCCCTGCCGCGGCCCAGGGCCCGCCGCCCGAGGCGCTGCCCGCCGAGCCGGCCGCCGAGGCCGAGGCGGAGGCCGCGGCGGCGGCGGCGGAGCCTGGGTTCGACGATGAGGAGGCGGCGGAGGGCGGTGGCCCGGGCGCGGAGGAGGTGGAGTGTCCGCTGTGCCTGGTGCGGCTGCCGCCTGAGCGGGCCCCGCGCCTCCTCAGCTGTCCGCACCGCTCGTGCCGGGACTGCCTCCGCCACTACCTGCGCCTGGAGATAAGCGAGAGCAGGGTGCCCATCAGCTGCCCCGAGTGCAGCGAGCGACTCAACCCGCACGACATCCGCTTGCTGCTCGCCGACCCGCCGCTTATGCACAAGTACGAGGAGTTCATGCTGCGCCGCTACCTAGCCTCGGACCCCGACTGCCGCTGGTGCCCGGCCCCGGACTGCGGGTGAGCGCGGGGGCGTGGCGCGGGTGGCGGCGGGCTGCAGCCGAGGGGCGTGGCTGGGGGCAGCAGGGACCCCGCGTGGGTGTCCCAAGCAGGGAAACCCGCAAGGCGGCAGCTTCGGCGGGGTGGTAACCATCAGGCAAGCCCAGACTAGTGGTGTGAACGCACCCGACACCCCGCCCCCTGCCCCAGGGCTCGAGGTGGCTGCTAAGCATTCGGTGAGGGGAAGGGAGCTGTCCAAGTTAGGAGACAGGGAGAGGCGGTTTTTTTGTTGGGGGAATGCCCTCTGTCCGGAGGTGAGGACAGTATCTTTTTTTTTTTTTCTTTTTTTTTTTGGAGACGGAGTCTCGCCCTGCCGCCCAGGCTGGAGTGCAATGGCGCGATCTCGGCTCACTGCAACCTCCGCCTCTCAGGTTCAAGCGATTCTCCTGCCTCAGCCTCCCGAGTAGCTGGGATTACAGGCGCCCGCCACCACACCCGGCTAATTTCTTTGTATTTTTAGTAGAGATGGGGTTTCACCATGTTGGCTAGGCTGGTCTCGAACTCCTGACCTCAGGTGATCCTCCTGCCTCGGCCTCCCAAAGTGCTGGGATTACAGGCGTGAGCCACCGCTCCCGGCCAAGGTGGGGAGTATCTCTTAATGAGAGTGGGGAGGGGATATTTGGCCAAGGAGGGAATGAGAATATTCTGAGGGGGCAGCGCGTCGGAGGGGTGTGTCCACTTGGCTAGGGACAGACTTAGCATTGCAGAAGAAGGCGTGTTCTCCCTGACAACCACCGCTGAAAGTTGGGATGGAGGTGACTGGGGAATAGGCTCTCGGGTACCCTGAGCACTATGTGTTCTGTGCCACGCTATCGGGAGGCACTCTGTCGTTCTTACCTTGCTGCCTTGGGTAGGGTGAGGGGTAGACAGATATGTTCTTTGTCCAGAGTCTCAATGGGGGCACTGAGAAGAATGCCCAGAGGTTGGTGTGATAGGAGAAATTGTGTTTCTGAACCCCTTTGATCTTGAGTTCTTGATGACAGTCTTTTTAATGCACCATGTAGGCTGAATTTTAAAGGGCAGTAAATTAAAATATGCAATATCTGCAGAGACATAATACACCAGATTTTGCTATCTGAAGCATTCAGTGGAGACCTTCCTCGCCCTCCCCGCCTTTAGAAGTCTAATTGTTACTGTCAGTATATCCCATGAAGGGGTTGCACGCAGGAAGAGGGGCTCATTTAAGTAGTTGGGAGTCAGACAGCCATTACCTGTTCTGTGACCTTGGGCAGATAATTTTATTCTTGTGTGTCATGTTTTGGCGACAAAAAGATGCTGGGGAGTCCTTGCAGTGTGTAAACGTAATGCTAGTAAAAAGTTGTGTGATCTTTAGCTTCAAAGGAGTTAAGGACTTTTAATTGTAGCCTATATATCAAGGTGGTTTTGAAATCTCCATGATGCTGCTGGTTGTCTCCTTTCAAAAGGAGCTGTCTTAGAGTGTCTAGGAGAGTAAGAAGAGTTAACTTCTGTTTTTAATTCTGCCAAACTTGTTTAGAAATGGGTGTGCTATTTAACCTCACTGAGATGGGGTTTCTAAATTACTTTGAAGTGTTGTGGTCAAAGGAATGGTGTTTATGGTGGCTCACTTTCACTTTCAGTTAATAAGTATCAGGAAGGACCTTTTAGGTTCATGGAACTGTCTATGTCTAGTGATCTTACTGGCCCTCTGAGGTTAATTTATATTAAAGTTTTACAGATACTGTTGATCTGTTTTCTTAACCAAACGAATATTAAGAGAACACAGGCCAGGCTCGGTGGCTCACGCCTATAGTCCTAGCATTCTGGGAGACCAAGGTGGGTGGATCACCTGAGGTCGGGAGCTCAAGACCAGCCTGGCCAACATAGTGGTATCCTGTCTCTGCTAAAAATAGAAAAATTAGCCGGGCATGGTGGTGCACACCTGTAGTCCCAGCTACCCAGGAGGCTGAGGCAGAATCGCTTGAACCTGTGAGGCAGAGGTGCAGTGAGCCGAGATCAGGCCACTATACTCCAGCCTGGGTGACAGAGCGAGATTCTGTCTCAAGAAAAAAAAAAAACAAAACACTGCATAGTTAATTTTGGAATAGTACATTAACTCCTTTCTGAGATGTTTCCTTGAGTTCTAAGAAATGTGGCAGATCATCTTTCTGGAAAAGGTCCCTGTTTGTTTTTTTATTTTTCTAAAGTCAGTTTCTGTCTTTGCTCACATCAATAAAAATGCACAGAAAATAATTTTCAAGCTTGGTGACAACTCTCAACTATTTGGAAGTTATTAAAAAATTAGGCCATTTCTTATTTTAGCCAAGTATTATGTTAGTATCCTCCAGATTTTATTTTTTTAATTAGTTAGAAGAATGATAATCATATATATAGTTATATATATAAACAATGTATTTTTTTATATGTGTCATCTACGGACTTAAGGTGGAGTTTGGGGAAAGAAGAAAGCTGGCCTCTCAATACCTGTGTGCCAGGTATATATAATTTAATTCGATACAACCTTGTGAGATAGGTTTAGGTTTGATATAGTTTTATAAATGAGGAAACTAAAGTTTAAGGAAATTGAATGACTTGTTCAGGGTCATATAACTAGTAAGTGGTGGAACCAGGCTTAGAACAGGGGTCTTAATTCCAACCAATGCCAATATTCCTTCCATTCAGCCCCTGTTTTAAAAAGCATTTGCTTGTCAACATAGCCGCATTATTGAGGATGCTGCTGCTTGGGTGCATTTCATTAAGTGTAGCCTGAGGACAACATGGAGAAAGCCAAAGATACTAGAGTCTAGTTTCCTTTCTGATTCCTGTTGTTAACAGCCTCCTACCTACGTTATTTTTCTTATCTGAAATAGGTCTAATTCTTTCCTGACTTGAGAGGTTTAATTAATGTTTACACGGTGTTTTGAGATCTTCAGTTGAAAGTGGTTATAGGGAGTAACTTTAAAATTCTGTTAGTTGCCAAATAGATGCCTGAGTTCTCCCTTGGGATGTGCCTAGTGGCTTTGCATCTCTTTTTTTTTGAGACAGCGTCTCGCTCTGTCACCCAAGCTGGAGTGCAGCAGTGGTGCAATCACGGCTCACTGCAGCCTCAATCTCCTGGGCTCAGGCGATCCTCCTGCCTCAGCATCTCAAGTAGCTGGGAACACGGGTGCATGCCACCAAGCCCAGCTAATTATTATTATTAATATTATTATTATTATTTGTAGAGATAGGGTCTCCCTGTGTTGCCCAGGCTGGTCTCGAACTCCTGGGCTCAAGCTGTTTTCCCGCCTTGGCCTCCCAAAGTGCTGGGATTATTGCTGCCTCTTTTTAATGCCAGGAAAAAAAATAGCTTCTGTGTTCTTACTGGATGTCATGGTTCCCTTGTTTTGTTTTGAACAGTGTTGTTTTGTTTTGTTTTAGAGACAGAGTCTCACTCTGTGCCCAGGCTGGAGTGCAGTGGCATGATCATGGCTTACTACAACCTTGAACTCCTTGACTAAAGCAGTACTCCCACCTCAGCCTCCTGAGTAACTGGGATTATAGGCACGAACCACTGCACACTGCTCCTTTGTTTTATTTTTTTAAACAAATCGTTCTATTCTTCTGGGGCTGGTAGAGGTCATTGATAAACACTAGAAGAGAAGTCCAAGTCCCAGTTACCTCCTATTCCCATACCTGACCATCTTTACTGCCCACAGATAAAGTTCTTGCCAGCCAAATTGATCAGGTCTCCCCTCTGCCTTGTTTGTATGTGCATTTGGTAGGGTGAGGGGGGCATGTGAGCAATCTTACAGGTTCTGATCATTAGTTTTACTATAATTACTCATAATAACAAGAACACCATACATTCAGAGATTCATGATTTGTTTACAGAATATTTGTAGGATAGAGCAAAGAGTTTTGGATTTTTCTTCTCTTACACTCAAATATGGTTTTATTTTATTCATAAATAAGGGAACCAATTTCAGTGGGAAAACATTCACATTATAATTTTTTTTTTTTTGAGACGGAGTCTCGCTCTGTCACCCAGGCTGGAGTGCAGTGGCACCATCTCTGCTCAGTGCAAGCTCTGCCTGCCGGGTTCACGCCATTCTCCTGCCTCAGCCTCCTGAGTAGCTGGGACCACAGGCGCCCACCACCACGCCTGGTTAATTTTTTTTTTTTTTTTTTTTGTATTTTTAGTAGAGACGGGGTTTCACCGTGTTAGCTAGGATGGTCTCGATCTCCTGACCTCGTGATCTGCCCACCTCGGCCTCCCAAAGTGCTGGGATTACAGGCGTGAGCCACTGTGCCCGGCCTCACATTATTATTTAATATACTAAGAACAATATGGCCTAGTATAATCTTAAAACAAGCTGTCAAATGAGATAAAATTAGTTCAAAATACAAATAACTGATTTTTTATAGTTCTTTATAGTCTTCAGACTATAATCTCATTCAGACATAATTTCATTTTAGTCTCATCCAGGTGGATATTGGCGTGCATTTTATAAAGGAGAAACCAGTTCAGAGAAGTTTAAACATGGGGCCTAGTGTTTCATTGCTAATAATTGGTACAATTGATCTTTTACGCTTTTGAGTCTCTGCCCAAGTATGTCTTTTCAGAAACCCCGAAGTCAGGTAACTGTAATGTTTTCCTCTCAAGTATCCTGTTGCTAATCTTAAAACCCTTTCAGAATCTCTAGGAGACTGACGGGTGAGCAAAGTAGGCAACAGAAAATTTCCTGGTGTACAGGGGCAGATCTTCTGTACAGATGAATAAGAAGGGATAAGGCTGTCTTGACCTAAATTCTTTGTGCAGGTCCACCACTCCAGCCTTTCATTGCTGCCTCTGTCCTCTGCAGAATCCTTCCTCCCACCTGATCCCAGGAAACAGTATCAGCTATTGGCCTTCCCAGACAACTAGACTGGACCATCCCATAAACAGGAAGCTTTTTTCATCCCTAGCACATTTATGAGGGAAGATCAAGCAAGCTCTTTGAGCAAGACAAATTTCAGTCAGTGAAGGAGGATTTTTGCTTTCTGAAGCCTCCCTGAACCTCTTCTCTTGATTTGGCTCCATACCTCCTGTTCCACAACTTTTCCCTGCATTCCCCAACTCCACACCACCCCCTCCTCTTGTGCACGTACACCAACCTCCATCCCAATACATCTGTCTCAGATTTGCCAAAGTACTTGTACTAAAGGAGAACATCTGTATCACTCCCCTGCCTAAGACTATTCATTGACTACCTAACCTATAAGATGAGTTCTTATTATGTCTTTGAGAACTTATTTGATCTACCCTTATCATTTAAGCTCCTTTACAGTTTCCAACCATCTTTTTTTTTTTTTTAGATGGAGTCTCGCTCTGTTGCCCAGGCAGGCTGGAGTGCAGTGGTGCAATCTCGGCTCACTGCAAGCTCCACCTCCCGGGTTCATGCTATTCTCCTGCCTCAGCCTCCTGAGTAGCTGGGACTACAGGCACCTGCAACCATGCCTGGCTAATTTTTTGTATTTTTAGCAGAGACGGGGTTTTACCGTGTTAGCCAGGATGGTCTCGATCTCCTGACCTCGTGATCCACCCATCTCAGCCTCCCAAAGTGCTGGGATTACAGGCGTGAGCCACCACGCCCGGCCATCTCCAACCATCTTTTGATTTTATTTTCTATTTTTCACTCACATCACTATTTCCTAAGGTATGTTATAGGCATTACTTGAAAGAAAAATGTTTTGTGAGGAAATAAGCTTGGAAAATACTGAGTTAAACAAAATAAAACAAGTTTATGAGTTTCTTAAATCTTTAAACATGCTAATATGCTAATATGTAGTATAAATCTTCAATATAATGTAATTTCCCCAATTTAGATCACCAGGAAACAGGTTTTTGTTTTTTCTGTAGCATCTTTAAGGCTTAACTCAAACTTTCCCTAAACTCCTTTAATAGTTACCATGCTGGCCTGCCTTTGGTTAGTGTCCTTATTTAACCATAAACCTTATGCTCTGAATAGATTGAGAGCTCATGTCTCTAGACTAGGATATCTATATTCCAACCATTTCTACAACTCTGTGTACAAAGTCTTTCAATTAGGCTCTAGAAGAGTGTGGTACATAGATGAATTTTGATGAAAAAGATAAGAAATATGAGCAGCATAGTTCTCAGAGGAAGAATAGAGATGAAAGAGATAAGCAAGAATAGTATAGACAGGTGATCATTCAATTCAACAGACAACTTTTTTTTGAGATGGAGTCTCGCTTTGTCGCCCAGGCTGGAGTGCAGTTGTGCCATCTCAGCTCACTGCAACCTCTGCCTCTCGGGTTCAAGCGATTCTTCTGCCTCAGCCTCCCAAGTATCTGGGATTACAGGCATGTGCCACAATGTCCAGCTAATGTTTGTATTTTTAGTAGAAACAGGGTTTCACCATGTTGGCCAGGCTGGGCTTGAATTCCTGACTTCAAGCGAGCCACCCGCCTCACCCTCCCAAAGTGCTGGGATTACAGGTGTGAGCCACCACACCTGGCTTCAACAGATACTTTCAGAATGATACACTGTTGAACCCTGGGTGAGTACTGGGTATTTCAAAAAGAACTTAGACATGGTTTTCTTGATAGGAAGTTTCACCTGGTAGAGGAGACAGATAATTGATACATAGATAGATAGAAAATTATTCAAATGTCATATGATAAATACTAAAGAAAATACGGGTGCTCTTAGATAGATGAAAGAACAATAGAATTTGCATGATGGTTTCAAGAAAGACTTCACAGAGGAGCAGGCATGGTGGTGTGCACCTGTGGTCCCAGCTGCTTAGGAGGCTGAGGTGGGAGGATTAGTTGAGCCCAGGAGTTCGAGACCAGCCTGGGTAATAGCAAGACCCCATACCTGGGAAATGACTAGAGATCAACCTGAAAACGTGGACTGGATTCAGGTTGATAGGCCTGTGTAAGCCATGGAAATAAGTTTTGGGTTGAAGCACTTTTTTTCTTTTTTCTTTTTCTTTGAAGGATTTTAAGCAAAAGAGTAACCTTCCAGAATGGAATTTGGATGGAGTGGGGAATAGGGAGAGCAGATAAGGAGGCTCTTGGAGTTGTCTAGCCTAGAGATGGGTCTTAAATAGGGCAGGAAAAATGAAGATGTTAAGGGTACAGTTCATTGTGACAAGTTGGCGCATGTCTACCACCCTGATGCCTACTAGGGGTCTATTTGTAAATGGGTAGCCTAGTTATGTTACATGACTTGGGGATGGAAAGTACAGACATAATATAGGAACACATTTCTTTAACCACTGAAGTCTATTGGAGCATAATCAAATTTATACTAATGGAAATCTCTTTCCAGGGCTGAAGCTAAGTAATGCTGTGGTCTAGCTTGTCACTTTATGAAGTTTCTGAAGATTTAGGAAATTAATAAAATGAGTAAAAGTTGTATGAACTTAAGCAGCAGGGGCTGGGGTGGGCGGTCTGTAGTCTTTTTCTTTTTTATTATTTTTTATTTTTTTGAGATAGGGTTTAACTCTGTAACTCTGTTGCCCGTGCTGGAGTGCAGTGGTGCAATTTCAGCTCACTAGAACCTCAACCTCCCAGGCTCAGGTGATCCTCCCACCTCAGCCTCCTAAGTAGCTGGGACTGCAGGCATGTGCCACCACACGCCACCGCGCCCCACCACACTCGGCTAATTTTTGTTGTTGTTGTTATTTGAAGAGAGAGTCTCACTCTGTCACCCAGGCTGGAGTGCAGTGGTGCAATCTCGGCTCACAGCAACCTCTGCCTCCTGGATTCAAGTGATTCTCCTGCCTCAGCCTCCCGAGTAGCTGGGAGTAGCTGGGACTACAAGTGCACGCCACCATGCCCAGCTAATTTTTTTGTATTTTTAGTAGAGAGGGGTTTTGTCAGGTTGGCCAGGCTGGTCTCGAACTCCTGACCTCAGGTGATCCACCCACCTCAGCCTCCCAAAGTGCTGGGATTACAGGCATGAGCCACCATGCCCGGCCTAATTTTTGTGTCTTTCGTAGAGATGGGATTTCACCATGTTGCCCTGGCTGGTCTTGAACTCTTGGGTTCAAGTGATCCTCCTGCCTTTGCCTGACAAAGTTCTGGGGTTATGGGCATGAGCCACTGCACCCAGCTGTGTCTGTATTCTTCACAGCATGTAATTTTCTACACCTTTCTTTTAGCTTCTGATTAGCAAGCCTGACTGATTGGTTAAGCTAAAAGAGCAGAGTAGGAGAGATGCACCAGCATGGGACGTGGAAGAGAAGGAACAAAGTGGACAGGGCAGATTGGGTTTCAAGGATGAGGTATTTTCTTTTCTTTTTTTTTTTTTTTTGAGACAGGGTTTAGCTCTGTCTCCCAGGCTGGAGTGCAGTGGCACGATCTTGGCTCACTGCAGCCTCCACCTCCCGGGCTGTAGCCGTCCTCCCACCTCAGCCTCCTGAGTAGCTGGGACTACAGGCATGCACTACAGGCATGCACCACCACGCCTAGCTAATTTTTGTATTTTTTTTTTTTGTAGAGATGGGGTTTTGCCATGTTGCCCAGACTGGTCTCGAACTCCTGAGCTCAAGCAATCCACCCACCTTGGCTTCCCAAAGTGCTGGGATTACAGGTGTGATCCACCATGCCCAGGCGAGGTTTTTTTTTTCCAACTATTCGGGAAGAAGATTACCGTATTCAGAACTTAGGGGTTTACCACTAAAGTGGGTTTATATGAAATTTTAGGATTAGGTTATAGTACCTGGCATATAATAAGCCAATAGATACATGGATACATTGAAAAGATTGCTTTAGAGCAGAGTGATGGCCTAGGAGAAGACCTAGAATGTCCTAGGGAAGGTCAAACAACCAAAACAAGAGAGGGTCTCTGTCATTCATGCAACACAGGTATTTTGAGCATGAACCAGTATACTAGACTGAGATTAAAAAGTGGATGATATGTCTCCTTAAGTCCAGTGTGGTTTGGAAGGCAAGCATATAAACAGTTAGTTACATTATAATGTAAGTGTTATAAAATAATTGTGCACACCCACGAAGTAGGCAACGAGCTGCCTAGAGAGGTTAAGTATATTTTACAGAGAAAATGACACCTGAGTTGGTTCTTAAATGGGTACTTGTCAGGGCAAGAAGTAAGGACAAGACATTTCTAGGTAGAAGGAATAGAGTATGTAAAAGCCAGAAAGTAGGACAGAGTGTACGATGTTTTTACGCCATATATCTTTGAGGACAAGGTCTCACATGCAGTTTTAGAACGTGTTTAGCTACGTTTGAATGTGACAAGTACCTATACCTCCATTTGGTGGAATAGAAGCTAAGGTTTGGAGATTGTTTTTTTTTTTTTTTGAGATGGAATTCCTCTTTTGTTGCCCAGGCTGGAGTGCAGTGGTGTGGTCTTGGCTCACTGCAACCTCCGCCTCCCAGTTTCAAGCAATTCTCCTGCCTCAGCCTCCCGAGTAGCTGGATTACAGGCATGCGCCACCATGCCTGGCTAATTTTTGTATTTTTAGTTGAGACGGGATTTCACCATGTTGGCCAGGCTGGTCTTGAACTCCTGACCTCAGGTGATCCACCTGCCTCGGCCTCCCAGAGTGCTGGGATTACAGGCGTGAGTGACTGCACCAGGCCGGTTTGGAGATTTTAATAGCTTCATGTCATGCAGCATGAGTCAGAGGCAAGAGCTCAGACCAGGTACCCAAAAACAGGAATGCCAAATCTCGTGCCCTGAGTAATTCTGTGTCGTAGTAATAGATTGCTGTGGATTCATGAGTAATTTGGGGTTATTTTACTTCCTTGGCACCAAATTACACACTCAAAATTGACATTGTTGATCCTATCCAATGTTCTTCTTTTTCAAGAAAAAAAAAAAAGTGGGCTGGGCACGGTGGCTCACACTTGTAATCCCAGCACTTTGGGAGGCTGAGGCAGGAGGATCACTTGAAGGCCAGGAGTTCGAGACCAGCCTGGCCAACATGGTGAAACCCCATCTCTACTAAAAATACAAAAAATGTAGCTGGGCATGGTGGCGGGCGCCTGTAAGCCCAGCTACTTGGGAGGCTGAGGCAGGAGAATCGCTTGAACCCAGGAGGCAGAGGTTGCAGTAAGCCGAGAGCACGCCATTGCACTCCAGCCTGGGCAACAAGAGTGAAACTCCGTCTCAAAAAAAAAAAAAAAAAAAAAAAAGAAGTGGGGGCTGGGGGAATGTTAATAAACATTTACTTCTGCCATGTGAGGTAGGAATGGATGATGAAGTGTTCAAGGCTCCCTACTGGATGTCCACTTAATTTGTATCTTTAGAAGTTGACTTAGTGCTTTTCTGAGGTCATCCAGTAACTTTCCCATTTAATGCAAAATAACAAGCTAGTCACTGTCTTGAGGAGACACGTTGTTTATCTTTAGTAGTTATTTTGCAGCTAGGTGGGGTAAATTTGCCCAGAACTCCTACAGGATATGAATCATTTGCATTCATAGACTGACCTGTTCTCACTTTGTTCTTTCTGAAAAGAGTTTTAATACAGCCTGTATTATATAACATAGGGGATACATTGTCATTTATATTTTCAGCATCATTCTCAAGTCAATTTGCAGACTCTATGATAAACCTGAGAACTTGAGTTGCTATGATTAACATCTCATGTACATTCAAATAAACAAGCAAACTGTAGAATAAATCCCAGAAAATGTTATTAGCTTTTTGTACACGTTATTTGAGGTCTTTGAATATTGCGGGAGAGTATTGGAATAGAGGACAGAGTGCAGATGGCAACACGGAAACCTGCAATTACTGATGTTTTTAAAAATGTGTGTCATAGACCAAGCTTGGTGGCTCACGCCTGTAATCCCAATGCTTTGGGAGGCTAAGGCGGGAGGGTTGCTTGAAGACAGAAGTTCCAGACCAGCCTGGGCAACATAGCAAGACCAACCCTGTCTCTACAAAAAAAAAATAAAAAGAAAAAAGAAAAAGTTAGCTGGGCATGGTGGTATGCACTGGTACTTGGAGGCCTGAGGTGGGATCACTTGAGCCCAGGAGTTTCAGGTTGCAATGAGCTATCATCACACCACTGTCCAGAAGCTGGGCAACAGAGTGGGACCTTGTCTTCAAAAAAAAAAAAAAAAAAAAAATTGTGTGATTAACTTTCATAACTTTCCATTTATTTATTTATTATTTTTTTTAGACAGAATCTCACTCTGTCACCCAGGCTGGAGTGCAGTGGCGCAAACGTGGCTCACTGGAGCCTCAACCTCCCAGCCTCAAGCAGTCCTCCCACCTCAGCCTCCCAAGTAGCTGTGACTGCAGGCCTGTGTCACCATACCTGGCTGATTTTTTTTTTTTTTTGAGATGGAGTCTCACACTGTCACCCAGGCTGGAGTGACACCCATGGTGGCGCAATCTCTGCTCACTGCAACCTCCACCTCCCGGGTTCAAGCGATTCTCCTCCCTCAGCCTCCTGAGTAGCTGGGATTACAGGCGCCCGCCACCATGCCCAGCTAATTTTTTGTATTTTTAGTAGAGACAGCGTTTCACCATGTTGGCCAGGCTGGTCTCGAACTCCTGACCTTGTGACTTGCCTGCCTCAGTGTCCCAAAGTGCTGGGATTACAGGTGTGAGCCACCACGCCAGGCTGTTTTTTTTTTTTTTTTTTTTTTTTTTTTTTAAGAGAAAAGGTCTTGCTGTGTTGCCCAGGCTGGTCTAAAAATGCTGGCCTCAAGCGATCTTCCTGCCTCAGCCTCCCAAAGTGCTGAGATTACAGGCATGAGCCATCTCACCTGGCTAAAATGTTATTTTATACAAGTATTATATTTCTTGTTAGAGTAATCTGAGCGCTTAATTGACATATTTGGAATTAATCAGAAAGGCTAATAGTTATATAAATATATTGGATTGTTTGTGTGAGACTAATTCTTGGTAAATGAACATGAACTACAAGAAATGGTCGACATTAGTGCTGATAAATTCTGAATCTTTACATGAAGAATATGTGTCACAGCTGAGTGCAGTGGCTCACACCTGTAATCCCAACACTTTGAGAAGCCAAGACAGGCAAATCACCAGAGGTCAGGAGTTGAAGACCAGTCTTGCCAACATGGTGAAGCCCTGTCTCTACTAAAAAAAAAAAAAAAAAAAAGCCGGGCGTGGTGGCGGGCGCCTGTAATCCCAGCTACTCGGGAGGCTGAGGCAGGAGAATCACTTGAATTTGGGAGAAGATTGCAGTGAGCCGAGATCACGCCACTGCGCTCCATCCTGGGCGATATAGTGAGACTCTGTCTCAAAAAAAAAAAAAGAATATGTGTCAGAAGAGAGAAAGGGAGGTATGGCCTTAATGCTATTTTAATTTATAAGATAGAGGCCTGGTATTCTTGGATTCTGGAGCCTATCAAGACATTTCAAGGTATAGGTTTGAATTGAAAAAGTATGGAAAGATAAGATGAGCTTTCAAGAGGGATGCTGATCATAAGTCTTTAGGGTTTATTGTCTCTGTGACTATGGTCAGACCAGCTTCACTGTGGAACTGGAACTTAAGAATGAAAAAGGCAGCATGCTTTCCAACTGCCTGACTGCTTGTTGGCCTCACCGGTGGGAGCTCCAGCATCTCCTTTGCTCGAAATGGACCCCAACTGCTCCTGTGCCACTGGTGGCTCCTGCATGTGCGCCGGCTCCTGCAAGTGCAAAGAGTGCAAATGCACCTCCTGCAAGAAGAGCTGCTGCTCCTGCTGCCCCGTGGGCTGTGCCAAGTGTGCCCAGGGCTGCATCTGCAAAGGGGCGTTGGAGAAGTGCAACTGCTATGCCTGACGTGGGGACAGCTCTGCTCCCAGATGTAAATAGAGTAACCTGCACAAACCTGGATTTTTTAAAAAATACAACACTGAGCCATTTGCTTCATTTCTTTTTATATTAAATATGTTAATGACAATAAAACAATTTTTACTTGAAGAAAAAAAATGAAAAAGGCTGAGTGCAGTGGCTCACGCCTGTAATCCCAGCACTTTGGGAGGCCGAGGAGGGCGGATCATAAGGTCAAGAGATCGAGACCATCCTGGCCAACATGGTGAAACCCTATCTCTACAAAAATACAAAAATTAGCTGCGCATGGTGATGCATGCCTATAGTCCCAGCTACTAAGGAGGCTGAGGCAGGAGAATCGCTTGAACCCGGGAGGCGGAGGTTGCAGTGAGCCGAGTCGCGCCACTGCACTCCAGCCTGGCGACAGAGCGAGACTCCATCTCAAAAAAAAAAAAAAAAGAATGAAAAGGTAGCATGGTGGCTCATGCCTGTAATTCCAGCACTTTGGGAGGCTGAGGCAGGCTGATTGATTGAGCCCGGAAGTTTGCGACCAGCCTGGGCAATGGGGCGAAACCCCATCTCTATGCAAATTACAAAAATTAGCCAAGTGTGGTGGTGCGCACCTGTAGTCCCAGCTACTCTAGAGGCTGAGGCAAGAGGATTGCTTGAGCCTGGTATGCGGAGGTTGCAGTGAGCCACTGCATTCCACCCTGGGTGACAGTGAGACCCCATCTCAAAAAAAAAAAAGAAGGAATTAAAAAATAAACTTTAGTTTTTGCCATAGCTCTTTATTTCACTAATGTCCTCTTCCTTCGTATAAACAAATACTAATCTCTCTAAATATAGCAAACTATCAAAAGGAAATAGTTTTGTACCCTGTTATTTATGAAACTTATTATGACAAACTACTCCTAAAGCAGCTTCAGCTATGATTGAATAAATGCTGGAAATCCAGGATAAATAAGATACTCCACCTCCACTTTTTAAAGTAAATAAATGATTTGTGTTTTTGGAATCTCAAGAAATTTATAGCCAGGCATGGTGGCTCACGCCTGTAATCCCAGCACTTTGGGAGGCCGAGGCGGGTGGATCACCTGAGGTCAGGAGTTTGAGACCAGCCTGGCCAACATGGTGAAACCCCATCTCTACTAAAAATACAAAAAAAATTAGCCAGGCGTGGTGGCTTGCACCTGTAATCCCAGCTACTAGGGAGTCTGTGGCAGGAGAATTGCTTGAACCTGGGAGGTGGAGGTTGTAGTAAGCCGAGATTACACCACTGCACTCCACAATCCAGCCTGGGTGACAGAGCAAGACTGTCTCAAAAAAAAAAAGTTTACTTTCTCACATGGGATATATTTTACAGTTGGTCAAATGTGCTTGTGTGTGTATATGTGTGTATGTGTATTCTTTTCTCTGTATCATATGTGATAGTGGGGTAGTGCCAAACATTGTTAACTCTGATGAATAATGTCTCTTTTGGTTAGATCATTCTTACCTTACTGGTATCTCTTACTGTTTCCTTACCTAGTTATGCTGTTATTGCCTATGGCTGTGCCAGCTGCCCGAAGCTAACTTGTGAGAGGGAAGGTTGCCAGACTGAGTTCTGCTACCACTGCAAGCAGATATGGCATCCAAATCAGACATGCGATATGGCCCGTCAACAGAGGGCCCAGACTTTACGAGTTCGGACCAAACACACTTCAGGTCTCAGTTATGGGCAAGAATCTGGACCAGGTATAAGTTGGCATTATCTCATTGTCTCTTTATTTGGTATTTCATGATGTGAGCCCATAGCTGAAAGAAATTATCTTATTGTATAACCCAAGTACTCCAAAGGATCAGAGAGCAGAAAATATCATTTGATAATACTTTCAATATTATAATAAAGATAGCACTTCCCTCTCTGACCATTATAGGTTATCCAACTATATAAAATTGAAATGCAACAAAATTGAATTATGTAGTTCCTACTTTCTTAGTAATATGTCTCAGATTGGAGAGCAATTAGTTCATTTTGTTTTGCTAGGGGCTTTTTCAAAACTTTCATTGTGAACAGAAAGACATTTAATTAGTATTAAACCTGTGCTGTTTGCCTTCAAGCTGACTTAAGTGCCTCACTGCCTTTGGAAGTAGAGTACAGATTGAAGAAAAGGAAACAGTATTAGTATAGATTAATGATTAACCTTAAAAGGAGGAATGTCACACATTCAGCTCCAACCTTGGCGAGTCAGAGGAAACCTATTTTAAAATGTCAGTGGATTTATTGCTTTGTACTTTTATTTTGCTGATGTCATTTGGGAGAGGCTAGTAGGAAAGATTTTGCCATTCACTTTTTCCTGGCACAGCATAATTTCCTAAATTGTCATTTTATTAGGATAGTTCATAACTTGCTCTGAAAATTACCAAGTATATGGTAGATAGCATACCCAGTTGTTTTTAGGTTTTGAATTTGAAAGTATCATGGGAAGGGATTGTGGGCTATGTTAACAGCAAATCACAATGATACATGTTGAACCTGAAAAATA
This sequence comes from Homo sapiens, assembly GCF_000001405.40. Taxonomy (NCBI): domain Eukaryota; kingdom Metazoa; phylum Chordata; class Mammalia; order Primates; family Hominidae; genus Homo; species Homo sapiens. Next base: position 32,948,777 of record NC_000001.11, on the reverse strand, counting down.
AATTTCCCAAACTAAAGTTTTTAAAAATGTAAAGCTAATTCCAGGCTGCAGGCTATTCTTTCTGTAGGATTCTTCTTTTAAATCTACCAGCCTATCGACTGGTAGAAATTTCATTTTTCTTGGAAACATCTTTCTCCCTAAGGAAATCTCCTTGCTAGAATGTGGTTCAAGTGCTGTGTAAGATGCCAGTTGTTGGGATAGGCAGCTCAATAAGAGACAGGATTCATTTTATGAAAATTCCTGAGGTCTAGACATAGCCAACCTTCCAGTAAAGTGGGTTGTACAATTTGGAGTGTTCAGTGAAGAGTTCTTGACTGCTGCCTCATTTCTTATATATACTCCTAGGAACAATTAAATCAAACTGGATTTAACTAGGGGTATTTTTTCTACCCATTCTTCCCCCACTCATAGCAGATGACATCAAGCCATGCCCACGATGCAGTGCATACATTATCAAGATGAATGATGGAAGCTGTAATCACATGACCTGTGCAGTGTGTGGCTGTGAATTCTGTTGGCTTTGTATGAAAGAGATCTCAGACTTGCATTACCTCAGGTAAGATGGGAAATGCATCCATTCCTTTCGTAGTCTCATTCTCTTACTGATTTAGGGAAAAGGATGTCAAAAAGACACATCCGTTCTCTCATTACAGGTTTAAGGAAGCTGTGAAAACTTCTTCTGACATGCTCCTCTAATCATGTTTTCACCAGCTACTATTCTGTTTCTACCTTTCTTTGCTTGCCATATTACAGGTAGTCTGGACTTGCTTTTTCCCTTTTGCTGTCTTGCCTCCATACTTGTTCATGTTCTTTCCTTTGCCTAGAATGCTTTCTGCCTACCTTCCAGTATCCTCCTTTTATCTCAACTTGTTCAGTTCTTATCTTTTAAGAGCCACTTAAATGCCTTTCATCCATGTTGCCTCTCCTTTTTCCGCCTCATTCTTTGACTTTCTTTTATCTTTTGTCATAAATATCGTCAGTACTTTACACTTCACGTACCTATCTTATCTTACTAAACTGTAAGTATCTTGAGGCTAGAGTTGTGACCTTTTTACAGTTTTTTGCATTTAGTGAGTTCCCAAGGAATTCATTAAGTGAATTCTTTTTTTTTTTTTTTTTAAGACAGAGTTTCTCTCTGTCGCCCAGGCTGGAGTGCAGTGGCTCGATCTCGACTCACTGCAACCTCCACCTCCCAGGTTCAAGTGATTGTCCTGCCTCAGCCTCCTAAGTAGCTGGGATTACAGGCACCTGCCACCATGCCCAGCTAATTTTTGTATTTTTAGTGGAGGCGGGGTTTCACCATGTTAGCCAGCCTGGTCTCGAACTCGAACCTCAGGTGGTCCGCCTGCCTCGGCCTCCCAAAGTTCTGGGATTACAAGCGCGAGCCACCGCGCCCAGCCTCATTGAGTGAATATTAAAATGTTGTGGAGGAGTTAATATTTACAAACAAAATGTTTGCTAATATTTACAAATAAACAAAATGTGTTAATATTTACAAACAAACATTCATTGTGTAAATGAAACACAACACCTTCATTGCCAATTTGTCGAACATTTGAGTACTTACTGTGTGCTAGTCATTGGGGACATAGGGGTGAGTAAGACATGATCCCTATTTTCAAAATTGTTTATCCCTTCTAGTGGAGAAGATAGCACAAAGAGAATGGGCAAAAATGGTTGGGCACAGAAGGGCTGACTGTAAAAGTAGCCAAACTCAGAATACCAAACTGATAGAAAGGTTATGATGAGGTCTTTTTATATCCTCTCCCACGAACATGGTTTGCAGTATCTATTAGGTATGGTAGGACATATGCCAAGAAAACTACACAAATCAGAGTGTTCATTAGTGCAGGGTGCAGTGTGTCTGGATGGGATGTCAAGTGCATAAGGCTATGCAGCATCCCAAGTATTGTCAGTCATGGAAGCTAGATCAGTTTTGGTGGGTTAGGGAAGACAGAATTCAGCAGAGAAGAATGGAAAAGGAATTTCAAGTCTGGAAGCCTGTCTTTACAACAACAACCAAAAAAGTTAAAGAGCCCAGAGCTCTAATAGTCTGGCCTTGTCCTTTGCTCTCCCTTGTGTAATGTATTCATTTCCCATAAACTCTTCTGTTAATCCTTACTGAAAAGAAGGCTGTTGCTGTTATCAAGCCCTATGATAATACTAGCTGTATTTGTAATGTTGACATTAACTTCAGTCTGTTTCCCCTGCAGCCCCTCTGGCTGTACATTCTGGGGCAAGAAGCCATGGAGCCGTAAGAAGAAAATTCTTTGGCAGCTGGGCACGTTGATTGGTGCTCCAGTGGGGATTTCTCTCATTGCTGGCATTGCCATTCCTGCCATGGTCATTGGCATTCCTGTTTATGTTGGAAGGAAGGTAAGAAAGACATGCTGGTTTCTGTGCTTGTTTCAACTTTAGGTTCGTTAGTAAAGGTTTGAGGGAAATGGGAAGGAGCTATGTTTCAGAGCTGCCTGAAAACCAGCTGGTTCTTAGATAAAAATAACCTTACTTTCTTAAATGGATTTTCATAAACCCCCATGAGATCTGAAAGTTCTTATTAACATCCTGGGCCTGGCTTGTCTCAGTGACTTAAAGGTAGAATGCTGGGCCAGGCATGATGGTTCACATTTGTAATACGTGGCCTAGCACTTTGGGAAGCCAAGGCAGGTAGATCAGTTGAGCCCAGGTGTTTGAGACCAGCCTGGGCAACATGACAAAACCCATCTGTACCCAAAAAAATAGAAAAATTAGCTGGGTATGGTGGCATGTGCCTACAGTCCCAGCTACTAGGGAGGCTGAGGTGGGAGGATTGCTTGAGCCCAGGGACGTAGAGGTTGCAGTGAGCCAAGATCGCACCACTGCACTCCAGCCTGCATGACAGACTCCAAAAAAAAAAATAAAAGAAGAAGGTAAAATGCTTACTTCATTCTGCTGGAGTTATTTTGTCTCTTTTTGGATTAACTTTGCCTGTATTACTTTATATCTTCCAGGTCTGAGTTAGGTTAAAATTTGATAAAGATGCCTATTTGGGGTAGAGGATATGTTTTAATATAGATAACTTACAAGTGAATATTCACCTGTCCTTTTTTTCTCTGGCAAAAGATTGATGTCCTAACCTGCTGACCTGGATTTTCTTTTTTTATTCTTAGATTCACAGCAGGTATGAGGGAAGGAAAACCTCCAAACACAAGAGGAATTTGGCTATCACTGGAGGAGTGACTTTGTCGGTCATTGCATCCCCAGTTATTGCTGCAGTTAGTGTTGGTAAGCTAGTCAGGACCACACCTCTTCTCTCTCAGCTTTCTGACCATAGCAGTTTAGCCAGATGGCCAGATGTTTCTCAAAGACTCCTACATTTTATGCGAACCCACCTTGATAGTAAATTCTGTTAGGCACCATGATTATGATTATTTTTAAGTTTTTCAAGCACACCAAATTATCAGAGTGTGCAATCTTTTGTTCTTAAGTTAGTGCCTAGAACTCCATTTGGCACATAGAAAAGGTTGAATTACAGAAACTTATTTTAAGCCCTAGTTTTCACCTTTCATCTTCCTTCTCTACTTGCCATGAAATCCACAAAACAAAATTACTTTTGTTTTGATTTGTTTAATGCTTCACATTACTTTGGGAGGCATAAGAGTTTGTTTTAGAATAATAATAGTGTAACTAACATTTAATGTGGCTCTTCATGTGCCAGGAGTGGTTCTGAGACTTTTGCATATATTAATTTATTTAATCCTCACAATCCTTACAAAAGGAAGCACAATTTTAATAGAAAGGTGCAGTAATTGGCTGGGCGCAGTGGCTCACGCCTGTAATTCCAGTGTTTTGGGAGGCCGAGGCGGGCGGATCACGAGGTCAGGAGATCGAGACCATCCTGGCTAACACGGTGAAACCCCATCTCTACTAAAAATACAGAAAATCAGCCGGGTGTGGTAGCGGGTGCCTGTAGTCCCAGCTACTTGGGAGGCTGAGGCAGGAGAATGGCGTGAACCTGGGAGGCGGAGCTTGCAGTGAGCCGAGATCGTGCCACTGCACTCCAGCCTGGGCAACAGAGTGAGACTCCGTCTCAAAAAAAAAAAAGAAAGGTGCAGTAATTTTCCCAAGGTCACTTAGCTGGGACATGAATCAAGTTAATCTGCCTTCAGATCCTGTTCTCTTAACAGCTAAGCCATTCTACCTCACACAGCAGTAAGATTTTGGAATTAACATCCTGAGGAGATCCTAAACTCCAAGCAGTAGTCACTTATTTAATATTTGATTCTTGATTGGCTCTTGATTGGGTTAGCATTTCAGCAGTGATTAGAAGAGGGGAAAATGAAAGCAACATATATTTACTGTGCAAAACACAGTACATAGCATTCTCATTTGATTATTGACAACCCTGGGAAGATAGGTCCAAGGTTATACAGCTAGTAAATGGAGCCAAGAATCTAATCCAGACCTTTCTGATTTCTAGCCTGGTCATCATTCTGTTACACCAGGCCACCTTTTTGGGATAGCCACTTTCTGTCTTCCTTTCTTTATAAAGTGGTTTGTCCATGCCCAGACTGGGAAGAAGAATTCAGGGCACTTGCAACCTAATAGCCAGCTGACATGTTTCCTTCTCTTCCCCCAGGTATTGGTGTCCCCATTATGCTGGCATATGTTTATGGGGTTGTGCCCATTTCTCTTTGTCGTGGAGGCGGCTGTGGAGTTAGCACAGCCAACGGAAAAGGAGTGAAAATTGAATTTGATGAAGATGATGGTCCAATCACAGGTAAAAAGCAGGATGTTTATTTCCATTTGAATTTATGATATACAAGATAAAAATCAGTAAAATTCAGCGCATTTTACAGGGAGATTGTCATTGGATTACTTTGGATAATGAGCTTTGTAGGGGGTAAAGTATTTTTAGCTTTTCATTTCTTTGTTCCAAAGTTATTAGGTTAATTCCCCTGGTACTTGCCTCTGTGTGGCAGGTACAAACTAGTAGGAATCCAAGTAACTCCAAGTATGCTGGTAGTAGTAGTGATTATAATAACATCTTTATATCTGCACAGTACTTGATAATTTTCAGAGTATTTTACACAATTATCTCACTTGCTTTTTACAACAAACAGCTCTCTGACGAGGGAGGATGGAGCTGTTATCCCCATTTAAATGGGAATTTCTTTTTTTTTTTTTGAGACGGAGTCTCTGTCACCCAGGCTGGAGTACGATGTCGCGATCTCGGTTCACTGCAACCTCCGCCTCCCAGGTTCAAGTGATTCTCCTGCCTCAGCCTCCTGAGTAGCTGGGACTACAGCAACGTGCCACCACGCCTGGCTAATTTTTTTTTTTTAGTATAGACGGGGTTTGGTGTTTCACCGTGTTAGCCAGGAAGATCTCGATCTCCTCACCCCATGATCCGCCCACCTTGGCCTCCCAAAGTGCTGGGATTACAGGTGTGAGCCACCACATCTGGCCTAAATGGGAATTTCTTTAAGCTTTCATCTTACTATCTATTAAGAGCTTCACAGAGCTGAGACTAGGGCAAGTCTTCTGACTTTTACTTTAATGTGGTTTCTACTCGTAGTAAGTAACGTAGGGCACAAGTAACGTAGAAAACCCCAAAGGTTTTTCTAGCTTCCTTTTTTCTTTTCTTTTTTTTTTTTTGAGACGGAGTCTTGCTCTGTTGCCCAGGCTGGAGTGCAGTGGCATGGTCCTGGCTCACTGCAGGCTCCGGCTCCTGGGTTCGCGTCATTCTCCTGCCTCAGCCTCCCGAGTAGCTGGGACTACAGGCACCCGCCACCACGCCCGGCTAAATTTTTTGTATTTTTAGTAGAGATGGGGTTTCACCGTGTTAGCCAGGATGGTCTCCATCTCCTGACCTCGTGATCCGCCCGCCTCGGCCTCCCAAAGTGCTGGAAGTACAGGCGTGAGCCACCGCGCCCGGCCGGTTTTTCTAGCTTTCTACTAGAAGCTTCCTATTAAAATCAGCACATGACCCAAACATATTTTTTAAATCTTCACGTTTGGTTACATGGAAGCAACAGTGTAGTGGAAAGAATAGTGGCCTTGGAATCAGAGTTATAGTTTCATGTAACTACCATGGCCTTGGACAAGTCATTTAGTTTTAAATTTTAGTTTTCTCATCTAAAATTGAGGCTATTAATGCCTAGTTATTTGGAGGATTAAATATGAACATATGTTAAAACACCTGATATGTGGCGACTGCACACAGTACCTGTTCATTAAGTAAATACATTAGTTCTCTGAAAAGTCATTGCAGGAAAATGCCTACTGACTGTTTTGATGCTCTGCTGTCTTGAATTGGATGTTTGGTTCTATCCCCAGTGGCAGATGCCTGGAGAGCCCTCAAGAATCCCAGCATTGGGGAAAGCAGCATTGAAGGCCTGACTAGTGTATTGAGCACTAGTGGAAGCCCTACAGATGGACTTAGTGTTATGCAAGGTCCTTACAGCGAAACGGCCAGCTTTGCAGCCCTCTCAGGGGGCACGCTGAGTGGCGGCATTCTCTCCAGTGGCAAGGGAAAATATAGCAGGTAAACAAATAGATAATTTCTGACAGAAATGGTTAGAATTATAAGAAGTAACACATTGAGCCATTTCTCTGTGCCAGGCTTGTGCCACGTATCATCTTATTTTGATTTAATTGTCAATGGTTTTGTTTTGTTTTGTTTTTACTTTTTTATTTTTAAAGACAGAGTCTCACTCTGTGGCTCAGGCTGGAGTGCCATGGCGTGATCTCGGCTCACTGCAAGCTCCGCCTCCTGGGTTCAAGCGATTCTCCTGCCTCAGCCTACTGAGTAGCTGGGATTACAGGCACCCGCCACCACGCCCAGCTAATTTTTTGTATTTTTAGTAGAGATGGAGTTTCACCATGTTAGCTAGGATGGTCTCAATCTCCTGACCTCGTGATCCGCCCGCCTTGGCCTCCCAAACCGTTGGGATTACAGGCATGAGTCACTGCGACAGGCCTTTTTTTTTTTACTTTTACAAATAGGAAACAAGCTTAGAAAAAAAGGTTACGTCAGTTATGCAAAGTTCATTGTTCTTTCCATTGCACCATAGCTGCCTCTATATAAAGAATAATCCTGACTTGAGATTCCCCCTTGACTGCCTGAGGCTGCCTGCTTCAGGAAGGGAGAGTAGGCATTTTTATAGAATTCGTAAAATGCTCTCCGTTAGGCTTGTCATTGGCTTTCAGTAGCATTTATGCTGTATCATGGCTTATTTATTTTATTTTATTTTTTTGAGACGGAGTCTTGCTCTGTCGCCCAGGCTGGAGTGCAATGGTGCAATCTTGGCTCGCTGCAGCCTCCACCTCCTGGGTTCTAGTGATTGTCCTGCCTCAGCCTCCCAAGAGGCTGGGACTACAGGCGTGCACCACCATGCCTGGCTAATTTTTGTATTTTCAGTAGAGACAGGGTTTCATGTTGGCCAGGCTGGTCTCAAGCTCCTGACCTTGTGATCCACCCGCCTCAGCCTCCCAAAGTGCTGGGATTACAAGCATGAACCACCACACCCAGCCCATCATGGTTTATTGATAGTGGGCTTTGGGGATTTTTTTTTGTTTTTTTTCTCACTGTGTCATCCAGGCTGGAATGCAGTGGCACAATCATGGCTCACTGCAGCCTCAACTTCCTGGACTCAGGCAATCCTACCACCTCAGCCTCCTGAGTAGCTAGGACTACAAGTGCACACACCACACCCAGCTAACATTTTAAATTTTTTGTAGAGATGGGGTCTTGCTCGGTTACCCAGGCTGGTCTTAAACTCCTGGCCTGAAGCCATCCTCCCAACTTGGCTCCCAACGTGCTAGGATTATAGGCATGAACCATTGCCCCCAGCTGGTTTAGTGATACTGCAATCCTTATTACCTTTCTATTTCCATTTGCTAGATAAGGAAAATCAATTCTATGTACTTGTGTTGAAAATATGTAAAGCTTTGTAACTAAAAAGATTGTGACTTGCTTGGTCATTTCACTAGTTAGGCAGACCAGAGTGTATATTTTCAGAGGAGCATAACATGTTGCCTGAGAAGCAGTTGAATGCAACGGAGAAGAAAGGCCTAGGGAGGGGTAAAGGTAGAACAAAGCAGGATAGGAAGGTAGAGGAGATGGTTGCCTTCAGCTATCCAAAGGACCTTCAACTGTGAAAAGGATTAGACTTCTATGCCTCATACCAAAAGGTAGATTAAGATGACTTGGCAGAAGCTAAAGGGAAACTAATTTTGGTTCAGTATAGAGAATATAGGGAAAAGCAACATGAAAGCCCAAAGAGGAAAAAGGCTACTTTAGTAGATACTGAGCTGCCTATCCCTGGAAATGTTTACAATGAGACCAGATGGCTATTTGGCTATAAGAAGGATTCAAGCAACAGATGGCAGGTGGACTGGATCTCCCACCTGAGTGCCTGTCAATCACTTGGGAGCCTCTTAAAAATAGACTTCAGGGACCCATCCCAGAATGAGTAGCTTAGAATTTCCTGGAGTGGCACCTAGGGGGTGATCCGTGTTTTGCAAAAGCTCCCCAGGTAATTCTAGCACAGCCGTTGCATGAACCAGCATCTGACAACCACCTAAGTAGGAGCCCTTTCTGAAAGACTCTTCCAACTCAGAGTGATTCTGTGGCAGACCTGAAACTAGAAGCCAGGTCTCTGACACTGTGCACTTTCCATTGCATTCCCTCATTTCCCTGGGCCTTGGCACATTTTTGAAGGGCACCTGAAGCTGGAGCAGCAAAGCAAAGGCTCAGGCAGTAGGATGGAAGCTGCTTGAATGTGCAGCTGCAGGCTGCTACTGACCCGTCTGTGCATCTCATGACTCTGGTTGTCTCTTATCAGGGGATCCCGCCCCCACATGCTGGCATATTCACTGCTGTGCTTTCTTAAAACCAACACCCCTGTAAATAAGCAGACAGACATAATTGGAGACTGACTTGCTGAAACTGCAGCTTAGCCAGTCCAGCTGTTCTAGTTCTGTGAAAGCCTTTATTTTATAGGAAGTGAATGAGTCAGATGGGTTTGACTGTGAAACCCATTATAAGGAAATACTTAACTGTGCAACAAAGTGATGTTGGAGCCAAGAAAGGCAATAGTTATGGGCTCTGAGACACTATTGGGAAAGTTTGCTGCTCCAAGAGGAGGGAAGAGGTTGGCTCCTGTATGTCCTTCAGTCTCATTCCCTGGAGGTAATTTGATTGTTAAATGTTTGATTTCCTATTATGTGCAAGGCAGGGAAGGTAAAGTGTGTATGAGTTGTGGTCTCTCCTTTTGTGGAGTTAACAGACAAGTGAGAGATGCATAATAATAAGTAGGCAGGGCCTGCGCACGCCTGTAATCCCAGCACCTTTTTTAGGTGGGTGATCACCTGAGGTTTAGAGTTCAAGACCAGCCTGGCCAACATGGTAAAACCCCATCTCTACTAAAAATACAAAAATTAGCTGGGTGTGGTGGTGGGAACCCATAATCCCAGCTACTTGGGAGGCTGAGGCAGGAGAATCGCTTGAACCTGGGAGGCAGAAGTTGCAGTGAGCCAAGATCGTGCCACTGCACTCCAGCCTGGGTGACAGAGTGAGACTCCCTCTAAAAACAAATAATAATAAATAAGTAGGCAGGTGCTGTGGGAGTACTTAGCAAGAAGTGAATGGTTTGCTGGGATAATGAGGGGAAGTGATAGTTCCTTTGTTGTTAAGGACTGAGTATAAGTTTGTCTGGTAGAGAAAGGAAATTTCTAGAGAGACAGAATAGCATGTGCAAAGTCATGGAAGTATAAAATGTATAGGTATTTAAAGAAAGAAAGAATTCAGAGTGACTATGATTTCGGATCTATAGGGAGTGATAGAACTGGACAGAGAGCTTCCTGGCAGATCAGGAAGACCTTAATGCCTGTTGGCAGTAGGGAGCCAAGAGTTAGAGAATTGTTAGAGTGATTGGGTCTTTATTCACACTGGCACTGTTCTAGAGGTTGTTTGACTTGGACTTAAGGGCTACTGGAGAGGGAGCCCAGTTTTAGTCATCCAGGCAGGAGATGATGAAAACCTGAAGTTCAGCAGTAGCTGTGGGGATAGAAAGGAGGGGACGATTTCAATAGATATTTAAGAGAAAAAATGTATGGGCATCTATTTGCGCTGTTTGACAGTTGGAGAAGATCAGACAGACAACCACAATTTGCAAGAGAGTAATGGAAGAGATGTGTGCCAGGAAGCAGACTGTCTTGGAATACCCAGGTCTCATATTAACTTGAACGTCCCCTCTTTACACAGGTTAGAAGTTCAAGCCGATGTCCAAAAGGAAATTTTCCCCAAAGACACAGCCAGTCTTGGTGCAATTAGTGACAACGCAAGCACTCGTGCTATGGCCGGTTCCATAATCAGTTCCTACAACCCACAGGACAGGTATGTGAACAGTCAGATGTCCAGGAGAGGTTGCATTTTTTCGTTGGGTACTAGGTCTTCAGAAGTTCAATGCCTCATGTTAGGGCTGTATGTACCATCTCCTGGGATATATAGTGTAACCTGTGAATTCATTTGAGCAAGTTCTTGGTACTTGAGTGTTTGGCATCTCTTGATTCTTCTTGTTAGCGCTTGATTTTTAGAGATTTCTTTTCTTTCTTCCTTTTATGTATTTTTTCTTTTTTTTTTTTTTTTTTTTGTCTTTCTTGGCTATTGCAACAGTGTATAATTACATGGAACTTAAAGAGCTAGATTGATGTTCATTGATGTCTTCAAGTCTAGGGTTTCTGCTTGCCCTTTGCTTGATAGGATTCCCATAGCTTCTTTCTCTTTCATTTTGAGAAACTGGTGTATCTGGGATGGTGTGATTGTGGTACTCCCACTAGTAGGTATTCTGGCTTCTTCTACTTGTGGCATGGTAGTAAAAAGCTTTTACTTTTCTATTTTGAGTAAGCTAGCATGGGGCTCTGACCCTTAGTTGAATTTTGGAAGCTCTTTCTGTATGTTTAAAGAGATTGGCTGAGATACACGTGTGTGTGCATCTGAGCACACGTGTGCATGTATAGTTAAATCAGCAAAAAGGATCTAATTACTCTTCTCCATCTCATTTATTTTTATTTTTGTTTTTTTAGAGACAGGGTCTTGCTCTGTCAACCAGGCTGGAGTGCAGTGACACAATCATAACTCACTGCAGCCTTGAACTCCTGGGTTCAAGTGATCTTCCCATCTCAGCCTCCCGAGTAGCTGGGACTACAGGCACGTGCCTCCATGCCCAGCTAATTTTTTTTATTTTAGAAACAGGGTCTGACTTTGTTGCCCTGGCTGGTCTCAAACTCCTGGACTCAGGCAGTCCTCACACCTCGACCTCCCAAAGCGCTGGGGTTATAGGCATGAGCCACCACGTCCAGCCTCCATCTCATTTGAGTGTTAGATTAAAATGTTATTTTTGTTAAAAGTGAGCTCTAGTTAACTGTTCACCTATCTTTTTGAAATTCCTAATCCTGAACCCATGAACTGCTTTTACCAACAGGTTTAGCATGATCCATGCATGACTCAGCAAAGTGGATTTTGTCTCCACAGAGAATGCAACAATATGGAAATCCAAGTGGACATTGAAGCCAAACCAAGCCACTATCAGCTGGTGAGTGGAAGCAGCACGGAGGACTCGCTCCATGTTCATGCTCAGATGGCAGAGAATGAAGAAGAAGGTAGTGGTGGCGGAGGCAGTGAAGAGGATCCCCCCTGCAGACACCAAAGCTGTGAACAGAAAGACTGCCTGGCCAGCAAACCTTGGGACATCAGCCTGGCCCAGCCTGAAAGCATCCGCAGTGACCTAGAGAGTTCTGATGCACAGTCAGACGATGTGCCAGACATCACCTCAGATGAGTGTGGCTCCCCCCGCTCCCATACTGCAGCCTGCCCCTCGACCCCCAGAGCCCAAGGTGCACCGAGCCCAAGTGCCCATATGAACCTCTCTGCCCTAGCCGAGGGACAAACTGTCTTGAAGCCAGAAGGTGGAGAAGCCAGAGTATGAAGTGGAATGAATGCTCCTGTTCTGAGAAGCACACTTGTAACTGCATCTTTTGGAATTTTTTTTTTTTTTTTTCCAAGGGGTAGAGATTTATGTATTTTATTTCACAGATTCTCTGGTCACAGGTTTTTGCCCAGGGAAATTCTGAGAAATTCACAATTTCTTACCAGATAAAACATGAAAAGTTTGCCGTTAGTTCCCCTCCCCTCCCCTCCCTCTTTTTAGTTTTAATTTATTGGTTAAACTGATGGCAGCAATCCATGAGGTGTGTCAAAGAGTGTACATATGTATGTGTGTATATTGAATGCTAAACATATTACTGAAAGACACATTTTAATAAAGATTTCTGTCATAATTCAACTTACCTCATTTTCCTTGGCTTGGATAGTCCCACAGAGCCAAGTGTTTGAAACAAAGCACCATCTTTGACAGTCTCTAGACCTGAATTTTTCTAATCCAAGGGAAGAAGGATTGTATTCAAATCCAACCGCAGTAGTCATCTATAAACCTATGACTCCTAGCATGACAGGAAGCAAAGCTAGGCTTGTTTTGGACTTTGTAGTCAGGCTGAAGAATTATTAGCTGAGTCAGCTGAATAGGGAAGCAGTAGATTAAAACTAACTTTGTTTGCCCTCTAGAAGCAACTGTGCAATTTACTCTTAAAACTTTGCCCTTTTCTGCATTATAGTCACTAGTAGTCATATGCTTCAGAGGAGAGAAGGAGTGGCAGTCCCAGGTAGCTCTTAAGAGAATTCTCAGTGGTCAGGCATGGTGGCTCACGCCTGTAATCCCAGCACTTTGGGAGGCCGAGGCAGGTGGATCATTTGAGGCCAGCTGTTTGAGACCCACCTGGCCAACATGGTGAAACCACGCCTCTATTAAAAGTACAAAAATTAGCCAGGCGGTAGTTGCGCACGCCTGTAATCCCAGCTACTCAGGGGGCTGTGGCAGGAGAAGCGCTTGAGCCTGGGGAGGCAGAGGTTGCAGGGAGCCGACATCACTGCAACTCCAGACTGGGTGGCAGAGACCCTGTCTCAAAAAAAAAAGAGTTCTCAGTGAATGTTGCATGGTTACAAGTTGGAGAACAGAATATTCTGTTATTGGAGGAAGAAATACACTGATGCGCATAATCACAAAGCAATGACATAGGTGTTTGCTGTGTTCTCAGGTATACCACTCCGTGTTCTGATAAACTTTCTCAGTTTTGCTAATCTGGTTTAAATAAAAGGGACTAAAATCTGAGATTTGTAATGAAAGGAGGGGGTATGCCCTCAAAATCTCTGAACATATTTATCTGATCTTACAAATTTGTCAAAATTGAGCTAAGTTTGTACTACTTGGAGTTTTGCCTCTGTGTAAAATAATGTCCTGGCCGGGCACAGTGGCTCACGCCTGTAATCCCAGCACTTTGGGAGGCTGAGGCAGGTGGATCACCTGAGGTCAGGAGTTCGAGACCAGCCTGGCCAACATGGTGAAACCCCCGTTTCTACTAAAAATACAGAAGTTAGCCAGGCCTGGTGGCATGTGTCTGTAATTCCAGCTACTCGGGAGGCTGAGGCAGGAGAATCGCTTGAACCTGGGAGGTGCTGGTTGCAGTGAGCTGACATCACCCACTGCACTGCAGCCTGGGAGGCAGAGGGAGACTCCATCTCAAAAATAAAATAAAAAATAAAATAATGGGCTGGGCGCAGTGGTTCACACCTGCAATCCCAGCACTTTGGGAGGCCAAGGCGGGTGAATCACGAGGTCAGGAGATCAAGACCATCCTGGCCAACATGGTGAAACCCCGTCTCTACTAAAAATACAAAAATTAGCTGGGCGTGGTGGCGCACACCTGTAGTCCAGCTACTCGGGAGGCTGAGGCAGGAGAATCACTTGAACTCGGGAGGCGGATGTTGCAGTGAGCCGAGATCGCGCCTTTGCACTCCAGCCTGGGTGACAGAGTGAGACTCCGTCTGACAAAATAAAATAATGTCCTTAGAAGTGAAAGCTTATATACAGTATAGCAAGAAAATTAGAAGACTCGTGAAACCTGATGTCAGATTCCAAATCTTAGAGTGACTTACTTTGTATGAGTCAGTTTCATGCCCCTAACTTCCCCAACTTTCAGATCTTATTTATGTATTTAGAGACGGAGTCTGGCTCTGTCCCCCAGACTGGAGTGCAGTGGCATGATTTTGGCACACTGCAACCTCAGCCTCCCGGGTTCAAGTGATTCTCAAGTCTCAGACTCCCAAGTAGCTGGGATTACAGGTGCATGCCACCACACCCGGCTAATTTTTGTATTTTTAGTAGAGATGGGGTTTTGCCATTTTGGCCAGGCTGGTCTAGAACTCCTGACTCAAGTGATTCCCCCCACCTCAGCCTCCTAAAGTGCTGGGATTACAGGCATGAGCCACCTCGCCCGGCCCTCAGATTGCATTTAAAGAGCTTCCAGTGTCAGACCTCTCTCACCTTAGTCCTGGGCCCAGAGGAAAAATTGAAATCCTCCTTTCCCTGAAGACCAGATGACTTTCTGTTTCCTTTCACAGATGCACTTTTGTCTTCCTGGCCAGTGTTTTACTACAATGAGGATGGCAAGTCTGGACAACAGCCAGCTTAGAAGATTCTTATCTCTTGGGCACTGCAGCCAGACTTCACACATTTCCCTGCACCTAGGACAGGAAATGCTGTTAGTGGACTTTGGATTTCTGGAAGAATGTTCCCTGAAGGGGGCGTGTACTTGTGTGAAAAAGAGAACTTGTTGGAAAAAGAGGCAGACAGCCTGGAGATCTCTGAAACGCAAATTATCAACTCAAAACTTGGAATTCTCTTGAAGCCTCGAGAGAACAATTCACTTCTTTGATAAAATCAAAGAAGTCTGTTGGAGGGGCAGTAGTTTATGGCTAAACCTATATTTCTTATCTGGGTTCCACTTACTACAGCTGTGAGATTTGGGCAGTTTACTCTGAGTCTGTTTTCACTTAGCCAAAATGGAGATGATGATCCTAGTTAAGGGGTTGTGAAGACTGAGATGGTATACTGAAAATGTTTTTGGTAAAGGCCCATGTTTTTTCCTCCTGCAGGAAGAAGAAGAAATGAGTTAAAGGAGATTTTAGATATCATATAAGAAAGGAAGCCTAGACCTCTAGGCCAGAGGCTATGAAAAATTTAAATTTATTCTAATCCTTAGCGACACTTTAGTAGATGAAAAGGCCCATCATCACCACCTAGAGGCGAACACAAATAATGCATTAGAAAAGTTACAATAGCTTGGCCGGGCGTGGTGGCTCATGCCTGTAATCCCAGCACTTTGGGAGGCTGAGGCGGGCGGCTCACAAGGTCGGGAGATCGAGACCATCCTGGCTAACACGGGTGAAACCCCGTCTCTACTAAAAATACACAAAATTAGCCGGGCGTAGTGGTGGGCGCCTGTAGTCCCAGCAACTCGAGAGGCTGAGGCAGGAGAATGGCGTGAACCCGGGAGGCAAAGCTTGCAGTGAGCTGAGATTGCGCCACTGCACTCCAGCCTGGGCAACAGAGCGAGACTCCGTCTCACAAAAAAAAAAAAATAATAATAATAGCTTAGAAAATGGAGAAAGTTTAATTTCCTCTTCATACAGCCTTCATTCATTCTGAAATACCTACCGCATTTCAGGTATAAGATGTAGCAATGACTAAAATACAAAGTTCCTGTCCCCATGGAACTTAGACTCTTAACGGGGGAAGGCAATCAGATATATAACCTGGAGTGAGGATAAGTAATCTGTGAAGAAAAACAGGGAAGACAGAGTGGTAGATAGTGCTACTTGACATGACCAGGTTGGTCCTCCTTGATAAGGTTCCATTTTATTAGAGACTTTAATGGAGCAAGGAAGAGAACTATGTGAATATCTAGGGGAAGCACATACCAGACATGAGGAATAAACTACAAAGGCCCTTTGGTAGAGCATCCTTAGTCTGTTTCCAAAAAAGCATAGTATAGAGGCCTATATGGCTGGAACAAAGTGGACCAAGGTGGGGAGAGTAGTGGATTAGGTCAAAGACAGCTGGAGCAAGATTGTGTAGATTAGCCAAACAACTCTGAAGACAAGGAAATTTTAGATTTCTTTGGGCCAGGAGGAGGTAATCTTCAGCGCCAGACAGATGCAGTGCTTGCGGCCAGCTTTCAAAAAGGTTGAAACTGGGAGGGGCATGTCTGATCACTAGTACTACTTGGACAGGCCAATGTGAAGAAGCTTGTGGATATGGTAAATGAATACTCATTTATGCTCACCTAATGTACCTTCGTATGCTGCAGAGGCTGGAAAACTAAAAACTTCATGTCTTAGATTTCCTTGAAACCAAGGTTCTGAATGTAACCTAAGGTCAAGTTTTGCCAGTTAGATGCACAAACAAGATGTGGAAGGAGGAGTGATTCAGGGGTTATCTTTAGCTACTTTGGCTATTGCTCCTGCAAGATGTAGAGACCTTAGGTTTCTCTTTAACTGCATTCTAATAGCCATCAGTAGCTTTGTGGGTGTTGAAGGGTGTCTGGATCCATAGATAGCAGTTTGCGATATGTTTTCTTGTAGTCAACCTGTAGTGGCCTCCTAATTGCTCATCTCCCCTATGGTGGCAGAGGTAGCAGCTCACATGGAAGGCTAATTCCAGGTCTGGGAATCGCCTGGAGGCCCAGCCTATGGCCATGTTCCCCAGGCTTTCCAGTGCTTTTGTAAGCACCTAATTTACCTGTGTTGAATCCTTTTCCACTTAAAATTGGTAGAGGAGTATTGTTTCCTGCAGTTACTGAATCCTGGCTAATATAGTATTTGGTTCCAAAAGTGGTTACTAGTAACAGGCCCTCAAAGATGGGCTTCTTAGATTAGTTATGACTAAGCTGCATTTGAATGAAATGTAGATCTAGTCACCATTGGAAAATGATAAACTGGTAGGCAAATTGCTTACACCTGTGGTCACCTGAAATGAAATGTCTTTTGGAGAAAAGACGTTGGCACCTCAAAGGGCTGCCATGATAGATCATCATGTAAGAAATGGGGACAAATGATGGTGACTACACTAGAGGGGTTAAAGGAAAAAGACAAAAAGCTCAAAAGTTTGACATTTGCAGCTCAAGGCATAGTATGGGAGAGACCCAAAAGAATTTTATCTTTTGTAGCCGCAAGGCTCATGTACATCAAAATCAAAGGGAGATTCTGGATCACTGAATTACATACAACATAAGTTGAATTCGTAGCTTTACCAGGCCTCTTATGTGAAAATGGGGCTCTGAAATGAGCAATGGGGACCCTTGAGTGGATTTGGATAAATCCTAGTGCTGTCAACTCACAAACTCTACTTCTTTTAACCAGCAGAAGCAGCCATTCTTCCCCTTATAGATATGGCTGGTTCTGCTGCTTGAAGACCCTGGGGTAGTTGTCTTAAAGGGGAATACTAATACTTCTCGTGTCCCACCCCCTACCCCTCCTTGCTACCAGCTCTAACTAGAGTCAGATCCCAGTATGCTTCTGGAAGGCAAACCCAAAGTCTGATCTGAGAGACTTACAGAAGAATTGTAAGACTTTGCTAATTTGTATCAGCAGAAACAAGGGGAAAATGTGTAGAGTATATTCCAAAGATGTTGGACCAGGAAGATAGGAATATACATTTATTTTCATTTGCATTGAATTTATCAATATGGGGGTACTAGAGGTTCTGGACTCAGCATATTGGCTTTAGCAGCTAAGAATTTTTTTTTTTTTGGAGACAGAGTCTTGCTCTGTTGCCTACGCTGGAGTGCAGAGGCGCAATCTCGGCTCACTGCAACCTCTGCTTCCCAGGTTCAAGCAATCCTCCCACCTCAGCCTCCCAAGTAGCTGGAATTACAGGCTCATGCCAGCACACCTGGCTACTTTTTGTATTTTTACTAGAGGTGGGGTTTCACCATGTTGGCCAGGCTGGTCTTGAACTCCCGACCTCAAGTGATCTGCCCACCTTGGCCTCCCAAAGTGCTGGGATTACAGGCGTGAGCCACTGCGACCGGCCAAGAATGGCTCTTAACAGGTTGTTGGATGAAACCTGGACTTAAAAGTGGCCTATACAGAGATGGCAAAAATTCCTTAGTGTAGAATTAGAAGAATCAAGGCCAGGTGTTGTGGCTGATGCTTGTAATCCCAGCACTCTGGGAGGCTGAGGTGGGAGGACTGCTTGAGGCCAGGAGTTTGAAACTAGCCTGGGCAATATAGTGAGACCCCATCTCTACAAAAAGTTAAAAAATTAGCTGGGCATGGTGGTGTGTGCCTGTATAGTTCCAGCTACTCAGGAGGCTGAAGTGGGAGGATTCCTTGAACTCAGGGATTTGAGGCTGCAGTGAACTATGATCGTGCCACTGCACTCCAGCCTGGGCAACAGAGCTAGACCCCATCTCAAAAAAAAAAAATCAGCCGGGCATGGTGGCTCATACCTGTAATCCCGGAACATTGGGAGGCCGAGGCGGATGGATCACTTGAGGCCAGGAGTTCCAGACCAGCCTGGCCAATATGGTGAAGCCCTGTCTCTACTAAAAATACAAAAACTAGCTGGGCATGGTGGTGTGCATCTGTAGTCCCAGCTACTCAGAAGGCTGAGGCATGAGAATCTCTTGAACCCAGGAGGCAGAGGTTGCAGTGAGCTGAGATCATGCCACTGCACTCCAGCCTGGGTGACAGAGCAAGACTCTGTCTCAAATAATAACTTAAAAACATGATACTAAAAACATTGATTTGTAGATTTATCATATGTGTGACCTACTTACCTCCTAATTTTGCCCTTCAAAATTGCCAAGAGGTTATTTCTTTCAGCAAGGAATTGAAAAGTACTTTAAACAAGGGAAACACCTTATCTTGAAAAGTTTGTAGTGTGTACCTTCCCTAGGCTGGAAATGAAGCTAAGAGATGTTACCATTGTAAAGGAATCCCTGATATCAGTAGAGATGATGGGATCCTGCAGTGCCAGTGGCCAAGGGGTAGTACCAAGGCAACAGAGCTGTAGTGATGAAATACATGGGTTACCTACCAAGGTTCTATTTGGCTTATAGAACGCAAAACAAATCTTCAGGTCTGGCAAATAGAGGCCTGTTTTGAGTCACCAAAATGGAGATTTACAGACAATTCTCAGAGCTGAAGCCCTTGAAAAAGGGGGTGCAGGGTACTCTGGAGGAAGCACCCAGCAATACCACCATAACTATATCATAAATCTTCTCGTTTTCCCCAAAGGGATCTTAAGCCATGTAACTATGCATGTGTGCTTAGGGAAATGGAAATGCCCAGGCCTTTAGGGATTACTTGGAAACTGGCCCTAAGCCAGCACAAATGCTGAGACCTAAAAAGCCTTTGTGGTCCACTAGTTAGAATAGAGGCTTCCATGGTGTTATGGGTCGAATTGTGTCCCTTCCACCAAAAATCATATGTTGAAGTCCTAGCCCCTAGTACCTCAAAATGTGCCCTTATTTGGAAAATGAGGTTGTTGCAGATATAATTAAGATGAGGTCTTATTGGCATAGGGTGGCCCCCTAATTCGATTGTTGTACATATAAAAAGGGGAAATCTGAACACAAAGACATGCACATAGGCTAAGTACCATGTGAAGATGAAGGCAGAGACTGGGGTGATGCAGCAGAGGCCAAGGGACACCAAGGATTGCCAGCAAACCATCAGAAGCTGGGAGCGGCAAGGAACAGATCCTCCCCCACAGCCCGCGGAAGGAACCAATTCTGCCAAAATCTAGGACTTCTAGCTTCCTGAACTGTGAGACAATAAATTTCTGTTACTTAAGTCACCCAGTTTATGGTACTTTGTTATGGGAGCCCTAGCAAACTAATATACGGGGGTCAGGTGATAAAAAGGAGTTCTGGCCTGCATCGATCTCACGTACTCATTACCAGTTCCTTTAGGCACAGTTGTAGTAGACGCACTCGGCGACTGGTAGAATCTGCACATTGAGTGACTCATGGAGTGAAAGCTGTTGTGGTAAGAAGAGCAAAGGGAACCCTTGAAATTGCCCTTTCCCACCAAAAACATAAACCAAAAGCGATAGTGCATCCCTAAGGGAATGATGGATATTAGTGTCCGCATCAAAGACAGAAATTTCAGGAATGATGGCTCCTATCATATCCACATTTAATTTACTTGTTTGGCCTATGCAGGACTTGATTTTTAGCTGTTATTTTAGATATAATCTCTTTATGAAGCAAATCAACACCTGCCCCGGCCCCTACAGTCGTGCAACTGAATATGAGTACTGACCTGGAATATGCTTTTTTCTCTAGCCCAAATAGCAGAAAACATCAAAAACAGATTACTTTCACCTGTCAGGGTCAACAGTACATTACACTGTCCTGCATCTGGGTTATATCACCCTTGCAGCTCTGTTGCAGTCTAATCTGCAGGCACTTTAATCATCTCACATCTCCCAGAACATTGTTCTACATGTCTGGAATCTTGCAAGCAAGAAGTAGCAGGTATCCAAATGCCCTGGTAAAACATGTGTTCTAAGGATAGGAGATAATCCCTGTGGAAATTAAGAGAATGTCTACCTCCGTGATTTGGGTCACCCCACCAGATAAAGAACTTAATCCAGTTCATATACTGGCTGAGGAAGAAGGATCATGGACTGGATGGTGGAGAAAGAAATATATATAAATAGAAACAACTAACTCATGAAAAGCTGAGAAACGGGCACTATATTAGCATTTCATATTTTCTTCCTTGCTCTATTGTGTTAATTTATAGATATTAACTCATTTTCCCCTCCCATATTTTCCCTAGTATAATGAAATGTATTACTGTTGGTAACTTGTTAATTTAGTGTTTAGATTATATGCTGTTATGGTAGAATTGTAACTGAACTAGAATGATAATCACCCAGGGTGGATCAGCTAGCTATGTGACTGATGGGATTTGGGGTCTCTTATTTTAAGGAGCGGATTTAGGTCCCTAAAAGTCCAAAAAGATAGACTGTGTAGACATGGTGAACTGACTTTCAACATCCATTCCAAACACTTCCTCATACTGCAGAGGCTGCAAAGATAAAAACTATTTCCCAGACTCCCATGCAGCTAACATTCCGCATACAAGTTGGAGTCTACCCCATCAATGGATGAAAAAATAAAGAAAATGTATTTATAAATGATGGAATACTATTCAGCCTTGAAAAAGAAAGAAATTCTGTTATTTGCAACAACATGGATGGAGCTGGAGAACATTATGCTAAGTGAAATAAGCCAGGCACAGACTAATACCACGTTACCACTTGCATGTAGAATCTAAAACAATTGAATCCATAGAAACAAAGTAGAATGGTGGTTACCAGAGGCTGAGGGCTGAGGGGAATAGGGAAAATGATGGTCAAAGGGTACAAGACCTCAGGAGGAATACGTTTGTTTGTTTGTTTGTTTGTTTGTTTGTTTTGAGATCTATTGCACAGCATGGTGAATATAGTTAATAATAGTTGATAGAGTTTGGATATTTGTGCCCATATAAATCTCAGGTTGAATTGTAATCCCCAGTGCTGGAGATGGGGCCTGGTGGGAAGTGATTGGATCATGGGGTGGATCTTTCACGGATTGATGCTGTCCTCACAATAGTGAGTCTAGAGATCTGGTTGACTGAAAGTGTGTGGCACCTCCCCCACCTCTCTATTTCTCTGGCTTTCACCAGTATTAAGTGCTCTGCCTTCCACCATGAATAAAAGCTTCCTGAGGCCTCCCCAGAAGCCAAGCAGATGCCAGGTACCATGCTTGCACAGCCTACAGAACCATGAGCCAATTAAACCTGTTTTCTTTATAAATTATCCAGTCTCAGGTATTCCTTTATAGTAATTTGAGAATGGCCTAATACAATAGTATATGATTGTACATTTCAAATGTACATCATTTGAAGAGTAAATTTCAAATGTTCTTGTGATACCGTAACTTGTATTAAGTTGATTGACTCTCTCTTAGCTGAGAAAGCGAGATGGACTCCATTTGGCTCCTTCCTTTGCAAGACATCAAGGGCTCCTTACCCACCCCCTTCCTCAAGGACTTGTGCAAGCTGACTCTCAGCATATCAAAGAGTGCAATTAACTGATAAGGTACTGTGGCAAGCTATGTCCGCGATTCCCAGGAATTCGCCCAGGTGATGGTACCCTAAAGCCCCTGCATTTGTGTCCAGCAGATAGCACCCAGAGCCCCCGCACCTATCAGCTTGTGATGAATTTAAAACCCCTGCACCTGGAACTGTTTGTTTTCCTGTAACCATTTGTCTTTTTAACTTTTTTTTTTTTTTTTTTTTTTTTTTTTGCCTGTTTTACTTCTGTAAGATTGCTACAGCTAGGCTCCCCGTCCCCTCTCTAAACCAAAGTGTAAAAGAAAATCTAGCCCCTTCTTCGGGGCCGAGAGAATTTTGAGCTCTAGCCATCTCTCGGTCGCCATGTAATAAAAGACTCCTGAATTAGTTTCAAAATGTGGTGTTTCTCTATAACTCGCTTGGTTACAACATTTGGAGGCCCCAGCGAGAAATTCGCCCCTGGGTGAGAGCCCGACTCGTTCCAGGCTCCCCCGGACAGACGGCGGACTTACAGGGGAGGCGCCACCTGAAGACGTTCCAGGGCCCCATAAGACCCTATCTTCCGGAGGGGAACGGATCGACCACCGGTGTGTGCCCACAAAAAATTCAACTCCTAAGTCCTCAGTTTCTAGTCCCGGGAAGGTAAGTCAGATCTGACTCTGTTTCTCTGGGAGGGAAGTGGCTCTGATGAAGGCCGTCCCTTTTTGACTCTGCTCGCATTCCAGGACGCTGGAGGACGGAGTCCTGGTTTTCTGTTAGGCGCCTCTGTGTCTCTCTGAGAGGGAAGCAGCCCTGACGAGGGCCCTCCCGTGACTCTGTCCATATTCTAGGACGCTGGAGGACTGAGTCCTGGTTTCTGGCAGGCCAGCCTCTCCGTTAAGTCTAGGCTGTCTGTCTCTCTCTCTCTCTCTTCTCTCTCTCGCTCTCTCTCTTTCTCTCTCTCTCCTCTCTCTCCCTCCCTCCCTCTTTCTCTATCTCTTCTTCTTTCAGGTCTCCTGGAGACCTCTGTTTTAGAACGGGAATTAAAAAAAAAAACCTGTTGTAAACTCTGTGTGAATCAGTGCATGTATGTGGAGTTCAAGGGCTTGCGCTTGAATTTCCAGTTTGTAGCTCCACCGTGAAAGCTACGGAATTCGAGAGGGCCCTCACCTACTGTTCCGTGGCGACCTCATACGGCTTAAGGCAGCATCTGGCATAGCTCCATCTGAGCCGGGGGTTTATACCGGTCTGCCAATGCGAAGAGGAGCCTAAGTCCCCTCAGGGGGAGCAGCCAGGCGGGCATCTGACTGATCCCATCACGGGACCCCCTCCCCTTGTCTGTCTATAAAAATTGTCATAATTGTTTATATACCCCAGTGTCTATTGTCTTGTTTAGTGTCTATTGTCCTGTCTGGTGTCTGTCTAAGTTTCTTATGTCTGGTCGTTGATATTGCCCAAGACGACTGGGCAAGGACTTCTTCAAAGTCCTGAGTGCAGATTTTCTAACACAGGAGGTCTCAGGCGTGTCTCTTCGGGTTGCCGGGCCCAGGGGCCAGGCGCGCCTCCACCAGTTTACACAACAGCCTCCTTTCCCTCGGCAGAGGCTCCCCGACCTGCAGGCGAGGAGTGGGAGGGGACGGCGCAGGACCCCCTCCCCCAGGGACCCCCGCGGGCGCCTGACTCCTGCGCCTTCAGGGGTCAAAACCCCTGACATCCCTGAGCACCAGCGCGTCCACACCCGGCTCGGAACGCAGGGGCCCGGCCTGCTGTGGTGACCTTAGCCCCGGGCTGGGCTTCTGAGCCGGGCTTGCAGTGCCTGACGGGGCCTGGAGGCGGGGCGGGGGACCACAGAGTCGTCCTGGCGACACAGGGGACCCAGCGCTGCCCGGCACAGCTCCTCCCAGCCTCAGAAGATCCGAGTGGCCCCTTTCCTCCACATCCCCATCCCTTACCCCGCACATCTCGTTTTCCTGTGTCACAGCAAGTCCAGCGCCCCCAAGATTTGGCTCTACTCTCCCTTTTTAAACCCTTAAAAGAAAAGGCCAAGTTTGAACTTTTTGCCTCCCAGTCGTGGAGACACCAAAAATATTTAGGCTATAGGTCAAGGAGGAGTGAGGGATCACATTGGTCCCACTGACCTCGGACCTGCCTCTTGTCCTCCCCCTAGATCTCAAAGCTTAAAGAGACAGTCCTTATGTGGCAAGAAGTGTTGGACTATAGTTGTTTTCCTGCTTCTTCTGGTTATAATACTTCTGTTCTTCCGATACTACAGCCCCCCAGGTTGTAAATTTCTCTGTCCGTGCTGGGTTTAATATTTCTTCTCAAACCTTGTTAAATTGCCTCTAGAATGAGAAACTCTTCTTCCCGGCCTCGTAAAGATTGGAGCCCTCTCCAATGTATGTTACAAAATTTCTCTCTAGGCTTCTCAGAGGATTATGGGGTCTACCTTAAAAAAGGCAAACTCCGGACACTCTGTGAAGTAGAATGGCCAAAGTTTGGAGCCGGGTGGCCCCCAGAAGGGTCACTGAACCTCGCAATTGTCCAGGCTGTGTGGCGGGTAGTTGCTGGAACTCCCAGTCACCCCGATCGGTTTCCCTACATTGATCAATGGCTGAGTTTGGTCCGGAGCCCTCCTCCATGGCTCCGCTCATGAACCATTCATAATTCTACCTCCAAGGTCCTTTTGAGCCAAACCTCACTTTCGCCTCGACTCTCAGCCAGCTTGGCTCCTCCTGTATTGCCTCCTTCTGAAGAAGAGGAAAGTCTCCCTCACCCAGTTCCGCCGCCTTATAACCCTCCTGCTCGCTTACAATATTCCCTTGTCTCCTCGACTATGTCCCCTGTGGGCTGTCCGCCCATCGCCTCCCAACTGGGGCCATGGCAGAAGGAGGTAGCCCCCTCCTCCCGCTGAGGCACAAATCGCTCTGGGTGATGAGCACTATCTAATTCCGGGACACTTCCATCACTCCAAAAAGAAACCTATTGGCAATCAGTCCTAACTACCCCTTCTCCCCAGCCCCAGAACCACTAATCTAATACTTTCTCTATAAATCTTCCTATTCTGGACATTTTGTATAAATGGAATCATACAATGTGTAGCCTTTTGTGTCTGGTTTCTACTTAGCAAGTGTTTTTCAAAGTTCATCCATGTCGTAGCATGTATCAGTACTTCGTTTTGTGGCTGAATAATATTTCATTGTTTTGTTTTTGTTTTTGTTTTTTGAGACGGAGTCTCGCTCTGTTGCCCAGGCTGGAGTGCAGTGGCACCATCTCTACTCACGGCAACTTCGTCCTCCCCAGTTCAAGTGATTCTCCTGCCTCAGCTTCCTGAGTAGCTGGGACTACAGGTGCGTGCCACCATGCCCAGCTAATATTTGTATTTTTAGTAGACACAGGGTTTCACCCTATTGGCCAGTCTGGTCTCGAACACCTGACCTCAAGTGATCCACCTGCTTCGGCCTCCCAAAGTGCTGGGATTACAGGCAAGAGCCGCTGTGCCTGGCCTGAATAATATTTCATTGTATATTGCATGGATATTGTATGGATATACCACATTTTGTT
The DNA here is from genome assembly GCF_000001405.40 of Homo sapiens. Taxonomy (NCBI): domain Eukaryota; kingdom Metazoa; phylum Chordata; class Mammalia; order Primates; family Hominidae; genus Homo; species Homo sapiens. The sequence goes on along the minus strand of NC_000001.11, from coordinate 32,923,225 downwards.
TATCCCTCAATTCATGGACATTTAGGTTGTTTCCGCTTTTTGGCTGTTGTACATAATGCTGCTATAAATATTGGTGCTCAAATCCTTGCTTTCAATTCTTTTGGGAATATACCCAGAAATGGGATTGCTGGGTCCTGTGTTAATTCTACGTTTAGCTTTTTGAGGAGCTGCCACACTTTTTTCTACAGCAGCTGCACCATTTTACCTACCAGCAACACACAAGGGTTCCAATTTCTCCACATCCTCCAACCGCTGCTTTCTCCTGGGGTTCCTAAGCTGAGAAGATGTAAGCATGGATATTTCTTTTTGTCTGTTTTATTATAGCCATCCTAGTAAGTATGAAGTGATATTTCATTGTGGTTTTGATTCATGTTTCCCTTATGACATGTTGGTGGGCATCTTTTTCTGTGTTCATTGGCCACGTGTATGTCTTCTTAGAAGAAATGTCTCTTTGAATCCTCTCCCCACTTTTTTTTGTTTGTTTGTTTCTGTTTTTGTCTTTGTTTTGAGACGGAATCTCGCTCTGTCACCCAGGATGGAGTGCAGCAGTGCAATCTTGGCTCACTGCAAGCTCCGCCTCCTGGGTTCACACCATTCTCCTGCCTCAGCCTCCCAAGCAGCTGGGACTACAAGCACCCGCCACCACCCCCGGCTAATTTTTTGTATTTTTAGTAGAGACGGGGTTTCACCATGTTAGCCAGGATGGTCTCGATCTCCTGACCTTGTGATCCGCCCACCTCAGCCTCCCAAAGTGTTGGGATTACAGGCATGAGCCACCGCGCCCGGCCACCTTTCCCCACTTTTTAACTGGGTTATTTGTCTTTGTTGTTGTGTTGTAAGACTTTATATATTCTGGATGTAAGTCCCTGAACAGATATATAATTTGCAAATATTTTCTCCCATCTGTGGGCAGTCTTTTCACCTGGTGTGTTCTTCAGTGCAACAATTCTAGTAGTCATTTCCTGACTCATCACCTTCCCAATTGTGCCAGAGTTAGTAGCTATTCTGGGGCCCAATTTGCAGAGTCTGATTCTGGGAGTTATTCCTGAAAACATCCTAGAGCCCACTCCTCCAGTCCTTCCAACTATTTTTTTTTTTTTGAGATGGAGTCTTGCTGGAGTGCAGTGGTGCATTCTCAGCTCACTACAACCTCTACCACCCGGGTTCAAGCGATTCTCCTGCCTCAGCCTTCCAAGTAGCTCAGACTACAGGTGCCCACCACCACACCCAGCTAATTTTTGTATTTTTAGTAGAGACAGGGTTTCACCATGTTGGCCAGGCTGGTCTCAAACTCCTGACCTCAAGTGATCTGCCCGCCTCAGCCTCCCAAAGTGCTGGGATTACAGTTGTGAGCCACAACGCCAAGCCCAACTATTCTTTTTACTTCCCGCCCCCAAGCTTTTTTTTTTTCTTTTTTTTTTTTGAGACAGAGTCTTGCTCTGTCTCCCAGGCTGGAGTGCAATGGTGCGATCTCGGCTCACTGCAACCTCCACCTCCCAGGCTCAAGTGATTCTCCTGCCTCAGCCTCCTGAGTAGCTGGGATTACAGTCACCCACCATCATGCCCAGATAATTTTTGTATTTTTGTAGGGATGGGGTTTCACCATGTTGGCCGGGCTGGTCTTGAACTCCTGACCTCAGGTGATCCACCCGCCTCAGCCTCCCAAAGTGTTGGGGATTACAGGCATGAGCCACTGCACCTGGCCCCATTTTTTTAAGCGTCTGGTTCCCTGTATTAAATCCCTTTCTGCTCGATTAGAGTGACTTCTGTTTCCTGTGACTGATCCCCGATGATAAATAGCACCATGGGATACAGTGTCCTCAAAGAGAGGCTATGGCATGTCATTTTGTTAGAGCTGATGTGCGGCCAAACTATAATAATAATATACTCCTAGAAAGCCAGAATTGAAAGCACCTTTGAGATCGACCAGTCCAACGCCTTCATTCGACAAAGAAGGAAACGAAGGCACAAGGAGGAAGACATAAAAACCACGAGGCCGAGTGCCTACAGCTCCCTCAGTCGCCTCCTGAGGCCAGTGGACCTGAGCTGACCTGGCTTCATGAAATCACTGTGATCTAGGTCACGTAAGTCCAATGAGGCCAGCCCTGCCAACCTCACTGTAGCTGACTGGACACAGGATTTGGGCCCGAGCCATTTGCTGCCTTGGACAAGCTGGATGTGATGGAGGCCAATGCCTGTGTGAGACTGTCTGGTATGGGAGACATCGATGCTGGGAACATGCCCAGAGGGCATGGGGCCAGAGCACAAGTCTATCCCAGTTCCTGTTCTCCGGGGACTTGCTGGACGCTGCTGAGAGGGCTTCCCCAATAACCTCACTTCCTCTGTGTCCTTATTGTAGCCACCATCACTGAAAGTCCTCTGAGCCTGGCTCTTCCTTGCATACCTAAAGGAGCTCGAGAACATACCCAAACGTGGCCCTTGATTTTTCTGGGAATCACATAGCTAGATCAAAAAAAGAAGTAGCCGGCACAGTGGCTCATGCCTGGGATTACCCAGCATTTTGGGAGGCTGAGGCGGGCCTTGGAGATCAGGAGTTCAAGACCAGCCTGGCCAACATGGTGAAACCCCGCCTCTACTAAAAATACAAAAATTAGCTGGGTTTGGTGGTGCACGCCTGTAATCCCGGCTACTCGGGAGGCTGAGGTAGGAGAATCGCTTGAACCCGGAGGTTGCAGTGAACTGAGATTGAGGCACAGTACTCCAACCTGGGCAACAGAGTGAGACTCTGTCTCAAACAAACAAACAAAAAAGAACGAGTTTCCTTCTCAAAAGGGATGGTCTTCAGAATGAGAAGATATAAAATGCCTGTTCCAAAACAGATGGCTGATAAATATCAGTCTTCTCCTCCCCTTCCTTGCTGTGCGGTTTCAGTCCTCTGAGGCCACATGTGACATCACTCTGAGATGTTACAAGGCTAAAGAACACAACCAAAGCAAACCTGAATTGCCTGGAATTCCAAATGAGTAGAGACTGCTTTCTCCTGGGGTTCCTAAGCTGAGAAGATGTAAGCATGAATCTTCCAGAGAACAGAGACTACCTAATATTGCAACTCACAGAGGAATGTGGAGCTGAGAAATTGAAAAAGAAAGAGAAAGAAACACCATTTGATTACACTAGATGACATCATTTTAATGCCAGGATCTAACCATGCCTAAAGCCCCTGAACGTTTCAGTAACATAATCCAACAAATGTCTTTCCCCTTATCCAAAGCCCATTTCAGTTAGGATTCTGTCATCTGTAACTAAAGAAGTTGACTAATACAGGAAGTGGGATACTCCTAGTGCTGGCCCCTCACACTTGGAGTTGGCTGAGTTGAGGTGGGTTATAGAATGGTGAGGATTTCCCAATCCCAGGCTGGGAGGCGGGTGTACCCTGAGATGCAGCTGCACATCCAGAGTGTCCTGAAACTCAGATCATGCACCCAGCAGAGGTGGGAACTTTAGAGGGCTTCACAGAAATACGTCAATGTGCTGGCTATTTTCCCAAATCTTCAATTCAGAGTCCAGAAATAGACAAATTTTGCAGAGAAAATAATAATAAAAGCTAACATTTGGCCTGGCACGGTGGCTCACACCTGTAATCCCAGCACTTTAGGAGGCGAGGTGGGTGGATCACGAGGTCAGGAGATCAAGACTATCCTGGCCAACATGGTGAAACCCCATCTCTACTAAAAATACAAAAAATTAGCTGGGCGTGGCGGCACGTGCCTGTAGTCCCAGCTACTCAGGAGGCTGAGGTAGGAGAATCGCTTGAACTAGGGAGTCAGAGGTTGCGGTGAGCCGAGATCGCGCCACTGCATTCCAGCAGCCTGGCGACAGAGCAAGACTCCGTCTAAAAAAAAAAAGCTAACATTTATGAGACACTCACTATGTGCCAGACACTATATTAAGACCTTTACACATATTAATTCATTTATTATTTTTCTTTTCTTTTTAAATAAAATGAGATGGGGGTCTCGCTGTGTTGGCCAGGCTGGTCTCAAACTCCTGAGCTCAAGTAATCCTCCCACCTCGGCCTCCCAAAGTGCTGGGATTACAGGCGTGAGCCACCATACCCGGCCCATGTAATCCTTAAAATAACATAAATAAGTGGGTACTATTTTATTTTCCATTTTACATTTGAGGAACTGAAGCACAGAATAATTGCCCAAAGTCTTACAGCTAGATGGCCGTTGAGCTATGAACTTGAATCCAGGCAGCCTGGCCCCTGAGCTTGTGCTCCCACAGCTCTGCTCAGAGAGGCTGCCCATAGCCAACAATCCAAGCTGATTCAGTGTCCGATGATCGTGTGCTTTGCAGGACTGAAAATGCTCATCTTGGCCAGCCACGGTGGCTCATGCTTGTAATCTCAGCACTTTGGGAGGCCAAGGCGGGCAGATCACAAGGTCAGGAGTTTGAGACCAGCCTGGCCAACATGGTGAAACCCAGTATCTACTAAAAATACAAAAATTAGCTGGGCATGATGGCAGTTGCCTGTAATCCCAGCTACTCGAGAGGCTGAGGCAGGAGAATTGCTTGAGCCTGAGAGGTGGAGGTTGTAGTGAGCCGAGATCGTGCCACTGTACTCCAGCCTGGGCGACAGAGGGAGACTCTGTCTCAAAAAAAAAAAAAACAAAAAAACAAAATTGCTCATCTGTTCATGTCAAAGTTAAAGTGAATGGGAGCAAAGGCAGGGAGGCAGGAAACACACCCCTCCCAAGCCCTTCTGACCTGTCCCACTAAGAGGAAAATGACCCTTATGTAAAGAGCCTTCCACACAGTGAGAGCAGCCAGCTGTGCCCCCACCCCCATGCCTGGTGTTCACATTGCTCCAAGGCAGAGGTGAAGACAGAAGCCTTAGGGATCTGAGTACTGGGAGGTTTCCGTTGCTAAGAGAGACATCCTCCCTCTCCCTAGCAAATCAAGATCAAAGTCTAGATTCAGGGACCATAATTTACAATTCTTCTGACTCAGTTATTAGCCCATGGTCTTACCCAAATGCAAATAAGTCAGAAACCTTACATGTCTTTTTATTTTATTTTACTATTATTTTTATTTTAAAAATTTTTTTAGAGACAGGGTCTCACTCTACCACCCAGGCTGGGTGCAGTGGTACAATCACGGCTCACTGCAGCCTTGACCTCTAGGTTTAAGCAATCTTCCTGCCTTGACCTCCTGAGTATCTAGGACTACAGGTGTGTGCCACCATGCCAGATTTTTTTACTTTTTGTAGACACAGGGTCTCACTACATTGCCCAGGCTGGTCTTGAACTCCTGGCCTCAAGCGATCTTCCTGCCTCAGCCTCCTAAAGTGTTGGGATTACAGATGTGATCCACTGCGCCCGGCTAAACTTACACATCTTTTAATAGAGTGGTCTTGCCAGAGAAACCCCAATCCTGGCAAGTGGAAGCCTGTGACTGCTGATCAACCGCTAAGGCAATGTCTTGGCCCCAAAGAGTACCCACAGGAAATCCTCAAAACCCTTCTACGGTGTGGCCGCAGAATTACAGTGGGTAGGGGAGTCCCTCCACCAAGGTAAAGCAGCCAGACTGGCCCTGCTCTATTGAGGCAGGAAATACTTGCTGTTCTTCATGTAATGCACACCGTGGACCACTGAGTGTTCTCCTTCTCCCGTTTTCCAAATGGGGTTGCTTATTTGTAATTATCTTGTTTTCCCTCCACCAATGCATCAAGGTATTTTAAGCTTATTAGTATTTATCTATAGCAGTGTCTCCCAAACTTCTTGATCTCAGGACTCTATTATGCTGTTAAAAATTATTGAAGGCCAGGCACAGTGGCTCACGCCTGTAATCCCAGCACTTTGGGAGGCCGAGGTGGGCAGAAAACTTGAGGTCAGGAGTTCAAGACCAGCCTGGCTAACATGGTGAAACCCCGTTTCTACTAAAAATACAAAAAATTAGCCGGGCGTGATGGCAGGCACCTGTAAGCCCAGCTACTCAGGAGGCTGAGGCAGGAGAATTGCTTGAACCCGGGAGGCGGAGGTTGCAGTGAGTTGAGATCATGCCATTGCACTCCAGCCGGGGTGACAAGAGAGAAACTCCATCTCAAAACAAAATTATTGAAGACTTAAAAGAGCTTTTGTTTATGTGGGTTTTATTATTGATATTTGCCATATTATAAATTAAAATTGGCCAGACATGGTGGCTCACACCTGTAATCCCAGCACTTTGGGAGGCTGAGGTGGGCAGATCACTTGAGCCCAGGAGTTTGAGACCAGCTTGGGCAACATGACGAAACCCTGTCCCTACAAGAAATATAGAAATTAGCTGGGCGTGGTTGTGCACACCTGTAGTCCCAGCTACTCAGGAGGCTGAGGTGGGTGGATCTCTTGAGTCCAGGAGGTCAAGGCTGCAGTGAGCCATTATTACACCACTGCATTCCAGCATGGGCAACAGAGTGAAACCCTGTCTTAAAAAGAAAAAAGTTAAAATTAAGAATTTTTAAAATATTTATTTAAAAATAAAAAGACTCATTAAATTAATGTTAACATAAATAAAACATTGTTAAATTTAAAAAAACCCCTACATTTCCAAACAAAATAATTAGTGAGAAAAATGGCATTGTTTTACATTTTTACAAATCTTTTTAATTCTGGGTTAATGAAATGCAGCTAAATTTCCATATCTACTTCTTCATTTGATCTGTTGAAATATGGTGTTTTGGTTGAAGCGTATGAAGAAATTCAGTCTCACACAGATAACTAGAAAAGGTGGGCGTATAGGCACATGCCCTCTTATTGCACTCCACTTTATTTTTTTATTCACGGATATTGCATTTCTTACAAACTGAAGGTTTGTGGCAACTTCATCAAGCAAATCTATCGGAGCCATGTTTCCAACAGCACATGCTCACTTCATGTCTCTGTGTCACATTTTGGTAATTCTTACAATATTTCAAATTTTTTCATTATGATTGTATCTGTTATGGTGATCTGTGATCGGTGAGCTTTGATGTCACTATCATGCAGTTATGTGTTGCTTCACAATGGGCATGTATTCTGAGAAATGCATCATTAGGCAACTTTGTTGTTGTGCCAACATCATAGAGTATACAAACCTAGGTGGTAGAGCCGATTACACACCTAGGCTATATGGTATGGCCCATTGTGCCTAGGTTACAAACCTGTACATCACGTTACTGTACTGAATACTGTGGACAGTTGTAATACAATGGTAATAATTTGCATGTCTAAACATAGAAAATGTACAGTAAAAACACAGTATTAGGATCTCACGGGACCACAATGTGGTCCATTGTTCACTGAAACATCATTACGCAGCACATAACTGTAACCATTTTGGGGCACCATGAACCACGCACATATCAGATGGAGAACTTAATTGATACATATCGTGTGTGTTCTGACTGCTCCACTGACCAGCGTTCCCCCAGCTCTCTTCCTCTCCTTGAGCCCCCCTATTCCCTGAGTCAAAACAATATTGAAATTGGGCCAATTAATAACCCTGCACTGGCCTGTAAGTGTTCAAGTGAAAGGAAGAATCACACTTCTCTCACTTTAAATCAAAAACTAGCAATGAATGGCCAGGCACAGTGGCTCATGCCTGTAATCCCAGCACTTTGGGAGGCCGAAGCGGGCAGATCACGAGGTCAGGAGATCGAGGCCATCCTGGCTAACACGGTGAAACTCCATCTCTAATAAAAATACAAAAAATTAGCCGGGCGTGGTGGCGGGCACCTGTAGTCCCAGCTACTGGGGAGGCTGAGGCAGGAGAATGGCCTGAACCTGGGAGGCGGAGCCTGCAGTGAGCCGAGACTGCGCCACTGCACTCCAGCCTGGGCAACAGAGGGAGACTCTGTCTCAAAAAAAAAAAAAAAACAAAAAAAACTAGCAATGATTAAGCTTACTGAGGAAGGCATGTTGAAAGCCGAGACAGGCCAAAAGATAGGCAGGCCCCTTGCGCCAAACAGCCCCACTGTGAATACATAGAAAACGTTCTTGAAGGAAATTCAAAGGGCTACTCCAATGAACACATGAATGATAAGAAAGTGAAACAGACTTGTTGCTAATATGGAGAAAGTTTGAGTGGACTGGGTAGATCAAACCAGCCACAATATTCCCTTAAACCAATGCCTAATCCAGAGAAAGGCCCTAACTCTCTTCAATTCTGTGAAGCCCGAGAGAGAGATGGAAGCTGCAGAAGAAAAGTTTGAAGCTAGCAGAGAATGGTTCATGAGGTTTAAGGGAAAAAGCCATCTTCATAACATAAAAATGCAGGTGAAGCAGCAAGTGTTGATATAGAAGTTGCAGCAAGTTATCCAGAAGATCCAGCTAGGATCATTGATGAATGTGGCTACACTAAACAACAGATTTCGGTGTAGACAAAACAGCCTTTTATTGGAAGGAGATGTCATCTAGGACTTTCATAGCTGGAGAGGAGAAGTCAATGCCTGGCTTCAGACCTTCAAAGGATAGGCTATCTTATTGGAGGCTAATGCAGCTGGTGACTTTAAGCTGAAATCAATGCTCATTTACCATTCCAAAAATCCTAGGACCTTTAAGAATTGTGCTAAATCTACTCCACCTGTGCTCTATAAATGGAATGACAAAGCCTGGTGATAGCACATCTGTTTACAGCATTGTTTACTGAGTATTTTAACCCCCTGTTGAGACCTCCTGCTCAGAAAAAAAAAAAAAAAAAAAAAAGATCCATTTCAAACTATTACAGCTTATTGACAATGTACCTGGTCTCCCAATAGTTCTGATGGAAAGGTGTGAGGAGAGTAATGTTGTTTTCATGCCTGCTAACAGAACATCCATTCTACAGCCCATGGATCAAGGAGTAATTTTGATTTTCAAGTCTTATTATTTAAGAAATACATTTCAAAAGGCTGTAGCTGCCATAGACGTTGATTCCTCTGATGGATCTGGGCAAAGTAAATTGAAAACCTTCTGGAAAAGATTCACCATTCTAGATGCTACTAAGAACATTCATCATTCATGGGAGGAGGTCAAAATATCCACACTGGCCGGGCACGGTGGCTCATGCCTGTAATCCCAGCACTTTGGAGGCCGAGGTGAACAGAGCACCTGAGGTCGGGAGTTCAAGACCAGCCTGACAAACATGGAGAAACCCCGTCTCTACTAAAAATACAAAAATTAGCCAGGCATGGTGGCGCATGCCTGTAATCCCAGCTACTCAGGAGGCTGAGGCAGGAGAATTGCTTGAACCTTGGAGGCGGAGGTTGCAGTGAGCCGAGATCATGCCATTGCACTCCTGCCTGGGCAACAAGAGTGAAACTCCTTCTCAAAAAAAAAAAAAAAAAAAAAAAAAAAAAAATCCACATTAACAGGAGTTTGGAAGAAGTTGATGCCAACTGTCATGATGACTTTGTGGGTTCAAGACTTCAGAGGAAGGTGGCCTGGCGCGGTATCTCACGCCTGTAATTCCAGCACTTTGGGAGGCTGAGACGGGTGGATCACAAGGTCAGGAGTTCGAGACTAGCTTGACCAACATGGTAAAACCCCGTCTCTACTAAAAGTACAAAAATTAGCCAGGCATGGTGTCACGCGCCTGTCATCCCAGCTACTCAGGAGGCTGAGGCAGGAGAATCTCTTGAACCCGGGAGGTGGAGGTTGCAGTGAGCTGAGATTGCACCATTGCACTCTAGCCTTGTGACAGAGTGAGACTCCATCTCAAAAAAAAAAAAGAATCACTTGAACTGGGGAAGTGGAGCTGCAGTGAGCCAAGATCACACCACTGCACTCCGGCCTGGGCGACAGAGCCAGACTCTCTCTCAAAAAAAAAAAAGGCCGGGCACAGTGGCTCACTCCTGTAATCCCGGCACTTTGGGAGGCCGAGGAGGGCAGATCACGAGGTCAGGAGATCGAGACCATCCTGGCTAACACGATGAAACCCCGTCTCTACTAAAAATACAAAAAAATTAGCCAGGCTTGGTGGCGGGCGCCTGTAGTCCCAGCTACTCGGGAGGCTGAGGCAGGAGAATGGCGTGAACCTGGGAGGCGGAGCTTGCAGTGAGCCAAGATCGCACCACTGCACTCCAGCCTGGGCGACAGAGCGAGACTCCATCTCTTAAAAAAAAAAAAAATACAAAATAAGGTCTTAGTATTATTATGAAAATAACTGACTTCACAGACCCTCTCAAGGTCCTGGAACCTTCGGGAATTTGCAGATCACATGTGGAGAACTGCTGATGTAATGCTTTATTCTTTGCAGATCACATGTGGAGAACTGCTGATGTAATGCTTTATTCATCAGTTAATATTTATCAAGTGTCTACCGCATTCCTGACAGTTCCAGGCTCTGAGTATTGGGTGGTGCACTGTACACAAGATCCGTAAGGCCTCTGCTCTCAGAGAACCAAAATTCTTGTAGATAGAAGCAGAAAATGAATAAATAAATGAATAAGATTATTTCATCTACAGAAATGTGCCTTGAAGAAAATAAAACAGGATAATTTAATAGAGAATGGCTTATGGGAAATTTATCTTCAGTGGTTCAATATGATATCCACTCTCCCTTGTGCCTGTTTAAATTTAAATTAAATCAAATAATTCAGTTTCTGAGTCACACTAGGCACATTTCAAGTGCTCAATAACCATATGTGGCTAGTGGCTACCATATTGTACAGTGCAGATAAAGGACACTTCCCTCATTACAGAAAGTTCTATTGAACAGCACTGATTGAGTCTGTGTGAGACAGAAAGCTCAGTGAGGATTGAGGGCAGAGTACTGAAGGCAGAGGGATGCAAAGGCAAAGATCCTAAGATGGAAACCACTTGGGTGTGTTGAAAGAAAAAGAGAGACAGCAGTGTGGCCGAAGTGTGGTAATTAAAGAGGGGACTGGAGGGCTACGATATGAGAGAGGTGGGTGGGAGCCAGAGCATGCTGGAAATTGTGGGCCTTGGTGAAGACTTACAGAGCCCAGTAAAAGCAGGCATTGATATGACTTGATTGATGTTTTTGAAAAATCACTCTGGCTGCTACATGGAAAATGAATTGTAGAGGTGGAGGTAGAGGTACCAGTTAGGAGGCTGCTGGATGAAGGGAGTGATGACGGAAATGGAGAGAAGCTGTTTGATTTCATAGGTATTTTGGAACTAGAACAGCAGGACTTGCAGGTGGATAGAATGTAAAGAACGAGAAAAAGGGAGGAATCACTAATGGCCTTTAGGCCTTTGGCTTGAGCAACTATATAGATGATAGTGCCAATTACTGAAAAGAGGAAGAATGAATTCAGGGGCATGGAACTAAGAGCTCTTCTTGGGGGTTTTACATTCAGATGGCCATTAGGCATTCAGGTAGAGATGACAAGTAGGCAGTTGGGTACACACATTTGGAACATGGAAGTCAGAGCTGGAGATACATAAAGTTGGCCCTCCATATCTGTGGATTCAACTAATTGTAGATAAAAAAAAATCTATCTATCTATCTATCTATCTATCTATCTATCTATCTATCTATACATATATTTTTTAAGACAGAGTCTCAGGCCAGGCATGGTGGCTCACGCCTGTAATCCCAGCACTTTGGGAGGGCGAGGCGGGCAGATCATGCGGTCAAGAGATTGAGACCATCTTGGCTAACACGGTGAAACCCCATCTCTACTAAAAATACAAAAAATTAGCCGGGCATGGTGGCAGATGCCTGTAGTCCCAGCTCCTGGGGAGGCTGAGGCAGGAGAATGGCCTGAACCCGGGAGGCAGAGCTTGCAGTGAGCCAAGACCGCGCCACGGCACTCCAGCCTGGGCAACAGAGCAAGACTCACTCTCCAAAAAAAAAAAAAAAAGCAGCATGTTTTAAGCAGGAGAAAGTGGTCATTTTGGTTGACCATTGCTGACAGGTTAAGGTGACAACAGACTAGTGTGCCCACTGGATTTGGCAGCATGAAAGATGTTGGCATTCTTGATAAGAGCAGTTTCAGTGGAGTGGTGAGGTTGGGAGCCTAAAGAGAGTGGGTTGAAGAGTGATGAGATTTGAGGAAGGAGGAATGAAGTGGGGAAAACCAGTAGTAGCTGGAGGGCAAGTAGAGTCAAGGGAAGTTTTGTTGTTTCATGTTGTGTTGTTAAGATGTAAATATATAACATGTTTATGTATTGATTGGAATGCTCTATTGGAGAGAGAGAGATTATCTGGTGTTGCAGGAGAAAAAGCATGTAGTTGCAGAAGCAAAGCCCTTGACAAGGTGAGAGTTAGCCTTAGAAAGTAGCGAGAGGACTTCATTTATGGTAACAGGGAAGAAGGCAGAGAGTGTGGGTTCCTGTCTGGTTGTGGTGATACAATCGTAAACAATGCTGCTCTGAACATTCATATACAAATTTTCGTATGAATATGTCTTCAGTTCTCTTGAGAATATACCTAGGAATGAAATTGCTGGGTCATATGATAACTCTATGTTTGTTCGTTTTTTCTTTTTTCTTTTTTTCTTTTTTTTGGAGACAGGGTGGCTCTGTCGCCTAGGCTGGAGTGCAGTGGTGGGATCACGGCTTACTACAGCCTTGATCTCCGGGGCTCAAGTGATCCTTCCACCTCAGCCTCCCAAGGAGCTGGGACCACGGCTGCATATCACCCATACCTGGCTAATTTTTAAATTTTTTTGTAGAGATGGGGTCTCACTATGTGGCCCAGGCTTATGTTTAATTTTTTGAGGAACTGCCATATGGTTTTCCAAAGTGCTCGCACTGTTTCACATTCTCATCAGTAGTATGTGAGGGTTCCAATTTCTCCACATCTTCACCAGCACTTGTTATTGTCTGTCTTTCTGGTTATAGCCATGCTAGTGAATATGAAGTGGTATCTTATTGTAGTTTTTATTTGTATTTCCCTATCGACGAATGATATTGAGCATCTTTTCCTATACTTCTTAGCCATCTATGTTTCTTGTTTGGATAAATGTTTATTAAAATCTTTTGCCTCTTTTTCAGTTGGGTTATTTGTCCTTTTGTTGTTGAATCGTAAGACTTTTTTGTGTATTTTGGATACTAGATGTCTATCAGATGTATGACTTGCAAATATTTTTGATGGGTTATCTTTTTACTTTCCTGATAGTGTCCTTTGAAGCGCAAAAGTTTTTAATTTCAAAGAAATCATAATTACCTATTTTTCTTTGGTTGCTTGTGCTTTTAGTGTCATAAGTAAGAAATCATTGTCTGATCCAAGGTCACAAAGACTTACGTCTATGTTTTCTTAAAAGAGTTTTATAGTTTTAGCTCTTACATTTAGGTCTTTGATTCAGTTTGAGTGTATTTTTGTACATAGTATGAGTTAGGGGTCCAGCTTCATCCTTTTGCATGGGATACCCAATTGTCCCAGCTCCATTTGTTGAAAGACTATTATTTCTCCCTTGAATCATCTTGGCATCCTTGTCAAAACTCAGTTAACCAAGGCCAGGCATGGTGGCTCACACCTGTAATCCCAGCACTATGAAAGGCCAAGGAAAGAGGATCACTTGAAGCCAGGAGTTTGCGACCAGCTTGGGCAACATAATGAGACTTTGTCTGTACAAAAAAAAAATAATAATAATTGTTTAAATTAGCTGAGCGCAGTAGTATGCACCGAGAGTCTTAGGTACTTGGGAGGTTGAGGCGGAGGATTGCTTGAGCCCAGGAATTCAAGGCTATAGTGACCTATCATCAAGCCATAGCACTCCAGCCTGGGCAACAGAGCAACCCTGTCTCCAAAAAACTGAAAAGAAAAAGATCAATTGACCATGTGTGTATTTTTATTCCTCGTTTATTTCTGGTTTCTTTATTTTTGGACTCTCAGTTCTATTCCATTGATCCATATGTCCATCCTTATGTCAGTACCACATTGTCTTGATTATTTTAACTTTATTGTAAGTTAGAATTGGGAAGTGTGAGTTCTTCAACTTTTATTTTCTTTCTCAGGATTGTTTTGATTATTCTGTATCTTCTGTATTTCCATATAAATTTAGGATCAGTTTACCAATTTCTGCAAAAAAAGGCAGTTTTTATTTTTTAACTAGTTTATTTTAGATTTAGGGGGTACATGTGCTTGTAGTTACATGGGTATATAGCATACTGATGGGGATCAGGCTTCTATTGTACCCAGTGTCCAAATAGTGAACATTGTACCTGACAGGTTATTTTTCAACTCTCACCCCTCTCTCAACCTCCCTCCAGAGCAGCTTGGATTTTGATAGGGATTATATTGAATCTGTAGATCAATTTGGGAGAATTGCCATCTTAATGATATTAAGTCTTCCAATTTATGAACTTAGGATGTCTTTCTATTTACTTAGGTCTTCTTTAATTTCTTTTTTTTTTTTTTAAGAGATAAGATCTCACTCTGTTAGCTCACTGTGAACTCCTGGGCTCAAGCAGTCCTTCCACTTCAGCCTCCCAAGTAGCTAGGACCACAGGTGCCACCACACCCAGCTAATTCGTGGGGGAGGGAGGGTAGAGATGGGGTCTCCCTATGTTGCCCTGGCTGGTCTCAAACTGAACTCAAATGATCCTCCCACCTTGGCCTCCCACAGTGCTGGGATTACAGGCATGAGGCAGTGTGCCTGGCCTTTCATTTCTCTCATGTTACTGGTTTTAAGCAGAAGAATATCATGATTTGATTTATACTTAAGAAGATTACTCAGTAGTGGCCGGGTGCGGTGGCTCATGCTTGTAATCCCAGCACTTTGGGAGGCTGAGGCGGGCAGATCATAAGGTCAGCAGTTCGAGACCAGCCTGGCCAACACGGTGAAACCCCGTCTCTACTAAAATTACAAAAATTAGTTGGGTGTGGTGGCGGGCACCTGTAATCCCAGCTACTCAGGAGGCTGAGGCAGAAGAATCGCTTGAACCCGGGAGGCAGAGGTTGCAGTGAGTCGAGACCACCCCATTGCACTCCAGCCTGGGGTACAGGCTGGGGTGCAGACAGAGTGAGATTCTGTCTCAAAAAAAAAAAAAAGGAAGATTACTCAGTAGTGTGGAAAAATAATTGGTGGGCAAAGAGACGCTACATGAACAAGGGCAGAGACAAAGAGGAAGTCACTCATTACATAAATATTTATGGACGGGACTTGGTGATTGACTTTATGTAGAAAGAAAGGGAAGAGTAAAGAACAACTCCCAGGTTTGGGCTTCGGTACATCACGACGCCACCAATTGAGATAGGAAAACACAGTTTGGGGGGAAAGATGAAGTGATCAGTTTGTGCCTGCTGAGCTTCAGGTGGTGAAGGGACACCCAGGTGGAAAGGTAAGGTAGTTGGATATCTGAGTCCAATGCTAAGAGGAGAATCTAGTCTGGGAATAGTGATTTGACACTCATCATATAAAAGGAGAGCTGTGAGAGTGCACAAGCCAACTGATGGGAAAAGTAAAGGAAGCAGAAAGGATACACAGAAAAACTAGGAATTCCAAGGGTGAGCTGATGACAAAAAGTCCACAAAAGGAGACTGAGAAGGAACAACCAGAGAGGCAGGAGGAAGCTCCAGAAAGAGATGCAGGGAGAGTGGCTAATAATAACAACTTAAGGACTGAAATGCTTCCATCGGAATTAGCCAAATTAGAAGTCACTGGTGACCCTGGCAACGACTCTTTTGCTGAAGCTGAAGCCACGCTGCTATGAACTGAAGAGGAAGTGGGAGTTGGGAAGGTGGAGACAGCAAATAAAGATAACTCATTCCAGAGGTTTGCAGGGAGAAAGGAAAAGAAGTGAAAAAGCAGTAACTAGGAATGTAAAGAGGGTCAAGAGGAGGTTGTGCTTTTTAGGACAAAAGAGACTTGGGTGAGTTTGTAGGCTGAGGAACGAAAGCAGATGAAAGGGAGAGGATGAGGGATGGAGAGTCCTTGTAGAGCTGGGAGGAATAAGGAGGGAGAGGATTGATTTTATTTATTTTTCTTTTAACCCTGCTTGATTCTATACTGATTTTTAAAATTTTTTTATATGGGCCGGGTGCAGTGGCTTGCACCTGTAATCGCAGCACTTGGGGAGGCCGAGGTGGGTGGATCACCTGAGGTCAGGAGTTCAAGACCAGCCTGGCCAACATGGCGAAACCCCATCTCTACTAAAAATACAAAAATTAGCCAGGCGTGGTAGTGGGCACCTGTAATCCCAGCTACTCAGGAGGCTGAGACAGGAGAATCGCTTGAACCCAGGAGGTGGATGTTGCAGTGAGCCGAGATGGTGCCAACTGCACTCCAGCCTGGGTGACAGGGTAAGACGCCGTCTCAGAAAAAAAAAAAAAAAAAAAAATTCTATGGAGGTGAGAGGACTTAGAACAGTGCTCTTCTGACGTTAATGTGCATATGAGTTACATATCTCAAATCTCCCCTCTCTCCATCTTGACAGCTACCATTCTGGTCCAAGTCCAAGTCCCCCTACAGGCCTCATCTCTCACTGGGACAACTGAGCTGGACTTCAGACGCTCAACCCTGTGGTTTAGGCTTGGTGGTGAAGAGGCCAGGACAGGGCTAACTGAATGGAAGAAAACAGAAGGGGCCGGCATGGGGAGTCTGAATACGGGCATGCTGCTGGGGAGAACTTGGTGATGCTTGAGGTTGGGATTTCAGAGAAGGCTGTTCTAGGCGTGGCTCTGGAGAGAATAGCTACAGTCATGTGAAGGCCACTGAGGATGGCAAGGAAGGGCCCTGGGACATTCACACGGATGAGCAGGATATTAGGACAGAAACCCAAGTCCCGGATGGATGAAGGGAGGTGACAGGGAAGATAGAAGATGAAGGTGATGGGGAGGCACAGCAGAGTAGAGCCAGGCAGCAGAAGTCTCAGAGGAGAAAGAAAAAGATAACATATGCGCACAGAAAACAAAACAAAACAAAACATAAAGCCAGGCACACGCCTATAATCCCAGCACTTTGGGAGGCTGAGGTGGGAGGATTGCTTGAGGCCAGGAGTTCGAGACCAGCCTGGGCAATATAGTAAGATCTTGTCTCTACGGAAAAAAAAAAAAAAAATTAGCCTGGTGTGGTGGCATGTGCCTGTGGTCCCAGCTACTTGGGAGACTGAGGTGGGAGGACTGCTTGAGTCTGGGAGGTAGAGGTTGCAGTGAGTCGACATTGAGCCATTGAACTCCAGCCTGGGCGACAGAGTGAGACTCTGTCTCAAAAAAAAAGAGGCGGGGGGTGGGGGGTCATTGTGGCTCACACCTGTAATCCCAGCACTTTAGGAGGCCAAGGCAGGCAGATCACCTGAGGTCAGGAGCTCAAGACCAGCCTGGCCAAAGAGGTGAAACCCCGTCTCTACTAGAAAATACAAAAATTAGCCGGGCATGGTGGCTTCTGCCTGTAGTCCCAGCTATTTGGGAGGCTGAGGCAGGAGAATCACTTGCATCCAGGAGGCAGAGGTTGCAGTGAGCCGAGATGGCACCTGCACTCCAACCTGGATGATAGAGCAAGACTCCATCTGGAAAGAAAGAAAGAAAGAAAAGAAAGCAAGGAAGGAAGGGAGGAAGGGAGGAACGGAGGAAGGGAGGGGGAAAAGAAAGAAAGAAAGGCACAA
This sequence comes from Homo sapiens, assembly GCF_000001405.40. Lineage (NCBI taxonomy): Eukaryota > Metazoa > Chordata > Mammalia > Primates > Hominidae > Homo > Homo sapiens. The sequence goes on along the minus strand of NC_000001.11, from coordinate 32,905,748 downwards.
AAAACTTCAAAAATGTGAACGGAGGTATACAGTCTCGCTCTGACGCCTAGGCTGGAGTGCAGTAGCACGATCTCGGCTCACTGCAACCTCTGCCTCCTAGGTTCAAGCGATTCTCCTGCCTCGGCCTCCCAAGTAGCTGGGACTACAGGCACTTGCCACCACATTGGCTAATTTTAGTATTTTTAGTAGAGATGGAGTTTCACCTTGTTGGACAGGCTGGTCTCAAACTCCTGACCTCAGGTGATCCACCTGCTTTGGCCTCCCAAAGTGCTGGGATTACAAGCATGAGCCACTGTGCCCTGCCTGATTTCTGCTTTATACTTTTCTGTTTTTCTCTCAGTTTTTCTACAATGGGTTTTTTTTCCAGACATGTAAAAGAATACAAAAATTAATGTAACACTCCTATTCACACCATCTAGAATCCATAACTGTAAACATGTCATATTTGCTTTAAAAAAAAAAAACTTTAGAGCTATAGTGAAAGTCTCCTTTAACTGCCTCTTCTTCTCTCAGACAAGCATGGTCAGTTGGTTTTTAGTTTTATATACAGGTATATACATACATAAACTAGAATCTGGTACAGTTGTGTGTGATGGCTTTACTTACATGGAGGAACAGTTCTTAAAATCAGGGAGGGATGGCAACCTTCTTTAAATTGAGGAGGGGATGCACAAGGACTGGCAGCCTGAACCCACCTTCCCAGCTAAGCAGCCCCCTGGGAGCCCCTGCCCTGGGGAGATCCAGCTCCCAGCTAAGTGCACGGGCCACACCTGGTTGTTAAATGTACCAGGAAGATAATTGCTATTTGTATTTCTCTGGATAGCTTCCAATGAACTTTCATATCTCGCAAGTCATTGATGGCTCAAAAAATCTGGGAAACCTGGAAAGAAAATCATTATCCCCATTTGACAGATAGGGAAACTGAGGCCCAGGAAATGGCAGTGAGCTGCCAGGATATCACAGTGAGTTGATGGAGGATAAGGAACTAGAGCTCAGACCTGGAGTTCTTTCCAGAACCTCAGGCCAGCATGCAGAGGGGTGGAACAGAGGCCAAGGCTTGCCAGGTAGCTGGCACTGATGGACTTTGGCCACATGGCAATGAGGAAAAGAAGTGGCAATAGCTTCAGACCACTGAGGTTGGCTGACGGCTGGGAAATTATGGTCTGGAGAGAAGCAGGTGGAAAGTTTTCCTTCCTCAGAGGTCCCAGAGGGCAGGCACACTCCTGGGGACTGTGGCTCTCCCCACCCCCAACACACACACACTCAGAAGTCAGGAGCAGCCTCACAGTCAGACAGGTCCAGGTTCAAGTCTCAGCTTTACCACCAATATATGTTGTAGGGTCTTTAAAAAGTCCTTTACCTCTCTGGGCCTCAATTTTCTCATCTGTAAAATGGAGTGATTATCTTTAATTCTGTGTTGTTCCAAGGATAAAAGAGAATCATCATCTATGCATCTGGAAACAAAAGCATTTAAAAGGTCCCCAACCTAATTCCAGAAGGCTCCAGCAGGGGTTAGAGTAAAGAGGACTGCCTGACACTGACTGATAGAGAAGCCACATCCATGCACACACATGAGGTTTGACATCGGCTTTGCAGTGACCACCTGTGCTCTCCGGGGCAGCCCCTGGGAGATGGGCATTGGCATCACAAGCTGTTGGTGGAATGAGGGCAGGGCAGTGGTGATGAAGGGGCCCTTCCTTTCTTTTTATTTTTTCTTTTATTTTCTTTTTTTTTTTTTTTTTTTTTTTTTTGAGACAGAGTCTTGCTCTATTGCCCAGGCTGGAGTGCAGTGGCACAATCTCGGTTCACTGCAACCCCCGCTTTCCGGGTTCAAGGGATTCTCCTCCCTCAGCCTCCTGAGTAGCTGGGATTACAGGCGCCTGCCACCATGCCCAGCTAATTTTTGTATTTTTAGTAGAGATGGTGGTTTTGCTGTGTTGGCCAGGCAGATCTCGAACTCCTGGCCTCAAGTGATCCACCTGCCTTGGCCTCCCAAAGTGCTGGGATTACAGGCATGAGCCACTGCGCCAGGCCGGCCCTTCCTTTCTTTTCAACAAAACCAAGGCATGAATTCATTCTAATACTCCAACTTCAACCATACAGCCATGTGTAAAACAAAAAGCAAAATCCTTCCCGTCACTCTCCTGCATCGCTCTTGGTTATCACTTTGGTGCCATTGCTTGCTATTAGGAACAGTTTGTCCACAAACACCATTAGATGCATGCATATCTTTGCACTCTGGTGCGTAGGATAAAGATCTACAAATGGAATTTCTGGGCCACAGTTACAAGTGTCTGAACATTTTTTTTTTTTTTTGAGACGGAGTCTCACTCTGTCACCCAGGCTGGAGTGTAATGGCCCGATCTCGGCTCACTGCAAGCTCCACCTCCCAGGTTCACGCCATTCTCCTGCCTCAGCCTCCTGAGTAGCTGAGACTACAGGCGCCCGTCAACACGCCGGCTAATTTTTTTTTTTTTTTTTTTTTTTTTGTATTTTTAGTAGAGACGGGGTTTCATCGTGTTAGCCAGGATGGTCTCGATCTCCTGACCTCGTGATCCGCCCACCTTGGCCTCCCAAAGTGTTGGGATTACAGGCATGAGCCACCGCACCCGGCCACAAGTGTCTGAACATTTATAATATGAGTAAGTACTACCCAAATTGCCCTACTAAAAGATTGTCTGAGGACATCAACATTCCGATGCCAGCCCGATGTCTTCATAAACTGCCCCCATCTTCCCTTCCACCTGACAAATATGTCTCCCCACCCGGAATTCCCTGCACATTATCCCCCTTCAGACAGCAGGTGACAGGGAAGCAGCTCTGCTGGGGGGTTACCAGATGGGATGCCCCGGGGGGCTTCCTAGGAGAAATGGCTCCACTTCCTCCCATGGTGTTAATGCGTTCTCCAAACTCCAGAGGCTCTACATCTGACCCAACTGCCCAACACACACAGCGCCGCAGGTGTCAGCACAGGTGTGCAGAAAGACACACAGACAGTGGACAGCCCCCAGGACAGGCTCCAACCAAGCACCCAGAGACAGCCAGCCAGCCCCTGACCTCTGGGACACTGCCCAGTGGGGTAAGTGGGGCAAGCTGTGAACAGATGTTGCCCAGTTCCCATAGTAAGTGCCTCCAAGGACCGAAAGAGCCCAGGGAGGTGGCCACGGTGTGGCCACTCTACAGAACTTGGGCACAGAGACCCAAGGGGATTCCAGGCTCCTGCCTACTCCACCACTTCCAGCTGGTGGTCTTGGGTGAGTGGTCTGTGGTCTCTGAGCCCAAAGGTGCAGGAATGGTACCTATGCCAAAGGGATGCTGAGACTAACAAGGGACCTCACTGGGGTCCATCCTGACACATTAAAGGGCTCAGCAACCCAGAGCAGTACTAATAAAGCTCCTACTATGTGCTCTTGCTAGGTCTACACTTTGTCCATACAGACAGTCTGGAGAGTTTCCAAAGCGTGTTGTTGTTGTTTTGTTGTTTTGAGATGGAGTGGCGAGATCTCAGCTCACTGTAACCTCTGCCTCCCGGGTTCAAGCGATTCTCCTGCCTCAGCCTCCAGAGTAGCTGGGATTACAGGCTTGCCCCACCACATCCGGCTAATTTTTGTATTTTTAGTAGAGACGGGGCGGGGGGGGGGGTGCGGGGGTGTTTCACCATGATGGCCAGGCAGGTCTCGAACTCCTGACCTCAGGTGATCTGCTTGCCTAGGCCTTCCAAAGTGCTGAGATTACAGGCATGAGCCGCCGCGCCCGGCCGAAAGCGCTTTCTTACCTAATTTTTGTATCCTATTTTGTCTCACCACGACCTTCGGGGACAGGAATTATCCCTGATTTTCCAAGGACGGAACTGAAGGCCCTCCCGACTAAGAAGGAGACTTAAAGCGCCTTTTTCAGCGTGGAAGACAAGACTCGCGGGCGCTAAAGGCAAGCGCAGAGAGGGGAGGCGATTTGCCTGAGGTCACACAGCAGGCAGGGGCAGACCCCAATCCCCAGCAGCTCTTTCACTGCCCCTGCTGCCCCTCTCCGTCCCAGCCTTGGGCCCGGGGGCTTTCCGCCCAAGAGCCACACCCAAGTCACGGTAACCACAGCTACGCCGGCAACCCCCAACTTGCCGCGGGCCCGCGCGGGGCGGCTCCTCAGAGCCTCAGTTTCCCTTTCTAGAGCGGGCCCGCCGCCGCCGGTGGGCTGAGGGAGGGCGGCTCGGCGCCGGGCGGGCCGGGCGGGGCGGCGCCTGACTCAGCGGGCGGGCCATGGGCTGCTCAGCCGGTCCGACCGGCCGGGAGGGGCACGAGCCGCGGGGGCGCTGCGGGGCCGGGCGGCCCGGGGGGTGACGGGAAGGGAGGCCGGTCCGGCGCCGCCCAGCCCCGGGCTCCGGGCGGGAAGTGGGCGAGCGCGACGGTGCGGGGCGCGCGGGCGACGGGCCAGCGGGATGGGAGCAGGGTCCCCCGGCGGCCCGCAGCCTCGGGAGCCGCGCTGAAGCCGGGGGCGGGACCAGCGCGGAGCCGACATGTGTCTGCGCCTCGGTGAGCGACTGGGGGCGCGCGGGAGGCCCCGAACCACCCCAACCCTCCCACAGGAGCGGAGCACTGAGCCCGGAACCCGAGCCCCCAGGGGGCCAGGCCACCTGCTCTGCCTCTAACTTACTACGAGGCCGGGGTCGGGTCACTTTCCTCTCTGGGCCTCAGTTTCCCCAGCAGTGAAATGGAGGGGAGGAGCGCTGCGGGTGTCTTCTCGATGTGGCTGTAGCGTCTCTTACCCTCGCCCTCTCTTGCCTTTCCTGCGGAGGCGCACGACTGCCCTCGGGGACCCCCGGGTGGGCGGCAGAGGAGACGCTGGAGAGAGCAGCCCCATCTTACCCAGAAGGGACCCCGGGGCCAGGCCTCAGCTTCCCCACCCTTACAAGGGGCTCCCACTTACATACTCTCCACTCTCCCGAGGCCAGGAAGGAAAGCCGTGGGCAAAAAGGATCAGCAGCGGGGGAGCGGGACTAATGTGCCCCCTCCTTCCACTGCCTGGGCACGGTGATGCTGCTTGTGGGCAGCAGAGTCCTGGGGCATCCCCGCTGTCTAGCCGAGAGACCTTGTGAGCCTCAGTTTCTTTGTCTGTAAGAGGGGGACAGTAGTTCCCACCTCCTAGGACTACTATGAGGATGAGGGCAGCTTCTAAGAGTAAAGCGCTTAGCACCTTGCCGGCTGCGCTGCTATGCGCTCCCACAGTGGTAAGACAAATGAAGCCAGCTGGGCTTCATCTGGGAGGCAGCACTCTGGGAGGCCGAGGCAGGCGGATCGCTTGAGTCCAGGAGAGACTAGCCTGGCCAACATAGTGAAATCCGTCTCTACAAAAAATTTAAATAAAGAAAAAAAAATTTAGCCCGGCTACTCAGGAGGCTGAGGTGGAAGGATCACCTGAGCCCAGGAGGCAGAGGTTTCAGTGAGCCACGATCAGGCCAGTGCACTCCAGCCTGGGCTACAGAGTAAGACCCTGTCTCAATCAATTTAATTTAAAAAGTCAAGGACTGCTCCAGGCTCAGTCCAGTGCTCCAGGCACAGCCCCATGCTGGCACCGTGCCTCCTCTTTGACCAAAGTCTTGGTCCTGGGATGCTGTTGTTATTGAGTCCAGCCCTCAGCTGGAAGGTAGACACCGAGCTCCCAGGTAGGTGGGTGGAGGGGGTGAGGTGGGTCAGGCTCCTGCGCTGAAGCTGCCATGCCCCTTCCTGCTTGGCTGGCAGTCCATCTTCACAATGCTATTCCAGTCTCATGGTGCCTGTCCAGCCCATCGTCTGCCCTCTGCTTCTGCTAGACCTGGTTCAGCTCCAGAGGGTCCTGCAGTCTCCAGGGGTCTCAGACACTGGCTGGACCAATGCCTCCCCATTTTATAGATGTGGAACTTGGGGCCCAGAGGGGAGGGGCTGGTGCATGGTCACACAGCAAGTCTGTGACTGAATAGCCCCATCCCTTCCTGCTCCCTGGGGACTGTCTCTTGGCACAGCTTCAGACAGATGTCCCAGAGCGTCCAGTGTAGAGATTTCATTTTTTTTAGACGGGGTCTCTGGCTCTGTAGCCCAGGCTGGAGTGCAATGGCACGATTATAGCTCACTGTGGCCTCCACTTCCTGGGCTCAGAAGATCCTTCTGCCTCAGCCTCCTGAATAACTGGGACTAGAGGCATGCACCACCATGCCTGCCTAATTTTTTATTTTTATCTTTTTGGTAGAGATGGGATCTTGCTATGTTCATCAGGCTGGTCTTGAACTCCTGGCTTTAAGTGATTCTCCCACCTTGCCCTCCCAAAGTGCTGGGATTAGAGGCATGACCACTGTGCCCAGCCTCTTTTTTTCTTTTTTTTTTTTTTTTTCAGCTGCAGAGCTACCGTATATTAAATATGACCAAACCGCTCTACCACAGATGAGGAGAGGGAGGTCTAGGAAGGGACTCAGAGTCACATCCCATCAGAAGCAGCTAAAGAAGGGGATGTTTAGTTCTAGGGCCTGACCACAGTCTTCAAGTCTCAGAGCTGGCTCTAGTGAGGGGCTGGCAGGGCCAGGGGGTGTGGTGTGTCTCCTTGAAGGCAGAGCTAGGACTTATGGGCAGATTTCAGACAGCAGGTCGGGAGCCGGCATGTGCAGGTAGGGCTGGGCAGCCACTTGGCCACTGAGAGCATCTGAATGAGTCCCAGTGTTCTTTTGATCCCAGCTTCCCCCACTCACTCCATCCTGCCAGGTTCCCCCTGCACTGAGAGCTTGCTTTTCCCAGTACCCTCAGGGTACACCACACTTTCCCATCCACTTCCTCATGGACCCACTGAGAGACAAGGTTCTTCTTCCCATTTTACAGATGGGGACATGGAGATTCAGAGCCTTGAGTTACCTCCCCAAGTCACCTGGCTCTGGGCAGTTCAGTTCAGCAGCAGTGTCAGCATCTGCTGTGTACCAGGCCCTATCCGTGAATCTGAGTACCAAGCAGGGCCCAATTCCTGCCCAATGAACTCTGGCTCCTTGTGGCCTGGAGAGTGACTGTGGAGCTCACCGTCGTACCCCAGGGCCTGGCACAGAGCAGACACTCTGTGAACATGTGTAGTGAACACACGAATCAGTGAATGGGTAGCTTAGTGGGAGGATCTCGAAGTCTAGAGCTAGAGACCTGAGCTAGCGCCCCCCACTCATGACCTTGAACACTAACAAGTGCTACTGCTAAGAGCTACCTGTGTGCTTGTCCAGCCTTAGAGTCCCAAGGATTCTCACAAAGGCATCCCGAACCCCTTTTATGGATGAGGAGACCAAGGCTCAAAGAAGACAAGTTACTGGCTCCAAGTCATTCAGAAATACATTTAGAACCCAATGTCCATCACTAGGGCCAGGGCCTCAGCTTCCCCTTCTGCCCAGCAGGATAAGCCCCACGCACAGCCCTGACATAGCTGTCCCCCACAGGAGGCCTGAGTGTGGGCGACTTCCGGAAGGTGCTGATGAAGACAGGCCTGGTGCTGGTGGTGCTGGGCCATGTGAGCTTCATCACAGCTGCCCTGTTCCATGGCACAGTGCTGCGCTACGTGGGCACCCCTCAAGATGCGGTGGCTCTGCAGTACTGCGTGGTCAACATCCTCTCTGTCACTTCCGCCATCGTGGTATGGCCAGGCTGGGAGGGTGGTTGGTGGGAGGAGGCTGGAGGGGGCTTGAAGGGTCTTCAACAGGTCCCCACCCAGAGCCTGTGGTGGTAAGCAGACAGCCTCAAGGACTAACCCTTTGTCTGCCACTTACCAACTGCCCAAGTCACTCAACTTCTTCATCTATCAAATGGAGATGGTAACAGTGTTTACCTCTGAGGGTCCTAATGGGTACTGATGAGATCATCCACACAAAGTGCTTAGCAGAGTGTCTGGCATGGCATGTTGTTAGCACCCACTACTGTGAGCTAGGATGATTATTACATCGAGGAATAGCCACAGCACCACTGGACAGAAGAAAGGAGCAGGAGGTGAGCTTGGGAGGGTGCCGGAGGGTTTCACAGAGTGCAGGCCTCTGACCTGGGTATTGATGGATGAGCAGGAGTTCACAGACAGGCTGCCATGACCAGAACCTACATATTGGCATGCTGAGGCTAGCATAGGCAGGAAAGGAAGCTGAGATGGCATTCCGAGTACAGAGAATGGGAGACGGGAAGGTTGGAGGTGGAAATGACTAAGATCTGTTCTGGAGATTCTGAGAAAACCAATTTGGCAGGAGCTTAGCATTAGGCCCGGTCTGTAGCAACTGCTCAATGAATGGTAGCCACGGTTGTGACCAGATATCAGTACCTGTTTGACTAGCACATGAATGGAGGGGTCTGGTAGTCTCAAGTTTCTAAAGCTCTTTCTTGCCGGTCAGCACAAGTGGCCACAGCCTCGGGGGAAGATCCTCCCGCACATCAGTGTCTGAGTTCCATCCCTGCCTTCTCCTGGCTGAGGGACTTATTTCTCTCTCTAGGCCTGTTCCTCCCTTGCAAAATAAAGCTCAGACAGCCTGCTGGCCTCAAGGCTTGGGAGAATGGGAGTCATAGGTCCCAGCAAGAAAGAGAGGCTCTGTTGGTGGGACAGGGCTGGGATGGGCGGATGTGTGCAGGGTCCTTGGAGTTCCTCTAATACTGTTGTGAGGAAGGCAGGGAAGGCAGTGAGCTCAGGGCGAGGAGGTCCACCAGGATGGACTTTGAGCTGGACCACTTCAGCCTTCCCCTCACTTACTCGGTTAATCCTCACTTCTCCCAGCAACTGGGGGCCATTATTATACCTGTTTCACAAAAGAGGAAACCAAGACTCAGGGATTCACCCAACCTCCTGCTGATACACAGAAGCCAAACCAGATTGGAAACTATTTGTGTCTGACACCAAAACCAGTGTCCTTTCTGTCAGCTCATCCTGCAGAGTGGGGCTAAGCCCACAGAGATGAGGCACTCTGTTGTGGCTCTCATGTGAACTAAAGACATGCTAGGCCTGGAACCCAGGACCCCGTCATACCACCTGCCTCAGATGGGTCCGGCCCAAGCCTGGTCCAGTGAGGAACATCAGGAGGAAGGCTGGCTGGGTGGACCCCAAAGATCCAGAGGGCAGCTGTTGGGCTGAACTGTGGGGTAGCCCCACCCCTTGGGATCGAGGCTGGTTAGGGAAACGTGTGCAAACCTGAGCAGGGCTTGCAGGATCCACACGGGCAGAGGAGCAGGAAGGTGAGAGGGTGCATGGGCAGTGTCCTGAGCAGGCTGTGTATGGGCATCCACATCCAGAGCAGTGAGGGAGGAAGGTAGCCCAGGTAGGGCTGAGAAGCCAACAGGGTTGGGGCTGGGATCTGGTCACTGAGAGCCTGGAATCATTGAAAATACTCCCAGAGATTTAAAATTCTACTCCATAACATGTCTTGGTTTGTTTCAATGTAACAATTTTGATTTTAGTTCCTTGCTAACTGGGTTAGTTTCTTCCACAATCTTTTTCATTCCAGAAAGGGGTGTCCCATGCATACCCTGGCATGCCCCGGTGGCCCCAGGATACATGAACCTGCTTGAGACACAGGCTTAGGAGTGGGGACTCATGGAAGGTTGTAGAGAGGGAGTGACTGTTTTAGAAACATCATGTCAGGCTGGACTATGAGGAGGCAGATGGAGATGTGAGGCCCAGGCTAAGCAGCAGGTGAGGGGTGGGGGAGTCTGGAGGGCAATGGTTGGCGCCGGTGAGATCATTATCCCAGAGTGGCCCTGATCCCCCTGCCCCTGTTCCTCCAGCCAAGGAGTCAGGGCTGACTTGAGCCTTCCCTACAGGTCATCACTTCAGGCATCGCAGCCATCGTGTTGTCACGCTACCTCCCTAGCACCCCCCTGGTACGTGGTGCCTCCTGGGATGGGGCTGTGAGGGAAGGGTAGGGGCAGCAGCCACCCGCCAAGGGCCTGGCCTCCTTGGAGAGGGTAAGGCTGACCCTCAGGGAGGCCAGAGCTGCCCATGGGGGCCAAGCACGACGCCCATTGACCAGTGGCCTCCCCCGTCCAGCGCTGGACAGTGTTTAGCTCGAGCGTGGCCTGTGCTCTCCTTTCTCTGACCTGTGCCCTCGGCCTCTTGGCCTCCATCGCCATGACCTTTGCCACCCAGGGCAAGGCACTGCTGGCTGCCTGCACTTTTGGGAGCTCTGAACTACTGGCCCTCGCACCTGACTGTCCCTTCGACCCCACACGCATTTATGTGAGTACCTAGGCCTGGAGTAGGGGCACCAGGCCCTCGCACGGGTGGGAAGGGCTCTTGGAATCCACCCTCCACCCCCAACTCCAGCCAGCCATCTCTGCCCCATGCCCCGCAGAGCTCCAGCCTGTGCCTCTGGGGCATCGCCCTAGTGCTCTGCGTGGCGGAGAACGTGTTTGCTGTACGCTGTGCTCAGCTCACCCACCAGCTGCTGGAGCTGAGGCCCTGGTGGGGGAAAAGCAGCCACCACATGGTAAGTTCCCTCCACAGCCCTGACTCCCCGAATTTCCTGGGAGCCCCTGCCAGGGTGCCCAAGCTGCTCTGCCCCACCCCTATGTATGGGCCCCCACCTTGAGAAATGGGGCAGAAGTTTTCTCCCCAGGAGCAAAGGGAGAGGCCTGGAGGCTGGGAGAGGTGAGATCTCCCAGCAGAGTCACACAGCTGACACCTGGCTCTCCTAGGGCCCAGGATGAGTCTTGAGGGAGGGGCAGGGGTGTCTGGGCTCGCACTGAGGGCATTGCAAAGGTCAGGCCTGGCTCTTGCAGTGGAGTGGGTAGTGATGCCCCTTTGCCCCCAGAGAGCCTTCCAGCCCTCACCTCCTTCCATTTCCCGGATGTCCTGGAGGAGGAGACCCAGGCTGAGAACCAGTGGGTCTGGCAGCCTCCTGTGTCTCTGCAGATGCGGGAGAACCCAGAGCTGGTGGAGGGCCGTGACCTGCTGAGCTGCACCAGCTCTGAGCCTCTGACCCTCTGAGAGATGATGTCCTGCCCAGGCCCGATGGCCACTAGGACCCTGCAAGCAACTCTGCTCTGTGACCAGGCCAGGATTCCTGGAGCTGGCCTGAGAGGGCTCAATGGACCCTCGGGGACCCAAGTGGGGCTTTCAACCCTCTCCCCCACCACCCAGCCCACTGCACTGAAATGAGACTTTATTCTGAAATTATTAAAAAGAACAGAGATGCTCCATTTGGCTGCATGCAGGGGGGGCGGTTGGGGGGACAGAGGGGAGGACAGGGGCTCAGCCAGGGGGACCGTGTCTCTTTCCCACGCAGGACACTGTGCATGGGGCTCTGGGTGCATCTGCCCATCTGTCTATGGGCCTGTGTGTGTGTGAGAGGCCAAACACAGAGAGCTCCGTGGGTCTGTGTGTATCCAAGTGCTAAAAGGCAGGCTGGCTTTCTGGGGCCCACAGCTGGCGGGCTAGTATCCTGGAAGGTTTCACTTGGTGGCTTGGCCTAGGGACCAGCAAGGGCTGGGGTGGGAAGGGTGGCTCAAGGAAGCCTCTTTCTCCAACTCCACACCCCTAGAATCCTTCTCTCCCCTCCAGATAAAAAGTCTCCTCCCCTGGGCATGACTCCCCCCACCCCGCAAGCTGAGACCTGCAAGAAGGGGACTGCCCCTTTGGGGGAGGGGTCGGGCCTTGGGGCTGGTGGGTGGGTAAGGGGGCCTGACTGAGGGGCAGACCAACCCAGCCTGTGTCTCTATTGTTGCCTCTGGGATTGGGGGGTGCTAACCGCTTACTTGCTTTGGCCTGGGGGTACCGCAGGGTTCCCTTTTCCGGAAGCCCCCCACAGGGCAGACCCGGGGAGAAGGGCTTCCCCAATCTGGCCCCCAGCCAGAATACACACAAGGGAGTGGAAGCTAAGAGCCGGGAGGGGGCCGGTGAAGGGAGGGAGGAAGGGGAACCTGGCTCCTCTCAGAACTGGGAGGCGCTGCTGGGGTCGCACTGCAGCAGACGCACGATGGACGGGTCGCTTTTGGCCCCGCGGATGAACTCCTCCAAGGACAGCTTGCCTGCAGGGCGAGGGGAGCGGTGATGGGGGAGGAGGCGGCAGCCTAGCGAGGGGAGGCGGAGCGGGAAAGGGAGGCAGGGAGGGAGGGAGGGAAAGGCGCCCGCCCCGTCCACCCCGTCCCGCCCCTGCCCCTCACCGTCGTTGTTTGTGTCCATTTGGCGGAAGATTTTCTCAGTCCTCTTTTCCGGGGTCGACTCGTCCTCCGGCATCTTCATCACGGACGAAACCATCTTGTAAATGGCCTGGGGGCGGGAGGGGAGGCGGGGAGTGAGAGGAGCCTGCCCGAGCCCCCACCCGCAAGATTCAGAGGCGCCCCCGGGCTCTCTGACGTTTGCTGCCCCCGCCTGGGCAAGGTGGAGTGGGGAATCACGGAGGCGTGGGGAGCCGAGGGCTTCGGGAAGGCGTGTCCGGGAAGGCCTCCCAGAAGAGAGGGCTATCGGGCGGGCCCTGCCGCGCTCCCTTGGAGGGCTGGGTGGGAAAGGAGCAAAGGCGCCGCAGGTGGAAGCTCCGAGCGGGCGCAGGGGTCAGGAGAGATGTTGGAGGACACCGGGGCCCGACAGTGGAGGGCCTGGAGCGGCGGGCTCAGGAGCGCGTGCCCCGGGGCACGCGCGTCGGGGGTAAGTACCGGGCTGGCACCCGGGCCCAGGGCGGCCCGCGCTCGGTGGTCGAAAGGGGGCGCCGGGCCAAGGGGGCGGCACTGCGCTGCGGGGCCGTCTGCTGCCGGCAGGGGGCGCGGCGCGGGCTGGAGGGCCAGAGGCAGCTGGGCCCAGAGGGGCGGGGAACAGTATGCAAATGAATGCAAATGAGCATCTGCAGCGGGCAGGGACCGCCAGGCTTGGCTAGGCTGGGCTGGGCAGAGGGCGGCAGCCGCCACGTGCAGTAGCTCCCGAGGCGACGTGAAAGAGAGTTCTTGCGCTAAATGTACAGAGCACGTAGGGCTTGGCCTGTAGCCTGGGTCGCAGTGCCTTGGAGCTCAAGGACCGAACCTGTCTCCTCAATCTTCCAGCTTTACCCGACCGACACTTCCTCCAAGAAGCCTCCCTTCTCCCATCCCATAAACTTCTGCTGCCTCAGATCCAGCTTCAGCCTCCACACTGGTCTCTTCCAGCCTCTGTCCCTCGGGTCTGTCCCCCATGCTGCCTCTGAAAGCTCTTTCCGAACACAGATCTCCACTGTTACGTCCCCAGCCTGCACACCACCCCCTCACTCCCGTCACACACAGGCCTCCTCTTAGGCCCGCCTTGCACCCAGCTCCTGCTGCTGCTTCCCACTTCTCCTTGGGGCTCAGTTTACAAGCTGTTTTCTTAGCGAGGTCTTCTCCAACCCAGGCTGGGTCAGGGTGCATATGGGCCCAGAGCCTGGCGGACTTTTCCTTTGCAGACATCTCTCCAGAAGTAATTATGTCTTTGCAGGGTTGTTCCTGCAAACATGGACGTCTAGCTAATGCCCATATCCCCAGAACCTGGGACCAGGCAGGGACTTCCCTATTTAAAAGCCATTGGCACTTCCCACTGCCCTCTGTACCAAGTTCAAACCATTCAGCCCTTGGGATTTAAGACGCTTTACAATCTGTCCACTGCTGACCCTCCTCCATCAGGTCTCCCCTGGCTGGGTGATTCTGCCAACAGCCAAACACCCCTGGCCCTTCAGATTCTCCAGCATTTACAGTCTTTGCCTGGAATAACGATACTAAGTACCACTTATCAGGGGCCCGCTCTGTGCCAAGTACTTCACATGCACTATTTCTAAACCTCACGCAAGCCCTGAAAAACAGGTATCATGATCCCCATTTTCCAGATAAGAAACTGAGGCTCAGAAGGAAATTGATGGCAGAGACTCGATTTGTACCTGTTCCCTCTTAGCTGCTGGAGGGATGCTTGGGCAGTGTGGGGTGGTGATAATCAGCAGGGCCTTTAGCATTAGACCCGGTCTGTAGTAACTGCTCAATGAATGGTAGCCACAGTTGTGACTGGATATCACTACCTGTCTGACCAGCACATGAATAGAGGGGTCTGGTAGTCTCAAGTTTCTAAAGTTAGATGGACCTGGAGTGGTGTCCTGGTTGAACTACTCACTAACTGTGTAGCCTTGGACATATATGTATCTGTGAGCCTCAGTTTCCTCAGATTAAATGAGATTATGTGTGAGGAACCGTGGCTGGCTAGAGTGGGTGGTCAGTAAACAGCAGCTCATATTATAGTCATTATTCATCCTCCACATCCTCAAGTCTTCCCTGCCACTCAGTAGTCCCCTGGTTCCCAGATGACACCTTTACACCCCTGTCACTGAGCTTGTCAGTGTGACCTACACATCTGTCTCCCCCACCAGAGTGGGAGCCCCAAGAGGCGCAGTCTCTTCCTCTCCAGTGTGTCCATTACCTGGCAGAGGGCTGGGTCTTGAGAAGAACTGGGCCAGTGACCAGTAACCCTGTGATAGCCTTCTCCTGGGCCTCCTAACTAATTGTCTGGAATTGCTGCTTACTCATGGTTTCATGGGAGCCAACTTGTCATTAATCAGGCACTGGGGCTTGCAGAGCTCTGTGTGCACCAGCTGTCTGGGGCCCCCGGGCCGCCCTAAAAGAAGCCAGGGTCTGGATAGCAGAGGCCACCAGAAAGGGGTCCTGAGGATGCCCAGGGAATGGGTCTAGCTTGACTGACACCCGGGCGTGGTGGCTCCAGCAGGACTGGGGTTTACCAGTACACACCAGTGCAACACACTAAGTGGTAAAATGCCAACATTCCTTCAGATAGTCAGTACCCAGCTGCTGTCCATGTCCGGGTGATCCTCCACCATTCTGGCCACCTGGCCCTACCATCAGGACCCCCAGATCCCCCTACCATCAAGCAACTAAAGAGTCAAATGCCTGGCTCACAGGAGTCCATGGCAAACATTAGGGCTTTCCCCTCTCTAGCCATAGGTATGGGGAGGGCATCACATCTCCACCTGGAGAGAAGACCCAGACCTTAGCAAGAGGAGAAGCCAAAGTCAAGAGTCCAGCAGTGGCTGGGGCAGCAGTCTGTGGAGCTGAGGGACCAGAAGGGAAAGGATTCAGAGATGCAGAAGGAAAGGGGGCAAGAGCTTGTGCAAAGCTGCGTGACAGGATTAGTCAGGGCACATTTCAAAGATGCTGAAAAGGCCCTTCTGGCTAGAGCAGAGGATGTGCAGAGGAGAAAATAATAACAGACAATTGCTAATGTCTACCAAGTACCAATTATATGCCAAGCCTTCCGCTCAAGTCCTTATCTCACTCTATCCCTGCAATAGCCTTGTGAGGCAGGGGATTAACACCCCCACTTTACAGGTGAAAAAATGTGTAAAGCCTTAGGAAAAAGGCAGATAAAATAGAGCCAGAGCCCTGGCCATCTTCAAGGCTGGGCTGAGGGGATGGGTGGTTTCTGAAATAAAGCTAACATGCAGCACACTTAAACTTGTACTAACAAAAGGCATTTATATCCGGTCCTTAAATCTCCTTGTGAAGTCAGTATGAGCGTACAGATGAGCAACCTAAGATTGAAGGCCACTTCCAGAACTGGAAGCCAGACCTCCTGGCTATGAGTCCAGAGCCCTCTCAGTAGACAGCTCTAAGTAGTGGCCAGCCAGAGCTTTTCTCCACTTATGTGCTGTGTGATTTTGGGCACATCACCTCACCTCTCTGAGCCTCATGGGGTTGTTGTAAGCACGCACTGAGCTCATGAGCACCTCACTCAATGCTAGGCTCATAGTGGGCCCTCAATCAATTAGTTAGAAGATGGCTGGGTATCCAGATGGAATGTAGACAGTGGTGCCAGATGGCCCACTCACACAGGCTGTGTGGCCTCAAGCAAGTGCCTTTATCTCTCTGAGCATCCGTTTCCTCTGGTGTAAATGAGGATCAACTAGACATAGCTGGACTGTGCTCTGCAGAAATGTCAATTCATAAAAGATAAAGAAAGGATGAGGAGCTATTCCAGATTAAAGGGGGCTAAAGAGACATGAGAACTAGATGCAATGCATGACCCCAGGTCAGGGCCAAAAATGCTATAAAGAACATTATGGAGACAGTTGGCAAAATTGGAATATGGTTGGTAGATTAGATAATAGCATTGTTTCTATGTTAAATATCCTGGCTTTGGTAATCATATTATGGGTTATGTAAGAGAATGTGCTTATTTTTAGGAAATATATCCTAATGTATCCAGGGGTAAAGGGCCAATGTTCAGAACAGCAAGAAAATGTTACACACTAGTGTGCACACACGCACACACACACTGATAATGATGAAGCAACTGTGGGAAAATGTTAATTGGTGAATCTGGGTAGAGGGTATAGGGGAGTTTTCTCAACTTTTCTTTAAATGGGAAATATTTCCTAAAAACAATTTTTAAAATGGGATTGCAAGAATATCCCCTGCCACCACATGCCTACGAGGTCTGCTGAGAGGATCAAAAGGGGTGGTGGGTGCAAGCTGCCGGGCCCTGTGCCTGGCATTCTGAGGGGCCCAGGGGCCCACCTGCACGATCTCCAGCATCTCCTCCCGGCTGATGTAGCCGTTGCCGTCCAGGTCATACATGCTGAAGGCCCACATGAGCTTCTGCTCCAGGCGGCCGCGCGAGGTCACGCTCAGCGCAATGATGAACTCCCGAAAGTCTATGGTGCCATCGCTGTTGGTGTCAAAGGTGCGGAAGACGTGCTCGGCAAACTTGGAGGCGTCACCATAGGGAAAGAAGTTGGCGTAGATCTTCTTGAACTCATCCACATTGAGGATTCCTGTGGGGCAGTCCTTGAGGAAGCCCTTGTACCACTCCTGCAGCTCCAGCTCTGAGAACTCTGTGTTCTCTCGCAGGTCCTGCAACATCTCGGGCCGCAGCTTGCTGTTCTGCTTGCCCATGGCCGCCGAGCCAAGTCCCACCTGGGTCCCCAAGGGGGTCAAGGGCAGAGAGGAGTGATCAGGCCCTCCTGGCTACTAGACACTGCTCCAGATGGGCCCCCCTGCCAACAGCCATCCCTGCCTCTTGTTTGGCCCAGTGAAAGAGAGGAACTGGCCCAAGGTCACACAGCCTAGACCCAGGCATCCTGTATCTATGCCATGCTCCACACCATCTCCCTGGACCATACGCTTTCCTGGGAGAGGGAGGAAGGGAAGGGTGGTTCACATTTACTGAGGCCCTTCTAGGTGCCAGCCACTAAGCCTTCACAAATGCACACCAATTCACTTTCGCAACAGGTTGTATGGGGATTTGCCCCATTTTACAGATGAGAAGGCAGGCTTACAGACGTGAGGTGGCTGCTTCAGGTCACACAGCCATGGCATTATGAGGCTGACTCCTAGAGTTGCCCACAGAGGTGCAGAAAAACCTTCTGATCCTCCTCCGTCCTACCCACTGCCTTCTCATTGCCTCACATGTGCCTGCTCAGCACTGAATATACCCGCAGCCCAGACACTGCCCTGTTCTCCCTCTGACAGGTGTGCCCAACAAGAGGCAGCAGAGGGAGGTGTTACTGTGGGCTCCAGAGTCAGATCACCTAGGTTTGAATCCCAGCTCCTCCTCTTACCAGCTATGTGACCTTGGGCAAGTTCCTTAAACTCTCTCTGCCTTATCTTTAAAGTGGGGTAATAACAGTACTTACCTAAGAGGATTGTTTTGGGGATTAAATTAGTTAATATGTGTGAAGCACTTAGAACCATGGCTGCATAGATAAGTGCTACATAAATGTTAAATAAATAAAAATGACTTACATATACCCAGGTGCCACAAAACTCATGCAAAAACTGTGCAAATGAATGTATACCGATAACTGTATGCTTCATAGCTCACCAGATCCACACCCTGGATCCCATGCCACTCACGTACCAGCCCACGCCCACCCATGGGTCAGCATGCCTCCACACATGACGACATTCCCTCTGCTCCACAACTCACACGAATCGACACATGGCACCACGCACAACTCCCATACCCTGTGCATCAAGACACACCAGCCCACGACCCCACATGTCTCACACATGCCATCACACGCCAACTCGCATGCCGACACCTCTCACATGGCCAGCTGCACGTGGGACCTTCAGGCACCCTTGCCATTTTTCTTTGTTTTCCTTCTGTTTTCCCAGGGGTGCTGCCAGGTCCCAGGAGAGGGAGCTGCAAACCTTCCCAGACCTGCTCGGGGCCCCTTTTCCAAGGAGACCCCCCACCAAGCCCATCCAAGCCTCCCCAACACTTACCCTTCATCTAGTCCTGAAAGGTCCCCTGAGTGCAGGTTAGATTGTGGAGGCTGAGTAGAAGGCAATGAAGAGGAAACAGCCAGCCAGTTCTGCACAAGGATGTAGGCGTGTGTGCAGGTGACCCCCACCCACTTAGGGCAAGGAGGGGCCTCCTTGTGCATACATGTGCATGAAGCTCTGCACACATGTGAATGGGTGTGTTGTGAGTGCATGTGCTCATGCATGATGTGTGCCGCTGGTTTTTGCATTGCATTTGCCTGCCGTGTCTTTCCATCTATGTCCCTGCATGTGCCTCAGATGTGCATGTGATCAGGTATGCACCCGTCACAGCGTGAGGGAATGAGCCCGTGTGGCCATTTGGAGGACCCGTGTGTGTCCTCGGCGGTGTGTCACATGCATGTTTCTGTAAGTTGGTGCCCCTCCTTTCTAGACCAGCCTCTTATGGCCCAGGCTAAGGACCCACCGGACAAGTGAGTGGGAAAGGGCTAAGGAAATGAGAAGGGCTGGGGCATGTCCCGCACTGCCCTCCTCAAGGTCCAAGGAACTGGGTCACCGGGGTGGGGGCAGAGAGATGCGCGGAGCAAGAGAGCTCCTCCAGTGCCCCCTGGGCCCTGCCACCCTCGGAGTTGCCCCTCCCGGTTGCAAGAAGATTCAGCTGCCCGCAAAGACCTCCAGTCCCCCATATGGGAAGAACCCCCTCAGCTCGACCTGAGAAGCCAGCCCCGGGGACCCGCTCCAAACCTCCCTCAGCTCTGTCCCCCAGCCCCCGCCTCCATCCGCTCAGCACTAGGACAGCGCCCGGCGCGTGGCCCCTCCTGGAGGGGGCGCTCCAGGGCGGTCGAACGCGGTTCCTAGGGGCCGGCCACTCGGCGGTCAGGACCCTGGAGAGCACCGCGCGCTTCCCAGTCCCCAGCGCCCCCGCCACCCGGGGCAAGGATTCCCGGGAAGCCCGGGAGCGGCGGTGTTGGGAAGCCCTGGACGTGGGCCCCCAGCTCCGGGAACCCCCTGCCCTCATCCCCCGGCCCCGGCTGGAGCTGCCCCCACTCACCCAGCGACGCGGAGACACCGACTGCGCAGGGAAGGCGGCGCTGCTGCGGCGCGCGCGGCAGGGGCGGCAGGAGGGGCGGGCGGGACTGCGAGGGAGACGCCCCGCAGCGCTCACCCGGAGCCCCTCCCCTGGGGGGGTCCCCGCCAGCCCTGGGGGCTGGGGAGCGGCGCGCTGGGCTCCGCCCCCCACCCCCGCCCCGGAGAGAAGGGGACGCCCTCAGTTCCCCGGTCCCCCTCGAGGGAGCACCCTGCCCGGGGAGGAGGATCGCGGCGCCCCTCTCCTCGGCACCTCGGCTCTGGTGGCCGGAATGGAGGGACACGGTAGTGCCAAGAGGTCTCTCTCCTGAGCCGGGGGCGATCCCAGGCCACTCCGCCCCGCTTCCTTCCCCATACCCACCTGGGCTCTGAGCCGCACGTCGCTTCGAGGGCCGAATTGGCACCCTGGGCACCCTCCCTGCTCCTGCGCCTCAACTCCCAACTAACGGAGCTGGGAGCGTGGAGCGCCCATTCCTCCAGCTACTGAGGTCTTCGGGGTAGGGGACCAGACACGCCCCCTTCCCCACCTCCACCTTGGCGAGCCGGCCCCCATGTCAAACCCACCACTCCAGACCTCACCCCGACCCCCCTCTCAGAATTAATCCCACCTCCCAACTTTGGTGTCAGCTGCTCCTCCCACTCCCCCTTCCAATCAAGGAAACCCCCTCCCTTCCTCCCTCCCCAGCCTCTGATTGTGCAGGCCATGACAGGAGGGCAGAACATCTGCCTGGGGATCCTGTGGCACCTACCCACTGCCTGCCGACCGCACAGCTCCTCTCCAGAGTCGATGACCCCTAGCCCAGCTCCTCCTGCCCCCAGCCTCAGCAACATTCTCCGCATGCTGGGCTGAGATTTTGTCCTTTTTCCATTTCTAGGGGTTGGTCCTTATTGTCCCCATGAAGAAATGGGCTCAAAGGGGTTAAGTGATTTTTCCAGTGTGTGCGCCCTCATCCATTCATTCCACAAATACATATAAAACACTAGTTCTGCGGCCAGCATTGTTCTGTCTAGATAGTGGGACTACAGGCGCAGACAATAAACAATGGACACAATATACATGTCGATATTAGACATGTGTTTTTAAACGTTGGGATTTGGGTGTGGCAGTTAGAATGGTAACTGCCATTGGGGCCATCCAGGGCCTTGGGGCCTATGACAATGACTTTAGGCTTTTTATTCCAGATGAGATGGGAAGTCCTGGGGGGCTTTGAGCAGAGTGAGAGGGTGTGACCTCCATGTGGACAGCTTCCTTGGGTTATTATGTCAAGAAGAGACTTTGAGGAGTTGGGGGCAAGGTGGGAGAAGGGGCCATTTCAGGCTGAGAGATGGCCGGGGTGGGTCTGGTTTCTGGATTTACTTCGCAGGTAAAGCCGGCAGCATTTGCCATCTGCCCAGAGGGCCCTTCCCAGCCCAGAGTTTCTTCAGCATCGGCAGCTCAGCCCCTCCTGGCACCCCAGGGCTCCGCCTCCAGGCTCCCAGACTGAGCCTCTCAAGTCCTCAGAGTCTAGCCTTAGTCCCTCCTGCTTGGAGGCAGGTGGGGAGGTCTCGGCTGGAGGAACTGAGGAGCCGGGGTGGGGTGGGGACAGCTGGGCTCTCCGGAACACCGGCTTCACTGTGTGCCTTGGCTCTGATGTTGGGACCCCCAGTGGAGGCGTGAGAGACACCAGATGAGCGTGGGTGGTTCCCAGCTGCCTCCTGCGTGAGGACCTGGGGGCTGGGAGAGACTCGCTGCTCAGCCCCCACCCCAGGGCCCTCCAGTGGCAAGCTCCCTCCCATTTCCCCACCAGGCCTGGGGGGCCAGCTGTGCTGGGGTCGGGGAGACGGTCCCACCCTCCCTCACCTCCTCAGCCCCCTCCCCCATCACCCCTTCCTCTCTCTCCTGAGTGGTCTGGATCCTCCTCTTTATCCTTGGGGGACTCAGTTTATCCCCATCTTGGGCTGCTCAGCTCCCTCTTTGCCTTCTCCCCACTTCCCCAGTTCAGCCTCCTGCAGGCTCACCCCCTCAGGGGCTGACTTCTCCCCACCCCCACCACCAACCACCTTTCTTCTTTGAGGGTGACTCTGGTGCCCTGCCTTCGGACCCCCAGTCTGTGTTCTGTCTCCCCAGTAGATAGGGGTTTTGGAAGGCAAGGCCATGTCTCGCATCCCCATGAGCCCCTCCTGCCTTTGTCTTTCCCTGCACCTAGACTGTGTAGGTGGTTCTGGAGGCAGAGTGTGGGCCCTAGTGGGTTCTGCTGCTACTTCCCATCAGCCACCTGCACCTTTCAGAGGGACTAAGAAGCATTGCAAGCCCACCCCCCAACAGCCAAAGAAGGTTCAGGGCTCCCCACACTGCACAACACGGCCTTTGGTCCAAGCCCTAGTGCTCTAAGATATGGCCATGAAAAGGGGGGCTGAGGGGCAGCTGGGCAGCGGGCCTGGGTCCCTCGATCTGGACAACCCAGAGCAAGTCTCTTCCCCTTTCTGAGCAGAGAGTTCAGACAGGTGATGTAAGCATGAATGAATGAGGCCTCCTGACCCTGGAAGCCTCTTGTGTGTGGGGCTGTGTCCTTGCTGGTGATACTTAGTCCCTCCCACCTCAGACTGAGGCACCCAGAAGGAGGGAGAGGCAGGGGTGGGGTAGAAGCAGAGGCAGGTAATTGAGAGAGCCAGGCAGTGGCAGGGTCCATGGAAGGGCGAGCAAGTTCCAGGGGAGGGGAAGTCCCCAGCATCTGAGGAGGCAGGAGAGGGCACATAAATCAGGGCCGACTACCCTCCTCTAGCACTACCAAGGGAGGGACAGAACTGCTCCTGGGATGCCAGAGAGAGAGAGACGTGATATCTCAAGCACCTATAGTGTATAGAGTTCTCTGCACACGTCACCTCACTGGATCTTCAATGATTCTGAGGAATCAATAATGTTAACTGCCATTTTACAGATAGGAAAACTGGGGCTCAGAGAAGTAAAGTCACCTGTCTGAGGTAACACAGCAAGAAAGCAACAGTGTCAGAATTTGAACCCAGTTCTGGCCAAGTGTGGCGGTTCACATCCATACCCCCAGCACTTTGGGAGGCTGAGGAGGGAGGATCACTGAAGGCCAGGAGTTCAAGTTCAGCCTGGGCAACGAAGTGAGACCCCGTCTCTACAAAAAAATGCAAAAATTGGCCAGGCGCGATGGTTCACACCGGTAATCCCAGCACTTTGGGAGGCCAAGGGGGTTGGATCACGAGGTCAGGAGATCGAGACCATCCTGGCTAACATGGTAAAACCTCGTCTCTACTAAAAATACAAAAAAATTAGCCGGGCATGGTGGTGGGCGCCTGTAGTCCCAGCTACTCAGGAGGCTGAGGCAGGAGAACGGCGTGAACCCGGAAGGCAGAGCTTGCAGTGAGCCGAGATTGCGCCACTGCACTCCAGCCTGGGCAACAGAGTGAGACTCCGTCTCAAAAAAAAAGCAAAAATTAGTTGGGCATGGTGGCAGGCGCCTGTAGTCTAAGCTACTTGGGAGGCTGAGGTGGGAGAATTGCTTGAGCCCAGGAATTTTGAGGAATTTGAGCTATGATTGCGCCACTGCACTCCAGCCTGGGCAACAAAGCAAGACCCTGTCTCTAAAAAAAGAAAAAATTGAACCCAGTTCTGTGTGACTCAGGAGCCCAGGCCCTCTCTGGAAACCTCTCAATGAAGTGGGTGAAGGTGGCCCCTCCCCAGCCCCCTCAGAGGCCCAGCCACCCTACCCCCATCCCCTACCCCCCATCCCCCACCTTGTTGCCTCTTTGGTCCCAAACGGTTTGGAAA
Source organism: Homo sapiens (assembly GCF_000001405.40). NCBI lineage: Eukaryota > Metazoa > Chordata > Mammalia > Primates > Hominidae > Homo > Homo sapiens. The sequence continues at coordinate 32,882,705 of NC_000001.11, read as the reverse complement.
ATCCTGACAGGAGCAGATGGTGGGACAGATGGAGGGAAAAGCATTTCGGGGCTGAATTACACAAACAAACATTGAAAAAGTGATTAAAACCCCAAGCCACCCCTTTCCAAAAGGCCCTGCCCACCCCAGCCTAGAGCACAGCGGGCTCTGAGGTGGGGGCCTGGGGGTCTCCGAATACCCCGCATCTCAGCGCCAGCATCCCATCTTCTGCCCAGCCCCCTCTCTGCCAGGGACCACCCCCGGACCAGAGCCTAGGGCGGCAGAGCTGCCAGGAGCACAGCCCGGGAGGGGGAGGGGACGGGCCTGGCTGTTCCCAAGGGAGCTGGGCCCTAAGAAACAGCACGCTGGGGCGGGAGGTGGGAAAGTCCTGGGAGCTGGAACCGCAGACCCAAAGTCAGGGATGGAGTGTGAGGTGCTGGGGGCCCTCAAGCAAAGTCCCTCACTTTATATGCGGAGCCCAGGTCACACAGCAGCGTTACCCACCCCGTAGAGGAGCGGGACAAGGTCCTTGACCTCTGGAAGCTTCGGTTGGTTTCCTGGTCTGTAAATGGAAACAATAATAATAGCACTGGAAGGGCTGCTGTGAGGATTAAGAGGGAGGGAGCTGCGAGGTGCCTGGCATAGCGCCTGCGCCCAGTCAGTGCCCAGCTAATGTTGGCTGTCAGTACTCACAGGGCTCCACGTGGCTCCTAGGCAACCCCTGGTGTTGGGAGATCAGGAAGGCTGGGGCTGCTTGAGGTGGTCCTTCTCCAAACAGAAGTCTAGGCTTGAAGATCCTGCTGGGAGAGCCCCTGAGGCTGCTGAGCTCTGCAAGATGGAGATGGCTCCAATGGGTCCCCAAGAAGAGCCCTGACTCCTGGGTAAAAGCACCCAGTTCCATGCCAAGTCCACTGTCAGGGAGCCCAAGAGATAGAGAAAGTGCTGCATCTTAGCTGGTTCCTCAATATGAGAGTACAGATTTCCCGGGGTGACAGATCCAGGTTCAAATCCTGGCATGGCCTTTTGTCTTTTGGGGAAAGTTGGCAAAAACAACCCCTCTGGTCCATTTTCTGTAAAACCTGCCTTTCCAGCCACTTCCGGGACTTGCTGCCAGAAGCCCGCAGACACCCTGACGTAAGCCTGCCAGTGGTCACCCCATCACCTTCTCCCACAGCCTGTCCGGCCCTTGGGCCCCCTCCATCCACCAAAGGAGGCTGAGGCCCCACCCCATCTAGGACCCCTCCCTCTTCCTCACTCCCACACCTGCCTTCTTCCCAAGTCCGGCCCATTGTAGCAGAGGAGGTCTCAGGCCTGCCCTCTTCTCCACAGTGCCACTCACTTCCTGGTCATATCTGCCTGGTATTACAGCTCTGGCCTTCCCACAGCTCCCCTGCTCTGATCAGTTTCTCTAAATCTGATTACCTTCCTCCCTGCTTAATAACCTTCCATGGCTCCCTGCTGCCTACCAGAGGCTCTCTGAGACATGCCTTAACCCTCACCTTCCACCCCATCTCTTCTCCCTCTACCTTCCTTTCCCCTAATAATGTCCCACCAGCCCAGCAACCCCTGCCCCGGATGACCAGGATCTTCCCCACACCAGATGAAGGGGCTCCCTGACCCTCTCTCAGCCCTAATCTCTCCCATATGGGAGTTGGCCTTGGTGGGATGGGTGAAGTAATGCCAGCATCTGGGGTCACATCCAGGCCACACTTGCCCAGCAGAGTAGTCACTTTTCTTTTTGCTGGTGAAAGCAACTCATAGCTGGAAGGGCCTCAGGAGTTGACCAGAGAGGGACAGTGACTTGCCTGAGATCACCCAGCCAGGCCTGCCCTGTTTCTGCTCCCCTCAATTAGAAGTGGCCCCTTCACAGCCTCTGTAATCAAAACATTGAGATCTTTCTTCCATAATTCCATTGCTGGGGAGCTCAATCCTGCCACTTCTCTTGGTCTATCCTGGACGGGACCGTTTGAAAATCATTCCTGGGTCATGGCAAAGGGACCAGTCACTTCTTGGAAGTGGAGTGGAGGGCAGGAGGCTGAGTCTTCACTTCTAACTTTATATTCCCTTCTGTCTGAATGTATTAAAACCTGGACATGGAGGATATTTGAGACTTGAGTCAAAATTAAGATTTTTTTTTTTTGAGACGGAGTCTCGCTCTATTGCCCAGGCTGGAGTGCAGTGGCGCGATTTCGGCTCACTGCAAGCTCTGCCTCCTGGGTTCGTGCCATTCTCCTGACTCAGCCTCTCGAGTAGCTGGGACTACAGGTGCCCGCCATCACGCCCGGCTAATTGTTTTGTATTTTTTTTTTTTTAGTAGTGACGAGGTTTCACCGTGTTAGCCAGGATGGTCTCGATCTTCTAACCTTGTGATCTGCCTACCTTGGCCTCCCAAAGTGCTGGGATTACAGGCATGAGCCACCGTGCCCGGCCAAGATTTTTTTTTTTTTTTGACACGGAGTCTTGCACTGTCACCTGGGCTGGAGTCCAGTGATGCAATCTCAGCTCACTGCAACCTCCGCCTCCCAGGTTCAAGTGATTCTCGTGCCTCAGCCTCCCAAATAGGTGGGATTACAGGCATGCGCCACCATGCCTGGCTTCTTGGTTTTTGTTTGTTTGTTTTTTGAGATGGAGTTTTGCTCTTGTTGCCCAGGCTGGAGATGGCGTGATCTCGGCTCACCGCAACCTCTGCCTCCCAGGTGCAAGTGATTCTCCTGCCTCAGCCTCCCAAGTAGCTGGGATTACAGGCATGCACCACCACGCCCGGCTAATTTTGTACTTTGAGTAGAGACAGGGTTTCTCCATGTTGGTCAGGCTGGTCTCGAACTCCTGACCTCAGGTGATCCGCCCGCCTCCGCCTCCCAAAGTGCTGGGATTACAGGTGTGAGCCACCATGCCTGGCCTAATTTTTTGTATTTTTAGTTGAGACAGGGTTTCACTATGATGGCCAGGCTGTTCTCGAATGCCTGACCTTGTGATCCACCCGCCTCTGCCTCCCAAAGTGTTGGGATTACAGGCGTGAGCCACCAAGCCCAGCCCCAAATTAAGATTTTAAAAGAAACTTCCTCGGGCCAGGCGCGGTGGCTCACCCCTGTAATCCCAGCACTTTGAGAGACCAAGGCAGGCGGGTCACGCGGTCAGGAGATCGAGACTGGCTAACACGGTGAAACCCCGTCTCTACTAAAAATACAAAAAATCAGCCGGGCCTGGTGGCAGGTGCCTGTAGTCCCAGCTACTCGGGAGGCTGAGGCAGGAGAATGGCGTGAACCTGGGAGGCGGAGCTTGCAGTGAGCGGAGATTGTGCCACTGCACTCCAGCCTGGTAGACAGAGCGAGACTCCATCTCAAAAAAAGAAGAAAGAAACTTGGGGAAGCCGAGGCATGAGGATTGCTCTCAAAAAAAAAAAAAGAAAGAAACTTGGGGAAGCCGAGGCATGAGGATTGCTCGAGGCCAGGAGTTTGAGACCAGCCTGGGCAGCATGGTGAGACCCCATCTCTACAAAAAAAAAATTTTTTTAATTAGCTGGGTGTGTAATCAGGAGGCTGAGCCAGGAGGATTGTTGAGCCCGGGAAATGGAGGTTGCAGTGAGCGAGACCCTGTCTCTAAATAAATAAGTGAAATAAAAATTAAAAAGTGCCCCCTAAACCGGGATTTGCCTCCCAGAAGCCTTCCAGCGGCCCAGCTCTGCTGGGGTTGTCCAGGCTGAACGCTGCATCCACTGCCCATAGCCCTGGGGGATTCTCCTCCCAGCCTGCTCCTCATGACCCAGAAAAGTGGTTGGAATTCCCAGCCACCTGTGTGGTGTGGCTCTGGGGGCGGAGGGACTGTGCATGTAGCTGAGCCTTGCCTCCCTTGCAGAGCTGCTGTGGGGAACCTACAAGACACTGTGGAGGGTAGTGCATGTGAAGGAGGCTGCTCCGTGACACTTCAGGGCTCTGGGATACACATTCACACAGCTTTGCCGGCAGGTGCCCTAGTGAGAGGAAAGGTCACACCCCAGCTCTAGACTGCTGCTGGCACCCCAGTTCCCTCCCTGAGACTATGCATGGGGTTAGAGCCAGAGGCAAGCTAGAACCCAGCTCTGTCTCCGAGCTCTTTCCAGTGGGCCAGGCTTCCTTGGAGGAGTGAGAAGACTTCCCAGAGGGTCCAGGGGTACCCAGAGTTCCAGAACCCCACCCGGAGTCCGAGGTTGCCCTATCCCAGGAACCCTGTGCTCCCAATTTGTCTCCCTCCCTGGGAAGACCAGGCCAGCTCTCATTCCTGGCACCTTAGGATCTACCGGAGGCTGAGGATTGCCTCATTGTTTCCATAGTAACAGTGAACAGCAGGGCCTCCTGAATCACTGCTGGGAGACTGCACTGGTACCTGCAAGTATGCATTTGCCCCAGGAATGCCTGGGATGGGGCAGCCTTTGGTGCATGCACACAAGCATATGCACACCTTTGCACACATGCACATCCAATGCACACCCCTTCCTCCTCCCAAACACACACACACACCCTTGCAAATGCAGGCACGGGCATGGCGCTTCAAGCCCTGGCCCGCTGACCCAGAAGTGGGTCAGAACATCATCCTGCCTGACATAACCCACTCCCACAGCCACCCTGGCCCACTCAGATGCAGAGAGCATCTCGGGGAAATGAGGGACTTGCACTTTATAATAATACCCACTGCAACATTTATAGATACTTAGCACGTGCCAGGTCCTGCGCTTTCCTCTTCACATGTAACATCTCCTGTGTTCCCCAAACACCACGCTGGGATGGATGCCAGGAGAGTGATTTGCCAGAGGTCACACTGTAGTGCGGGGCTGAGCCAATGTGTGAGCCCAAACTGTTTGGCTCCAAGCCTTGGACTCTTGCCTTCCTCACCAGACCCCTTGATGCCAGACCCATAAGCACTCACCCCGGGACCCACAAACACAGATGGGTGTGTCTGGCAGCAGGTGGGACCAGAGCCAACTAGAATGCCAGCATTCCTGGGCTTGTCACTCTGGGCCATCATATTCCCTCTTCAGCCTCCAGCCATTCCTGGGTCGGAGGTATGAGGGGAGGTTTAGACAACACAGGGATTTTTTCTTTCACTTATTTCTTCCCAGTGTGCAGAAAAGGAACTTTGAGCAGCAAGAACAAGACCCACTGAGAATCTCCTGCCTGGGAAGCCACCCGGGTTCCCTTCCCTTCCAGCAAAGGGATGAGTCCAGCTGCTGGATCTGTCCTCCAGCCTTCTCTGAGACCTCTCATGCAGACTTTTAACAAAGGGGCCTGAGGCCAGAGGCTGGGCCAGCTGCATCATCCTGAGCGGGGAGTTGGGTGGGCCAGGTAGGGGGATGGCTTCCAGGAGGCAATTTTCAGCAAAAGGATGGTCTGGCAGTGTTGCCAGGAAGGCAGCAATGCCCCTCACTAGAGGCATCCCAGGTTGGCAGGCACTGGATACACCCTGGTGAGGAAATTTGAGACAAGCAATGACCGAGTCCCTGCAACATCCTCGTCATCATCTTTGTCGTCATCGTAGCTACCACTGATTGGACACACTTTGTGTCAGGCGCTTTAAGATATGATACAACTGCCACTACTGCTAATAAAAATGGCAGCTGCTAGGAACTCAGCCCTTATGTGGCTGATCTTCATTGACTCCTCACAGAACCCTATGAGGCAGGCACTATTGTTAGGCCCATTTATAGATGGGGAAACTGCGGCTCAGAGAGGTTCAGAGACATGTTTACAGGCAGAGGCAGCAAGATGCAGGCTCTACCTGGCTGCTGCGTCTGTGGTCGGCTCGCCTGGGAGTTGACCTCCTGAGAGCTAAGCAGCAGGCAAGGCAGCCTCTGCCAGCCGGGGCCTCCTCCTGGGGCTGTTCCTGCGCTGGGGCAATGTGGGCTTCACTGTGGCTGAGGTGGCGCCCTCTGCTGGCTGTGCCCAGGCTGTGCAGAGCCACGAGGGAGGTCCTCCGTGGACTTGGGTTGTGGGAGGTGGACCGACCCTGGAGACTCAGGGTCAGACCTTCACTGCGGATGGCCGCTGTTCGCCAGTGAGAACAGATGCCAAGGTCACTCCGGCAGTCTGGGGCTGAGCTGAGGAGTGAACGTAAAGGCAGTCTTCACTCCCAGGCTTTTGTCCTTCTACCCCTCTCTCATCTTCCCCTAGCTGCCTCCACCTCTTCCACTGCCTTCCACTCTGAGCCTCTAAAATGGGGCCTCTGGCCCCACTGTTTCTGAGGAATCTGGGTGACTGGTGTGCAGCTGAGAATCTGTCTCCAAAGGCAAAGCCAGGGTCCAGGCTTTGAGGCCTGGAGCTGCCACTGACTGGCTTTGTGATACTGGGTGAGATTCTCAACCTCTCTGAGTGCTGTTGGATGGGAGCCTTCCTGTGTAGACTCTGAAGAACTGAAGAGATTTGAGGAGGTCTCCTTTACCCGATTAGAAGGCTCTATTCTGCCGCTCCTCCTTCTCCCTTCCCCCCTCCCCGTCCTCCTCCCTCCCCATCCCCCCCACCCCCCGCCCCCGTCCTCCTACCTCTTTCTTTCTCTCTTCCTCTTCTCCACCCCTGACCAGAGGAGGCATTTTAGGCTCAGAAAGCTAGAGTTACTTGGCCCTATGTCACCCAGCCAGGGGTTTCTGGCTTCAGAATCTGGACTTTGGAGGGCTGACCTCTGCCCTGCTTCCTTTTCATCTCCTCCTATATGTCTGATCCATCAGCTCCTCCTGCAAAAAAAAAAACAAAAACAAACAAAAAAAAAACATCCCAAATCCTCCATCGACTTCTCTCTCTGTCCCCTGCCACCACCCAGGCCAACACTGCATCCTTTCTGGCCGTGAGACCGCAGCACCCTCCTTGCTTCCTCACAGGGCACCTGGCCCCCCACTCCTGTTCTCTGCCATCCAGCCTGCACACTGGAGCGGGCAAAGTGAGCCTTTTAAAATGCAAATCACATCCCATCTCATCTCCCCTCGAAGCTTCCCATTGTGAGTGGGATCAACCTAACCTCCCTTCCACACCTGGAGGCATGTGTTATCCAATCCCACCTGCCCTCACTGCCTCCTTCTTGCTTATAAAGCTCCAGGCTCACTGGCTTCTTTCTGTTTCCCCAACATGCAAGCTTGCTCCTGCCCCAGGGCCTTGGTACTTGCTCTTCTGGGGCTGGAGCTCCCTTCCTGTGCTGTGTGCTGCTGCCTCCTTTGCCTTCAGGTGTCAGTTCAGGTGACTCCCCCTCAGCCCACACCATGTAACGTCGCCCCACCCAGCCACTCTCCACCACATGACTTCATTGTTTTCATAGCCACTCTCGGTCTCTGAAGATATTTCATTTGGTCATCAGCTCACTTGTTTATTGCTTTTCTCTCCCCCTGGAATATGAGATTCACATGGGGCAGGGACCCTGTTGTCTTGGTCACAGCTGTGATGCTGCTGGCAGTTAGTAGGTGCTCAATAAATGTTTGTTGAATAAATAAAGCCCTTCCTAGCCCCAGCTTCTCTTGCAAGCTCAGAACAATCTTTCCAATCTAGTTCTACTTTTCCTGCTCCCAATGTCACAGCTCAGAGCCTACAGCAAACGCCCACATAAACATTCTGCCTCTCCTGCTTTCCCTCCACAGAAACACTCCACTTTTCCAGACCTCAGGGCTAATGATTCCTCTTTCCCTCTGTTTCTTTCCTCTCACTTGGCTAACTTCCACCTGACTGTCAGTACTTATTAAGCTCAAGCATCACCTCTTCCCAGAAGCCCTTCCTGCTTTCCTCTCAAGTTAATTACCTTTTCTGTCCCTGTAGGCCCCAGGTGCCTCCTATTCCAGAAGGCAGTCCCCTCTTTGTATTTTAAGAGCATCTCTCTCCTCTTCCCCGGCCATGAGAACTCCCTAAGGACTAGGACCAGTCTGGTTCATCACTATGTCCTCAGCACCACCAGCACTCAGGAAATACTAAACTGGCCTGACTTCATCATTGCCATGATGGGGATTTTGAGGATTAGAGAGGCTAGATCAGTGTCTCCCAGCTGTATGACCCATGGCAAGCCCCTTCTTCTCTTCAAGCCTCAGTTTCCTCATCTGTAAAATGGGTATAATTCCAACTCCTCTGAGGATTCAAAGAGTCTTCCCTTATGTACATAATGTGTCAGCACGGGAAAAGTGTTGGGTGAGTAGGGGGTCCCTTGTCTTGGCCCTGGGATTAGCAACTGCCTCTGTGAGCAATAAGTCCCCTTGAGCCCTTCAGGGAAGGAGATTGATGTGATGTCCTCTGGTGAGCCCTGAGCCCTGGATCCTTGTCCTCAGAGGTCCTTAGAGGTGAGGGGATACGGTAGGCAGACTGGATCAAGCCCTCAACTTGCAGCCGCATAATTTAATTTGAGACATGTCTCTATAGTTCACTGGCTGTGTGACACAGGGCAAGTCCCCTTACCTCTCTGATCCTCAGCTTCCTGATATGGAATGGAAGTTAATGACACATACCAGCCTAAGACTCAAAATAACATGGATAAAGTCCGGGCGCGGTGGCTCACGCCTGTAATCCCAGCACTTTAGGAGGCTGAGGTGGGTGGATCACCTGAGATCAGGAGTTCGAGACCAGCCTGGCCAACATGATGAAACCCCGTCTCTACTAAAAATAAAAAAATTAGCCAGGCATGGTGGTGGGCACCTGTAGTCCCAGCTACTCAGGAGGCTGAGGCAGGACAATCACTTGAACCTGGGGAGCAGAGATTGCAGCAAGCCAAGATCACGCCACTGCACTCCAGCCTGGGCAAAAGAATGAAACTCCGTCTCAAAATAAAATAAAACAATAACATGGATAAAGTAGGTGCTCAATTATTATATCCCCAAAGCAACTCCTGACCTCCTGATTCTTCCTGTGATTTGCAGGGCGGGTGAGGGGTGTCTAGTGACCATCCTTGACTGGGGCCATGACCATCCTAGGCTATAAAAAGGAAACTTCCTATTCTAAATGGGTACCCGGGGCTGGCTTGGGCACCTGCAGCCTGAGTTAGGTGCTGAGACTCTGGACACGCAGGAGGGTCCAAATGCTGGTGACCCCATTAGGTGTCAATGTGTAAGTGACCGGCCAGCCCTCAAGGGGGTCTCTGTGGAGTCCTCCAAATGAAGCCCAGTGAGTGCAGCTTGGGAGGACAGAGGCGCACCCTTAGTCCCTACCCAGGTCCTCATGGTTTCACTCATTCTTTCACTGCTGTGTTTCCAGAATATTACACAGGGCCTGGTCCATAATAGGTGCTCAATAAACATATGATGGAAGAATGATTTTTTTTCCATACAGTCAACAATCATTTAATGAGCCCCAACTGCATCGTAAGCCTTGCGCTAAGGGATGGGGTACATAAAGTGGCTGGGTTTTTTTGAGATGGAGTCTTTCTCTGTCACCCAGGCTGGAATGCAGTGGTGTGCTCAGCTCACTGAAACCTCTGCATCCCAGGTTCAAATGATTCTCATGCCTCAGCCTCCAGAGTAGCTGGGATTACAGGCACACACCACCATGCCCGGCTAATTTTGTATTTTTAGTAGAGACGGGGTTTCACCATGTTGGCCAGGCTGGTCTCGAACTCCTGACCTCAGGTGATCCACCCACCTCGGACTCCCACAGTGCTGGGATTACAGGCGTGAGCCAGCGCCCTGGCCTGCAGTGGCTGCTTCTGACAGCTCCCTCCCAAGTTCACCCAGGGCTCCACTAAATCCTCCCAGCCAGCTCTCACTGGCTGCCAGATTCCAGGCACCAGGGCTTTCCCCAGAATTAAGGCCCAAGCACCCCATGCATCATGAGGACTGAGAAGGCTGTACCCCCACAGTCACAACTCTCCAAATCCTCCAAGCCCCCTCCTTCAGCCGCCTTCTCTCTCAAGCCCTCAGGCACTGCCATCTCCTCCCTCCCAATGCCCTACATCTATCTAGGTTTTACCCAAAGAGGCCAGCAGATGGCGCCAAGGTTCCCCTTTCCCCAGCGCTGGACTGGAGGCCAAGACCCCACCAGGACCCTCCCTCCTTTTCTCCCCTGCAGGGACGGGAGTAGATTCTGTGTCCTCTAACTGAACCCTCTCCTTCCTGCTGGTTCCTGTGCTGGAGGCCTGAAGAGGCTCCAGTTGCTCCTGCGGGCCTCCTGGTTGTCTTCCTGTCTGATGGATGGGGGGTGGGGGGTCCCTAGGGGCTAAGCTGCAGCTGGTGGGGCGGGGCCGGGTGGGGTGGGGCAGGCAGCAGCTGCGGGGAGAAAGAGAGAGAAGATAATAAGGGGAGAGAAAGAGAAAGAGAGCAAAGAGAAAAGAGAGAGAGAGGTGCTCTGGCTCCGGGGCTCTTCTCCCAAACGGGTCGAGGTCCCAGCTGAGGCTCTCCCAGGACAAGGTATGTGGCGGGGGAAATGATAGGGCTGGGCAGTGTCACCCTGCCGAGTGGGGCAGGTCTGGGGGCACTGAGGGGATGGGCAGGAAAATTCTGCTGCTCAACAAGAGCCCCTAAGCTCGCTTCCATCTCACCCCTTCCAAGGTGACCAAGGAGGAACACAGGGCCAGCGAAGGAGTCCTGGGTGGGCATAAGGAGAGGAGGGTTGTCTATCGCTCCTCTTGACCCACTGTGTGAATCTGCACCAAGCTCTTCCCATCGGTAGACCTCACTTCCTTAATGTAAAACCAGGGGGATGGAGAGGAAGACCCTGAAGACGTTTCTGTGGCAGAACTTTGCAAGACGTCTCCTTTCCAAAGAAAATTAGCCCTTCCAGGGCTTCTGGAAAACCTTTAAGACCCAAAGGAATGCCCCGCTAGTAGTGGAATTTCGGATAGTCGTGGGAGGGGGCTCAGGGGTTCTTGCTGAGACAAAAGGCCCTGAGCCCTGGTCCATGCCTCTCTCCTCCACCTTGTTTCTCTGGCTGAGATGAGGGAAGGGGGCTGGAGCCACTCCCCTTCTCAGAGATGCTCTTAGAGATTGCTGCAGACTGTTTTCTGGCTGGGGAGGAGCTGGCCCCGGCCAATTCTAGAGTCTCACGAATCTCCGGATGGGTGAAGTCACTCTGGGTGGGGAGACAGTTCAGTTAAGCACAGCTTTGGGAGTCAGATCAGCCTGTGTTCAAATCCTGGCTCTGCTGCGGGTCCCTGGACAAGTCAAGTAGCCTGTCCAAGCTGCAGGCTCCTCCTGTGCAAAGTGTGCAGAGTATGACTTTACAGGGTTGCCCTGAGAATTAAGCCACATAATGCAAAGAAAGCTCAGCATAGTATCTGGCCCCTGGTAGACGCTCATTACTGCCCTCACTATGGGGATGAAAATGAAGGAAAAGGACTGGCCTGGGGTCACAGAGCTGGACTCTCCAGTGAGACAGAGCAGCCTCTTCCCAACCCCACTGGAAACACGGAGCCCTAGTGTCCACTTAGCACTCTCTGCTCACCCCAGCCTTACTGTGATCTCTCCCCTCTGCTCCCGTCTGCCCCAGCCGCAAGGCCTCGGGTCTACCGTGGAATGAGGGGATCCCTAGGCCCAGGGAAGGGAGGCGCGCTTAGGGGTGGGGGCACAAACGGGCATCTCGGTGGCACTTGTCCTCTCTCTACCCTGGGAAAGGGCAGAAAGCGGCAGCCAAGTCAGGGCTGTGCACGGGAGAGAGAGTGACCGCGGCGGGGGCGCGGAGAACCCCGCTGGGCTCCCGCTCGGTGAGAGGGCGGGAGCCGTGGGTCCGCGAAGCCCCTTCCTCCCCGGCAGAGGACCTAATAGGCAGCGGGGGCGGGAGTGGGGGCGCCCTCCGGTCCTCACCCCGCCCCCGCACCTCTCCCCGCAGCGGGGGCGCCCCGCCCCCCGGGCGCCCGACGTGGACGCGGCCGCCGCCACCGCCGCCGCGCGGGAGTCGCTGTCCGCGGAGCCGACATGCAGGCGGCTCGGGGCGGCGCAGGGCGGCCGGAGCGGCCGGGCCGGCCGGGCCGGGGGCCGGAGCGCGAGCGCGAGCGGCCGCCGGGCGCCGGAGCCGCGTCCCCCTGCGCCGCCCCGGGCCTGCCGGCCGGAGGAGCCACCATACACCCCGGGTCGCCGAGCGCCTGGCCGCCCCGCGCCCGCGCCGCGCTCCGCCTGTGGCTGGGCTGCGTCTGCTTCGCGCTGGTGCAGGCGGGTAAGGGGGCCCGGGGCGGGGGGCCGGCGCCGGGGCAGGCTCCTCTCGAGCCCAGCTACCTGGGAGTCCCCTGGTCCTTTCTCTGCCCCCTAGGGACTCCTGTCTCGGCCCAAACACTGCTCCCCTAACCCAGCCCCCAGCGTCTTCCTACCTCCTTGACCCCCAGACCTGTCCTTCAGTTTCCAAATCTCCCCTGTCACCTCAGCCCTGGGTTTCCTAGGGTCTTGTGGTCCCCAGTCCCCTAATCCCATTCCCCTAACCCCAGGTCTTTGCCTCAGCTTCCCTAGCTCCCTTCTTTGACCCAGGGAGCAGCTGAGGACACCAGTTCCCCCACCTGGGCCTCTCTCTGTGTCCCCAGGACCTCTCAAAGCCCTGCAAGCCAACTCTGCAGGGGCAGATGGGGTCCCGCTGTGCAGGAGCACGTGTGAAGGGGATGGGGGCTGGCACCTGAGGGCGCAGGGCGTGGGGTGGGCCCCGGCACCCCTGATCTGGTACAGTGTCTGGCCTGCCCCATGGGGCCGGCCCGTCCTTGCCCAGCCTCTCCTGCCACTCTGTCTTTGTCCCTCCTGGCTGCCGCTGCCCGGCTCATCTCTCCCTCCGTGGCTCGGGGAGCGCTCTCTCGCAGCTGTCTTTCTCAGATGCCCCACTTCTCTGTCCTCTGGTTCTGTGTCTGCCACCACCTGTCTGTGTCCTGTCTCTCCACCTCCCCCTCCATGTCTGGCTCTGTCTCCCTCAGGTCCCAGGCCCAGCCCCCTGGGTCTCAAGTTCACTCTCTGTGGGGTGAGGGGTGCTGCTCAGGCGCAGCTCTGCCCCGTGCTGCACCTGCCCCTTGGAAGATACTGAGCCTTATGTGACTGCACTGCCCCTCTCCTGGACGGTTTTCCTCACTGACCCCCACTATCCCTATCACTCTCACCCCCACTTCCCTCCTGTCTCTTCTGGAGTGATTCCTCATTCATCCTCTTCCCCTACCTGTTCTCTCCTCTCCACTCGCCATGGAGGGGCCCTGCTCTGAGTGACCCCATCTTCCCCTGCCACCTCCCCACCTGCATCTTGGGGCTGGAAGAGCATGGATAAGAGGCTCACACAGACTCTTCCGCAGGCTTTATTCTGCCTGGGCCACCACAGCTCTGAGGATACTTCTGTTCTCCTCACTCCCAGTCCAGGGCTCACCCCAGCCTGACACTTCTCGATCTCTGGGTCTTTCTCCTTCGCGCAAGGTCACTCATTGGACAGGGCAGTATTGTCAAAAGAGCACTGGACTGGGGAGTCCTTTTGTCTGCTTTTCATCAGCTAACCTTCAGTTTCTGTCCACCTATGTCCCCTACATAACTCTCTCCACAACTCTAACCACCCATCCCTTAGATAGGGCCCCGGCCCAGGCCCATCACTTTGAGCCTTGGACCCCTCATGGGGCCGGCCTGTGGCCAGCAGGGGCTTCCGTCCCAGTCATGAGGAGCCTGGGGCCTCTTGGGCTTGGTTCTTCAACCCACTGAAGAGCTGAGAGCCATGTCACTGGACCCCACTTGAGGCCTTAGTTTCTTCCTTCCCCTCCTGCATGGCCTTCCCCAGGTTTCCCCTTCTTACTTATGAGACAGTGGGTCTGGGCCTCACAATAGGGGATGCTCAGGCTTAGGTGCCTCCCCGTCCCCCAGACAGTCCCTCAGCCCCAGTGAACGTCACCGTCAGGCACCTCAAGGCCAACTCTGCAGTGGTGAGCTGGGATGTTCTGGAGGATGAGGTTGTCATCGGATTTGCCATCTCCCAGCAGGTAATGCTCCACTGTCCTTAGGAGGGAAGGACACATCAAGACAGTAGTGGCAGATGGGGGTAGGAGTGTGGCAGTGGTGGTGATGGAGAAATAGAAAGGAAATAGGAACTTGGGGCAAGGGAGATGAACAGCAATTTGGACATATGTCTGAAAATTGGGGCCCCATTCAGACATATGTCTGAAAATTCTCTAGAAGAGAATCAGTCAGTGAGGGAGGGTTTGGGAACTTTCAAGTGGAACACAGAAATTAAGGTTTTGATCTCAGAGACATCTGCATTTAGGACCTAGCTCCAGTGCTTACTAGATGTGTGGCCTTGGGCAACTTCCCCAACCTCTCTGAACCTGTTTCCTTCCCTGTAAAATGGAGATATTGATAGCGGAGGTGATGGAATGATGAAGATTGTGTATGTAAAGGCTTTGTCACCACTGGGAGGTGGGCAGGAGCGGGGCTGGTCACCGAGTGTTGACAGCAGTGACCGGCGCTTGTCTGCAGAAGAAGGATGTGCGGATGCTGCGCTTCATCCAGGAGGTGAACACCACCACCCGCTCATGTGCCCTCTGGGACCTGGAGGAGGATACGGAGTACATAGTCCACGTGCAGGCCATCTCCATTCAGGGCCAGAGCCCAGCCAGCGAGCCTGTGCTCTTCAAGACCCCGCGTGAGGCTGAGAAGATGGCCTCCAAGAACAAAGGCAGGCCCGGGTCACTGTTAAGAGGAATGGGGTGGGGTGAGGGGTGGTCAGGACCAGACCAGTGGGTGGCTTGAGGAAAGCTCTGTCTCCTCCCCCTTATCCCCTGCTGGCAAGTAAAGCAGTACCTGAGAGAGGGTTCACGCTAGTCCCTGACAAGACGCTGAGCATATAAACTCCCTTTAGACTTGGTCCTATCACTGCCACCCCAAGTAGCCATCAGTGCATTCTAGAATGTATGTTAGATGTGTGGGCACCTGTAGAAATCAGCACTGTTGTCTTGGGCTTGGCCCTAGAGGAGTGGCTGAGGGAGGAAAGGAGTGCTGGATCTAGTGTCTCTCTCCCTGCAGATGAGGTAACCATGAAAGAGATGGGGAGGAACCAACAGCTGCGGACAGGCGAGGTGCTGATCATCGTCGTGGTCCTGTTCATGTGGGCAGGTGAGTCTGGCCTCCGAGACCTTCTTCTTCCCTCAGATTCTGGGAAATGGAGGACTCTGACCAGCCCCTTCTCTCATGAAAAAAAGGGTAAGGGGTTTGGACATCTCTAAGGTGAAAAGTCTCCAAGTCCTGCCAACGACAGTTCTGGGAAACAGATCTGACCCCTTCTCTACCTCACTCTTCACCAAAAAACCAGCATATTGTTAGCTGCCTTATAGGATTAGATGAGTACTTGCCTTCGCCCTCCCTCAGAAGAGGTTCAGCTTCTTGGGGCTGGACACTTCCACAGGCCTTTTACCTCTGGTCATGGCCACAGCCTTTTTTTCTTCTGGGGTGCTGTGCCTCCAGGGGTCCAGGCCTGGGAAGCTCAGGGGAAGTCACTGCCTGGCCTGGGGACATTCTCCTAACCTACTCACCCTTCTAGACCCAGCCACCATGGCTGTGAGACAGCCACCGTGAAAACTCCCTCAATCCATCCATTAGAATGGCCCTCCTGCTTCCACACCCCCACCGCATACTGTTCACTCCTCTCTTTAGCCCTTCTTTAACCCTCTCTTTAGCCCTTGTGTTAGTTCGTTCGGCTCATGTCTCTCCTTTACCTGTGGTCTGTGAGCTCCCTGAGAATGAAGACCAAGTTTTTTTTTGTTTGTTTTGTTTTTTGAGACAAAGGTTTTGTTTTTTGAGACCCAGGTTGGAGTGCAGTGGTGCAATCATAGCTCACTGCAGCCTTGACCTCCTGGGCTCAAGTGATCCTCATGCCTTAGCCTCCTGAGTAGCTGAGACTACAGACATGTGCCACCATGCCTGGCTAATTTTTTATTTTTTGTAGAGATAGGGTCTTGCTATGTTGTCCAGGCTGGTAAAGGCCAAGTTTCATTCATCTTTGTACTCAATTCAACCAGCATTTACTGAACAATCACTCCAGCCCAAACAGTAGTGCTACAATCATGACTAAGAAGACCCCTCTGCTTGCAAAGAACTATCTGGGCGAAGCCAGGCCCAAACTTTTCTTTTTTCTTTTCGTTTACTCTTCTTTTTTCTTTTTCATTTTCTTGGGCTGAACTTAAACTATAATCCAGTGTGATGAGTGCTATGATAGTACCATGTAGGAGAGCAGAGGAGAGGGAATAACTGTGGGTTAGAAATCAGGAAAAACACAGAGAGGAGATAACATGGGAATTGAGCTTTGAAGGATAAATAGGAGTTCACCAAGCAGCCAAAAGAGGAATAGTGTTCAGGGCATGGTGTGTTCAAGAAACAAAGTAAGCTCAGTCTGGTTCAGGGCAGCTGCAATCCAAGAAAGAAGGTAGAACGTGGGGGAGTAAAGGATGGTGAGGCTGCAGACTGGAGTCTTTTGAGGGATTTGAATACCATGCTAAAGCTTTATTACCATGGTGGTTGAGAAAGGCAGGCTGTATTGTAGAAGCATTTGGGAAAAAAATGCTCCTTAGGCACACAGAAAAACAGGCACTTGGAAAAATGAGGGAAAAACAAAGGGTTGTACAAAAGAGGAGGTTTGCTTATGGTGCGTTATTAGATTTGGCACAGACAGTATTTATATAATCATAACAATATAAACATAGCGAATTAACCCAAAATTGTGATGTAATTTTGTTAGGATAATAGGGAGGGAAGTAGAGGAAGTTGTTATGCTTTATCTACCATGTTTGGAAGTCAACAGACTTCTAAAATAGATCAAGAAATAACATTCTAAATATAGAGGTAAAATTGGGAAAACACCTAGAAGGACTGGAGTTGGCTGCCTTAATACTGTCTGACTTTTAAAAAACATTCTGTTCATGTATTATTAGTTTGATAAAACTAAACATTTAACAGACTGCAGGCCCTGGAGTTCATGTCCTAGTTCCACCACTGTGTGACCTTGAGTTAAGTTAGTGAAACTCTCTCTGCATCAGTGTCCTCACTTGTACCCTGGGAATTATAATAATAGGTATCCTCACAGAGTTGTGAGGATTAAGTGAGATAGAATATGTCAGTGCACAGCACAGGGCCTGGCACGAGCTCAACAAATGCTATTATTGTTTCTATTTTCCCCTCAAGGAAAACAGGAGCTGTCAGAGGTTTTTTTGTTTGTTTTTCTTTGAGACAGAGTCTCTCTCTGTTGCCCAGGCTGGAGTGCAGTGGCCTGATCTCAGCTCACTGCAACCTCTGCCTCCCAGGTTCAAGCTATTCTCCTGCCTCAGCCTCCTGAGTAGCTGGGATTATAGGCACCTGCCACCACGCCCAGCTAATTTTTGTATTTTTAGTAGACAGGGTTTCACCATGTTGGCCAGGCTGGTCTCTATTTCCTGACCTCGTGATCCACCCATGTTGGCCTCCCAAAGTGCTGGGATTGCCGGGCATGGTGGCTCATACCTGTAATCCCAGCACTTTGGGAGGCCAATGTGGGCGGATCACCTGAGGTCGGGAGTTCGAGACCAGCCTGACCAACATGGAGAAACCCCGTCTCTACTAAAAATACAAAATTAGCCGGACGTGGTGGCGCATACCTGTAATCCCAGCTACTCGGGAGGCTGAGGCAGGAGAATCACTTGAACCTGGGAGGCAGAGGTTGCAGTGAACCGAGATCGCGCCATTGCACTCCAGCCTGGGCAACAAGAGCGAAACTCCATCTCAAAACAACAAAAAAACAAAACCAAAGTGCTGGAATTAACAGGCGTGAGCCACCGTGCCTGGCCACTGTCAGAGGTTTAAAGGAAAGGAGAGGAGGAGGTATGATCAGACGCATATTGTAGGAAGATCAGCCTAGCAGCAGTGAAGGGGTGGTTGGTGAGGGCACAGGTGAAAACAGGAGCCAGAGGGCAGAGGGAGGGTGCTGCAGTAGTACAGGTGAGGTACAATCTGGAGAGACCATTGGCAAGCACTAGTGGGAAAGAAGCAGGGGAGGCAGGAACCCAGGCTCTGGCCTCTGACTGCTCACTTGTCCCCCCTCAGGTGTCATTGCCCTCTTCTGCCGCCAGTATGACATCATCAAGGACAATGAACCCAATAACAACAAGGAAAAAACCAAGAGTGCATCAGAAACCAGCACACCAGAGCACCAGGGCGGGGGGCTTCTCCGCAGCAAGGTGAGGGCAAGACCTGGGCCTGGGTGGGCCACCCTGTGCCTCATGCTCTGGTAATCCCTGGACTGCAGAGGGGGTCAGCTCGGGGACTGGCATGGCGACAGCTGGGCAGAGCCAGACTTGGCTGCTGCCTGTGTGACACAGGGACACTGCAAGTTGATTTTGGATCCTCTCCTTTTGCAGGGTGCCAGGGGCCAGTGGTGATTTGAAGAAAAAAAAAAAAAAGCAGTGAGTGGGGAGGGCAGAATTCTTGGTTGGCGCGGGACAATAGGAGTGGGGTGTCTGGCCCATTCCTGCTCCTGCTGTGCCTTGTGACCTTGGGCAGGTGCTTTACCGCTGTACCTTCATTTCCTCTTCTGTAAAACAGATATGAAAACCTTTTCAGTGCTTGCCCTCAGCAGCTAAGAAGACAGACAGTAGAGAATGTGAGAGGATCTCATGGTTCTGATGATGATTATCCAACAAACATCTGGCCCTCTCTACATCTCTTCCCTCCATCTCCTTGTACCCTCTGGCTTACTGTCCTCTCTCTGGCGCACTTTCCTGAAGCCTCTTATTAACTCCCATCTCCAGAAGCACCTCAACAATGTCAGTGGCTGAGGCTGCACTCAGAGGGATGACTGCTGGGGGTAGACTGGGTGCCAGGGGCCATGGGCCCAGGACCCAGTCTTGGCCATTCAGTTGAGTGAGGCTGAAGGCTGGGTTTGAAAAGGCAAAAAGACAAGACATCCAGGCAGGGCTTCTCTTTTCTTTCCACAAGGGACAAGAGCTTGGCTTATTTAGGCTACAGCCCTGCTGCTGCTCCCTTCCTTCTTCTGTCCTGTTTCCAGCCTTGCAAGAAGGCTATTCACAATTAGGCCTGGCTGCTTCTCTCATTTTTTTCCTCCCAGTTTCCAAACAAGCCCTCAGTGAACATCATTGAAGCGTGACTGCCTGTCTGCAGGGAGAAGGATTCCATTTTTCTTCTCAGCTGGTCCCCAGGCCCACGGGCACAGGGAGAGGGACAACTGCAGCAGTGGGGAGGAGGCACAGCTAGCTGCACAGTTCTCTCTTCTCCTTGTCCTAGTCAGATGAAGGAGGCTGCACTACAAACCCAAATTCTGCAAAAAAATAAAAATAAGCCACAAAACTAAAAGGCCTGGCCCCATTCTGGAAAAGGCAAAGCTGCATGAGACACAGCCTTCTGCCTCCTCGCCTCTCCTGGACTGGCTTCCTCTTTGAGAAAATGCACAAAGCCCTGGGAGATGACAAGCACAAGGACTGACTCAAGCTGTGTCTTTCAGACCAAGGAACATCAGAGAAGCTGTGGGGCTGCCTGCCAGGCAGGATCATGGCTGCCATCAAGCCTTTTCTGGATCCAGCCATCAAGGACATGTTTGTGGTGTGATGCACACTTTTGCAAGCGTGTAAGATGTTACCTGGTTTGTCTCTTTTGGAAAACAAAAATCAGAAGGCTGCATTCTAGAGGGCAGAGAAATTCCCCCGAAGACTGAGCTGGTTGCCTGCATCCTCTATCTTCTTTGACCCTTATGACTGAAAGATCATCAGTTTGGAAGGTACTGGTCCAATTTATTTAGGAAGTATCTCTTGGAGTTTCAGAAATGCTAGCTTGGACAACTGAAAAGTCACATCACAGCTGGCATTCTGGGGGCTACCAAAACACCCCTTCTGGAGTAGAAGCTGCTGGAAGGCAGGCCTGAGCCATTCACCACGGACAGGAAGAGCAGCTCTGGCTATCACCACTGGCCTCTGGGGTCTTCATATCTTGCCATCTCATCCAGGGTTCCATGAAAGTTACCCAGGGTCCTCATGTCCTTCCTTAGAGCCTGAGTGGTGTGAGGTGACAGGTCTCTCTCTCCACTGCCCCTTTCTGGTTTAAAAAAATGGTGCTTGATGAGGGAAGGTAGACTCTTCCCTAGGACTGACGAGTTACGGCTGCCAGATGCCTGCATGGGAAGAGGTGGACATCTGCATCTTCCATTGGTGGTCAAGGATGGGTGTGGGAGAACCACACCTAGTGCAAGCCTGGTACTCAGTAAATATTTGTTGAAATGAATGATAAGAGCATTGGTCCCCAAGCCAGAGAGCCAGAAGCCATCACCCAATGACCGCCCCTTCCTTCCGGTCTACAAGAGCTCTCAAGGCTGGGTCTGCCACCACTCTGCTTTGCCCAAGTGTGACAGCACTGGGGAGGAGAGACAGGATAAAGGGCAGATGTCAGCAATACTAAGGGCTTCCTCATGGGAGGGCATGAGGCTCCACTCATTGTCTTGTGACTTCCATCCCTGCTGAATGGGGCTGCAAGGCCAAGGCTCCTTAGGGGAGAGGTCCTTACCTCTGATCCACTTAGAGCAATAACCACTTTTTAAATGTAAAATAAAAAGACAAATGAAAAGGCACATCCTTGTCTTCTGGTAAATGCCCAAATGTTGCCCTCTTTTTCTGGCAATTGGCAGCAAGTCAGGATGTGTGGAGGAGGGAGTCAGTTTCTCTCCATTTTGGCCTGCAGCTTCTTAGGGACATGCCTGCCAGCCAAGCTGGAGTTGGAAGGGAAATCTCAAACAGATGGGGGTGCACGTGTAGGAGAAGAAAATAGCTGCTCCATCATCCTATTACTGAGGCTCCCCCAAACCAAGCTTGGGCTGCCTCACTAGATAGGTATGCAGGCTGGTACTTAGTTTTTAAAACAAAGGGTTTTCCCCTCTGGATGGGGCTGGGTGCTTTTCCTGGCCAAAGGAATACAATTCTTGTTTCTCCCCAGGGTAAGGAAGGAAGTGAAGGGGAACAGCAAAAGCTGCTTTCTGCAGCTCAGTATTCACAGCGTGCTGTTCTAGGCTGTTAAAGGAACACCATTATGATCCCAACAGTAGGCTGAAAGAGTAATGATGACATTAGCCAAGGAGCAAAAACCAGTAAATGGGGTACCTCGAACATTCCTGTCCAGAGCCAGGAAGAAGCTTGGAGAGAAAATGTCCGGTGAGCAGGGCTTAGAGTTGACTGCTGTAGGTTTTGAAAGCAGAGGGAAAGAAGGTTTAGAGGCTGCACAGCAAAGTAGGAAACTTGAGTTGCACACCGACTCTAAGCCAAACCTCAGAGAGGTACTTCCTAGGCCCTCTGTACCCATCTAGTGCCAAATGATGGAAAAGCCCCCAAATCAGCACTAGGTATAGTATAGTCAGTGGGGCTCAGGGAGCTCTGCTAATGGGGGTTTCCAGTCTTCAACTTAATCTGTGCCTGTGGTACATCATAAAGGGTATGAGAGAAAAGGAGGTAACACTCTTGGCTTAGATAAAACTCCATTCCCTTTAATTACCTCCCTAAACTCCCAATTGTATAACAATTGAGCCTTCCCTGAATCCACTGTAGTTGCAAAGTCGAACCCTACACAGCTAGACTTGGGATGTGATCCTTTCACCACCATCACATAGATCCATGGACATTTTCTCACAACTGTGGAAAGGCACAGGCAGGTCTTTGAGACCAAGAGACCTCACTTGGAGACTACCACAGGCCTGTGGGAGAAATGCTGGTCTGAGAGACAGGAGACCCTGCCTTGTAATCACCTAACACCTCAGGCAAGTTAATTCTCTGAGGTTAGGTCGTGGTGTCCTTATCTGCCAAAAACAGAATTTAGAAGATTCCCAGACTCTACCTACTTCCTACAATAGGAGCCAAGGTGCATCCTCCTAGGAGCACGAGGGAAACCTCAGGGTCTGAGGGAAGGAAGACAGACTGGTGAGTGTTTCTATGAGGCAAGAGTCCTTTTCTCCTCCTACTCTTGTCCCCTAGTTTTTCAGAATGGGCCTTCTCAAGAATGCATTTTTAAGAGTTTTGGTTCAACCCTTTACAAAAATGTGCAAAATCTCACCAACCCATTAACATGAGCTTTAGATTTCTGACTCTCTTTAAACCTATTTGATGGTTACTGGAATGTGCATTTAAGTAGCCTCCAAGAACAAATTGCTTCTATAAATGGGACACCCTGCTCACCCTCCTCCCTTGCCCAGCTCCATCAAGCTCCATCCATACAAAATATTACCAAACCTTCAAATGTGACTTGAAGTTAAGTTGAAGGAAAACTGTACACAAATAGTTCCTAACCAGGTGCAGTGGCTCACGCCTATAACCCCAACACTTTGGGAGGCCAAGGTGGGGCAGATCACTTGAGGCCAGGAGTTCAAGACCAGCCTGGCCAACATGGTGAAACCCTGTCTCTACTAAAAATACAAAAATTAACTAGGTGTGTTGGCGCACACCTGTAATCCCAGCTACTCAGGAGGCTGAGACATGAAAATCACTTGAACCCAGGAGGTAGAGGTTGCAGTGAGCCAAGATCGCGCCATTGCACTCCAGCCTGGGCAAGAGAGTGAGACGCTGTCTCAAAACAAATAGTTCCTTAGTGATATATTTCAGGACTATCACTTAGACTGCTTTAAAGGTTATCCAAAATATTATATTCCACCCCCTTTCAATGGGTGCTGGGAAGGGCCAGATTTTCCGTCTATGGCATGTCCCAGTTGTCACAGGGGGAGGACAGGTGGGGAGGAAGGACAAGGCAGGAGCCTATTCATTTAGGAATTCCACCACTGACCAGCTGATACTTCCTGTGACAAGTGGAATTTTTTTTTTTTTTTCCCTGACAGGTGCTCTGGCATACAAAGCAAGCATACACTAAAATCAGCTTAGGAATAATTGTTTTCTCTTAGAAAAGCAGAACATTACTAAGAGAAGCAGGGAACTCCACTTTCTAGCTTTAGGTGGTTGGGTTTTTTCTTCCTATAAAAGCTCAAAATAGGCTAATTAGAGAATGACCCCCTTCCTCTTGGAGAAGGTCCATCTCTCCTTTTCCTCTTCACTTTTCCGTAATGTAAAATGGACAAAAGATCCTATCTACACCTGATAGGAACAAAACAGATATGCATAGGTTAAGGAGAGTGCCTCAGATTGAGACAAGAATGTCAAGTTGCTGAGTACTTAGCAAACTTATATTGAGTCTTTTGCATGGACTCAATATTATATTTTGTCTAGAATTTATAGACAAAACTTATAGCACAGCAGGCCAGATAGCATGGCTAAACATGTTGCTACTTGTTTTCTCAGCATGAACTCAGATTTTTAAAGCACTGGCTAATATAGGTGACAAGTTATTATTGCCTTCCCTTTTTTCCTTGCTTCTGGGGGTAAGTCTAAGAAGCTTTGGTTCACGAAAGGGATCTAAGGAACACTGTGTCTCCCACATCTACCCACGCTTATCCAACCTTCACCCAGTTTTTAGAAGCCGCAGTTTCTGGAGAAACTGGGTTATGAACAACCATCAATTCTGTACCACTGATTCTGGTTTCTTACATCCCCTTCAAAGAGAGAATGCTCTTGGATAGCATGGCTTCTTCCACAATCAATGCTAGCTCTGGAGAAGCAGAGATAGGGAGGCCAATCACACAGCCATGGGAAGGAATAAAAGGCAATGCCTGCCTGATCACGGCTGAGCCATCTTCCCCCTCTGCAAAAACTGAGGCATAATGATATTTCAGGCTCTCCCTATGTCAGGCTCCTGACATGCACCATATGTAGCTGCAAATCCCAATCAATTTCAACATTTCTTAACTGCTAGAACACCTTTCTCAACACTGTAATTTACCTTCAAAAGAATAGGGAGCAAGCACCCTCGCCTTTCCAGTACCACATTCTACTAACTGCCGCCCCCCTCCCCACCCCACTAACCTACCTACGCAAAGGAAGAAGGCAAATAACCCTCCATCGAAGCCTACGACAGACCGCCACAGTACATATGTCACTGACAAAGAACTTTTATTTCTTTTTAATGACATTAAACACAACTGCTACAAGGGAAAAAACATGATAAAGAGGAGGCACCAAACTTCAGTTTCATAATTGAAACTGACAACGCCAGTAAATCAGGGCCTGCATTCGAAACTACAGGTTATTTCAGGCTCCTTACTTGTAAGTAAACAATGTAAACAGCATATTTTTACTCTGCTTTGTCAAGACCCCCATGGTGGGAATGTCGTCATGGATGAAGAAAGCAGTTAAATGCACCTAACACTTGCTTAAAAAATAATACAGCAAGAATTCCAACTGCAATATTAGACTTAGAGGCCAATACCAAATATAAGAGATATGCAGCTTTGAAAAGAGATGAAAACTCCAGATTCTACCCAGTACCATCTTTAAGGCGAACATGCCAGATAATGAGTTTTCTTTGGCTTTGTTTTTTCTTCTTAAAGAATACCATGTTAACCACTAGAGAACAGCTCTCTCCTCCCCCAGTCCAACAGATTTAATTAAGCTGCTAAAGCTTTGGAAAAACAGAATTATTTGAGCTAAGAGGAAATGTGATTGTCACATTTTCTAGTTAACCTGTCACTCATTTGATTTGGCAAAGGCAGTGCTCCTATTACACATTCAGTCTTAAAACCCCATGTACCAGGAGGGCACGAGTCTTAGATTTTTGCCTAGGCAAAATCCTGTCCCTTCACTCCTTGGGTTTTCTGTAGGGAACTAGACTACAGTTCCCTACTGTAGCTGCAATGCTAGCTATTCCAACTACATTTAATTTTAACTATGCTATGGTCCCAAAGGTGGATGTTTGGCATGTCTCACTCCATCAACCTAATTTAGGGCAGCCTGGAGAAGTGACCGATGTAGTAAATGCCAAGTAGGCTAACTAAAATAATAGATTTCAACTACTGCCTTTGAATAGAACTTCTCCTTTGCATTTTGGCCCCAGAATTTAAAACAAATGTTCAAGGAAAAGCAAATCCTTGACTGGATAAAAACAGTAAACACTTAGGGACATTCACCTAAATTTATTGTTGGCTTAAATGACCAAGCGTTCCCCACGTCCGTTTCTAAAGTGGGGTAGGATGTTTAGAATGCATTACTCACACAGAAAGATGGGATTGATGAAATCACAAAACTAAACACAGGCTATAGCAACTATGAACAGCCTTCACAGAGAATGAACAATAGCACAAATGCCAGACTGCAACACTTCCTAAAATGATGTCTATAGCTATCTGTAAAGAGAGAATAACCGGCCAGGTGCAGTGGCTCATGCCTGTAATCCCAGCACTTTAGGAGGCCGAGGTGGGCAGATCACCTGAGGTCAGGAGTTCAAGACCAGCCTGACCAACATGGAGAAATCCTGTCTCTACTAAAAAATATGAAATTAGCCAGGCATGGTGGCGCATGCCTGTAATCACAGCTACTCAGGAGGCTAAGACAGGAGAATCCCTTGAACCCAGGAGGCGGAGGTTGTGGTGAGTGGAGATACGCCATTGCACTCCAGCCTGGGCAACAACAGCGAAACTCCGTCTCAAAAAAAAAAGAGAGAATAACCAACTCCTAAGACATCCATTAAGACAGACGCACAGTCTGTCAACTTTGGTTAGAATACCAAACCTTAAGATCAGGTAATGCTTTTGTGCATAGGCTGTCACAACTATATTACATCCACGTTAGCATCCATGTGAAACTAGGTATCAGGGGCTTGACCAAATGAGATGGTAACATCCAGGGCCTAAAGACACCTCTTGTTAACTAATATGGAGAAAAAAGAGTGCCTTTCCACACTCTCCCACAGAATGGAGGCTCCCTAACTAACACTCAAATTTGGGGTTCAGCAAATGAAACTAAATATCAACTGACACCACAATAGCACTAGCCTGCCCTAGAGTCAAGACTCTGGGTGGGCAGCTCTTCAATAAAGACAGCAAGGAGGCCATCCTGAAGAGGTATATCCACGTCTAACAGGTTACAAGAATACTGCCACTAGAATCCTAAAGAGCAGAGTGGTCACTGGGGGGTAAAAAGAAAAAGGAAAATCCTTGAAGAAAGGCAAAGGAGACAACCAGTCTCAAGACCACAAGGTATTATAAGTCTTCTGTCAAAGTAAGATGTATAAGATTTGTAAACACTATTGTGCAAAATAAGTTCAATAAGGAATGAAAAAATCCCCCCCACCCACAAAAAAAAATCAAGGCAGCTAGTACCTACAGAAGGGAGAGGAGAGGATTTACTATTTTAATTTGTCCTTTCAATAGGATTCTTCTCCTGCTCCATCCTACTTATAATGTCCTGGATTGCCAACTTTAAAATACTGACAGGTATTCAGAGGATTCAAATAAAAAAGTAAGAGGGGTTGTTAAAAGTAACTTATATCCATTCACAAGTTATCTAACACTGGCTCACAGCCTGGTAAAGAATCTCTTCCTTATGGAAGATTGAACAATGATTTCTTTGAGGTACCAGAAAGTAGACTTTGCCTCTGCAGAGAGGTGGGTCTTTTGCTTGAACCTGGGTGTTCTGGCTTAATGCTGGCTTTCAGGAGGCAGCTACCTTCAATTTAAATTAAAAAAACAAAAAAAAACTATACCAACCGAACGCTTGCTTAAACACAGACACACACACACAAAATCAGGAGGGACTTCATACAAAAAAATTCAAGTCGGCAATGGGCATTTCCAAAAGGTGACGAGTTTTTTAAATAAAAATTTTGTGAAAAATAAAATCCAAAATCGGCAAAGCACAAAACAGCAAAAGAACATGAAATGCTGCTCCAAGCAGGACCCTGGATAGGGACCTTCATTGCTGATGGGATGACACAAATTAACTGTACGAGAAGTCTGGGAGACGCTGGAACCGATGGTGGCTTCGCATGTTCCTGTCAACCCACTGAGTCAGACTGTATCTTTGCAGATGTTTCTGTCGGCGGGCGTAGTTTCTATCGAGAGAGGGAGAGTACAAACAGGAAGGCTATTTCAACTAGAATGGCTATTTGTACACAAAAAAAGGCCAGCACAACAATTTTAAGAAGATCTTTACTTTTGGAAATCAGATATTAATTTTATATTTCAATTCTCACAATTTTAGAAATTTTATACTATTTCATTTATATGAACACCACACCGTAAGTGCTATTTCTTTCCAACTCCCAAAGCCACCTAATTCCCATAGGTATTATGGTGATATGTGCCATATACACAATATTCTAAGGAAAACTAATGTAGAATAATGTTTAAGTAGGGGAGAAAAAAAAAACCATTTTATTCCTCCAGAAGAATTTAGGATAGGATCTATATTTTATTGTTTGCATCACACCTGTACCTCCAAAAGGACCTCATTGTCTGACACAGCTCAAGGTTGCTCAGGACACAGCAGTTAAAATTAGAATAAATTCCCAGAAAGGTAAGTCATCATGTGAGTTTAGAGACTGAAAAATTAACAGCACAGACTCACAGTAAAATTTCTTAAAAGTCTCATTTAGTT
Organism: Homo sapiens; assembly: GCF_000001405.40. Classification (NCBI taxonomy): domain Eukaryota; kingdom Metazoa; phylum Chordata; class Mammalia; order Primates; family Hominidae; genus Homo; species Homo sapiens. The sequence continues at coordinate 32,855,378 of NC_000001.11, read as the reverse complement.
ATGTGCTGGGCTGCAGTTCTGAGCAAGACGCTCTGAGATAATCTGATCCCATTTTTGACTCTGAAAGTGCTCCTAATAATCTAGGAAGCTTTCTGAAGATACGCATTCTAAAATTTAAAAAAAGAAAAAGAAAAAACAAATACAGATATGGATTCTTGGCCTCTCCCTCCTCCCAGACTTAATGACTTAGAATACCTGGAATCAGGATACAAACATCTGTATTTTTAGATATCTCCACAGGTAATTATGAGTAGTCGCCAGGGTTGAAAATAACTGTAACAGTACCTGACATTTATCTATCCCTATATGCAAGTACTTGCTGAATTCTTTAAATACCTCTCCTCACTTAATACTGTGACAATCCTACTAGTATTTTCATTAAGTCCTTGTATAGGTAAGGAAATTGATTGAGCCTCAGGTTAATAATTTACCCAAGGTCATAGAGTAGAGTAAGCAGAACTGGATTTGAATTCACATCTGACTCCAGAATTTATCTATTAACAATTACACTACACTGCCTTTCCTTCTGAGAAATGCTATGATTTTGACAACTACAGAGGGAATATGACTGTAAAGGCCCTGAAGCAAGAGGAAGAGTATTAGGAGATGAGGTCGGTGAGCATAGGCCAAAGCATATAGGCCTTTGTAGGGGATTACGAGAATGGGAAGATGTGAGATGGGAAGCCACTGGGAAATATTGAGCAAATGTGATTTATGCTTTAAAAGAATCTCTTTCTTTGGCTGCTGAGTTGTGAACAGTGCACTGGCAAGGGCAGAAGCAGGGAGGCCATTTAGGAGACTTGCAACAATCCAGGTCAAATGATGAGAAATAGTTAGGCTTTGGATATACAGCTGACCCTCCATATCCATGGGTTCTACATCCATGGATTTAACCAACCATGGGTCAAAAATATTCAAAGAAGAAAAATGAATGGTTCCATCTGTATCGAACATGTATAGACATTTTTCCTTGTCATTATTTCCTAAACAATACAGTATAACAACTATTTGCATAGCATTTATACTGTATTAGTTATCATAAGTAATCTAGAGATGATTTAAAGTATATGGAAGGATGTGCACAGGTTATGCAAACACTATGGCATTTTATATAAGGAACGTGAGCATCTGTGGATTTTGGTATCCAGAGAGGGTCCTGGAACTAATCCCTCATGAATACCAAGGACAACTGTATATGCAGAACCTATGGGATTTGCTGATAGACTGAATATGGGGTGAGAGAGAAAAAAGTAAAAGATGATTCCAAGGTTTTTGAGTATCTGAATCAAAGTAACTGAATAAATTTGTACAGCCACACTGCATCAAGAATCCAGAAAACTGTAATACTAAATTTGAGTCTTAAAAAAAAAAAATTCCAGAAGATTTCAGAATTAGGAAGGTCCTTTGACACCAAGTTGCAAAGCTAGTATTAGAACTCAGGTTTCCTGAATTTCAGTCCAGTTTTTGTTTTGTCTGTTTGTTTTTTGAGACAGGGTCTCGCCCTGTTGCCCAGGCTGGAGTGCAGTGGCACAATCATTGCTCATCACAGCCTCAAGCTCCTGGGCTTCAAGCAATCCTTTTCTCTCAGGCACTCTCAGGGACTACAGACACACACCACCATGCCCAGTTAAGTTTTTGTATTTTTTGTAGCGACGGGGTCTCACATTGGCCAGGCTGGTCTCGAACTCCTGGGCTCAAGCAATCCTCCTGCCTTGGCCTCCCAAAGTGCTGGAATTACAGGCGTGAGCTACTGTGCTCAGCCTCAGTCCAGTTCTTATTCCATTATACTGCATCACTTTTTCCCCCTGCCTCTTGAATTAAACAATTCCAACCCCTACTCCCCACTACATTCCTCCTGCAGCCAAATTTCACGCGCCCCCCCCCCACCGCCTTTTCTTTTTTTTTTTTTAGACGGAGTCTTGCTCTGCCGCCCAGGCTTGAGTACAGTGGCACCATCTTGGCTCACTGCAACCTTCGCCACCAGATTCAAGCAACTGTCCTGCCTCAGCCTCCTGAGGCTGGGACTACAGATGCTTGCCACCACACCCAGCTAATTTTTGTATTTTTGGTAGATATGGGGTTTCACCATGTTAGCCAGGATGGTCTCAAACGACCCACCCACCTTGGCCACCCAAAGTGCTGGGATTACAGGTGTGAGCCACCGCGCCCAGCCATTCTACCCTTTTCCATCTTCTTCTAATCACCCACTCACCGCGTGGTGAGGTCCGAAGGATGCTGCCATTTTGAGTGCTGCATATGATGAACTTGATCCATCAAGGCACAAAGCTCCCCCGAGATACCTGTGATACAGAGGGATCAGTGGTTAGGAACAGCTGAGTGAACTACGTCAGCCAACGTCAAAGTATGTGTTTTCAGGGAAAGAGAAAACAGGCACTGTTCTCAACAATATATACTTACAATTATCACAAGCAGTGAGCACAGAAACTATAAACCAGAATGGGGAGATTACTCTTGGAGGGTGAAGGTGAAGCAATAATAGCAGCCACCATTCATTCATTCAACACTTAGCTCCTACAATATACAGGGAACTTTACTTGTCCCTAGGAATATGGCAGTGAACAAGACACTACCTCAATGAAGTTTATACAGGAGACAGATGATTCCAAAGTGGTGTGATAAATGCAGTGATAGAAATACAGACTGCTATAGAGACTGGGGGGGTGGGGGTTAGGGAAAGCCCCCTCCAGGGGGAGTAACTATAGCAGGGATCTAAAGGATGTATAAAATTAGTGAGGTAAAGAGGGGTAGGAGGTTGGATGCCAAAAGATAACAGTTAATACAAAGCCCCAGAGACAAAAGACAGCAAATACATTCAAGAAACAAGAGGAGTTTAGAACAGATGGAGGTGGGCGCTCTTTGCTAACAAGAAAAATTGCTAGATGCAATTTCTCAAACACCTGGGATCCTAGCAATGTACTAGACACTTTACATATTATCTTACTTAATTCTAAAAAAAATCTTACATGGAGATAGATGTTATTAATATCATTTCAAAGATGGGAAACTATGGGAGGTGAACTTGCCTGAAATACTTTTTTTTTTTTTGAGACAGAGTCTTGCTCTGTCGTCCAGGCTAGAGTGCAATGGCATGATTTCGGTTCACTGCAACCTCTGCCTCTTGGGTTCAAGTGATTCCCCTGCCTCAGCCTCCTGGGTAGCTGGGACTACAGGCGCCTATCACCATGCCAGGCTAATTTTTATATTTTTAGTAGAGATGGGGTTTCATCATGTTGGCGAGGCTGGACTCCAATTCCTGACCTCAAATGATCCTCCCAAAGTGCTAGGATTACAGGTGTGAGCCACCATGCATGGCCCTGAAATTCTTGATGACCCAGGATTCAACTAGCTCCTGTGTGACTCCATGTCCTTGCCACTATGCAATAATGCTAATTTTGCACTCAACGATTGAGACTTAGGCTAAAACTCAATAGAAGCAGAAATAAAACACTAGTTAGGAAATAATTTCCCTAGACCAGTGGTTCGCAAATTTTAACATACATTATAATCAACTGGAGGTATTGTAAAACAGATTGCTGGGCCTAGCCTCCAGACTTTCTGATTATACATAATCAGAAAACTACAGATCTGGGTAGGGCCTGAGAATTTGCATTTCAAGCAAATTCCCAAGTGATGCTAATGCTGGTGGTCTAAGAAACACTTTTTTTTTCTTTTTTTTGTGGGTAGTGGGGTGGGAGATGGAGTCTCACTCTGTCACCCAGGCTGGAGTGCAGTGGTGTGATCTCGGCTCACCGCAACCTCCTCCTCCCGGGTTCAAGTGATTCTCCTGCCTCAGCCTCCTAAGTAGCTGGGATTACAGGCGCCTGCCACCATGCCTGGCTAATTTTTGTATTTTTAGTAGAGACAGGGTTTCACCATGTTGGCCAGGCTGTTCTTGAACTCCTGACCTCAAGTGATCCACCCACCTTGCTCTCTCAAAGTGCTGGGATTACAGGCGTGAGTTACTATGCCCAGCTGAGAAGCACACTTTGAAAATCAAAGCCCTAGACAGTGGAGACTTTTCAGCTCGTTTACATGTTTTTCATTACCTTATCTACTGTGCTTTCGGGAATCAAAAGCAGTCTCAGTAGGCTACAGACTCATATTTTCAAGTTCTAGTAAAAGTAATGTCACTTTTAGGATAAATGTAATTTATTTGAAGCCTCAAAAAGTAGAGCTTTGTAGAGAAAGTATACTGTATACTTTGGAGTTAGGCAGAGTTGAGTTAAAATTCCAATCCATCAATTAGCTCTGTGACCCTGGGCAAATTATTTCACTTCTTCAGGGCTCACTACTCATCTATGAAAAGCAGATAATACAATTTAGCTTGAAGCTGAGTTTTAGGAATATTGAACGTAAAAGACCTAGCACATTGCTATGGCACACAGCGTGTGTGCAGTGAGTGGTAGCTATTATGATGTTAGCACCTCAGGTCTATGTTAGCTTGCAAAGACTCTGCAAATCCTGTGAAATTTTAAGGAAAAACGTTTATTAAATGGATCCATCCACACATAAACTATGACATTTTATGGCACTCAAATATTTTTCTAACCATAACACTTTTTAGGAAAAATTTATAGATTTCATTAAAAGTTTCTCTACTGTTAAAAAAGCACGACCAAATGAAACATAATTGACAAAATGAAAAATATATTTGAAACATACTTGGCAAAAGTTTAATGTCCTTTATCTACAGTCTCTTTATTTTTTAAAAAAGGTCAAGGGCATGAATAGACAACTTGCAAAATTATTACAAGTGATCAATAAACATGATAAAAACAATGTTCAATCTCATTCATGGAAAGAAAAGGCATTACTGTCACTCCTTGAGAAGGAAAAATAAATCAGAAATGAGTTTCCTCATGAAGGGAAGTAACTCTTGATTAGAAAATTCCTTACCTGCTGGATTTGTAAAGCTAAAATCAAAGGTCTCAATTCAAATTGCCTTTCCAATACCCCACTTTCACCTCGCTAGCACTCCACTCCCTGTGGTCACCCAAAAAGGACATTTCAGTGGGAGGCAGGGGAGGGGAGAATCAGCTTTATAAAAATTTCAAGATACATTTTTCCTACCAAAGCTTCACAAAGGAGGGCTAGCAATATATGGAAATTCTGTGTCCATCAAAATGGAACCACAAGATTATCTATAGAACATGTCCTTCAGCTCACTCATTTCTTATCACCTGCATTTTAGAAAATTAATCTGGCAATGGAAACTAAAGATAATAAATCTAAAAACATATCTATTCACATTAAATGATGAGAAGAATAGCCAGTTAGCCAAAGGGGCCTAATATTCAAATATTTAACTTCTAGGAATCAAATCCAGCAGCAGCAATTTATATAACATTATATATCAAGCCTGTTTAAATAAATAAATAAAGGCACTGTCCTATGTGCTAGTTTATATATATCAACTCATTTATTCTTTACAACAATCCTATAAGGTATTTTCCCCGCTTTACAGACAAAAGTATATAAAACTGTAAAGAAACCGAGGCACAGAAAAGTTAACTAATTTGCCCAAAGTCACATGTCTAATGACAAAGCCAGAATTCCAACAATATAAAACTATCATAGGATTGACTTTCCTTAAAAAATTTTCTGGGAGCAACATTTCATAGTTGAGATTAGAAAGTAAAAATCATATAGCCATATGTCTCTTGTAAACAATGGCTCAATAATTAGATCTCAGCTCATGTACCAAAAAATTTTAATTTTCCTTAGCACTAATAACTAACTTATTGTTAGACTAGCCTAACTCTTATTATGAATAAGACTTAATGATCTAGAGATAATGGGAGCTAACATTTATCAAGCACTTCTTACGTGCTACGTACTTTGCTAACTGCTTTGCATGTATCCTACAATTTAATTCTAACAATCACAGATGGCAAACTCTATAACCTCCATTTTATTCACAAGTAAACTGAAGCTTAGAAAAAAATACTTTCCCAGCACTTTGGGAGGCCGAGGCAGGCGGATGGCTTGAGCCCAGGAGTTCAAGACCAGCCTGGGCAACATGGTGAAACCCCGTCTCTACAAAAAGTACCCGGGTGTGGTAGTACACACCTGTAGTCCCATCGACTCCAGGGGGCTGAGGTGGGAGGATCACCTGAGCCCATGAGGTGGAGGCTGCAGTGAGCCATGATCATACCACTGCACTCCAACCTGAGTGACAGAGCAAGACACTGTCTCCAAAAAAAAAAGAAAAAAAAAGAAAGAAAAGATACTCATCTATCATCTAGTAAATCAGGAAAGCCAGGATTCAAACCCAGGTGGGGCTAATAATCCAAAAACCTCATTTTAGCTTATAGTTTGAACCTCATCTTCCTCCAAATTTAGAGATGCTAACAAGAATGGGAACATTTGAATTTTCTCTTCTCTTCATAGTCTCTAACAGATGGGCTTTCTTGGACCAACAATCAGTACCATGGGTTTATTTTAAGTTGTGGCAAAAAGGTGGTAAAGACTGTCCTTTGTTTTGTGACTAAGAATGAAATAAAGGAGGGAAAAACCCCCAATATTTCAGGAATGACGTCAACAATTCATCTAAATCTTAATCTATAAATATGAAGGTGACTGGTTTTGGGGAAACATCCAGTTTAATAACTGTTCTTAGTAAGTTTAAAGTGAATCAATTTTTATATCATAATGGAGGAGGACGGATAATGCTGAGTACCTGCTATGCCAATTCTGACAGGTTTTATAGGACATAATACTTTTTACCACCCACATGACCCTAACTCAATCAAGTGTGGCACATGACCAAAGAACAGAGACTCTCTCAGCTGGCTAATGACATAATGACCTAGAAGGCTGCCTGGTACCAGCAGGTCATTAAGTAAACCAATCAGATACTCTTCTTTGAAATGTCAATGTGAGCTTTAGTAATGAGAACAAGAGAGAACAGTACACATGCAGGGCTCTAGGAAAAACAGTTACTTGAGATAGCTAAATAGCAGCAAAAGTACTGGTCACAGAAGCAGATTAGATTAGGGAAAATCCCAATAGGGAACAGAGGCACTCATTTCTTTTTTCTTTATTTTTTTTTGAGACGGAGTTTCGCTCTTTTGCCCAGGCTGGAGTGCAGTGACTCGATATTGGCTCACTGCAAACTCTGCCTTCCGGTTTCAAGCAATTCTCCTGCCTCAGCCTCCCGAGTAGCTGGGATTACAGGTGCCCGCCACCATACTCGGCTAATTTTTGTATTTTTAGTAGAGATGGGGTTTCACCATCTTGGCGAGGCTGGTCTCGAACTCCTGACTTCATGATCCACCCACCTTGGCCTCCCAAAGTGCTGGGATTACAGGTGTGAGCTGCAGCACCTAGTTAGAGGCACACATTTCTGACGGAGCGTGTAGTTCGGCTCTACGGTTAATTCTTTTCACTACGAGACCTGGTGAAAAGTCTCATCTAATCATCTTTTCCTGTAAATCCTTAAACTCAGTTACTTAAAGGCTATCATAATATCTCTATTCCATGCAATGTAAAGTACTTAATACCAGGGAGGGAATGAAGAGAGAAGGAAAGAAAAAATGTGCTACAGGGGACATGGGCTACTGCTTTTATAAATAGATTAATAAAATATAAATGAAAAGAAAAAATAAGTAGAAGGCAAGAATGCAAATGTGTCACCTCTAGGTCAACAAAACTGCGATGATCTAGTAGAAATCTTGACTGATTTTCCTTGCAGGCAAGGGAAAAAGTAGAAGAAACAGGAGTTATTATGTAATTCACTTATGAAGTGATACAGGGGATACTGAATGATATATGAATGTCCTCAACAGTACTGGGAAATTCAGAATCAGAATTTATATAACCATTGCTGTTTATGATCTTCAATAAAAATCAAAGCAGATATTTCCACTTGTAGCTAAGATGAATGGGGGACTTAACCTCTCACTGTAAGCTACTAGAAACTAGGCAAAATTATGAAACAAGTGCTTTCAGACTACTGAAAATTGTGATCCCCGAGGAAAGAGAAACAACTGAGGTGAGTCTTGAAACTTCTTATAAGTCTATAATTTTTCAAAATAAAAAGTTTTTTAAATGAAGGCAAAATAAACAGGTTCTAAATAAAAGCAGAGAGACTTCATCAGTAGATGTGCACTACAACAAACATTACAAGTTGTTCATTAGGAAAAAGGAAAATAATATCACATCGAAACTTGGATCTATACAAAATAATCAAAAGCACTGGAAATGTAAGTATGTGAGTGCATATAAAAGGCTATTTTTCCTATTTAGATGATGTCTTTAAAAGATAATTTACTGTTACGGCCAGGCACGGTGGCTCATGCCTGTAATCCCAGCACTTTGGGAGGCCAAGGTGGGCGGATCACCTGAGGTTGGGAGTTCGAGACCAGCCTGACCAACATGGAGAAACCCCGTCTCTACTAAAAATACAAAATTAGCCAGGTGTGGTAGCACATGCCTGTAATCCTAGCTACTAGGGAGGCTGAGGCAGGAGAATCGCTTGAACCTGGAGGCGGAGGTTGCGGTGAGCTGAGATCGCACCACTGCACTACAGCCTGGGCGACAAGAGTGAAACTCCGTCTCAAAAAAAAAAAAAAGAAAGATAATTTACTGTTTAAAGTAAAAATAACATGCCTGTAATCCCAACACTTTGAAGGATGAGGTGGGAGGCTTGCTTGAGGCCAGGAGGTCAAGACTACAGTGAGCTATAATCATGTTACTGCACTCTAGCCTAGGCAACAGAGTGAGATCCCATCTCCATAATAATAATAATAAATTTAATAAGATAATAAAAATACAACAAAGAGGTATAGGCAGTAAGTATGGAGATAAAATGGAATACTAAAAAATACTACAAAAATTAAATGAGTCAGGGAAAGATGGAAGTGGAAACAAAAAACAAATAGAAAACAAGTAACACGATGGCAGATTTAAATCCAGCCATATGGGATTGTACATTAAATGTAAATGGATTAATGCTCCAATTAAAGACTGAGATTGTGAGACTGGAAAAAAAAAAAAAAAGCAAGACCCAGCTACCAATTATATGCTCTCTATAAGACATTTACTTTAAACATAAAAGTAAATTAAGGAGGGCAGGCGTGGTGGCTCATGCCTGTAATCCCAGCACTTTGGGAGGCCGAGGCAGGCAGATCATGAGGTCAGGAGTTCAAGACCAGCCTGGCCAACACAGTGAAACCCCATCTCTACTAAAAAACTACAAAATAAGCCGGGTGTAGTGGCATGCACCTGTAGTCCCAGCTACTCAGGAGGCTGAGGCAGGAGAATTGCTTGAACCCAGGAGGTGGGGGTTGCAGTAAGCCAAGACCACACTATTGCACTCCAGCCTGGGTGATAGAGTGAGACTCCATCTCAAAAAAAAATAAAAAAATAAATTAATTAAGGCAAGGCCCAGTGGCTCACACCTGTAATCCTAGCACTTTGGGAGGCCGAGGTGGATAGATCACTTGAGCCCAGGAGTTTGAGACCAGCGTGGGCAACATGGCAAAACCCCATCTCTACAAAAAATACAAAAAATTAGCCAGGCTTGGCGGCACACACCTGTAGTCCCAGCTACTTGGGAGGCTGAGGTAGGAAGATCACGAGCCCGGGAGGTTGATGCTACAGTGAACCATGATTGTACCACTGCACTCAGGCTGGGTGACAGAGCAAGGCTTTATCTTAAAAAAAAAAAAAAAGAAAATGAAAACATATCAAAATGTGTGGGATGCAGCTAGCAGTGCCTAAAGGGGAGCCTATGGCTTAAAATGCTTAGAGAAAATAGAAAGTTCTCAAGATCAATGATCTGATCTTCCACATTAAAAAGCTAGAAAACAAGGCCAGGCATGGTGACTCATGCCTGTAATTGTGGCACTTTGGGAGGCCAAGAGTTCGAGACTAGCCTGGGTAACAGTGAGATACCATCTCTATTTAACTTTTTTTTTTTGAGACAGGGTCTCACTCCGTCACCTAGGCTGGAGTGCCGTGACACGACATTGGTTCACTCAGCCTCCTGGGTTCAAGGGTTCCTCCCACCTCAGCCTCCCAAGTAGCTGGGACTACAAGTATGTGCCACCACAACACTCGGCTACTGTCTCTATTTTTTAAAAAAGAAAGGCCAGGAGATCGAGACCATCCTGGCTAACACAGCTAACGTGGTGAAACCCCGTCTCTACTAAAAATACAAAAAATTAGCCGGGTGAGGTGGCGGGCGCCTGTAGTCCCAGCTACTCAGGAGGCTGACGCAGGAGAATGGCGTGAACCTGGGGAGCGGAGCCTGCAGTGAGCCAAGATCGCGCCACTGCACTCCAGCCTGGGCAACAGCGAGACTCCACCTCAAAAATAAATTAAATAAATAAATAAATAAATAATAAAAATACAAAAAAATTAGCCGGGCATGGTGGGGGGTGCCTGTAGTCCCAGCTACTCGGGAGGCTGAGGCAGGAGAATGGCGTGAACCCGGGAGGCACAGCTTGCAGTGAGCCGAGATCACGCCACTGCACTCCAGCCTGGGCAACAGAGCGAGAGTCCATCTCAAAAAAAGATATATATATATAGATATATAGAGATATATATCTCTCTATAGATCTATACAGAGATATATATCTCTATCTATAGATATCTATATATATCTCTATCTCGGAATAGAAATCAGAAAACAGGAAGGGCATGGTGGCTCATGCTCATAATCCCATTACTTTGGGAGGCCAAAGCTGGAGACCATCTCTACAAAAAAATTTAAAAATTAGCTAGGCATAGTGGCACGTGCCTGTAGCTACTCTGGAGGCCGAGGTAAGAGTATTACTTGAGCTAAGGAGGTAGAGGCTGCAGTAAGCTGTGATGGCCCCACTGCACTCTAGCCTGGGGGACAGAACCAGACCCCATCTCATAAAAATTAGTAACAAAACAGGGTTTGCTCTGTAACCTAGGCTAGGCACAAGTGATCCTCCCACATTGGCCTCCCAAAGCACTGGGATTACAGGCATGAGCCACCGTGCCCAGTTCCAAATGTTTTTCTAAAATCAGTAACAGGTTCGGGCACAATGGCTCACACCTGTAACCCCAACACTTTGGGAGGCAGAGGCAGGCAGATACTTGAGGCCAGAAATTCGAGACCAGCCTGGCCAATATAGCAAAACCCCACCTCTGCTAAAAATACAAAAAATTGGCTGGGCACAGTGGCTCACACCTGTAATCCCAGCAATTGCGGAGGCCGAAGTGGGCGGATCACCTAAGGTCAGGAGTTCAAGACCAGCCTGGCCAACATGGTGAAACCCTGTCTCTACTAAAAATACAAAAAAATTAGCCAGGCATGGTGGCAGGCGCCTGTAGTCCCAGCTACTCGGGAGGCTGAGGCAGGAGAATCACTTGAACCTGGAAGGCGGAGACTGCAGTGAGCTGAGATCGAGCCACTGCACTCCAGTTTGGGTGACACAGCGAGACTCCATCTCAAAAAAAGAAAAAAAAAGTCAACAAGGGGATGGGAAAAGATCTCAGCCGGGCATGGTGGCTCACGCCTGTAATCCCACCACTTTGGGAGGCCAAGACGGGCAGATCATGAGGTCAGGAGATCGAGACCATCCTGGCTAACATGGTGAAACCCCGTCTTTACTAAAAATACAAAAAATTAGGCCATGTGCGGTGGCTCACACCTGTAATCCCAGCACTTTGAGAGGCCAAGGTGGTCGGATCACTTGAGGTCGGGAGTTCGAGACCAGCCTGACCAATATGGAGAAACCCTGTCTCTACTAAAAGTACAAAATTAGCCAGATACAGTGGCACATGCCTGTAATCCCAGCTATTCAGGAGGCTGAAGGAGAATCGCTTGAACATGGAAGGCGGAGGTTTTCGTGAGCCGAGATTGTGCCATCGCACTCCAGCCTGGCAAGAAGAGTGAAACTTCATCTCAAAAAAAAAAAAATTAGCCGGGTGTGGTGGCTCATGCCTGTAGTCCCAGCTACTCAGGAGGCTGAGGTTGCAGTGAGCTGAGATCACGCCACTGCACTCCAGTCTGGGCAACAGAGCGAGATTCTTGTCTCAACAACAACAACAACAACAACAACAAACAAAAAGAAAAGATCTCATTTGTACTTAACTGGAGGTTCTAGGCAGCACCAGAAAAGAAAATAAAAGGCATCCAAGTCAGAAAGAAACAAGTAAAAATTTCTTTATTTGCTGACAATAAGATAACCTACAGGGAAAACCTGATGAAATCTATTAAAAAGTTACTAAAACTAATAAAAGAATTTAGGAAGGTTATAGAATGTAAGACCAAGACACAAAAATCAATTACATTTCTATATAATAGCAATGAACAGATACTGAAATTTTAAAAACTAAATCATTTTACAAAAGCATCACAATATGAAACACTCCGGGATAAATTGGATAAAAGATGTGCAAGACTGTACAAAAGCTACAAAACATTTATGAAGGAAATTAGAGAAGACTTTAATCAAAACACTCAATATTAAAATGTTAATTCTCAGTCAGGCGCGGGGGCTCACACCCGTAATCTCAGCACTTTGGGAGGCTGAGGAGGGCTGATCACTTGAAGTCAAGAGCTCGAGAACAGCCTGGCCAACTTGGTGAAACCCTGTCTGTATTAAAAATAAAAAAATTAAGCTGAGTGTAGTGGCAGGCATTTGTAATCCCAGCTACTTGGGAGACTGAGGCAGGAGAATTGCTTGAATCTCGGAGGCAGAGGTTGCAGTGAGCTGAGATCGCACCACCGCACGACAGCCTAGGCAACAGAGTGAGACTCCATCTCAAAAAAATAAAATAAAATGTTAATTCTCTCTCAGTTTTATTTATTTATATAGACTCAATACAATCCCAATGGAAATCCCACCAAGCCTTAAGAAATTGATACGCTAATTCTAAAATTTATATGGAAATGCAAAGAATCTACAAAAGCCAACACAACTGAAAAATAAGAACACTAGTGGAACACATTAGTCTTTTTTTTCCTGGAAACCTGATTTTTCTAGAGACAAATGATTTTTGACAAAGGTACAAAGGCAATTCAATGCAGAATGGACAGTCTTTTCAATAAATGGTAAAGAAGCAATTGAATATCCATGTGCCAAGAAAATAAGCCTTACATTCCCACGTGTGTGTGTGTGTGTGTGTGTGTGTGTGTGTGTATATATATATATATACATATATATATATATATGTTTTTTTTTTTTTTTTTTTTTTTGAGACAGTCTTACACTCTGTCACCCAGGCTGGAGTGCAGTGGTGCATCAATGCAACCTCCCTCTTCTGGGCTTAAGCAATCCTCCTGCCTTAGCCTTCTGAGTAGCAAGGACTACAGGTGTATGTCACCATGCCCGGCTAACCTTTTAATTTTTTTTTGGTAGAGGCAAGGTTTCACCACATTGCCCAGGCTGGTCTCAAACTCTTGGGCTCAAGCAATCTTCCCACCTGAGCCTCCCAAAGTGCTGGGATTACAGGCTTTAATCCATATCTTGCACTACATACAGAATAAATTTTAAAAGGATCATAGATCTAAATGTAATCCCTAAAGCTATAAAACCTCTAGAAAAAAACATAGGAGAAAATTTTTGTGGCCTTTTCTTTTAAGCAAAGATTTCTTAGATACCACATGAAAGCATAATCCGTAATTTTTTTTTTTTTTTTTTTTTTTTGAGACAGAGTTTTGCTCTTGTTGCCCAGGCTGGAGTGCAATGGTGCTATCTCGGCCCACAGCAATCTTTACTTTCCGGGTTCAAGCAATTCTCCTGCCTCAGCCTCCCGAGTAGCTAGGATTACAGGCATGCGCCACTACGCCCAGCTAATTTTGTATTTTTAGTAGAGATGGGCTTTCTCCATGTTGGTCAGGCTGGTCTCAAACTCCCGACCTCAGGTGATCTGCCTGCCTTGGCCTCCCAAAGTGCCGGGATTACAGGTGTGAGCCACTGCTTCCCACCCATAAAATTTTTAAAAACCTGATTAAACTTACTTCATCTACTATAACCAGTGACTACCAAGAAAAATAAATAAATAAATAAAAATAAACAAACTTACTTCATCAAAACTAAGAATTATGTTCTTTAGAAGACACTTATGGGAATGAAAAGACAAGGCATATACTGGGAGAAAATATTTCCAAATTACTTATCTGGCAAAGAAACTTGCATTTGGAACATGTATTTAAAGAACTCTCGAAACTCAGTAATAAGAAAATAATCCAATTTTTTTTATTTTTTTTTTTTTTGAGATGGAATCTTGCTCTGTCGCCCAGGCTGAAGTGCAGTGGCACAATCTCGGTTCACTGCAAGCTCCGTCTCCCGGGTTCACGCCATTCTCCTGCCTCAGCCTCCTGAGTAGCTGGGACTACAGGCACCCGCCACCATGCCCAGCTACTTTTTTTGTATTTTTAGTAGAGACGGGGTTTCACCGTGTTAGCCAGGACGGCCTCAATCTCCTGATCTCGTGATCCGCCCACCTCGGCCTCCCAAAGTGCTGGGATTACAGGCTTGAGCCACCGCGCCTGGCCGAAAATAATCCAATTTTTTAAATGAGCAAAAAATACTTCACCAAAGAAGATATACAGGTGGCAAATAAGCACATGAAAAGATGCTCAACATTATTACTCATTAGGAAAATGCAAATGAAAACTACAATGAGATATCACTACACATATATTAGAAAGTCTAAAATTATAAAAACTGACCACTTTACACCCATTAGGATGACTCCCATTGAAAAATAGAAAATAGGTCGGGCGTGGTGGCTCACACCTGTAATCCCAGCACTTTGGGAGGCCGAGGCAGGCGGATCACCTGAGGTCAGGAGTTCGAAACCAGCCTGGCCAACATGGCAAAACCCTGTCTCTACTAAAAATACAAAAATTAGCCAGGCGTGGTGGCGGGTGCCTGTAATCCCAGCTACTTGGGAGACTGAGGCAGGGAGAATTGCTTGAACCCAGGAGGGGGAGGTTGTAGCGAGCCAAGATCATGCCATTGCATTCCAGCTTGGGCAACAGAGCAAGACTCTGCCTCAAAATAAAATAAACAAACAAACAGAAAATAGGGGGCCAGGTGCGGTGGCATGGTAAAACACGGTCTCTACCAAAAATACAAAAAATTAGGCCGAGTGCGGTGGCTCAAGCCTGTAATCCCAGTGCTTTGGGAGGCCAAGGTGGGTGGATCACTTGAGGTCAGGAGTTCAAGCCCAGCCTGGCCAACATGGTAAAACCCCACCTCTACTAAAAATACAAAAATTAGCCGGATATGGTGGATGCACACCTGTTATCCCAGCTACTCAGGAGGCTGAGACAGGAGAATCGCTTGAACCTGGGAGGCAGAGGTTGCAGTGAGCTGAGATTGCACCGCTGCACTCCAGCCTGAGCAACAGAGCAAGACTCCATCTCAAAAAAACAAAACAAAACAAAAAATTAGTCAGGTGTGGTGGTGAGCCTGTAGTCCCAGCTACTCGGGAGGCTCAGGTGGGAGGATTGCTTGAGCCTGGGAGGCAGAAGTTGCAGTGAATCAAGATCACACCACTGTACTCCAACCTCAGTGACAGAGACCCTGTCTCAAAAAACAAATAAGTAAAAGAAAATAGTCTGGGTGCAGTGGTACACACCTATAATCCCAGTTACTCAAGAGGCTGGGGTGGGAGGATAGTTTGAGCCCAGGAGTTCACAACCAGCCTGAGCAACACAGTGAGACCCCGTCTCTAAAAATAAAAAGAAATTAGCCAGGCATGGTGGTGTGCACCTGTAGTTTAACCTTATTCAGGAGACTGATGCCAGGAGTTTGAGGCTGTACTGCACTACGGTTGTGCCACTGCACTCCAGCCTGGGTGACAGAGCTAGACTCCATGTCAAAAATAAAAATAAAAATAGAATTAGCATATGATCTAGCAATTCCTCTTCTCTTCTTGGTATGTAAGAATTGCAAGCAGGGTCTCAAAAAGATACGTGTAGATGCATATGCATAACGGCATTATTCACAAAGCTAAAAGGTGGAAGCAAACCAAGTGTCCATTGATATATAAATGGATAATCAAAATGTGGTATCCATATGCTGTATTATTAAGTCTTAAAAAGGAAGGAGATTCTGACACATGCAACAACAAACATGAATCTTGAGGACATTGTGCTAAGTGAAATAAGCCAGTCACGAAAAGACAAATACCACTTTGTCTGACTCCACTTATGTGAGGTACCTAGAGTAGTCAAATTCATAAACACATAAAGTGGAATGGTGGTTGTCAGGGGCTCAAGGGGGAGGGGAATGGGGAGTTATTGTTTAATGGGTATAGAGCTATGGATTTGTAGTGGGTGCAGCGATGTGTGCCTGTAGTCTCAGACACTCAGGAGGCTGAGGAGGAGGACTGCTTAAGCCTAGGTGTTTGAGCCTAACCTGGGAAATACAGCAAGACCTTCATCTTTAAAAAAATAAAAAACAAAGCTTCAGATGTGCAAGACCAAGAAATTATTGAAATGGATATGGTGATGGCTGTACAACAATATGAATATACTTAATACCACTGAAATGTACACTTACAACTTTTTTTTTTTTTTTGAGACGGAGTTTCACTCTTGTCACCCAGGCTGAAGTGCAATGGCATGATCTCAGCTCACTGCAACCTCTGCCTCCTGGGTTCCAGCGATTCTCCTGCCTCAGCCTCCAGAGTAGCTGGGATTGCAGGCACCTGCCACCACGCCTGGTTAATTTTTGTATTTTTAGTAGAGACGGGGTTTCACCACGTTGGCCAGGCTGGTCTTGAACTCCTGACCTCAGGTGATCTGCCCACCCCAGCCTCCCAAAGTGCTGGGATTACAGGCGTGAGCCACTGCACCCAGCCAAAACGTTTTTATAAAGAGGTTTTAAAAAGATGGTTATGTGTATATTATGTGTATTTTATAATTAAAAAGTTGGGGGAAACATTTTAAAATAGTGACCATACCCAATTGTTGGTAAGGCTGGGGGCAACCGGAATTCATACAACTGCTAATAGAAATGAAAAACGGTACAACTACTTGGGAACAGTTTGGCAGTTTCTTTTCTTTTCTTTTTTTTTTTTTTTTTTTTGAGACAGAGTCTCGCTCTTTCGCCCAGGCCGGACTGCAGTGGCGCTATCTCGGCTCACTGAAAGCTCCGCCTCCCGGGTTCATGCCATTCTCCTGCCTCAGCCTCTCGAGTAGCTGAGACTACAGGAGCCACGCGCAGCTAATTTTTTGTATTTTTAGTAGAGACGGAGTTTCACCGTGTTAGCCAGGATGGTCTCGATCTCCTGACCTCGTGATCCGCCCGCCTCGGCCTCCAAAAGTGCTGGGATTACAGGCGTGAGCCACCGCACCCAGCTGGCAGTTTCTCAAAAAGTTAAACACACACCTACCGTATGACCCAGTCATTTTACTCTAGATATTTACTTAAGAAAAATAAAAGCATATATATACAAAGATTTGTGCATGAATGTTCCTAACAGTTTTATCTGTCATAGCCAAAAATTGAACATAAGCCAAATGCCCATCTAAGTGAATGGGTAAACATTCACTTAGGGATAAATCTATATAATGGAATACTACTCAGCAATAAAAAGAAATAAACATGCAACATGGATGAATTTCAAAATAATTATCTTGAGACAAAGAAGCCAGACTCAAAAGAGTACATAGTGTATGATTCCATCACATAAAACTTTAGAAAATGCAAACTAACTGCAGTAGACACTAGATCAGTGGTCAATCTTGCCTGGGGATTAGAGGGGGCAGAGATAGGCAGAAGGGAGGAATTACAAAGGTGCACAAAGAAAGTTTTTAGTCCAATATGCTTATTATCTTTTTTTTTTTTTTTTTTGAGACGGAGTTTTGCTTTTGTTGCCCAGGCCGGAGTGCAATGGCGCGATCTCGGCTCACCGCAACCTCCACCTCCCGGGTTCAAGTGATTCTCCTGCCTCAGCCTCCCGAGTAGCTGGGATTACAGGCAGGTGGCCGGTGCCTATAATCCCAGCTAGGAGGCTGAGGCAGGAGAACTGCTTGAACCTGGGAGGTGGAGGCTGCAGTGAGCTCAGATTACGCCACTGCACTCCAGCCTGGGCAACAGGGCGAGACTGTCTCAAAAACAAACAAACAAACAAAAAGAACTTCCAGAGAGAAAAAGACAGATGACATACAAAGAAATAAAAGTTAAACTTATAACAGACTTCAGACTTCTTAAGAGCAATACTGAATGTCTTCAAATTTCTTTTTTTTTTTTTTTTTTTTTGAGATGGAGTCTTGTTTTGTTGCCCAGGCTGGACTACAGGCACCCGCCACCACACCAGGCTAATTTTTGTATGTTTTTTTTTTAGTAGAGATGGGGTTTCACCATATTGGCCAGACTGGTCTCGAACTCTTGACCTTGGGATCCGCCCACCTCAGCCTCCCAAAGTGCTGGGATTACAGGCGTGAGCCACTGCGCCTGGCCATGTCTTCAAATTTCTGAGCAAAAATTGATTTTAAATTTAGAATTTTATATCAAACTATCAATCAAGTATGAGGATAGAATAAAGACATGTTCAGATATGTAAACACAAAGAAAACATCTATGCACCCTTTCTTAGATATTCTCAGAGGATGTCCTCTACTAAAACCAAAAATAAGAAAGAGGAAGATATAGGATCCAAGAAACAGGATTCAACCCAGGAGGGCAGCAGAGGAAAATCCTGGGATGACAGCTCTGTTGCAGGGCTAAAGAACAAGCAGTGCAAATTGGAGCAGTAGAACAGAAGGCTCTAGGAAAAAGCTCTCCCAAAAAAAAAATTTAATGAAAGAAACTGAAGCAATTAACAACTCTACAAAAATAAACAATTCAAGAAAGAAAATGAAGCCATAATATACTACTTGGCTTTTCAGTGAACAATACTTAGTTGGG
Source organism: Homo sapiens (assembly GCF_000001405.40). Lineage (NCBI taxonomy): Eukaryota > Metazoa > Chordata > Mammalia > Primates > Hominidae > Homo > Homo sapiens. The sequence continues at coordinate 32,836,509 of NC_000001.11, read as the reverse complement.
ACACAAAAACAATGAATACTGATTTAACACCCTTTAGGATAGCTACTATAAAAAAAAACAAACAAAAACAAAAACACAAGCCAGGCACAGTGGTTCACACCTGCAATCCCAGCACTTTGGGAGGCCGAGATGGGGAGATCACTTGAGCTCAGGAGTTCGAGACCAGCCTGACCAACATGGCAAAACCCCATCTCTACTAAAATACAAAAATTAGCCAGACGTGGTGGAGTGCGCCTGTAGTCCCAGCTACTTGGGAGGCTGAGGCACGAGAATCACTTGAATGTGGGAGGTAGGGGTTGCAGTGAGCCAAGACTGTACCACTGCACTCCAGCCTGGATGACAGGGCGAGACTCCAGCCTCAAAAAAAAAAAAAAAGCACAAAAAAATAAGTGCTGGCAAGGATGGGGAAAAATTAGAACTCTTGTGCACTGTTGGTAGGACTGCAAAATGGTGCAACTGCTATGAAAAACAGTATGAAGTTCCTCAAAAAATTAAAAACAGACCTACCATATGGTCCAGCAATCCCACTTCTGCATATATATCCAGAAGAATTAAAAATAGGGTCTTAAAGAGATATCTGTAGACCCATGTTCATAGTGGCACAATTCACAATAGCCAAGAAGTGGAAGCAACCCAAATGTCTACTGACAGATGAATGGATTAAACAAAATGGTGTGTATATATACAATGGAATATTATTCAGCCTTAAAAAGGAAGGAAATTGAGTGGTGAGAAAAATAGAAAAAAAATAAAAATAAAAATATTTAAAAAGGAAGGAAATCCTGTCACATGCCACAATGGGTAAATCTTGAAGACATTATACTAAACGAAATAAGCCAGTCACAAAAAGATAAATATTGTATGATTCCACTTATAAAAGGTATCTAAAGTAGTCATATTTAAAAAAAAAGAAAGTAGAATGGTGGTTACCAGAGACTGAAGGGAGAGAGGGGGAACTGTTGTGTAGGTATAGAGTTTTAGATTTGCAAGATGAAGAGGTTCTGGAGATATGTTTCACAACAATGTGAATATATGTAACATTACTGAATTGTGCACTTAAAAATGGTTAAGATGGTAATTTTATGTTAGATGTATTTTTTTTACCACAATTAAAAAAAAAGATTAATGGGATCATGTCAATAGGAACAAGAGTCATCTTGAAGGAGCTCCCATTTATCAAATTTGAGACAAATTGAGCATCAAAAAGAAAAACCAAGAACAGTAGCTATAATTGATTACAACATATTGATTCTTTAAAAAAATCCATGAGGTTATAGTAATAGTAAAGTAATAGAAAATCTTTACAAAAGAATGCTAGTTAATAACTGTAGAAGAAATTATATATTTAGAAAATGAACATTTTTTTCTTTTGAGATGGAATTTTGCTCGTTGCCCAGGCTGGAGTGCAATGGCCTGATCTTCGCTCACTACAACTTCTGCCTCTTGGGTTCAAGAGATTCTCCTGCCTCAGCCTCCCGAGTAGCTGGGATTACAGGCGCCCACCACCACGCCCAGCTAATTTTTATATTTTTAGTAGAGACAGGTTTCATCATGTTAGTCAGGCTGGTCTTGAACTCCTGACCTCAGATGATCCATCTGCCTCAGCCTCCCAAAGTGCTGGGATTACAGGCATGAGCCACTGCGCCTGGCCAAAAAAGAACATTTTCTATGTAACTCCCAGTGCAGCAGCTCATTCAAGCAAGGATCATCAATAAATGCTCAAGCAATTAGGTGAACAGTTAGTTGTTGGGGAACAGGATATTCACATGGTACCAAAGCATCACCCCACAGATAATTTACTAATTAAAAAGGGGTAAATGTACTTTACAATGGGAAGACATGGCAGTTAACACCTTAACAAACTTAGTATTACTATTTGTGGAACAACCTGTCATTAAGTGTCATATATGCCTGCTGATTTGATTAGAAGGATATAGTGTAGGGTATAGTGTAGGATGAATACACAATAGCACCTAGGAATTATCCCTGCCAAAAACACTTAATTTGAATCTAATCCCACCTCTGGACCCAGCTTCTAGTTTACAGGAAATACAGAGAATGGAGGAACAAATTAAATGATACCACAAGAAACAGACAAAATTCAGAATGTGGGACAATCTATAAAACAAGTGACCTAAATTAAAAGAGATTAAGGAGACAATAACTAAATGTGAACTTTGATTAGATGCTATTTCACCAAAGTTACAAGAATATATTTTTGGGACAACTAAGGAAATTGGAATATGGAATATATATTACATGATTTTTTAAAAATTATGATTAAATATAAATTATCAATAAACAAAAAACATTTAACCTGACCAATTATTAAAACAAAATATGTTAAAATTTACCTATCAAATTGGTGACACTAAAAATTAATACAATTTTTTGGGGCAGGACCATCTGGTAACATGTAACAGTTTTTTAAATGTTTATATACTTTACCCAGCAATTCCACTTCTAGGGATTCATCCTATAGAAATAAGAATTGTACATAAACATTTATTGACCAGAATGTTCACTGCAGCATTACTAATGAAAATGGACACAATCTAATTTACCAAGATGAAATAAATTATATAATAAAATACTTTGTAATCATTAAAAATCTTAATTTCAAATATTTTACATGAAAAGGTCCTTAAAATACATTAAGTACAAAGAAAGCAGATTATAAACTATTAATATGTAATTTCCCTGTATATATTCTACCTTACAGGAAAGATAATTATCAAAATGTTAATTTTGTTATTTCTAGGTGGCAGGATAGATTTATAGGTGATTTTAAGTTTTTTTCTTTGTAGGAGAGAGAATCATTATTTCTAATGTCTGAAAGAATAAAAAATGGGCTGGGTGCTGTCTCACGCCTGTAATCCCAGCACTTTGGGAGGCCAAGGTGGGCGGATCACTTGAGGCCAGGAGTTCGAGACCAGCCTGGCCAAAATGGTGAAACCGTGTCTCTACTAAAAATACAAAAATTAACCAGGTGTGGTTGTCTGCGCCTGTGGTCCCAGCTACTCAGGAGGCTGAGGCAAGAGAATCGCTTGAACCCGGGAGGGAGAGGCTGCAGTGAGCCGAGATCGCGCCACTGCACTCCAGTCTGGGCAGCAGACTCTGTCTCCAAAAAAAAAAAAAAGAAAATAATAAAAAATGAAAGACAGAACAAAGTTATTTTTCATGATGCTAGAGGGCAGAACTAGGAACTACCACTAGAAGTTATAGGGAAGCCACGTTTGACTCAACGTAAGGAATAACGTTCTAACAACTAAAATTTTCTAAGCAATGAATGACCTGCCTTATGAGGTAATGCGTTTTGCATTATTAGAACTTTAAGCAAAGGCTAAACGGTCACTTGGCAAAAATATATAGAACAGACTTATGTGTTAGGAGATTAAAGAGAAGCTCTTAATGATCCTTTTCTACTTTAAGTACTTATAATTTCATAGAAAGTTTTCCATTTGCAGGGATACCAGAAAGGAAGTTGTTGGTATTTCTTTTTAAGTGTTATTATAAAAAAAAAACCCATGGGGCACTAAACTAAAGAGATTATACTTACATTAGAATAATGGAGTTGAAGGATGATTTACTTTGTTACATTCTACATCAATAATATATACATTATTGATAAAGTGAAAAGAGATAACTAACCCAATGGAGAGGATTCAAACTGAACTGGCAAGAACTACATTTGAATCTACTCCTTACTAATTTCTCTGTGTCTGATAACCTGAAGAATTACACTTTTTCAAGGTTAAATGCAATAAACATCTCAAAAGGAAGGAGGACAAGAAGTACTACGCTCCCCTTTTGTGCTTCTGGCTGCACTATAATTCACATACAAATGGAGGAAAGGTGAAGAACATACCACCCCCGCCCTTGCAATAAGGTATATACAAATCTTATGATTTTGGATGTAGGAATACTGGGCAATGGGAAGTGATAGAAAAACTTCATATTATACTGGGTTCCTGGAAGGCAGAAGGAAGTGCCAGAGGTCTGTGAAATTTTTAGAGTAATTTGTAATGCTGAAAAAAATGAATGCCCTAAAAGACGTGCTTAAAAAACAACTTTTTAATTATGGAAATTGTCAAATATACACAAAAGTAGAAAGTGTACTCACCACTCACCTTCATTTATCAACATTTTATCAAAGCTGTTTCCAGTATTTTTTGGCTGTGATTTAAAAACAAACACTAGATATAACGCTATTTTACCTAAAAAAAAAAACTTCAGTATGAAAAAATATCCTTTCTTGCTGGTAACAGCAACTATTCAATAAATGTTAGTTACTAGAGCTAGGTACTGTTCTATGCTTTATACCCGTATAATTTTCATGTAAGTTAAGCCTTGTCATTATCCCAATTTTACAAATCAATATTTAATGGCTCACCCAGCCAGTAAGCAGTGGTGCCAAGATGTGAACCCAGATGTTAACTCTAGACTAGACTTTACTCTCTCAACCACTAAAGTATGCTGCCTATTCACTATAGTTATTCTAGCTATTCTTCATGGGATATAGATTGTTGTGGTAATACTGGGAAAGGAACTGCTGAATGGGGAAAAGATTGAAAATGATGTTATAGTGTGAACAGCTGCTCTTTGCTTTTCTTGGGAAATTTTATTTAAATGCTCCAAATGAGAGAAAACATAACTGGATATCATCAGTGTCAACTGCCTAGGATATAAAAAAAGGAGTCAGCTCACAGAGGGAAAAGCAATGACATGACTAGGCCTGTTCCACAGAGCTTGAATATAGACAGGTTTCTTTTAAATTTGCCCCTCCAATGATGGGGGGAGAGGTGGAGAGGAGAGGTTTCTCTACTTCTATCAGACCTAAAATAGTTCTAGCAAAGGGATCTCACAAGCAGAGGGCTAAGAAATCAGTGTAAGTAATATTTGGTTGCTTATGAAATATTCAGTGAAAAATAAAAGGATACGGGATAAAAAATTCTTCTGACTGATGTCTCATCATAATCTTATAAAACAAACAAGAAAAACTACTACATAATTCAAGATTTGTCAAAAGAAAGAAGAGTCTCCTCTGCAAAAGGACCAAAAATTCTCCTAAAACCCTCCCCAGTGATTTACAATAGATCTTAGAGTAATTAAACTAATTATCTTCTCTGTGGAGCTCACCTAGGGCATCCTCCTTCCCCATCTTCCACTTTTCCCAAACACAAGCAGAAGGGCTCCTTCCCTGCTCCTACTGTACTTTATATGTAATTCTATTAGAACTCTAATCAATACTGCAGTATAATTATCTTCTTCTCTAGGCTATGAATTCCCAGAGGGCCAAGACCCTATCTTACTCCTCTTTACATTTCCATTTCCAATTCCTTATCTTCAAAACTACCACGACTGAAATACTCGAGAAAGTTTGCTGAATGAATGAAGATGACAGAATATGGAGTGATTTTTTTTTTTTTTGAGACAGAGTCTCATTCTGTCACCCATGTTAAAGTGCGACGGCATGATCTTGGCTCACTGCAACCTCTGCCTCCCGGGTTCAAGTGATTGTTGTGCCTCAGCCACCTGAGTAGCTAGGATTATAGGCATGTGCCACCACGCCTGGCTAATTTTTTTTTTCCCAAAAGAATATGATCCGGCTAATTTTTATAGTTTTAGTAGAGATGGGGTTTTGCCATGCTGGCCAGGCTGGTCTTAAACTCCTGGCCTCAAATGACCTGCCTGCCTCTGCCTCCAAAAGTGCTGAGATTACAGGCATGAGCCACCATGCCTAGCCTGGAGTGATCTTTTTAATAAGTGATTCTTTTATCAGTATAAAACCTCTCTAACCTCTTCACCTTCAGTTCTTCCCGTAAGTCTCCCCTTTAGGAGCTTTCCCATCAGCCAATAGTTCAGGCTGAATGATAACATGGACTGTACTCTCTTGAGAGCTGGAGAAAGAATCTAGTCACTTTGGTTTGCAATATCTTCTAATGAAGTGGGGAGAACACAACTTGAAGGATCTGGAAGGTAGCCAAACCTTTCAAGAGCTTTTATTCAGAAGCCAAAATGCAGAATGGTGTTTGAAATGCCTGCTTTTAAATGCTGAAGGTAACAGGAGAAATAAAACATTTCAAATTTTAAAAACCACTGATTAGTAAGCAGCACCTGGTCATCCACTTCCGTTATTTTTCAGACAAAAAAATCCCTAGCAAAAATGTACCGGTCTGGGTTAAAGCCCTCAACCATGAGGGAGGCACCTTTCATGTACTGTTGTAAACGTGCTTAGATCCCTCTCTAAAACTGGTTAACCAAACCACTTCGAGAATTATCTGGTTAGGCAATCCTTTTAAGTGAAAATCTTTTAAGTAAGGAAGTTATCTTTCTCAAGAATTTAAGAAAATTCTAAACAATCTCCCAGTTTAAGCTGTTACACCGGAAAGAGAAAGTCACATCACATGTTTTATATGCCTTTCTCTGGGTACCATGTTACCTTGGTTAGTGTCCTCTGGGTCTTCTATATGAGCAATGACACTCCTGAGATAAAGCTGCTTCTGCTGTTCTAGATTTGACTGTGAAAACGTCGGAACATTAGTCCTTGAATAAAGCAAACCAGAAAAAAGAAAAACAGCCCATTAGAAACAGGAATATAGCGTTTTGTAGAGAGAAGTGATATACTGCTGATTGATTAGAACTAAGTTTCAGAGGCAAAATTATCTTTATGATCGAGAGGCAGAGGACAGTATTAGTCATACACAAAAAAAACTAAAATGGAGTATGGAATCAAGAGAAAAAGAAGAGAAGCTGGGTGTGGTGGCTCACACCTGTAATCCCAGCACTCTGGGAGTATCAGGCAGGAGGACTGCTTGAGGCTAGGAATTTGAGACCAGTCAGGGCAACACAGTGAGACCCAAGAAATTTTTTTAAAAAATTAGCTGGACATGGCTGCATGTGCCTGTAGTCCTAGCTACTCAGGAGGCTGAGGAGGGAGGATGACTTGAGTCCACGAGTTCAAGGCTGCTGTGAGCTATGATCACACCACTGTATTCCAGCTTGGGCCACAGAGTGAGACCCTGTCTCTAAAAAAATCAAATAATTTAAAAAAAGACGAAGAGAAGGAAATAGATACAACCTCCTGCTAACAAGGAATAGAAAGGTGAAGATTACTAGTCCCTAGAGAAAGTATTTATTGAGTAATTCAAGGTTAGTCAGAAAATAGCTTTCTAGAGTGAAACTGAAAAGTTAAATGGGATAAAGACTGAAAAGAATCACTAGATCTGGCCATCAGAGCAATGGTGACCTTGGTGAGAGCAATTTCTGGCCCATACTCATACTGACTGACTGTACTAAAGAATCAGTGGATGAGAATATTGAGATTGCAAATTTATTACTGTCCCAAGTAGCCTGAGTTGTGAGCTTTTGATTATCACTTACATTGTAAGCAATTCACAAGGTTTCTCTCAATTATGCAAACAAAATAAAAAACCAGGAAACTGGGATTCGGGATGATAGTCAAAGGAAACTTTAGCCTTGTTTGTAATAATTTAAATTTTTATTTTATTTTTTATACAAGGTCAGTCTCCCAGGCTGGTGTGCAGTGGCATGATCTCGGCTCAGTGCAACCTCTGTCCCCTGGGCTCAAGCAATCTTCCCACCTCAGTCTTCCTCGTAGCTGGGACCACAGGTGTGCACCACCACACCTGGGTATTTTTTTGTATTTTTAGTAGAGGTGGCGTCTTGCCATGTTGCGCAGATTGGTACTGAACTCCTGAGTTCTAGCAATTGGCCCACCTCAGCCTCCCAAAGTGCTGGGATTACAGGTGTGAGCCACCGCGCCCGGCCTAATTAAATTTTTTAAGCAAAATTAATGTAATAAATGTATAATCAAAAGAATTTTTTTAAATCTCACTGTAAGGAAGCTAATCTGATCCAACATTTTAAAAAAAGCTTTTTCTAGTAGATTCAATTTAAAAGGACCATGTAAAGATACTGCCATCTCCTGGCAACCAGAGAATAAATTGAAAAGATGACGCAAATTTGCAACCCCTACTGGAATTTTTCCGCAAGGGTAGTTGTATGCAAGTTGGGAGGGACAACAAAATGATTTTCTACTACTTGTATTTTAACATTTTCGTTAAAATTATTCTAACCTCTTATCATATATGTGACCAGGCTGCCCCATGCACAGGAGAAGATATCTTACCTTTGTAGTGTTTTCGCTAATATGTCTATTTTGCTTTCAAAATAACCCTGTCAAGCAGCAGAGGAGGCATCATTAGCCTTATTTCATGCATAAAAACTGAGGTAAGAGATTAATTGACTTGCCAAAAGTCACATAGTTGGTAGTGCTAGAACTTCAAGTTTGCTTACTCCTGGAGTAGGGATTTTTTTCCCTGCACTAAGAGGAAACTGGAGAGGGGAAGAAAGAAATTGAAGAGAACCAAAATAAATCAGAATATTTAATTATACTTTACATTACCTGGTCTTAGTTTGTAGAACAGGAATGACTTTGCCTAGTCTTCTCTCATGGCCTTTCATCTTCCCAGAATCCTTGTTAAGAACATCCTGCTTTTTTGAGGAAAAGGAATGCAAAAGGAAAGGTGATTCTTAGTTATAAGAAAAGCACTGAAAACACTATTTATGGAAATATTTTTTAACTAAAGGCTACAAAAGCCTATTCGTGAACACTACTGTGTACCACGTATAACAGTAGTGCTTCAAATGAGATAACTGTAATCTTTTTCTGTAATCTTAAAAAAAAAAAAAAAAAAAAAAAACCTGGCCAGGTGTAGTGGCTCATGCCTATAATCCCAACACTTTGGGAGGCCAAGGCGGGTGGATCACCTGAGGTCAGGAGTTCGAGACCATCCTGGCCAACATGGTGAAACACCGTCTCCACTAAAATACAAAAATTAGCTGGGCATGGTGGTGCATGTTTGTAATCCCAGCTACTCGAGACTGAGACAGGAGAATTGCTTGAACCCGAGAGGCGGGAGTTGCAGTGAGCCGAGATCGTGCCACTGCACTGCAGCCTGAGGGACAGAGTAAGACTCTATCTCAAGAAAAAAAAAAGAAACCCTACGTGGCAGGGATTATTACACTCATTTGGCAGATAGGGAATCGGGCTCAAAAAGGTTAGATAAATTGCCCAAGATTTTTCAGCTCTTTCATGGCTGATTCAGAGCTAGTGCTGTATCTTAATATATAGCATGGCAATAAAGATTGAGACATAGGCTGAAGCCCAAAGACAAGAAAAATAACAGAATTACCATCTTAGTAATTATTCAACAGAGGGTAATTTAATATTACGTGCCAGGTGATATAAATACATTATTTCATTAATCCTTATTATACTATGAAGTATTATTTACTCCAATTTAGATAAGAAATGTGGGGAAACATAGAGGCTAAATAATTAGCCCAGGGTCACAGTGCTAGTCAGGATTCAAACCCCAATTTGTCTGAATACAAAGCTCTGCCAGATTATAACAAATGTACCACTGTGGTGTAGGATGCCCACAGCAGGGGAAGTTGTGTATGTGTGGAGATAGCAGGTATATGGAAACTCTGCTATACATCTGAATAAAAATAATTTCATTTTTCTCTTCACCTTGAATAAAATATACTTACTTTGTTTGATGAGGTGGAAACAACCAGAGATCTCATTTCACAACTTGACTTGTGTGAACCACCATTTCTGCAGGATAACTCCATATTAGGAGTCTCTGAATGGTCTGAGATCCGAGAGAATACAGACGTAGGGTTCTCACTGTCAGGCATATTTTTATCAGAGACAGTCTGTTGAAAGTTATTGTTTGAAGAAGAGAGCTGGGGCCCATTCCAGGCAGAGTTATTGGGGCTGATCCCTTCAGATTCAGTACAAAGTTTGCTTTCATTTGGGCTAAGACCATCTTCTCTCATCTCTTCTCCAAGGGAAGAGAGTTTTTCAGTATCTTTGGACGAATCAGTCTCGTCCTTATCAAGCAGAGCATCACAAACTGTTGGATTAAATGGTGCAACAGTTACTTTTATAAGATTCTTTTCTAGTACAGAGCGTCTGTTTAATGGTTTAGTATGAGCTGGTCCATGACCACTTGATGTACTTAGCTGAGGTAGTTTGAAGAGGTCAGGAGTCTCAGCTACTGGTCCCAGGCTGTACGATGAATTTTTCTCTCGGGGAGTATCAAGTAGAATTTGACTCCCTCTTTCTCCCTTCTCAACATGCCCACCATCATCTTCCCCAGAAGACTGCTCATATGATGGGTCATCTTCCTTCAACAGTGCATCAATCTCTTCCTCTGTGTAATTTACATCACCATCATCTTCTTCTCCCTCTGACAGCTCCAGCAAGGAGTCATCCAATCCATCCTCATCCAAGGAATCCCAAGAAAATGGGGCACCGTCTTTAGGCAAGAGAGAGGTACCAGAAGACTGTTCAGAGGGCACCCGTGAGCACATCATTTCTGGAGAAATAAGAGACAATTTCACTGAGGAAGAGAAAATAACCTTATACCAACTCCAGTCCACTATATGTGGGTAATGTTCTAGTATTTCAAAATCTTTGCACTGTGACTTGTAGCATAAGAAATAATTTTAAGATATTTAACCTTACCAGAAACATGGAAATACACGTTAGAACAATGAGATACTTTTGCCTATCAAAATGGTGATAATTAAGATGCCATGATAATCTGGATTGGTGAGGATGTGGAGAAACGAGCATTCACACACTATCAGTAAAAGCGTTAAGTCAGTACGATATTTTGTGAAGAGTAATTTGACTACACCATTTGACCCAGCAATTTCACTTCTAGAACTTCATATATATATACATGGATGTTCAAAGTAGCCAAATCCTGGAGGCAACCTAAATGTCTATTACCAAGAGAACTGTTCAGTAAATCATGGTATGTTTGTGCTATGGAGTACTTTTCAATTATTTAAAAACACAATGAAGTAGATCTGTATGTACTATCATGGAATGATATCTACAACATACAAACAAAACAAATGTATATTATGTAAAATGTCTGAATATTCAGTTTACACTTTAACACAAAACAAAAATGTATTACTTTTGAAATAAAACAAAATTCGAGAACACAAGAAGGTAAATAACTGTCTTCCATACTGTGTGGAGCTGCTGGAGCAATCTCTGCCTTTGCCACGAGACCAAATGGAAAAAGGTTTCAGTTCCTGCTAGCTGTTCCTTTCAGGAGACTTGTCAAAATGATTGACTCCCACCTTCCTGCAGGCAAAAAGAAAATTAGAGGATCTTCTCATCACTTTCAACTCTGCTAATTACAAAGTCAACTGTATTATGCTTTAAGGTGCTCGATGTATTAATTTTAATCTTGATTTTTTTTGTAATACCAGAAAGTTGGATTTTCTGAGTCAAGCACACCAAAGAAATCTTCAAAGAAAAAAAAATTATGCAACTAAGCAAACTAGTTTTGTTCCTCCCAACAATTTGTACTTTCTTAAGACTATCATCTACTTTAGTAGGATGAATACTGGCATGGGAGTCCAAAGACCTGGGGTGTAGTCCTGGTTGTATCACTAGCCAGCTCCAATAACTTGGGTATGCCACTTGACCATTTAGACTTGTTTCCTCATTTACAAAATGGGAAAGGGATGGAAAAGGGGTGCTAGGCAATGTCTAAGGTTCCACCAAAAATCTAAAAATTAATCATGATCACACACACACAAATCTTTATATATATATATATATATGTATAGAAAAAATGCAAAAAAAAAAAAAAGGTCATTAGAGATACAAACACAAGCCTGGGCACAACGTGAAATGCTGTCTCTACAAAAAAACAGAAAAATCAGCGGCGCATGGTGGCACACGCCTATAGTTCCAGCTACTCATGGGGCTGAGGTGAGAGGATCACTTGAGGATGGGAGGTCAAGGCTGCAGAGAGCAGTCATCATATCGCTGCACTCCAGCCAGGGTGACAGAGCAAGACCCTGTCTCAAAAGAAAAAAAAAAAAGATACAAACAAAAATTGATGACTATTATAACTCGCAGGGACCATAAAGGTAGGTCAAGGTTGGACTTTGTATCATTTTACTTTTCTACTTGAATATTTAGTTAGTTGTATAATTAAAACCTAGTTTTTAAACAGCTAATGACAGACCTAATCTATAATTATTTTCCAGATGGGAAAGGTGATAAAATGCTAGTATTTCACATATCTGAGAAGTATAAGAAATGCTTAAATACTGAACTCAAAAATTTGGAAAAGTACTTGTAGCCTTGTTAACTATAAAATTTCCCCTACTCCATGACCCTCCATACCACACCCTGAGCTTTAACTTTAGTTCATGCATTCCTTTTTTTTTTTTTTTTGAGACGGAGTCTCACTCTGTTGCCCAGGCTAGAGTGCAGTGGCACGATCTTGCGATCTTGGCTCACTGCAAGCTCCGCCTCCCAGGTTCACGCCATTCTCCTGCCTCAGCCTCCCGAGTAGCTGGGACTACAGGTGACCGCCACCACGCCCGGCTAATTTGTTGTATTTTTAGTAGAGATGGGGTTTCACTGTGTTAGCCAGGATGGTCTCCATCTCCTGACCTTGTGATCCGCCTGCCTCGGCCTCCCAAAGTGCTGGGATTATAGGCGTGAGCCACTGCACCCAGCCTAGTTCATGCATTCTTTTAGAAGATATTTTTTGAGCTACAATCATCACACACCACAAGCTGCATATGTCTCTTTATGATTTCCAACAAATCAAGGTATAGCTCCTGCCCTCATAATGTATAATACGTAATGTATAATCTTAATGTATAATCTTGCTAGAGAAACAACACTGAAAATTAAACACCAACATGAGATAATATAAAATGGTATGGACAATAAAGTACTAGAGAAAGAGAAGCAAAGGGAGGGATTATAGAGTTCTAGAATTAGAAGGGACCTAGTTAAACTTACTCATATTAGAAATGAAATGGGAGAAAAAGAAATACTAAATACCTATTATAAACCAGGTGCTCTGAGACACATTTTACGACTCTAACTTAGCCTCTCAACACAATTCTGTAAAATTAATCTTATCAAAGAAATCATTTTGTTGTATTTAAACCTAGAGCTGCTAAAACTTATTTTATTTTACCAATACTATATTCCAGCAATTGTTGAGAGTTCTAGGTGTTGAAGCAGCTGCCTCTATGAAAAGTAATTTCTCTGCATTAGTGACTGAGTTATTCATTTCTTTAGGAAGCAGTTAGAAAAAAAAGTTTAGTATGGAAAACATTCTTTGACTTAAGAAAATTTATGGTTGTCAGACAGGTTATCACAGGCACTGGGGTTAAGCAGCTACATTTCTTAGATGCCCTTTCTGGGCCATTGCCCCCCATTCTAACTCCTTACAAAAGGTCTAGTTCAAGCCCTTGGTTGGCCAAATGGAGAGTTCAATAGATTTTTCCCTCTTGGGAAACTAAAGTTCAGAAGCATGAAGTAACTTAACTGAGTATACATAGCTAATAATGTTAGAACAAGGATCGAAACCCAGGTCTAATTCCAAATGCAATGTTTTTCCCACTACATCTGTGACAGACTTGCACAGGATTGGTCAGCAAATGGCAGAGCTAGAATCCAAACTCAGGCCTTCTAAATTCAGTACAATCTATAACAAACTGTGCAAGAGTAAAGACCAAAGAGGGCTTTTGGTCTCTTGGAAAAAATATTTTAAGCCACCTTAATAGGACCAATATCCTTCGTAACCATTGCAATAATCAATTCCTACACAACATGACATTCAGATGCAAAAAAATGGGCTTTTCTGAGCTTCTTATGTTCCAATAGATCTGGGAACAAAAGTATACAAAACAATACCATATATATGGTATATATAGAGAGGAGGAGATAATTTTAATTTGTACAAACCATTCTCTTTCTGATGTCTGATGTTACTTCCTCTTTTTTTTTTTTTTTTTTTGAAACGGAGTCTAGCTCTGTAGCCCAGACTGGAGTGCAGTGGCGCGATCTCGGCTCACTGCAAGCTCTGTCTGCCTCCCGGGTTCACACCATTCTCCTGCTTCACTCAGCCTCCCGAGTAGCTGGGACTGCAGGCGCCCGCCACCACGCCTGGCTAATTTTTGTATTTTTAGTAGAGACGGGGTTTCACAGTGTTAGCCAGGATGGTCTTGATCTCCTGACCTCAGGTGATCCGCCCGCCTCGGCCTCCCAAAGTGCTGGGATTACAGGCGTGAGCCACCGCGCCCGGCCATTTCCTCATTTTCAAAAGTACTTATTATAAAGAAAGTAAAACATATACATAAGTAACATAATAGTATAATGAACCACCACATACCCATCACTCAACCCCAATGACTATCAACTCATAGCTAATCTTGCCCCATCCACTTCCCACCTTTACCAGATTGTTTTGAAGCAAATCCCAGGCATTGTATCATTTCATCTGTAAATAACAAGAATTCCTTATCATAAAATATACAGTTCAGATTTCCAATTATCTTATGTCATATTTTTTTTTAAGGCTAAAAAATAATCAGTATCCAAGTAAGGTCCATACAATGTGACTGGCTGATAATGTCTTATGTGTATTTTAATCTAAAAATTTCAGATCTTTTCCCCCTGCAATTACTTTATTAAAAAAACAATACGCGAGATGGCTTACGCCTGTAATCCCAGCACTTTCGGAGGCTAAGTTGGGCGGATCACTTGAGGCCAGGAGTTCGAGACCAGCCTGACCAACATGGCGGAACCCCATTTCTACTAAAACTACAAAGAAAATTTAGCTGGGCATGGTGACGCGGGCCTGTAGCCCCAGCTATTCAGAAGTCTGAGGCAGGAGACTCGCTGAAACCCAGGAGGCGGAGGTTGCAGTGGGCAGAGATCGCACCACTACACTCCAGCCTGGGTGACAGAGTAAAACTGTATCAAAAAAAAAAAAAAGAAAGAAAGAAAAAAGAAACAGGCCAGGCGCAGTGGCTCACGCCTGTAATCCTAGCACTTTGGGAGGCCGAGGAGGGCGGATCACGAGGTCAGGAGTTCGAGACCATCTGGACCAACCTGGTGAAACCCCAACTCTACTAAAAGTACAAAAATTAGCTGGGCTTGGTGGCGCGCACCTATAACCCCAGCTATTCGAGAGGCTGAGGCAGGGGAACTGTTTGAACCCAGGAGGCAGAGGTTGCAGTGAGCCCAGACCGCGCCACTGCACTCCAGCCTGGGTGACAGAGCAAGAGTCAGTCTCAAAAAACAACAACAAAAAAGCCACAATACCACGTATTATGTATGGATACATATATCACAAAATTATTAAAATATGCATGAAAGGCCGGAATTCAGGATGGTCTTGATCTCCTGACCTCGTGATCCGTCCGCCTCAGCCTCCCAAAGTGCTGGGATTACAGGTGTGAACCACCGCGCCCGGCCAATGTTTTATTTCTTAAGAAAACAATATCTCATCTTAGGCTACATGACAATAAATAAATAAGGAAAAAAAAATAGCAAGAAGAGACCTGAAACAAATATGGCAACCTAAGACAAAGCAGCATGCTAGGTATAATAATGTTCATTATGTTACTTTTACACTGTTAAATTATTGTTATTTTTTTGAGACAGGGTCTCAGGTTTGTTGCCCAGGCAGAAAACAGTGGCGTGATCATAGCTCACTGCAGCCTTGAACCCCAGGGCTGCTGGGACTACAGGTACACACCACCATACACAGCTAATTTTTTATTTTTATTTTTTGTAGAGACATAGTCTCATTATGTTGCCCAGGCTGGTATTGAACTCCTGGAGTCAAGCGATCCTTCTGCATTGGTTTTCCAAAGTGCTGGGATTACAGGCATTGAGCCACCATACCCAGCCACTATACTTTTTTATATGCTTGAAATAATAAAAACATCTTAAAATTATGAAGT
Source organism: Homo sapiens (assembly GCF_000001405.40). Lineage (NCBI taxonomy): Eukaryota > Metazoa > Chordata > Mammalia > Primates > Hominidae > Homo > Homo sapiens. Next base: position 32,820,666 of record NC_000001.11, on the reverse strand, counting down.
CAATGGGAAAGATACAATGATTATACTCTGTGAAGTATCAAATGTCCTCATATATCACAGTACCTACCTGATAGGGTTGTGGCAAGAATTAAATGAGATCGTGAACATAAATGTGGCACACTAGAGGCATGGCATAAGAGACAAATAACTGGTGGCCATAGTTATTATTTCACCCCACCACCATCATTGCCCCGATCCCTGGAGTCTTAAGAGAAGCATAGGGCCAGGCGCAGAGGCTGATTCCTGTAATCCCAGCACTTTGGGAGGCTGAGGTGGGTGGATCACCTGAGGTCAGGAGTTCAAGACCAGCCTGGCCAACATGGTGAAACCCTGTCTCTACTAAAAATACAAAGATTAGCCGGGTGTGTGGTGCATGCCTGTAATCCCAGCTACTTGGGAGGCTGAAGCAGGAGAATCGCTGGAACCCAGGAAGCGGAGGTTGCAGTGAACTGAGATCGCACCACTGCACTCCAGCCTGGGTGACAGAGCGAGACTCCATCTCAAAAAAAAAAAAAAAAAAAAGCATAGGAACGGTAGGAAAAAAGAGTGCTAAACTGGTAGGGAATTTCCCCTAGACCCTGCTTGAAATTATCTAATATACTCTACTCTTATCTAGTTTAATCCAGCACTCAACCATATTGTCACTGAAGACCAGACTAGGTAGACATCTGAAATATCCGGCAAATTATGCAAATTAATGTTCACTGAACTATCCTTTATAGAGGTACTGGACCTCAGCAATTCACTTCAAGTCTCTGAACTTCAATACAGATGAGAACATGCATCTAAAAAGGGGGTAAATACTGTTAACTTCAAACACAGATTATCATGAGAAAAAATAGGATGTTTATGAAAGTACTCTAAACCTAAAAGTTCTATACTAAAAAAACATGGTATTTAATGAATGTGCAAGGGGGGAAATCCTCATATAAAACTGAAGTTCTTCAGTGAAATTCCAAAGACAGCCTTACTTATTACTTCTCTGTCAAAAGAAGGCTTGCTTACTTCTCTGTCTACCATCTACCACCTTTCTTAGCACTTGTCTGGTAACCTCCACTTAAAATATGGGGACCCCTTTATTTTTTTATTTTATTTTTATTTTTGAGACAGGGTCTCACTCAATCACCCAGGCTGAAATGCAGTGGCGTGATCTGGGCTCACTGCAACCTCTGCCTCCCAGTTTCAAGCGATTCTCATGCCACAGCCTCCCAGTAGCTGGGATTACAGGCGTCCACCATGCTAGGCTAATTTTTGTATTTACAGTAGAGATGGGGTTTTGCTATGTTGGCCAGTCTAGTCTTGAACTCCTGGCCTCAAGCAATCCTCCGGCCTCGGCCTCCCCAAGTGCTGGGATTACAGGCGTGAGCCACCATGTCTGGCCATATCCCTTCATTTTTAAGGGAAGAATATTTTTCCGATCTTCTAATTCTATTTCTTAGTTCCTCTACACCCCATCCTTTCTGTGACCCCATTCTGTCCTTCCACATCTCTCTCACCTGTCCACCCCCTTCTTCACACTTCAGTTTACCACCCCCTCTCTGTTCTCGAACCTCCTGGTTGCAACCTCAGAAACTGGTTCCCTTTCTATTTTTATCTCACCTCAGAAAACCTACTGCCTTCGAGCACAAAGCCTTACTTTATTGAGGCCACTAAAACTGCAACACCAGATGCAAGCCCACATCCTCTTTCAAGCTCTAAAGTCAAGACCATTACCAAGCAGGGTCTGACAGGTACAGCCAAGAGCAGAGATTATTTCCAGTGGACAAGACTTCCCCCTGGCCTTTGATTTCCAACCTTTCCCAAATGCAATACATGTGAAGCACACAGCACGAAACGCACTCAGCAGGCTTTATCACTCCATAAAAAATAGGCACAACATTTACAAAAAATCAAAAAGAACTGAAATTATCTGTAACAGTTTTGCAAATTCCTTCGAAGTAACTAAAAACACTGCAGGACGGAAAAAACAACCCAGGGCTGCAAATCTTTGCTTTAGGTAACATTTCACTAGATGAGGGTGCCAGGATTCTCCTCCCACATGGACACAGAGAACAGATGCGCTAAGCTGCAGCAACAGGTTTCTTTTCAAAAAGAAAATGTGCTTTAAAACACTTCAGGCAGGTCTGGTAGAGCTTGGAGTCCCTAATAAATACACAAAACACCGGAGATCAGGTTAGGGCAGGCCGTGGGCAATTCAACCACTTCTAGGACCTTTCCAGGGCCCACTGAGGTAATAACTGCTTTCCCTCTTGCCCTGGAAGTAACTGGTGACGCCGCCTCCAGCCCTTGAGGAGCCGGAGAAAGGGTGGCCCAGGCCCAACCTTTGGAGGATACTGCCTTGGCTCTCTCTCACAAATGCAACGGCCCGGGACGGTGTCGCCTTCCAGGAAGGGCCTTTGCGTCTCCCTCCCCCGGGGACACCGCGAATTCCCGCCTCCCGGCGGAAAGCGGGAGAAGCGAGAGTTTTCTCCCCGCCCCTCCCCCAGTAGGGGCAAACCCGCCCCTCAGCAGGCCTGTGCTGTGCGCTCCTCTCCCGGGGACCACCGTCCTCAGATCTCCCCAGGGAATGGGTCGTCCTCTTCCTGCCCCCACCCGCGAGACGCGGCAGAAAAGCCCGCGGCTATCTTCCCGCCAGCAACAGCCTCCCGCCGAGCCGGCCGGGACAGAGGCGGCCCCCACCCCCACTGGGCAGGGGACTGCAGACGGCGCTCCCCGACTCTCAAGACGACCAGGGAGCTTCCCTTTTCCTCAGCGGGGTGAGGGGCATCTGTCGCCCGCCGACTTGGAGGTGGAGGGGCAGGGACATTCCCTCGCCATCACCTCAGGAGCTAGAACGCGCCCTTCTCGCAGCAGGGCGTGGGCCTCCCAATCCCTCCAAGGGGCGGACGGCGTGCGCAACCCCCTGGAGAAGCAACAGGCGCCCCCATCCCCCTCCAAGCCGGGTAACGCCGACCCCCTCGTCCCTCCCGCTCTTCACCTCCGGAAGCCGGGCCAAAGCCTGGGCGAACGACTGCGCCTCACTCCGCCCCCTGCGCCATTTTATCGCCCCCTCCCCGACCTCCCCTACCCCGAGTCAGCCGGGCCAACACCAGGGGGAGGGCAAACCAGCAGTGATTGGCAGGAAACCGTCCCGCCTCTAGGAGGGTTGTGCCCCGCTCAGGCGCCTCAGCCCCGCCCTCCGCACCGCCCACCGTGCCCACTGGCTCCACCTTTTCCCGTCTCATCGACCTGCTCGACTCTCTGCTGCTCCTCACTTTTTCCGGCCGCTGCCGGAGGGGTCCAGGCCGAGTAAGCGGAGCGCCGAGCCCAGCTGATGCAACCTGGCTGGACTCGCGTGACAGTTCCCGGCACGCGGCGGCGACGGTGACCCAGGAAGGGGCTCTGGTGCCGGGCTGAGCGGGGGAAGCAGGGGTAGCGGAGCCATGGGGGACGCTCCCAGCCCTGAAGAGAAACTGCACCTTATCACCCGGAACCTGCAGGTCAGGCCTGGGGGTTGGAAATGCGCCGTTGGGGATTAGGAGCCCGAGGTTCAGTGATTTTGAGCCCCATTACGGGGTTCTAAGTATGTGGGGCCGGGGACTCGGCGCTGGCGCAGCTCTGAGAGAGCCTGTAGATCTCACTGCTGGTCGGTCAGTCAATCAAGCAGCCCTTCCCTGGGTTCCCCAGAAATCACAGTGGGCTCACCTCTTGCGTCCAGTTGTCTTGTGTTGGAGCCAAACTTTGAATCCAGGACTCCCATTCCACCCCCCTATTAAGTGCCAGACGTGGTGCTTAGTCGCTGGGGATACGTCAAGGGCCTGCCAGAGCTTGTCTGAAGGGGATCAGACGTTAAAAATGACCCATTACGGTTCAAGTAAGTACTGGAAGATGCTATACTGGGAGCTTTAAAGGGAAAGAGAGAAGGGAAGGCTTCCCTGAGGAAGTGACCTCCAAACTGCGCCTTGAAGGAAATGGATCCCCCCCCCTCACTCCACAAATGTTCCGTTTGTTACCAAGAACTACAGGAGTAGAAGTGAACCAGAGGAAGAATGGAAGAATAAGGAGGGAGAGCATTTCAGATGGAGGAAACAGAAATTGTGGCAAATTTAGCTGGAGTGGAGTGAGCAAAGTTATGAGGAAGCACTTAAATATTTATATTGCTTACCCCTTAACTTTTTCAGGCTTCTGACTGTTGTCACCTTATCAGCGACGCATGATTTCCGACCACTTTATTTAAATAACAAACCCTCTGGCACCAGAACTGCCCCATACCTTGCTCTGCCTTTTTTTTGTTATTGTTTCTACATAGTATACATTTTATTTATTTGTTTAAGAGAGGTAGGCAGGGACCAAGTCACGGGAGCCTTGCAGGCCTTATTCTGTTCAATTTTAAATTGGGCTTCCTTCTAAGAGTAGTGATAAATCAGTTGGGCCACACAGCCTGTTCTGTTTTTTCTTTTTAGAGATGTACTTCACATACTATAAAATTCACCCTTTTAAAGTGCACAATTCAGTGGGTTTTAGTATGTTCACAAGGTTGTGCAACCATCACACTATCTTTTTTTTTTTTTTTTTTTTTGAGGCGGAGTCTCGCTCTGTCGCCCAGGCTGGAGTGCAGTGGCCCAATCTCGGCTCATTGCAACCTCCGCCTCCCAGGTTCACGCCATTCTCCTGCCTCAGCCTCCCGAGTAGCTGGGACTACAGGTGACCGCCCCCACGCCCGGCTAATTTTTTGTATTTTTAGTAGAGACGGGGTTTCACCGTGTTAGCCAGGGTGGTCTCGATCTCCTGACCTCGTGATCCACCCTCCTTGGCCTCCCAGAGTGCTGGGATTACAGGCGTGAGCCACGGCTCCCGGCCACAACCATCACACTATCTAATAAAACTTGCACCCGTTAGCAGACGCTACCTATTACCCACTACTCCTAGCCTTAGAGAAACACTAATCTACTCTCTGTCTCCAGGTATTTGCGTATTCTGGGCATTTCCTGTAACTAGAATCATACAATATGTTTGTTGTGTCTGACTTTTTGCACTTAGCATAATGTTTTCAAAGTTCATGCATGTATTTGCACCTAGCAGAACGTCATTCCTTTTTATGGTTGAATGATACTCTGTTGTATGGATATACATTTTGTTTATCCGTTCATCAGTTGATGGACATTTGGGTTATTCCATTTACAACTTAGTCTTAACCAAAGGTTTTTGCACGCTTCCCCTAGCTAGATTCTTTGTTTCCTATTCTCTCTCCATAAAATAGTGCTGGTTGGAGACTAAAAATACACAAAACTATTAGAATTGACTCAATTGGGTTTTTTGTTTTGGGGATTTTTTTTCTGGAACGGAGTTTATCTCTTGTCGGCCAGGCTGGAGTGCAATGGCACAATCTCAGCTCACTGCAACCTCTGCCTCCTGGGCTCAAGTGATTCTCCTGCCTCAGCCTCCTGAGTAGCTGGGATTACAGACGTGCACCACCACGCCGGGCTAATTTTTGTATTTTTAGTAGAGACGGGGTTTCACCATGCTGGCCAGGCTGGTCTCAAATTCCTGACCTCAAGTTATCCGCCAAATTCGGCGTCCCAAAGTGCTGGGATTACAGAGTGAGCCACAGTGCCCGGCCTCACTCAGGTTTTAAAGGCTAAGTAATGTGACATCTTCTTGGATGGTGAGAACCCTCCAAGTGTCCACGTTGTCAGGGGTGCTCTTGAGCATGCGGGATCAGCTGCCAAAAGACTTGGAGCACAGGAGTTTAACAAGTCCTGGTAAAACATGATTCAAACCAGCAGTCTATCATGGTTTCTGACAGCCTCCCAAAACCGTAACTTGAGGAAACACTACAACCTCTTATCGGGGTACACTGGCCTGTTAGAATTTTTCCAATACTGTCATAGGACAAAAAGAAATCATTAAAGGTTTGTAAAAAGGAAAATGAGTTTTAAAGAAGTTTTTGAGTTTTAAAAGACTGTCTCTGGCTACCTTTTAGAACATGGATTGGAGGGGCCAAGCGCAGTGGCTCATGCCGGTAATCCCAACACTTTGGGAGGCCCACACGGGCAGATCACTTGAGGTTGGGAGTTCAAGACCAGCCTGGCCAACATAGTGAAACCCCATCTCTACTAAAAATACAAAAATTTCTCTGGCCTGGTGGCGGGCACCTGTAATTCCAGCTATTTGGGAGACTGAAGCAGGAGAATCGTTTGAACCCGGGAGCAGAGGTTGCAGTGACTCAGGATTGCATCACTGCACTCCAGCTTGGGTGACAGAGCAAGACTCCGTCTCAAAAAAATAAAAAAGAACTTGGATTGGAGGGAGTAAGAGTAGATTTGGGAGACCTGTTAGGAGAATGTTACGGTAATCCTGGTGTGATCTGATAGGGCCTGGATTTGGGTGGTGATGTAGAGGCAGAGAGAAATAGGAGGGTTGAAGAGCAGTTTTGGAGTCCTTGAACAACTCTAAATGATGGTACCATTTACTGTAGTAGGAGTGAAACTATCAGTGAAAAAGATGGTTGGGGAGTGAAGTAAGAAGTCAAGAGCATGAGTTTTATTTTGAACACGTTGAGTTTGAATGATTGGGTTGATAACAAGAACACGGTTCTGTGTATGGGCGTAAGCAGGAGATTTGGGAGTTACTGGCTCATAGTAGTAATTGAAGCAACTGAAGGGGATCAGTTAAGGAGACTGTAGAGTAAGAAGACAAAAGACCAGAGCCCCAAAGATTGCTAATATTTAATGACTAGGAAAAATAAGAACAGTTGCAAAGAAAGCTAAGCAGGCAGAGACGAGGAAAACTAAGAATAAAATAAAGGAGACCAAAAGAGGAGAATGCTTCTGGGAGGGAGTGAGGACTAAAAAATACTCACTGAATTTAGCAACGTGAAGGTCTTCTGTGATCTTAGCAAGATTATGTGTGATGTGATATGGAATTTAGTAGTATGATGTAGTATGGAATTAAAATTGGAATGGGAGATTAGGAAATGGAGCCCAAAAGAAGAGACAACTGTTACAAGAAATTGGCTATGAAAGGAAGGAGAGTGAGTTAGAGGCATGTAAACCAAAAAGTATCTGAGGCCAGGTGTGGTGGCCCACACCTATAATCCCAGCCCTTTGGGAGGCTGAGGCAGGTGGATCATTTGAGGTCAGGAGTTTGAGACCAACCTGACCAACATGGTGAAACCCCATCTCTACTAAAAATACAAACAATTAGCTGAGTATGGTGTTGGACGCCTGTAATCTCAGCTACTCTGGAAGCTGAGGCAGGAGAATCACTTGAACCCTGGAGGCGGAGGTTGCAGTAAGCGGAGATCACAGAACTGTGCTCCAGCCTGGGCAACAGAGTGAGACTCCATCTTGAAAAAACAAAAAGTATCTGAGACAAGTCTCAATTAATTTAGAGGTTTATTTTGCTAAGGTTAAAGACCATGGCACCTGACACAGCCTCAGGAAGTTCTGAGAACATGCGTCCAAGGTGGTTGGGTTACAGCTTCGTTTTATACATTTTGGGGAGACAGAAGTTACAGGCAAAAACATAAATCAATACAAGTAAGGTATACATTGGTTTGCCCAGAAAGGGGGTGGGGGTTCTAGGTTCTAGGTGGATTCAAAGATTTCCTGACTGGCAATTGATTGAAAGAGTTAAACTCTGCCTGAAGAATTGAAGTCAGCTTGAGTTAAGATAAGGAGGGTTGTGGAAGCCAAGGTTTTTTTTTTTTTTTTTTTGGAGACAGAGTGTCGTTCTTGTTGCCCAGGCTGGAGTGCAATGGTGCAATATTGGCTCACTGCAACCTCCACCTTCCAGGTTCAAGCGATTCTCCTGCCTCAGCCTCCCGAGTAGCTGGGATTACAGGCGCCTGCCACCATGCCCTGCTAATTTTTGTATTTTTAGTAGAGATGGTTTCACCATGTTGGCCAGGCTGGTCTCGACCCCTGATCTGATGATCTGCCCGCCTTGGCCTCCCAAAGTGCTGGGATTACAGGCGTGAGGTGCTGCACCCAGCTGAAGCTAAGGTTCTTGTCATGTAGATGAAGCCTCCAGGTAGCTGGCTTCAGAGAGAATTGATGGTGAATGTCTGTTATCTGACCTTAAAAGGTGTCAGACTTTCCAGAAAAGACTTAGTGTGGGGAAGAGATTTCTCTACAGAATGCAAATTTCCCCCCACAAGAGAGTTTTGCAGGGCCATTTCAAAATATGTCAAAGAAATATCTTTTGGGGTAAAATACTTTGATTTCCTTTAGGGCCTGCTATCTGTCATATGGTGCTATACCAGAATCAGTTTGGAATTTGGTATCTTATTGCTACAGAGAGTTTGTTTTGTCAGTCTTACTATCTGTGTTTTAATGTTCATGCTGGTCAGTTGTGTCTAAACTCCAGAGGATCACCAGGTGGGGTGGCTCACGCCTATAATCCCAGCACTTTGGGAGACTAAGGCCAGAGGATCACTTGAGGCCAAGAGTTCGAGACCAGCCTGGGCAACATAGTGAGACTTCTCTACTAAACTGAAAAAACTAGCCAGGCATACATGTGCTGGTAGCCCCAAGCTACTTGGAAGGCTGAAGTGGGAGGATTGTTGAGCCTGGAGGTCAAGGCTGCAGTGAGCTGTGTTTGCACAACCGGACTCCTGCCAGGGCAGCATAGCAAGACCTTGTCTCAAAAAAAAAATGAATAAATATACTCCAAAGGGAGAAGGGTATAATGAGGCATGTCAGACCCTTCCTTCCTGCCTTGGCCTGAACTAGTTTTTTAAGTTTCTTTGGGATCCTGTTGGCCAAAATGTGGGGTCCATTCCGACAGTTGGGGGGCTTAAAGTTTAGTTTTGGTTTACGGGTAGCTGCTGCAGGCAAAGATGCAGTTAGGGGCATGTCCCCACTCCCCAACATCAAGGGTGATACTAGCAGCAGCACCAACTTTACATTGGCTCTCCGCGTTGTAACCGAGCGAGTTATAGAGAAACGCCACACTCTGAGATGAATTCAGGAGTCCTTTATTAGCCAGCGACCGAGAGATGGCTAGTGCTCAAAATTCTCTCCGCCCCGAAGAAGGTGCTAGATTTTCTTTTATACTTTGGTTTAGAAAGGGGAGGAGGAGCCTAGCTGAAGCAATCTTACAGAAGTAAAACAGGCAAAAAAGTTAGAAAGACAAATGGTTACGGGAAAACAAACAGTTCCGGGCGCAGGGGCTTTAAATCCATCACAAGGTGATAGACGCGGAGGCTTTGGGTACCATCAACCAGACACAAATGCTGGGGCTTAGGGTAATATCAACTGGGCAAATTCCTGGGAACTGCGGCTATAGCTTTCCACAATATCTTATCAGTTATTTGCGTTCTTTGATGTGCTGGGAGTCAGCTTGCACAAGTTAAGTCCTTGAGGAAGGGGGGTGGGTAAGAGGCTGCAAGGGGCTACAAGTGAAGGAGCCAAAATGGAGTTTGTCTGGCTCTCTCAGCTAAGGGAGAGTCAATTCAGATTAAAACAAGGTAGGGTATCACATCTGCACTGAGAACATGGCTGGACCTCCTTGATGGCTCTGAGCCTGGATCTCCACTGACACATGCTGTTGTTTTCCTTGTCACATGGTAAAGGATGAGCAAGGTGAGGCACTGACATTAAACTAACTCTTCTGCTTCCACAATAGGAGGTTCTGGGGGAAGAGAAGCTGAAGGAGATACTGAAGGAGCGGGAACTTAAAATTTACTGGGGAACGGCAACCACGGGCAAACCACATGTGGCTTACTTTGTGCCCATGTCAAAGATTGCAGACTTCTTAAAGGCAGGGTGTGAGGTAAGAACTAATGCTATAAGCCCTTGGGGAATGACCCAAGGGAGACCCAAGAGAGACTTAACAAGGACAGGGTGGGGCTGGAGGAGACAGGTTGGAGGTAATTGGACAAATTCACATTTTGGTGGCCCCTTATCTCTTGTCCAGGTAACAATTCTGTTTGCGGACCTCCACGCATACCTGGATAACATGAAAGCCCCATGGGAACTTCTAGAACTCCGAGTCAGTTACTATGAGAATGTGATCAAAGCAATGCTGGAGAGCATTGGTGTGCCCTTGGAGAAGCTCAAGTTCATCAAAGGCACTGATTACCAGCTCAGCAAGTAAGTGCTTGATCATCCACCCTCCTTGTGGCTCTGGTGCTTCTAGCTAATTACAGGCCTGTGGAGTCCAGGCATTCTTTACATTTAGATTAGAAGCTGTCTGGCGTGACCTATTAAGAACCATTTAAAACTTTGTCCATTAAAACCTCATTGTCCTTGTAATTCATCCATCAGAAGTGTACTGACTAGTAAATGCCTTAATACTGTCCTATTTGCTGGAAATATAAACGTAACCAAAACAAAGTCCTTGGCCTTGCAGAACTCACAGCATATGGGAGAGTGATGGTGAACAATTCAGCCTCCCTTTCTCTTCCAGCCTCAGCAAATAATAATAAAAGAAATGTGAAAGAAAAATATTTCACTTATTTCTCACCGCCCCAACAATTGTTATTGCTTTTTATCTTTGTGAGTTTTGTTCATATTTGGAATGTTAGCATAGATATTTCGTGTCCTAATGTTTAACTTACTCTTTTTTTTTTTTTTTGAGGTGGAGTTTTGCTCTTGTTGCCCAGGCTGGAGTGCAATGGCGCGATCTTGACTCACTGCACCCTCTGCCTCCTGGGTTCAAGAGATTCTCCTCCCTCAGCCTCCTGAGTACCTGGGATTACAGGCATGCGCCACCACACCCGGCTAATTTTTGTATTTTTAGTAGAGACAGAGTTTCACCATGTTACCCAGGCTGACCTCTAACTCCTGAGCTCAGGTGATCCGCCCACCTCGGTCTCCCAAAGTGCTGGGATTATAGGCATAAGCCACTGCGCCCAGCCTAACTTACTCTTTCTTAACCTCAGATATGCATTTATAAGTACATAGCGCTCTATTAGTCACTTTTGCATTTAAACCCTTAGAACAACTTTTTAAAGTAAGCATTATTTTGCTAAGGAAATTAATTCAGATTTAACTTTCCTGAGTTTATACATCTAGTAAGTAGATGAGTCAGGATGTGAACCCAGATCTCTTGCTTACTAGTAACTTTCTCTTTTTACTGCATCTAATATAATTTTCTTTACCATTCCTCACTGTTGATACAATTAGGGCTTTAAATAAAGCATATAGGCTGGGCAGGGTGGCTCACATCTGTAATCTGAGCACTTTGGGAGGCCAAGCTGGGAGAATTGCTTGAGGCCAAGAGTTCAAGACTGCCCTGGCCAACATGGCAAGTCCTCATCTCTAAAAAAAAAGAAAAGAAAGAAAGAAAAATAGGGCCAGCCATGGTGGCTCACACCTGTAATCCCAATGCTTTGGAAGGCTGAGGTGGGCACATCACTTGAGGCCAGGCGTTTGAGACCAGTCTAGCCAACATGGCGAAACCCCATCTCTACTAAAAATACAAAAATTTACCTGGGCGTGGTGGCATACACCTGTAATCACGGCTACTCGGGAGGCTGAGGCATGAGAATCACTTGAACCCAGGAGGTGGAGGTTGCGGTGAGTGGAGATCATACCACTGCACTCCAGCCTGGGCAACAGAGTGAGACTCCATCTCAAAAAAAAAAGAAAAGAAAGAAAAAGAAATGAATAAATAAAGCATATGAACATCTTTGAATCTACAGCCTTCGTAGAGTACCTGAAATTTTATTCATTTTTACACTTAATCTACAGATCTTTATGGAACCCCTGGTATATGATAAGCACTGTTCTAGATACTGGATATGCAAAAGTAAGCCAAAACAAAAGTCCCTATCTTAATGGGGCTTACATTCCAGCAAGGAAATACAGACAGTAAATAATGAGTTATATGTGTATCAGATGGCGATAGCTGAAACAAAGCAGGCAGGCCAGGGTAGCGAAAGTTTTCAGGAAGCGGGGGGTTTCAATTTGAATGAGTTGGTTAGGGAAGCCCTCTCTACTAAAATGACATTAGGCAGAAACCTGAATAAGGTGAGGGAGTGAGTCTTGCAAATATATATTGAATTCTTGCTATGTGCGAGACACTAGTCTAGGCACTGGAGTTATACCTGTGAAGAACACAGGCATGGTTTTTATTCTCCAAGAACTTAAGAAAATTTGGGATATGGGAAGGTGGGATAAATAAAGTTATCTTGCTTCAAAGTCACTTGATACTTTTCTATATACAAAAATGACTTTAGGGCCAGGCATGGTGGCTCACGCCTGTAATCTCAGCACTTTGGGAGGCTGAGGTCAGGAGTTCAAGACCAGCCTGGCCAACATGGTGAAACCCCATCTCTACTAAAAATACAAAAATTAGCCAGGTGTGGTGGTGCACGCCTGTAATCCCAGTACTCAGGAGGCTGAGGCAGGATAATCGCTTGAACCCACGGGGCAGAGGTTGTGGTGAGCCGAGATCGCACCACTGCACTCCAGCCTGGGCAACAGAGCGAGACTCTGTTTCAAAAAAAAAAAAAAAATGGTGGGGGAGTGGGGGTTGCTGGATGCAGTGGCTCATGCCTGTAATCCCAGCACTTTGGGAGGCCAAGGCAGGAGAATCACTTGAGCTCAGGAATTCGAGACCAGAGTGGGCGTAGCGAGACCTCATCTCTACTAAAAATCAAAAAAATTAGCTAGGCATCATGGCATGCACCTGTAATCCCAGCTACTTGAGAGGCTGAGGTGGGAGGATCACTTGAGCTGAGATCAAAGCTTCAGTGACTATGATTGTGCCATTATACTGCAACCTGGGCAACAGAGCAAGATCCTGTCTCAAAAACAAAAAAACATGGAAATAGATTGGGAAATTTTGATATCAGTTGAAAAGGCATTCCAAATGAAGAGACTGAAGGAGAATGGCAGAGAAGCAGTGTTTCAAGAGATAATGGCAGAACGTTTTCCAGAAGTGAAGAAAAATACTAATTGAAGCCCTCTTTTAAAAAGAAAAACAAGCCCGCTACTGTGGCTTGTTTTCCCAGCACTTTGGTAGGCTGGGGTGGGCAGATTGCTCGAGCCCAGCAGTTCCAGACCAGCCTGGGCAATGGGGGGAAACCACGTCTCTACAAAAAATAGAAAAATTAGCCAGGTGTGGTGGCACATGCCTATAGTCCTAGTTCCTTTGGAGGTTGAGGTGGGAGGATCACCTGAGCCCAGGGAGATTGAGGCTGCAATGAGCTGTGATCACACCACTGTGTTCCAGCCCAGGTGACAGAGTGAGACCCTGTCTCAAAAAAAAAAATAAAAGGAAAAACATAAAAATAAAGTAATATTTTAGATGAGAAGATAGGTCTATCACATTTTAGAAGCTACCAGGCAGTGCTCTGTTTGAATGTCCTAATGTAACTGGACCCAGGTTTGGCTGCCCGGCCACTTGAAAGCCCGACACAAGAGATATGGGTTGGTAGGAGGAAAAGCAGGTTTGATCAGAAAGCCAACAAACCGAGAAGATGGTGAACTAGTGTTCTAAAGTACTATCTTAAATTCTAAATGTTACCATAGTGTTTTTAAAGGGAGACTTGGTGTGGGAGACATGCAGGAGTGGTGAGAATGCAGGGTCTGTCTGTCTTTGTTCTGATGGCTGTCTTGCATAATTGCCTGTCAGGAGGTATGGTTGGTGTTATCTTGACTTCAGACTGATGGTGATGGACTAATCGTTCCAGACTCCCTCTGAGCAGGAGGATTCTGCAGTCTGGGCTCCATGCCTAGTTTGTTTCAAGATTAGCTTCTGTGATTTCTTTTTTTCCAACTTTTATTTTAGATTCAAGGGGTGCATGTGCAGGTTTGTTACATGTCACAGGAGTTTGGTGTACAGACAATTTTGTCACCCAGGTAATCAGCACAATACCCAATAGGTAGTTTTTGAATCCTCACCCTCCTCTCTGAAATTTCTTAAGCAAGAACATAATTAAATAAGCATGCATTGCCAGAAGGGAGGGAAAGAAGAAGAAAGTTGGTGATTAAAATATATTTTTAAAACCGAGATCCCTGGTTACACTAAGGTTAGGGAAGTAAATTAATGTGCTTTAGATTTCCTAGGAAACTGAGGCCTAGGCCCAGGTTTACAGCTGTCCCCTCTTCCTTTCCTCTTCAGAGAGTACACACTAGATGTGTACAGACTCTCCTCCGTGGTCACACAGCACGATTCCAAGAAGGCTGGAGCTGAGGTGGTAAAGCAGGTGGAGCACCCTTTGCTGAGTGGCCTCTTATACCCCGGACTGCAGGTACTTAAGGGGGATGGAGTGGCCCGATGACCTTTTCTGCTCTGGTTTGATGACAGGCATATCTTATTGCACTTTGCTTTACTGCACTACGCAGATATTGTGTTTTTTACAAATTGAAGGTGTGTGGCAACCCTGTGTACAGCAAGTCCACCAGCACCATTTTTCCAACAGCATGTGCTCACTTCGTGTCTCTGTGCTACATTTTGGTAATTCTCACAGTATTTCAAGCTTTTTCATTATTATCATATCTGCATGGTGATATGCGATCTGTTACCTTTGATGTTAAATATTGTAATTGTTTTGGGGCACCACAAACTGTGCCCGTATAAGACAACGAACTTAATAAGTATTGTGTGTGTTCTGACTACTCTACCATCCAGCCATTTCCTCACTCTCCTGGCCTCCTCATTTCCTAAAACACAACAATATTGAAATTAGGCTAATTAATAACCCTACAATGGCCTCTAAGTGTTGAAAGGGAGAGTCACACATAGCTCACTTTATTTATTTATTTATTTTTGAGACGGAATCTCGCTGTGTCGCCCAGGCTGGAGTGCAGTGGCGAAATCTCGGCTCACTGCAACCTCCGCCTCCCGGGTTCAAGCAATTCTCTGCCTCAGCCTCCCGAGTAGCTGGGATTACAGGCGCCTGCCACCATGCCCGGCTGATTTTTTTTGTATTTTTAGTAGAGATGGGGTTTCACCATCTTGGCCAGGCTGGTCTTGAACTCTTGACCTCATGATCCACCCACCTTGGCCTCCCACAGTGCTGGGATTATAGACGTGAGCTACCGTGCCCGGCCGCACATCTGTCACTTTAAATCTACACCTAGAAATGATTAAGCTTAGTGAAGAAGGAATGTCAAAAGCGGAGGCAGGCGGAAAGCTCGGCCTCTTGCACCAAATAGCCAGGTTGTGAATCCATAGGGAAAGTTCTTGAAGGAAATTCAAAGTGCTACTCCAGTGAACACCTGAAAAATAGAAACAGACATAAGTTTCACTTATGCTGATATAGAGAAGATTGTAGTGCTCTGGATAGAAGATGAAACCAGCCACAATGTTACCTTAATCTAAAGCCTACTCTAGAGAAAGGCCCTGTCTTCAGTTTTATGAAGGCTGAGAGATTGGTTCATGACATTTAAAGGGAAAAAAGCCATCTCCATAACATAAAAGTGCAAGGTGGCTCTCCCTCTCTCCCTCTCTCCCTCTCTCCCTCTCCCCCTCTCCCCCTCTCCCCCTCTCCCCCTCTCCCCCTCTCCCCTTTCCACCGTCTCCCTCTGATGCCGAGCCGAGGCTGGACTGTACTGCCGCCATCTTGGCTCACTGCAACCTCCCTGCCTGATTCTCCTGCCTCAGCCTGCCGAGTGCCTGGGATTGCAGGCGCGTGCCGCCACGCCTGCAATTTGTATTTTTTGGTGGAGACGGGGTTTCGCTGTGTTGGCCGGGCTGGTCTCCAGCTCCTGACCGCGAGTGATCTACCCGCCTCGGCGTCCCGAGGTGCCGGGATTGCAGACGGAGTCTCGCTCACTCAGTGCTCAATGTTGCCCAGGCTGGAGTGCAGTGGCGTGATCTCAGCTCGCTACAACCTCCACCTCCCAGCCGCCTGCCTTGGCCTCCCAAAGTGCCGAGATTGCAGCCTCTGCCTGGCTGCCACCCCATCTGGGAAGTGAGGAGCGTCTCTGCCTGGCCGCCCATCGTCTGGGATGTGAGGAGCCCCTCTGCCCGGCCGCCCAGTCTTGGAAGTGAGGAGCGCATCTTCCCGGCCGCCATCACGTCTGGGAAGTGAGGAGCGTCTCTGCCCGGCTGCCCATCGTCTCAGATGTGGGGAGCACCTCTGCCCCGCCGCCCCGTCTGGGATGTGAGGAGCGCCTCTGTCCGGCCGCGACCCGGTCTGGGAACTGAGGAGTGTCTCTGCCCGACCGCCACCCCGTCTGGGAGGTGAGGAGCGTCTTTGCCCAGCCGCCCCGTCTGAGAAGTGAGGAGCCCCTCCGCCTGGCAGCCGCCCCGTCTGGGAAGTGAGGAGCGTCTCCGCCCGGCAGCCGCCCCGTCCGGGAGGTGGGGGGCAGCCGCCGCCCGGCCAGCCGCCCTGTCCAGGAGGGAGGTGGGGGGCAACCCCCGCCCGGCCAGCCACCCCGTCCGGGAGGGAGGTTGGGGGTGCCTCTGACCGGCCGCCCCGTCTGGGAAGTGAGGAGCCCCTCTGCCCGGCGGCCACCCCGTCTGGGAGGAGTACCCAACAGCTCGTTGAGAACGGGCCATGATGACGATGGCGGTTTTGTCGAATAGAAAAGGGGGAAATGTGGGGAAAAGAAAGAGAGATCAGATTGTTACTGTGTCTGTGTGGAAAGAGGTAGACATGGGAGACTCCATTTTGTTCTGTACTAAGAAAAATTCTTCTGCCTTGGGATGCTGTTAATCTATAACCTTACCCCCAACCCCGTGCTCTCTGAAACATGTGCTGTGTCCACTCAGGGTTAAATGGATAAAGGGCGGTGCAAGATGTGCTTTGTTAAACAGATGCTTGAAGGCAGCATGCTCGTTAAGAGTCATCACCACTCCCTAATCTCAAGTACCCAGGGACACAAACACTGCGGAAGGCCGCAGGGTCCTCTGCCTAGGAAAACCAGAGACCCTTGTTCACATGTTTATCTGCTGACCTTCCCTCCACTATTGTCCTATGACCCTGCCAAATCCCCCTCTCCGAGAAACACCCAAGAATGATCAATAAATACTATTAAAAAAAAAAAGTGCAAGGTGAAGCAGCAAGCCCTGATGTAGAAGTTGCAGCAAGTTACCCAGAAGATCTAGCTAAGATCATTGATGAAGGTGGCTACACTCAACAATGGATTTTCAAGGTAGATGAAATAGCCTTTTTTCGGAAGAAGATGCCATCTCGGACTTTCGTAGCTAGAGAGAAGTTGATTCCTGGCTTCAAATCTTCAAAGGACAGGCTGACTCTCTTGTTAGGAGCTAATGCAGCTGGTGACTTGAAGTTGAAGCCAATGCTCATTTACATTCCAAAAATCCTAGTGCCTTTAAGAATTATGCTAAATAGGCCGGGCATGGTGGCTCATGCCTGTAATCCCAGCACTTTGGGATGCCGAGGTGAGCAAATCACTTGAGGCCAGGAGTTCGAGACCAGCCTGACCAACATGGTGAAACCCGGTCTCTACTAAAACTACAAAAAAAAAAAAAAAAAGAAGAATTAGGCCAGGCATGATGGCTCACACCTGTAACTCAGCACTTTGGGAGGCCGAGGCAGGCAGATCACGAGGTCAGGAGTTCGAGACCAGCCTGGCCATCATAGTAAAACCCCGTCTCTACTAAAAATATTAATTAGCCGGGCATGGTGGTGCGCAACTGTAGTCCCAGCTACTCAGGAGGCTGAGGCAGGACAGTCGCTTGAACCCGGGAGGTGGAGATTGCAGTAAGCCGAGATCGCACCATTGCACTCCAGCCCGGGCAACAATGCAAGACTCTGTCTCAAAAAAAAAAAAAAAAAAAAAATAGCCAGGCGTTGTGGCGCGCATCTGTAACCCCAGCTACTCGGAAGGCTGAGGCAGGAGAATCACTTATACCCAGGAGGCAGAGATTGCAGTGAGGTGAGATCACACCACTGCACTCCAGCCTGGGTAACAGAGTGAGACTCCATCTCAAAAAAGAATTATGCTAAGTCTACTCTGCCTGAGCTCTATAAATGGAACAACAAAGCCTGGATAGTAGCACGTCTGTTAACAGTATGATTTACTGAGCATTTTAAGCCCACTTTTGAGACCTACTCCTCAAAAAGAAAGATTCTTTTCAAAACATTACTGCTCATTGACAGTGCACCTGATCACCTAAGAGCTCTGATGGAGAGCTTCTGTAGAGCTTGAGATGTTCAGGAGTTGAATGTTATTTTCATGCCTGCTAACACAACATCCATTCTATAGCCCGTGGATCAAGGAGTGATTTCAACTTTCAAGTCCTACTATTTAAGAAATATATTTCAAAAGGCTATAGCTGCCATAGATAGTGACTCCTCCGATGGATCTGGGCAAAGTAAACTGAAAACCTCTGAAAAGGATCCAGCATTCTCGGTGTTATTAAGAATATTCGTGATTCATGGGAGGAAGTAAAAATATCCATATTAACAGAAGTTTGGAAGAAGTGGATGGTAACTGTCATGGGTGACTTTGAGGGGTTCAAGACTTCAGTGAGGGAAGTCACTGTAGATGGGGTAGAAATAACAAGAGAACAGGCCGGGCGCGGTGGCTCACGCCTGTCATCCCAGCACTTTGGGAGGCCGAGGCGGACGGATCACGAGGTCAGGAGATCGAGACCATCCGGGCTAAAACGGTGAAACCCCGTCTCTACTAAAAATACAAAAAATTAGCCGGGCGTAGTGGCGGGCGCCTGTAGTCCCAGCTACTTGGGAGGCTGAGGCAGGAGAATGGCGTGAACCCGGGAGGCGGAGCTTGCAGTGAGCCGAGATCCCGCCACTGCACTCCAGCCTGGGCGACAGAGCGAGACTCCGTCTCAAAAAAAAAAAAAAAAAAAAAAAGAAATAACAAGAGAACTACAATTAGGAGTGGAGCCTGAAGATGTGACTGAATTGCTGCAATCTCATGATAAATTTTGAACAGATGAGGAATTGCTTCTTATGGATGAGCAAAGAAAGTGGTTTCTTGAAATGGAAACTACTGGTGAGGATTCTGTGAACGTTGTTGAAATGGCAACAAAAGATTTTGAATATTACATAAACTTCGTTGATAAAGCAGCAGCAGGGTCTGAGAGGATGGACTCCAATATTGAAAGAAGTTCTGCTGTGGACAGAATGCTATCAAACAGCATCACCTGCACCAGATAAATCTTTCGTGAAAGGGAGAGTCAATTGATGTGGCAAACTTCATTGTTGTCTTATTTTAGGGAATTGCCACAGCCACTGCAGCCTTCAGCAACCACCACCCTGATCAGTCAGCAGCCATCAGACATGGAGGCAAGACCCTCCACCAGCAAGAAGATTATGACTTGCTGAAGGCTCAGATGATCGTTAGCATTTTTAGCCATACCTTAAC
The DNA here is from genome assembly GCF_000001405.40 of Homo sapiens. Lineage (NCBI taxonomy): Eukaryota > Metazoa > Chordata > Mammalia > Primates > Hominidae > Homo > Homo sapiens. The sequence continues at coordinate 32,801,428 of NC_000001.11, read as the reverse complement.
CAAATTAAAGTATGTACGTTGTTTTTGTAGATGTAACGCTATTACACACTTTAAATAGACTACGGTATAGTGTAACCACAACTTTTATATGCACCGAGAAACAAAAAAATCCAAGTGAGTCACTTTATTGTGGTTGTCTGGAACTGAACCCACAGTATCGCTGAGGTATGCCTGTACTGTACACAAACCTCTCTCCTGGCACCAGTTAAATATATGCATTTTCTATTCCTTCTCCAACCTATAGGCCTTCCTGTGTGTCTCTCGTCTTCCTTCCCCGCTTCCTGGGAAGCTCTTTTACTTCTTCCATTATAATTCCTTCTCTACCTGTCTGTCCTTTAAGACATTGTTCATCTCATACATCTTTATATTAATCATAATCCTTTTTATCATAATCTTAATAAAGGAAATAAACTTCAGAGCGATATGTGAAAATAAATTTGAGCATGATCCTATTTTCTGTTAAAACAAATACATGTTTTAACAGAAACATCCTTCTGTTTCCTTTGTGTGCACATATATTTGTACGAGCAAGGAGAAGGGTAGAAAAATACAAACCAGGCGGGTGCAGTGGCTTACGCCTGTAATCCCAGCACTTTGGGAGGCCAAAACGGGCAGATCACGAGGTCAGGAAATCGAGACCATCCTGGCTAACATGGTGAAACCCCATCTCTACTAAAAATACAAAAAATTAGCCAGGTGTGGTGACGGGCGCCTGTAGACCCAGCTACACAGGAGGCTGAGGCAGGAGAATGGCATGAACCTAGGAGGCGGAGCTCGCACCACTGCACTCCAGCCTGGGTGACAGACAGTGCAAGACTCCATCTCCAAAAAAAAAAAGAAAAGTACAAACCAAGCTGTTGATACTGTTTACCTTGTGAAGGCAGGATGAAAATATGGATAGACTTCACTTTTTCTTTGTATATCTGTATAATTTTTTTTAATTAAATTTTTTGTAGAGACAGGGTCTCACTATGTTGTCTAGGCTGGTCTTGAACTCCTGGCCTCAAGTGATCCTCCTGCCTTAGTCTCCCAAAGTGCTGAAATTGCAGGCGTAAGCCAACACGTCTAGCCCTTTATAATGCTTGATATGAGAAAATAAAATTTTCCCTTGTCACCTCAAAGAGATATTTTCCAAGGTTAAACCTGGAGCTGGGCGCAGTGGCTGGCACCTGTAATCCCAACACTTTGGGAGACCAAGACAGGCAGATCACTTGAGGTTGGGAGTTCAAGACCAGCCTGACCAACATGGTGAAACCCCATCTCTGCCAAATAATACAAAAATTAGCCAGGTGTGGTGGCATGCCCCTGTAGTCCCAGCTACTTGTGAGGCTGAGGTGGGAGAATCGCTTGAACGCAGGAGGTGGAGGTTGCAGTGAGCCGAGATCATGCCACTGCCCTCCAGCCTGGGTGACAGAGTGAGACCCTATCTTAAAAAAAGAAAACCCGGAGACATGCTAGTTCTGCACTGTTGGCTGGGCGCCATGGTTTATGCCTATAATCCCAAGTCCAAGGCAGGAGGATCGCTTGAGGCCAGGAGTTCAAGACCAGCCTAGGCAACGTAGCAAGACTCCATCTCTGTTTTATTCTGTGTGTGTGAGACTCCATCTCTAAAAAAAAAGAAAGAAAGAAAAAACTAGGTCTGTACTGTCTAATGTGGTAGCCTCTAGTCCTAGTCATATGTGGCTATTAAATAAAATGGAAATTTTTGTTCTCTAGTCACATTGGCTATATATCAAGTTCTTGGTTAGCTACTATATTGGACAGCACAGACATATAATATATTCATCACCACAGAAGATTCTGTTGGATAATGCTGTTCTAGACTGTTCCTGCTTGTTCAGCCTTCTCTTCCTCTTCCCTTCAGCCAATTATGCACTAAATCTTATCGATTCTACTTTTTTAAAATGTCTTAAATTCATTCTTGCTCTGCGTCCTCATTGTCTTTTGTCCATCGATATTTCTCACTTAGACTTTCACAATAGCCTTTGAGGCATTCACTTTGTCTCCAACCCATGAGTCTCCAGTCTCTGCCCTGCCCTGTTACTGTTGAGATCTTCCTACAGTGCTGGTCATATTTCTCCTCTCCTTAAAACCTTTCATTGGCCAAGATAACACTAGGCACCCTAGCATGACATTTCATGGTCTTTACCTACTTTTCTAACCTCATCAGTCACTACTTCCCACCTCCCTTGAAGTTCGTACTTTTGCAGACTGAATCACTCAAAATTTCCCTAAACACTTCACACCTCTGTGCCTTCTCACATTCTATTTCCTCTGCATGGTGAAAAACATCTATATGTTGTTCAAAACCAAGCTTAGCCCACAATCTGATTCTAGGAAGACTTCTCCACACCCATCTTACTAAATAGAGATAATTTCTTCTTTTATGTCAACACTGTTCCTTATATGAACATCTGGGTTAACCCTTAGCACGCTGAGTTGAAATGATCTGTTTACATGTCTCTCCCCAGCTGGATAATTGGGCTTCTTGAAGGGAGAGTCTGGGTCTGATTTATCTCACCATCCACGGAGCTGGCAGCAGGCCTGGCATGTCATAAGTGACAGTCACTGTTTTATTTATTTATTTTAATTTAATTTTATTTTTTGAGACAGGGCTTCACTCTGTCTCCCAGGCTCGGGTGCAGTGGCACGATCATGGCTCACCGCAGCCACGACCTCTCTGGGCTTAGGTGATCCTCCTACCTCAGCCTCCTGAGTAGCTGGGACTATAGATGCGCACCATCACACTTGGCTAATTTCTTTTTGTTTGTTTGTTTGTTTTTTATTTTTGGAGAGACACCCGGGCTCAAGTGATCTTTCCACCTCAGCCTCCCAAAGTGCTGGGATTACAGGCGTGAGCCATCGCACCCAGACAGTCACTGTTTTCTAGTTCAGTCTTACCTTTTTCCCGAATTCTCACAGGACTTCTTTATGCTACTTATATTTCATTTGTCACAGGCCACCTTATTCAGTAGAATACCTTTGGCATGACTATGGTTTGTTTTCTTCTTCTCTCCCTCCCTGCAGGATTCTGCATATCCTGAGGGCAGAGACTACTCTTATTTTTTTATCCCATGACATCCACATAGAGTAATGTTCACCGCAAACACTCAGCAACTGTCTTTGCAGCTTTTGAGGCCAAGAGGGAAGCTGACTGCTGTTTATTTTCTTCTTGGCTTTACCTTCTGAAAAATCTAGTAATTTCCTAAAGTTTCTGATTTCTCAGACCCATATAGAAGAAATAAAGTAGATGTTTAGGCTGGGCATGGTGGCTCTCGCCTGTAATCCCAGCACTTTGGGAGGCCAAGGTGGGTGGCCAAGGTGAGCTCAGGATTTTAAGGCCAGCCTGGGCAACATGGCAAAACGTTGTCTCTACTAAAAATACAAAAAATTAGCCGGGCGTGGTGGTGCATGTCTGTAATCCCAACTACTCGGGAGGCTGAGGCAGGAGACTCACTTGAACCTGAGAGGCAGAGGTGGCAGTGAGCCGAGATCACGCCACAGCACTCCAGCCTGGGCGACAGAGCGAGACTCTGTCTCAAAAAAATAAAGTAGATGTTTATGTTCATGTGTTTCTTTCCACAGGCTTTGGATGAAGAGTATTTAAAAGTAGATGCCCAATTTGGAGGCATTGATCAGAGAAAGATTTTCACCTTTGCAGAGAAGGTGAGTGTCTGCTTTCCTGTCTTTTTTCACTTGCACCTCAGAGGTATGCAGCTGTGTTTATTGAACTATGATGTGTCAGTCCCACTAGTCATAGTGTATGGTAAATATTCTCCTTGTTTTGCAGATGAGAACACTGAGGATAGAAGATAAGAAGTTGTCCAATATCACACAGTTAGTAACTGAGCAGGAATTATTAGTACCCAGATCTTTCAAACTCCAGAGCCCATGTGCCTGGTGACAACCAGGAAGCTGCTCCCGCACCTGTTGGATTTACTCCTTTCCTAATAGCCCAGTTTCCAAGGAGAGGCATTACCAGTTGGAACTACTGTCCTTTCACAGAGCATTTGGTTCGCATTTCCCAGCATCTTTTTCTTTTTCTTGTCTTTTTTTTGAGACAAGTTCTCACTCTGTCGCCCAGGCCAGAGTGCAGTAATGCGGTCATGGCTCATCACAGCCTCGACAGCCTGGGCTCAAGCAGTTCTCCCACCTCAGCCTCCCAAGTAGCTGGGACCACAGGTGCATGCCACAACACCCGGGTAGTTTTAAAATTACTTGTAGGGATGAGGCCTCCCTGTGTTGCCCAGGCAGGTCTCAAACCCCTGGGCTCAAGCAGTCTTCCTGCCTTGGCCTCCCAAAGTGCTGGGATTATAGGTGAGATCCACTGTGCCTGGCTTAGTTTTTTGATATAGTTAATGAATACAGAAATGCTTACTATATATATATATATATATATATATATATATATATATATATATATATATATATATTTTTTTTTTTTTTTTTTTTTTTTTTTTTTTGAGACTGAGTTTCGCTATTGTCACCCAGGCTGGAGTGCAATGGCTCACTCTCGGCTCACTGCAACCTCCACCTCCCGGGTTCAAGCGATTCTCCTGCCTCAGCCTGCCGAGTAGCTGGGATTACAGGTGCCTGCCACCATGCCTAGGTAATTTTTATATTTTTAAGTAGAGATGGGGTTTCACCATGTTGGCCAGGCTGGTTTTGAACTCCTGACCTCAGGTGATCCACCCATCTCAGCCTTCCAAAGCACTGGGATTACAGGTGTGAGCCACTGCACCCAGCCACAATATAAATTTTTTGAGGGCCAGGCACTGTGGCTCATGCCTGTAATCCTAGCACGTTGGGAGGCTGAGGCAGGAGGATCATTTGAGCCCAGGAGTTTGAGACCAGCCTGGGCCACATAGCAAGACTCTGTCTCCACAATAAAATAAAAAATTAGCCAGGCACGCCTCTGTAGTCCCAGCTATTCAGGAGGCCGAGGCAGAATAATTGCTTGAGCCCAGGAGGTGTGATCCTGGCTGCAGTGAGCCATGATCACACCATCACACTCCAAACTGGGTGACAAAGCAAGACCTTGTCTCTGAAAAAAAAAACAAAAAAGAAAAAAATAAATACATTTTTTGATTATTTCTTATTATTTGTTTTTTGTTGTTTTTTGTTTGTTTTTTAAAGACAGAGTCTCACACTGTTGCCTGGGCTGGAGTGCAGTGGCGCGATCTCGGCTCACTGCAACCTCTGTTTCCCAGGTTCAAGTGACTCTCTTTGCCTCAGCCTCCCAAGTAGCTGGGATTACAGGTGCCTGCCACCACACCCGGCTAATTTTTTTGTATTTTTAGTAGAGACGGAGTTTCACTATGTTGGCCAGGCTGATCTCGAACTCCTGACCTCATGATCCACCCATCTCAGCCTGTCAAAGTACTGGGATTACAAGCATGAGCCACTGCACCTGGCCTATTATTTCATTGTATCTGCTTGATTAACTTTTTAGTTGGACCTCCTTTTATTATTAAAGCAGGGATTTGGCCCATACCTTGTTTTTGTATGACTCATGAGCTAAGAATGGTTTTTACATTGTTTAAGGATTGTGAAAAAAGATGAAGAATAAGCAGTAAAGAGCATATGTGGCCCATAAAGCCTAAAATCTTTTTTTTTTTTTTTTGAGAGGGAGTCTCGCTTTGTCACCCATGCTGGAGTGCAGTGGCACAATCTTGGCTCACTGCAACCTCTGCCTCTTGGGTTCCAGCAATTCTCCTGCCTCAGCCTCCCAAGTAGCTGGGACTACAGGCGCGTGCCACCACACCCAGCTAATTTTTGTATTTTTAGTAGAGACAGGGTTTCACCATGTTGGCCAGGAATGGTCTTGATCTCTTGACCTCATGATCTGCCCGCCTTGGCCTCCCATAGTGCTAGGATTACAGACGTGAGCCACTGCACCCAGCCCCTAAAATCTTTATTAACTGGCCCTTTCTAAAACAGTTTGCCCATCCCTGCCCTAGAGATTACAACACATATCCTTGCAATTTATTACAGTTTAAGTTAGATATTTTTACCACTGCCCAACAATGCAAGAAACAGTTTTACTACATTTTTCCTCCAACAACAGTTGGAGTAAAACTCATTTTTTGTTTGTTTGTTTTTTGTTTTTTGAGATGGAGTCTTGCTCTGTCGCCCAGGCTGGAGTGCAATAGCGCCATCTCGGCTCACTGCAACCTCCACCTCCCGGGTTCACGCCATTCTCCTGCCTCAGCTTCCCAAGTAGCTGGGACTACAGGCGCCCGCCACCACACCCTGCTAATTTTTTGTATTTTTAATAGAGACGGGGTTTCACCGTGTTAGCCAAGGTGGTCTCGGTCTCCTGACCTCATGATCCTCCGACCTTGGCCTCCCAGAGTGCTGAGATTACAAGCGTGAGCCACCGCGCCTGGCAAAACTCATCTTTTTTTTTTTTTTTTTTTTTTTTTTGAGACAGAGTCTTGCTCTGTCACCAGGCTGGAGTGCAGTGGCGTGATCTTGGCTCACTGCAACCTCCGCCTCCCGGGTTCAAGCCATTCTCCTGCCTCAGCCTTCCGAGTAGCTGGGATTACAGGCTCCCAACCATGTCCAGCTAATTTTTGTATTTTTAGTAGAGATGGGGTTTCACCATGTTGGCCAGGTTGGTCTCCATCTCCTGACCTCGTAACCCACCTGCCTCGGCCTCCCAAAGTGCTGGGATTACAGGCATGAGTCACCGCACCCAGCCTCAAAACTCATTTTTGACATAAATTTTAAATCCCTTGGCTGGGCGCAATGGGTCACTCCTGTAATCCCAGCACTTTGGGAGGCCAAGACAGGCAGATCACCTGAGGTCAGAAGCTTGAGACCAGCCTGGCCAACATGATGAAACCCCGTCTCTAGTAAAAATACAAAAATTAGCCAGACGCAGTGGTGTGCACCTATAATCCCAGCTATTCAAGAGGCTGACACAGGAGAATTGTTTGAGCCTGGGAGGCAGAGATTGCAGTAAACTGAGATCGCACCATTGCACTCCAGGCTGGGCAACAGAGAGAGACCTTGTCTCAAAAATAAAATAAAATAAATCTTAAAGACTTTACTACCATTTTTTTTTTAATTTTTCTGAGACTGAGTCTCCCTCTATCACCCAGGCTGAAGGGCAGCGGCATGATCTCGGCTCACTGCAACATCCGTCTCCCTGGTTCAAGGGATTCTCGTGCCCCAGCCTACTGAGTAGCTGGGATTACAGGTGCCCGCCACCACGCCCGGCTAATTTTTGTATTTTTAGTAGAGATGGGGTTTCACCATGTTGGCCAGGCTGGTCTTGAACTCCTGACCTCAAGCTGTCCACCCACCTTGGCCTCCCAAAGTTCTGGGATTACAGGCGTAAGCCACTGCGCCCAGCCTGTAATTGTTTTTTAAGTCACTTTTCATCTATATCTACCCCTACTTCCCCTTTCTGATACTCTTGATTCTTGTCTGCAGTTCTTTGCTTCTGTGTGAGTTCATTTTCCTTCAACCTAAAGAGCCCCCACTTAGTATGTGTTTGTAGTGCAGTTCTTTCAGTAATGAGTTCTTTCAGCTTTCTTTTATCTGAAAACATCTTTCAATTTCTTTCACTGGGTATGAAATTGGAAGTTTGCAATTATTTTTCTTTTGGCACTTTTAAAGGATCATTGCATTGCCTTCTGGCTTCCATAGTTTCGACTGAAAAGTCACCTCTAAGTTTATTGTTTCTCCTTTACAGATAATATGTCTTTTCTCTGCTTTTAAGATTTTTTCTTGTTTCTGATTTTCAGCAATTTTACTATGATGTTTTTGTTGTTGTTTTCTTTGAGACAGGGTCTTGCTTGCATTGCCCAGGCTGGAGTGATTGATCTTGGCTCACTGCAGCCTTGACTTCCTGGGCTCAGATGATCCTCCCACCTCAGCCTCCCAAGTAGCTGGGACTATGGGCATGTGCCACCACACCTGGCTAATTTTTGTATTTTTTTTTGGAGATGGAATTTCACCATGTTGGCCAAGCTAGTCTCAAACTCCTGAGCTCAAACGCTTTGCCTGCCTTGGCCTCCCAAATTGCTAGGATTACAGGTGTGAACTGCTGTGCCTGACCAGCTATGATGTTTTCAGCTATAGTTTTCTTTGTATTTATCCTGCTTAGATTTTGCTGAGCTTCTTGAATCAGTGGATTTGTTTTCATCAAATTTGGGAAATTGTCTGCCATAATTTCCTCAAATACTGCTTCTCTCTTATTCTCTTTCTCCTCTAGGGACTTTATAAAACTCATGTCTCATATTCTGTTCTGCTGTTTTCCTTTCTTTGTTCCCTCTGTGCTTTACTTTGGATATGTTCTATTGAACTTTCTTCAAGTTTATCAATCGTGTCTTCTGTTAAATCCAGTATTGTATTGTGACATTTTAGAACTTCCATTTGATTCTTTTTATAGATTCCAATTGTCTTTTACAATTCTCTTTCATCCATTTTGTCTGCCTTTTCTTATTTCCTTTTTGGTTTGTTTTTCCTGCCTATTCTGCCTATGTACTCTTATTTTCTTTTATTTATTTATTTATTTATTTTTATTTTTATTTTTTTTTGAGATGGAGTCTCGCTTTGTCACCCAGGCTAGAGTGCAGTGGCGCAATCTCAGCTCACTGCAAGCTCCGCCTCCTGGGTTCATGCCATTCTCCTGCCTCAGCCTCCCGAGTAACTGGGACTACAGGCACCCACCACCACGCCCAGCTAATTTTTTATATTTTTAGTAGAGACGGGGTTTCACCGTGTTAGCCAGGATGGTCTCGATCTCCTGACGCCTGCCTCGGCCTCCCAAAGTGCTGGGATTACAGGCATGAGCCACCATGCCCTGCTTATTTTCTTTAACCTACCAATCACAGTTATTTTGGCATCATGGTCTATTTATTGCAATATCTGGATTGTTTCTGAATCTGCTTCTATTGGCTATTTTAACTGTCAGCCACTTTTCTCTGCTTCCCATTTCTAGTATTTTTTTGTATGTGTGTATCAAAGGGATTATAGATGCATTGTAGACCCTCCGGATTGTGTTTGTAGGATGCTATGTTTTCTGTAGATTGCTAAATTACTGACTTATCACCTGGGTTCTGTCAGGGGTTGGTTTTAGGCTTTGTTAGAACGTCTACTTCAGCTTAGCCTTTACTCCTGTGGTGTGGTCCTTGTTCCTAGAGCATGGCCTTTCTAGAGACTCAAACTGAAATATCATGGTGTTCACAAAGCCTTCTCTACTTTGATTGGAGCTAAACTTCCATCTCTGTCTCCCCAATACTGTGCAGCCTCCAAAATCTCTGCCCAGGTCTCCAGCCTCCCAGAACCTGTTCTCTGCCAGACTTCCTGGTATCTCACTATGTGCATACACAGCTATGAGTCAGCCAAGAAATCAGTGGGGAATTTTGACATAGGCTGAGGAACCCATCCCAATCCCTAGCCTCCTCCAGCCCTGAACTCCAATAGCTGTTTCCTCTGCTTAGTCTTTCGCTGTCTGCTTGGTCTCTTTTTATCAGCACCTGGTTTGCAAAGAAATACCCTCAGTGAGAAAGCCCAAGGCAAGTGTGGTCACCTTACTTCCCTTCGCTCAAGATTTGCTGCCCTGTTGGGTTTTGTTTTGTTTTTTGTTTGTTTTGTTTTTGTTTTTGTTTTTTGAGATGGAGTCTCGCTCTTGTCGCCCAGGCTGGAGTGCAATGGCACGATCTTGGCTCACTGCAACCTCCGCCTCCCGGGTTCAAGTGATCCTACTGCCTCAGCCTCCCGAGTAGCTGGGATTACAGGTGCCTGCCACCACGCTTGGCTAATTTTTGTATTCTTAGTAGAGATGGGGTTTCACCATGTTGGCCAGGCTCATCTTGAACTCCTAACCTTAGGTGATCCACCCACCTCAGCCTCCCAAAGTGCTGGGATTACAGGTGTGAGCCACCATGCCCGGCTTGCCCTGTTGTTTTATGTATTTCCAGCTTTTATTGTTGTTTATGGTGACATAAGTCCAATAGCCTCACAATGTAATACTGATAGAAAAGCAGTAGGGAAAAAAACTTCGCTTGAATTACAGTCACTGTCAAAGCTACATATTTAGTATAAAAAGATTGGAAGCAATATAACAACTACTCAGTTGCTGGCCAAGTCAGATGAGATCAGGGCACTGAGGAGGAACTTAGACTAATATCGGCTTTTGTGTGTTTCTCTAATCTCTCAGTACCTCCCTGCACTTGGCTATTCAAAACGGGTCCATCTGATGAATCCTATGGTTCCAGGATTAACAGGCAGCAAAATGAGCTCTTCAGAAGAGGTAAGTTGCCAGCTGAGACTTGAATTTAGAAATCTTCAGCCTCAATGGAGAGATTGAGGACTGAAAAGAACAGTGACCTGGCTAACTAGAATTCTCCAATATTTGAGTTAGAAGGAGCCTTACACCATTCAATTAGTTTAGTGGTTCTTGAGTATCAAAGGATCCAGAGCAGTCCTGATGAGATCTAATCATAACTTAATGGTTTTTGCTGCTGATAAAAAAATAAAAGCAAAAGTAATGTCTTTGTTCATACGACTGTGATGAAATTCAGCCTTATTAATGAGAGCACTATGGTTGCATTTCACTAATTAGCATTTTGATTCCTAGGGTAATACTTGATATCACTAATATTATGATATCTTTTAATATTTAAGAGTCCCTCTTGAGCTCGTGTACTTGAGGGAAAGTTCACTTTGGTTCTGATCATTAGAACGTGGAAATCCAAAGATGTGAAAGGTTGAGTTCTGGGTTCCCAAACATGGCTTACCTTCAGAATCATCTAGGGAATTTAAAAAAAAAAAAAAAAGTGTTGATTAGACCTTGTCCATAGAGATTCTGATAAAGTAGTTCTGGGAGGAACTTAGGAATCTGTATTTCCTTCCTTCCTTCCCTTTCTCTCTCCCTTTTTTTTTTTTTTTTTTTTTTTTTGAGATGGAGTCTCACTCTGTCACCCAGGCTGCAGTGCAGTGGTGCGATCTCAGCTCACTGCAAGCTCCGCCTCCCAGGTTCATGCCATTCTCCTGCCTCAGCCTCCCAGAGTAGCTGGGACTACAGGCGCCCGCCACCATGCCTGGCTAATTTTATTTTGTATTTTTTTAGTAGAGATGGGGTTTCACTGTATTAGCCAGGATGGTCTCGATCTCCTGACCTCGTGATCCACCCACCTCAGCCTCCCAAGGTGCTGGGATTATAGGCGTGAGCCACTGCACCCAGCCAAAAAGTTTTTAAAAATACAAATTAAAAAAAAAAAAAAAAAAAAAGGCCTGCGTGGTGGCTCACGCCTGTAATCCCAGCACCTTGGGAGGCCATGGCAGATGGATACTTGAGGTCAGGAGTTCGAGACCAGCCTGTCCAACATGGTGAAACCCCATCTCTACTAAAAGTACAAAAATTAGCCAGTCGTGGTGGCAGGCGCCTGTAATCCCAGCTACTAGGGAGGCTGAGGCAGGAGAATTGCTTGAACCCAGGAGGCAGAGGTTGCAGTGAGCCAAGATCACACTGTTGCACTCCAGCCTGGGCAACAAGAGCGAGACTCCCTCTCAAAAAAAAAAGGGCCAGGCACAGTGGCTCACACCTGTAATCCCAGCACTTTGGGAGGCCAAGGCGGGTGGATCACCTGAGGTCAGGAGTTCCAGACCAGCCTGGCCAACATGGTGAAACCCCTTCTCTACTAAATATATAAAAATTCAGCTGGGTGTGGTGGCATGCACCTGTAATCCCAGCTACTCGGGAGGCTGAGACAGGAGAATTGCTTGAACCCAGGAGAAAGAGGTTGCACTGAGTCAAGATTGCATCACTGCACTCCAGCCTGGGCCACAGAGTGAGACTCCGTCTTAAAAAAAAAAAAAAAAAATGCCTGGCCCAATCCCAAGAGATTTTGATTCATTAGGTTTGGGTGGAACCCAGTAAAAGGTGATTCATATACTGTCACATGTGAGCTAGAATTTGGTAACCACTGAACTCAAATGACCATGAACTCACTCTTTCCAAATAAGAAACAAAGCCTATTACCTAAAAAGGAAAAATGGCTGTAGATAATATATAATACTTAGTGTGGCTGATTGCTGTGAACAAGTATCCTCACACATTGTCGACAGCAATGTTGATTAGGATACCTTTCAAAAAACAATTTTGAACCTAGCAATTTTCGGCATCTTAAGGAAATGATTCTAGAGAAGGGAAAAGACTGCAAAGATGTCCAATGTAGCATTATATATAATTTGTAAAAATTAGGATAGAATCTAACAGTTTGGAGTTTGCTAAATTATGTTTCCACTAATAATTGGGAATATAATATGGCATAAAAACTATAAGTAGGCCACACATTGTGGTTCACACCTGTAATCCTAGCACTTTGGGAAGCCAAGGTGGGCAGATAGGTTGAGTCCAGGAGTTCAAGACCAGCCTTGGCAACATGATAAAATCCCATCTCTATAAAAAATTTTAAAAATTAGCTAGGCATGGTGGCATGCACCAATAGTTCCAGCTACATGGGAGGCTGAGGTAGGAGGACTACTTGAGCCTGGGAGGCAAAGGTCGCAGTGGGCCATGATTGTGCCACCACACTCCAGCCAGGGCAACAGAGCAAGCAAGATCCTATCAATCCCAACACTTTGGGAAGCTGAGGCAGGAGGATTGCTAGAGGCCAGGAGTTTGAGATTGTCCTGGGCAACACAGTGAGACCCCATTTTAACAAATAATTAGCCAGGCATGCCAGGTGCGGTGGCTCACGCCTGTAATCCCAGCACTTTGGGAGGCCAAGGCGGGTGAATCACCTAAGGTCGGGAGTTCGACACCAGCCTGACCAACATGGAGAAACCCCGTCTCTACTAAAAATACAAAATTAGCTGGGCTTGGTGGTGCATGCCTGTAATCCCAGCTACTTGGGAGGCTGAGGCAGGAGGAACCGCTTGAACCCAGGAGGCGGAGGTTGAGGTGAGTCGAGATCATGCCATTGTACTCCAGCCTGGGCAACAAAAGCAAAACTGTCTCAAAAAATAAATAAATAAATAAATAAATAAAAATTAGCCAGGCATGGTTTTGTACACCTGTAGTCCTAACTCCTCTTGAGGCTGAGGTCAGAAGATCACTTAATGGCAGGAGTTCGAGGTTACAGTGAACTATAATTGCACCACTGTACTCCATCCTGAGCAACAGAGCGAGACCATCTGAAAAGAAAAAAAATTGTAAGTAAGGACCAGGTAGCCACTCAGAAATACTTAAAAGATAGACATTTATTCTCCAACTACAAATTCATAACAATTTTGTGTGCTATAAACAAAGCCTGAGAAGAATATAAAAAATAAAATAGTTTAATTTGTTAGATGGCAGGATTGTGAGTGGTTTTTCACTGTCGCCCAGGCTGGAGTGTAGTGGCATGATCATGCCTCACTGCACTTTCAACCTCAGGCTCAAGTGATCCTCCTGCCTCAGCCTCCTGAGTAGCTGGGACCACAGGCGCGTACAACCACACCCAGCTAATTTTTTATTTTCAGTAGAGATGAGGTTTTTCTATGTTGCCCACACTGGTCTTGAACTCCTGGGCTCAAGCGACTCTCCAGCCTCCCAAAGTGATAAGACTACAGGTGTGAGCCACTGTGCCCAGCCAAATGTTAAAATATTTTTATTGCCCGGGTGCAGTGGCTCACACCTGTAATCCCAGCACTTTGAGAGGCCAAGGCGGGGCAGATCACGAGGTCAGGAGATCGAGACCATCCTGGCTACCACGGTGAAACCCTGTCTCTACTAAAAATACAAAAACAAAATTAGCTGGGCGTGGTGACAGGCACCTGTAATCCCAGCTATTCGGGAGGCTGAGGCGGGAGAATGGCGTGAACCCAGGAGGCGGAGCTTCCAGTGAGCTCAGATGGCGCCACTGCACTCCAGCCTGGGCAACAGAGTGAGACTCCGTCTCAAAAAAAAAAAAAAATCTTTATTTATTTATTTTTACCACATCCACAGGAAAATATCTGCAAGTACCTAATGTTAAAATCTTTGTAAAAAGAATTTTTTTAGCGAGGCACAGTGGCTCACACCTTTAATCCCAGCACTTTTTGGGAGGCCAAGGCAGGAGAGTTGCTTGAGCCCAGAAGTTTGAGACCAGCCTGGGCCACATGATGAAACCCTGTCTCTACAAAAAATAGAATTACCTGGGCATGGTGACACATTCCTGTAGTCCCAGCTTTCCAGGAGGCTGAGATGGGAGAATCTCTTGAGCCCAGGAGGCTGAGGCTGCAGTGAGCCATGATTGTGCCACTGCACTCCAGCCTGGGTGACAGAGAAGAAAAAACAAAATTTAACTTATATTAGTTGAGCATATTCTCATTTTCAACCACAAGAGGTCCTCTTCCGTTCTATGACTTCTAGGAGTCCAAGATTGATCTCCTTGATCGGAAGGAGGATGTGAAGAAAAAACTGAAGAAGGCCTTCTGTGAGCCAGGAAATGTGGAGAACAATGGGGTTCTGTCCTTCATCAAGCATGTCCTTTTTCCCCTTAAGTCCGGTAACACTCTCTGTTTTCTTCCTAGAGGCCAGGCTAGAATAGAAAAGTTCGTGCTGTGATCATACTTGTGATTTGTCACAGACTCTTCCTTCAGGGACTGGCTGCCCTGATTCTCTGCTCTGATTTCTTATATATTAAAGTATGAATGATGTTGGGATGTAATTTAATTGTCCATATATTCGTTACCAGGCTAGGTTCTGAGGGAATACTGGAGTGGGCAGAGGTGTTAGAAGTAAGGGTGGGGGCAGACATGTTGAACTAGAGGAATACAACAAAATAGATATAAGCCACAAGCCTTCCCCTGAAGCAGCTGAGATGCTAGCTGGGTATACAATAGTGCCACTCATCCAATTTAAGAATAATACCATACAATAAAGTTCAGAATATATGGCAAAAACTACAAATAGTCATGCATGTGGGCTAGGAATAGTCATGCATGTGAGCTAGGAATGCTGTCAATGAGTTTGTTGACATGGATCCTTTTCCTTATAGAGTTTGTGATCCTACGAGATGAGAAATGGGGTGGAAACAAAACCTACACAGCTTACGTGGACCTGGAAAAGGACTTTGCTGCTGAGGTAACATGAAAGGAAAAGGAATCCTTTCATGAAGATCTGTATTTTGTTATTTTTTGCTGACTGTTAGAACTTGTTTAGAACAACTTGTTCTGTGTAAAAGTGAGCTGCCTGCTATTTTTGCTCTACTTTTGGTAATCTCACTAGTGTCCATTTTCCTTCAAAATTGCAGTTTTGGTTAAAGTTTCTTGTCAGTTAGCTTTTCTGACTTAGGAATTTTGTTAATACAGATGGATTTCTATCCCTCGGGGCCCTTTCCTTACCTGGCAGGGACTCTGTCTCACCTCTTCTCAGGAAACATTTCTTATCAGTAAATGTCTGTAATCTTATACACACGAGTGGTCCCTTTAGGATGTACAAAAGCAGTACTCATTCAGTAGAAACCATACTTCTTCAAGTACCCATACAACCATTCTGTTTTTCACTTTCTGTATTCAATAAATTACATGAGATACTAAAAAAAAAAAAAAAAAAGAAAATGGGCTGGGTGCAGCAGCTCACACCTGTAATCCCAGCACTTTGGGAGGCCGAGGTGGGTGGATCACCTGAGGTCAGGAGTTCGAGACCAGCCTGACCAACACGGAGAAACCCCATCTCTATTAAAAATACAAAAAAGTAGCCAGGCATGGTGGCACGCACCTGTAATCCCAGCTACTCGGGAGGCTGAGGCAGGGGATTCGCTTGAACCTGGGAGTCGGAGGTTGCAGTGAACCGAGATCGCGCCATTGTACTCCAGCCTGGGCAACAAGAGTGAAACTCCGTCTCAAAAAGAAAAAAAGAAAGGAAAAGAAAAGAAAAAGAAAGATAATCCCCACTCAACTCTGCCAGACCTCTCCATCTTGGCCCGCTAGGTTTGTAGTTATATGCTACAGGGCTCTGTGTTTTTGTGGGGTTTTTTTTTTTTGAGACAGAGTCTCACTCTGTCGCCTAGGCTGGAGTGCAGTGGCACGATCTCGGCTCACTGCAACCTCCGCCTCCCAGGTTCAAGCGATTCTCCTGCCTCAGCCTCCTGAGTAGCCGGGATTACAGGTGCCCACCACCACACCCGGCTAATTTTCATATTTTTTAGTAGAGACGGGGTTTCACCATGTTGGCCAGGCTGGTCTTGAACTCCTGACCTCAGGTGATCCGCCTGCCTCGGCCTCCCAGAGTGCTGGGATTACAGGCGTGAGCCCCTGTGCCCGGCCAGGGCTCTGTTTATGCTCTCCAGGGCTGCATATTTTGTTAATGGCTTTGATGAGGATTCAGGTGGTTCCCAGATTCGATAGGCAAATGGTACAATGCTAATATACTGGTGCTTTAATCACTCTCCAAATGACTTAGCAGGCTGGAATAAAGGACCTAACTCAGCAAAAATGAAGTATTTCAGGAACAGATGCAAAATCAGGATTCAAAAACAAGAGATAATTATAAAAGGACAGAATAGAGGCTCCTATTCATTTCAACAGACACTTGAACAAAAGACTTACTAGGTGCCCATGTGTTAGGCACTATGCTAGGGACTGGTATTACACAGAGGGTTCAGTCCTCCTAATGCTCAGTCCAGTAGGCGAGGCAGACTTGTAAACATTTCATTGGCTGCATTTTACATATATATCTATATGTGTTTTTTAACATATGTGTGTATGTGTGTATATATGTGAATATATGTGTGAAAATATATATGTGAATATATATAATGAAAAGAATATATATATACCAGAAATAATATAGGAGGAAATGATTAACTGACTCTAGAAAAGCTTGTGGAGGAGACACTATCCAAGCACTATTTTGCTTGAGGAATAGGAGTTCACAAGGAAATCTGTGAGGGAATAAGTTGTACAAAGACATGGTAGGATGAAGCAGCATGATGTATGAGGAATTCCAGGTGGTTTGGTCTGACTAGAGTCTAAAAGGTGAGGAGGGGGATTATGGGAGAGATAGGCAGGGCCAGGTCACAAAGGGAAGATGTGATAATACCATATATAGGAATAAAATGGGGGGTTTTGTGATTGACTCTGAATTCAGGTCCAACCAATTTAATGGAGCTGCTAGAAATGTTAATGTACGCCAGGTGCGGTGGCTCACACCTGTAATCCCAGCACTTTGGGAGGCCAAGGCAGGAGAATTGCTTGAGCTCAGGAGTTGAAGACTAGCCTAGGCAACATAGTGAGACTCTGTCTCTACAAAAAAAAAAAAAAAATCAAAATACTGGCCAGCCATGATGGCGCATGCCTGTAGTCGCAGCTACTGGGAAGGCTGAGGTGGGAGGATCGCTTGAGCCCAGGAGATCAAAGCTGCACTGAGCCATGATTGCGCCACTGTACTCCAGCTGGGTAACAGAGCGAGACCATGTCTCAAAAAAAAAAAAAAAGTCTTTTGTGGGAATTAGGAATAGATGAAATTCCTCAGAAAAAAGGTCTGCAGCCATGTTATCCAACAGTACTTTCTGTGGTGATGGATATGTCCTATCTGTACTGCCTGATACAGAAGCCACATGTGGCTGTTGAGCACTTGCAATGTGGCAGGTGCAGTTGAAGAACTGAATTTCAGTTTACATTTAAATACCCACACAAGGCTAGTAGCCACCATATTGGACAGCAGCAGCCCTAGAGCTTTTATTAAAATTAAATATTCCCAAGG
Source organism: Homo sapiens (assembly GCF_000001405.40). Classification (NCBI taxonomy): domain Eukaryota; kingdom Metazoa; phylum Chordata; class Mammalia; order Primates; family Hominidae; genus Homo; species Homo sapiens. The sequence continues at coordinate 32,783,739 of NC_000001.11, read as the reverse complement.
AAATGAAGAAGTAGTATCAGAAACAAAAATGTTCGCTTTGTTGTATTAAAAGTGTTCATTCCTAAGGGATGTCCCCTCAGAATATCTAGAAGATTCTTTCAGACCAGATTTGAGATATAAAAAAGGCAGTCAGCTGGGCGTGGTGGCTCACACCTGTAATCCCAGCACTTTGGGAGGCTGAGGCAGGTGGATCACGAGGTCAGGAGTTCAAGACCAGTCTGGGCAACATGGTGAAACCCCGTCTCTACTAAAATACAAAAAATTAGCTGGGCGTGGCTGCATGCGCCTGTAGTCCCAGCTACTCAGGAGGCTGAGGCAGGAGAATTGCTTGAGCTCAGGAGGCAGAGGTTGCAATGAGCTGAGATTGCGCCACTGCACCCCAGCCTGGGCGACGGAGCAAGACTCCGTCTCAAAGAAAAGGCAGTCACAGGACACAAGGAATAAAATGGAATTACTGAACTATTACCATGTACGAGCAGCGTTCTCATCATTTTCACACCCACATTCAGTGATTTAACCCTCATCCCCATCCTGTGAGATATAGCTGTTGTTAGCTTCACTTTATAAGTAACAAAGCCAACACTGGCCCGGCACGTTGGCCCATGCCTGTAATCCTAGCACTTTGGGAGGCAGAAGCAGGCAGATTGCCTGAACCCAGGAGTTCAAGACCAGCCTGGGTAACATAGCAAGACCCTGTCTCTACAAAAAGAAAAGAGAAAAAGCAGCAGCCAAAGCTTAGAGGGGTTATGTGCCTAGTTTGGAGTCGCACACAGCTAGCTGGGAATCTAATCTGGGTCTGTCGAACTCCAAAGCCCTTCCTCTTTCTTCTTACTCAGCTGTCTCCCTCAGGTTATCTTTAGGCCTTGGGTTACCTATGTGAATGTTTCTCTGCTTGTAAATACCAGTTGGTCTGTGACCCTACTCTAAGCATAAATGGAGGGACTAGAAGAATTAGACTAACAAATACATTCAGCTCCTAAACACCCTCAAGTTAGTATAGATTTCAGAATCAAAAGACTTGGATTTTGGACACGTTAGTCTTTCTGAATGTATTTTCCCTTCTCCTACCTGCCTCACAAGATTATCACAAGGATCAAATAAGACTGTTGGGAAAAACTCCCTTGATCCTACTTTTTTGGATTCAGGTGTCCTGTGCCCTGTTCTAGACTTTATCTCACTAGGTCTTGTTCGATTCTGCAGGTTGTACATCCTGGAGACCTGAAGAATTCTGTTGAAGTCGCACTGAACAAGTTGCTGGATCCAATCCGGGAAAAGTTTAATACCCCTGCCCTGAAAAAACTGGCCAGCGCTGCCTACCCAGATCCCTCAAAGCAGAGTAAGGCCAGCTGGAGAGGGGCCGACATCATCAGGAGAGAGAGCTTGTCAATGAGCCTTGGAAAAATGCCTGTCTTAAATTGAGGGCACAACAACCCAGGGGGTCTGAAGTGCAGGAATGTCATGTCCTACTGGCTCCTAGAATGGAACTTGAGTCATTTTGATTTGGGTTTGGTTAACATCAGGAAGTGATCACATCCTTTTGTACCGGCATTGCTGAGAGCTGCTGGTGTAAGATGTATACTTTGGTCCTTCTAGTCTGTTTGTTAAATCTGCCTCTTCATTAAAGATAGTGACCGGGGCCAGACACAGTGGCTCACACCTGTAATCTTAACACTTTGGAAGGCTGAGGCAGGCGGATCACTTGAGCCCAAAAGTTAGAGACCAAAACCCAGTCTCTACCCAAAAAAAAAAAAAAAAAAAATTAGCCAGGCATAGTAGCACATGCCTGTAGTCCCAGCTACTTGGGAGGCTGAGGTGAGAGGATCACCTGAGCATGGGGAAGTTGAGACTGCAGTGAGCCATGATCGCACCACTGCACTCCAGCCTGGGCAACAGAGTGAGACTCTATGTCTCAAAAAAAGAAAAATGATAGAAATTAGATTAGACCTATTATACCCAACCGGTATATAGGGTATCGATAGTTTCTTACACAGCTGTTGGGCAGAGCCTGCAGAGCTTAGAGAAGCTTATCTTTAGATTCTCCCAGTTTCCTTCTATGTGCATGGGCCTGGCTCTTAGTTGGCCATCCACTTGTGCGTAATGCTAAGATATTGGCATTGATAGCTTTGTGCGACCCTTCCAGAAAAAAACTCAGTAACTCAGTAAAATTTTTTTTTTTTTTTTCTAAAAGAGACAGAGTCTGGCTCTGTTGCCCAGCCTGGTCTTGAAGTCCTGGGCTTAAGCAATCCTCCCGTCTCAGCCTCCCAAAGTGCTAGAATTACAGGTGTGAGCTACCACACCTGGCCAAGACTCAGTAAATTCTATGTGGAATGCATGAATGGAAATACCTAAAGGAGGCAAAGCTACTACTGCTCCCTCCCCGCTAGTCTAATAATTGAGGGAGAGAACAGATGAAAATCAGGTATGTCATGTCTGAAAGGTTGCCAACCCAGTATTAAAGAAGTTACAACTCAGTGTTTAGACTCTGGGGATTCTACACTAAATCTTACCTAATCTCAGTGTCTTAACGTGGTGGGATCAGCAGCTGACCTGCCACAGGGAAGAATTCTACCTCATGGGGTTCTTCTCATTCCCAGAGCCAATGGCCAAAGGCCCTGCCAAGAATTCAGAACCAGAGGAGGTCATCCCATCCCGGCTGGATATCCGTGTGGGGAAAATCATCACTGTGGAGAAGGTACTCATTTTTCACCACATCTCAGAGAGGCAGATTGGGGTCAGGTTTGTCTGTTTCCATCCGGAGGAAACGTGGCCTGGAGATGGGAAGTAACATCCTGAGGTCATATTGCAAGTCAGAGTGCAGGTGTCTAATTCCAGGCATCAGGCTTTCTGTTGCGATTGTTGCCTGTGGATATTATGCAACCAAACACAGCCAGGAACTCAGCATGGGGGACGGATGTTAGTCAGAGGGAACTTGTTTATCTGTTAAATCTGGTCTGATAGACTCACCTGATCCCTATCGGCTTGCCTGGACTAGCTACAGGCCTTATCTTGGATGGGCCACTTTGCCCCCTTCAGAAAGTGGTGGAGGGAAGACTTCCTTTTTCCCAGAGACAGAAGGTTATGCACCCAGTGGCCTGGGACCATTGTTCTGGGCTTTTTTTCCCTTCGACATGGATTTGCTTCTCACTGTGTACCCCAACCACCAAAACCACCCTGAGATCAATGCTGGTGCTCCTGCATCAGATGGCTTAGAGATCCTTCCACCTCTTAACACAAGCATCTAGGTCCACTTTACTCAAATCTGGCCTCAGTTGAGAGCAGAGTATACCATCAGAGCCCATTCTCCTGTCTGCTGTCTGGGACGTGGAAAGAAAGTTAGCTCTAGGGGGTCTTTCCAGGGGCCTCTGTAAGGAGTGGATGCTCCTTTCCGGAATCCAAGAGTTCACCAGGCTGCTTCTCTAATGGACGATGATCCTCTTCCTCCTGACGTCTCTCCCTGGCAGCACCCAGATGCAGACAGCCTGTATGTAGAGAAGATTGACGTGGGGGAAGCTGAACCACGGACTGTGGTGAGCGGCCTGGTACAGTTCGTGCCCAAGGAGGAACTGCAGGACAGGCTGGTAGTGGTGCTGTGCAACCTGAAACCCCAGAAGATGAGAGGAGTCGAGTCCCAAGGCATGCTTCTGTGTGCTTCTATGTGAGTGAGGACTTGGAGTGGGGCACAGGACCTGGGGAGGCCAGGAAGAGTAGGGAATCAGCCCATATGATGTCCTTCCACACACCAGGTGGAAGCTCTGAGAACACGTGCCTCTTCCTTGCTGATGCCAAAAGTTGATGCATGAAGGACTTATCGTACAAGTACTGTTAATGAAGCATTTTACCTACAGTTAATTTTGTTAAAATAGAAATGGAGGGCTCAAACCAGTACATACCCAAGTCTTACTACTAGTAAGGAGTGGAGCAGGGATTCAAATCCCAGTTTTGATGTCTATAAAGTCCTCGCTACGTTATTTTATACTTCCTCCCCTAGAAACACAGATTTTGGTATCTTGACACACAATTTTGGTATAGCCTGGGTTAATGTAACCCTGGTGATATGCAGGGATGTAGCAAGATAAGAGGACCTCCTGGGGCTCTGGTACTGAGGATGCCCTAAATCCCATCAGGGCCCCTGTGTAAAGGCCCGGATTGCTTTGGCCTCCACAGTCACTGGAACCCATCCATAGCCTCACTCTTCTCTTGTCCTGTGTCTTCCCAGAGAAGGGATAAACCGCCAGGTTGAACCTCTGGACCCTCCGGCAGGCTCTGCTCCTGGTGAGCACGTGTTTGTGAAGGGCTATGAAAAGGGCCAACCAGATGAGGAGCTCAAGCCCAAGAAGAAAGTCTTCGAGAAGTTGCAGGTAAAAAGCTGTAATTGTTCCCTTTCTTGGCTGGGCTGCCTGGACTGTGTCCCCAGACTGTCCTGTTACTGAAGCCATAGCTGCCCCTCTCTGTTGGGACTTCCTGCATTTGAGCCCCTCTCTCCCTCCTTCTTTCCAGACCTTTTTGAATTCAAGGTGCCTAAGGAGCATGGGGGTCTTAGGACCTTGCATTACATCTCCGACAGATCATTTGAGGCCCTGTGTCAGGGACTTCAGACATTTCTTCATTTGATCTTCAGTCTGTAATAGGAGATTATCCCCATTTTACCTGGCAGGATACCTGACAAGGCCACATAGGGTCACCAGAAATGATGAGGGCAGGGCCAGGCATGGTGTCCCATGCCTGTAATCACAGCACTTTGGGAGGCCGAGGCAGGCGGATCACCTGAGGTCAGGAGTTCAAGACCAGCCTGGCCAACATGGTGAAACCCTGTCTCTACTAAAAATACAAAAAATTAGCCAGGCGTGGTCGTGGGCGCCTGTAATCCCAGCTACTCCGGAGGCTGAGGCAGGAGAATCACTTGAACCCGGGAGGCAGAGGTTGCAATGAGCCAAGATCACGCCATTGCACTCCAGCCTGGGCAACAAGAGTGAAACTCCGTCTCAAAAAAAAAAAAAAAAAAAGAAAAGAAAAGAAATGATGAGGCCAGGATTGGCCGGGCGTGGTGGCTCACGCCTGTAATTCCAGCACTTTGGGAGGCCAAGACGGGAGGATCATGAGGTCAGGAGATCGAGAGCATTCTGGCTAACACAGTAAAACCCCATCTCTACTAAAAATAGAAAAAAATCGGCCGGGCGCGGTGGCAGACACCTGTAGTCCCAGCTACTCAGGAGGCTGAGACGAGAATGGCATGAACCTGGGAGGTGGAGCTTGCAGTGAGCCGAGATCACGCCACTGCACTCCAGCCTAAGCGACAGAGTGAGACTCTGTCTCAAAAAAAAAATGAAAGAAAGAAAGAAATGATGAGGCCAGGATCAAAACCTTCCCAGGGTCCCTCCTGCCCATCTTGAGTTTAGAGCACTCATTGTCTCCTTGCCTTCTGGACAATGAAAATCTGGCCTGCCCCAGTGATCCCTGAATTCATTCACTCATTCATTTAACAAATACCGATTCCATAATATAGCTGTCAGGCAGTATTCTGGGTGCTTGGGCTACCTCAATGAATAAAGCAGCAGGAGTTGACTCTCCTCATGGAACTAACACTCATGGGTGACTCTTTCTAGTTAATACCGTGTTTCTTCAGTGAGATAGAGGAGTGCTTCTGGAGGACACTGAGAGTCATTTCTACTCTCCATCCTCTTGCATGAGGCCATTTGCTTTGCCCACTCCCTCCTTTCCTGGTTTTCTAGGCTGACTTTGTGAATCTCTTTTTTTCTGGCTATAAAATAAATTTTCATGGTAGAAAACATCTAAAATATAGGAGAAAAAAAAATCCTAGTCCTGCCACATAGAGATATTAAAGAATGTTATTAGTGATTATTTCCTTCTGGTCTTTTGCTATGCTTGGAGTGATAATACGTTTATGGTTTAAGTCATACTAAATGCTGTTGATTAATTAGAAACAGGGTCTCACTCTTGTCACCCAAGCTGGATTCCAGTGGTGCCATCATAGCTCCCTGTAACCTCAAGCCTGTAAACCTCCTGGACTCAAGTGATTCTCCCGCCTCAGCCTTGCAAAGCACTGGAATTATAGGCATGAGCTACTGTACCTGACCATGATTTTTATTTTATTTATTTATTTATTTTTCCAAGATGGAGTCTTGCTCTGTCGCCCAAGCTGGAGTGCAGTGGCACAATCTCAGCTCACTGCAACCTCCGCCTCCCAGGTTCAAGCAATTCTCCTGCCTCAGCCTCCTGAGTAGCTGGGATTACAGGTGCCTGCGACCACATCCAGCTGATTTTTGTATTTTTAGTAGAGATGGGGTTTCACCATGTTGGCCAGGCTGGTCTCAAGCTCCTAACTTCATGTTCCACCCACCTGGGCCTCCCAAAGTGCTGGGATTACAGGCATGAGCCACTGTTCCAAGCCTCCTGGCCATGATTTCTCTCACGCCTGTAATCTCAGCACTTTGGGAGGCCAAGGCAGGCAGATCACCTGAGGGCGGGAGTTCGAGACCAGCCTGACCAACATAGAGAAACCCCGTCTCTACTAAAAATACAAAATTAGCCAGGCACAGTGGCGTATGCCTGTAATCCCAGCTACTTAAGACGCTTAGGCAGGAGAATTGCTTGAACCTGGGAGGTGGAGGTTGCAGTGAGCCAAGATCACGCTATTGCACTCCAGCCTGGGCAATGAGAGCAAAACTCCATCCCAAAAAAAAAAAAAATTGAGGGGTTGCACTGTATAGTATTCTACCATAATTATCAAAATCTAACTAAGCTCTTTTTTTTTGGAGACGGAGTCTCACTCTGTCACCCAGGCTGGAGTGTGGTGGCGTGATCTCGGCCCGCCACAACCTCCTCCTCTCAGGTTCAAGTGATTCTCCTGCCTCAGCCTTCTGAGTAGCTGGGACTACAGGCGCCCCACCACCACACCCGGCTAATTTTTTGTAATTTTAGTAGAGACGGGGTTTCACTGTATTAGCCAGGATGGTCTCAATCTCCTGACCTCGTGATCCGCCCACCTCGGCCTCCCGAAATGCTGGGATTATAGGTGTGAGCCACCACGCCCGGCAATCTAACTAAACTCTTATTAGACATTGAGGTTATTTGGTTTTTCACTGTTAGAATGATGTGACAGATGTGACAGATGTCTTCATGCATAAGCCTTTGCACTTAGGTTTATTTTCTTAAACTAACTCCCTAAAATGAACTTACTTGAGTCAAAAGATGAATGTGAAAGCTTTTGACAAACATTTCTTAGAAAAGCTGAGCCAGCTTACCTTACCCTACTGGTATATAAGAGAGTTTTCAGGCTGGGCGCAGTGGCTCACGCCTGTAATCCCAACACTTTGGGAGGCCGAGGCAGGCGGATCACTTGAGGTCAGGAGTTCAAGACCAGCCTGACCAACATGGAGAAACCCCGTGTCTACTAAAAGTACAAAATTAGTCGGGCGTGGTGGTGCATGCCTGTAGTCCCAGCTACTCGGAAGGCTCAGGCAGGAGAATCGCTTGAACCTGGGAGGCAGAGGTTGCGGTGAGCCAAGATCACGCCATTGCACTCCAGCCTGGGCAACAAGAGCAAAACTCTGCCCCCCCTCCAAAAAAGGGGGGGTTTTCTTGCAGTCCCACCACCATCATTAAAATCTCTCTTATCTGTCTTGTCCAGGCTGACTTCAAAATTTCTGAGGAGTGCATCGCACAGTGGAAGCAAACCAACTTCATGACCAAGCTGGGCTCCATTTCCTGTAAATCGCTGAAAGGGGGGAACATTAGCTAGCCAGCCCAGCATCTTCCCCCCTTCTTCCACCACTGAGTCATCTGCTGTCTCTTCAGTCTGCTCCATCCATCACCCATTTACCCATCTCTCAGGACACGGAAGCAGCGGGTTTGGACTCTTTATTCGGTGCAGAACTCGGCAAGGGGCAGCTTACCCTCCCCAGAACCCAGGATCATCCTGTCTGGCTGCAGTGAGAGACCAACCCCTAACAAGGGCTGGGCCACAGCAGGGAGTCCAGCCCTACCTTCTTCCCTTGGCAGCTGGAGAAATCTGGTTTCAATATAACTCATTTAAAAATTTATGCCACAGTCCTTATAATTGGAAAAATACTGGTGCCCAGGTTTTCTTGGAGTTATCCAAGCAGCTGCGCCCCTAGCTGGGATCTGGTACCTGGACTAGGCTAATTACAGCTTCTCCCCAACAGGAAACTGTGGGATTTGAAAAGGAAAGGGAAGGGAAAACAGAGAACCTAGTGGTCTACCAAGTGGTTGGCAACTTTCCCAATGTCTGCTTACTCTGAGGCTTGGCACTGGGGGCCAGGGCCTGCCCCAGGGCTCCTGGAATTTCCCTTGATCCAGCTAGGCTGGGACACTCCCTAAATCAGCTGCGTGTTGTTAGCATCAGGCAGAATGAATGGCAGAGAGTGATTCTGTCTTCATAGAGGGTGGGGTACTTCTCCATAAGGCATCTCAGTCAAATCCCCATCACTGTCATAAATTCAAATAAAATGTCTGAACAAGGGTGTCTGGATGTGAGCTGGACCATCTCAGGAGAGAACACAAGTGTGAGGCAGCTGCTGGCCCCTCACCTAGTCTGGGGTTCCTTTACCCTGTAATGGGGGGTGGGGGGTAGAAGATGGACAAGACACCTTAACAGTCCCTTTGGCAGTACTAGGCAGAAGAGGCCCATACTTGGGTCCAATGTGTGCAGCAGGCAAAACATTTTCCCTTCTAAATGTGGGCCCAGACCACTGCCCTGTCCCCCCCACATTAAGAAGCAGTAGCCACAGCCAAGTTTCAATCATTTAATTAACATCTTTAAATGAAACACAGTTTTCTTCATGTGTCTCACTCAGGCTTCAGGGCAGAGGGAATGGATTTTTAGACATATCAAAGACTCAAAAATTTAAAGAAATATATATATGTATATATATACTTCTAACATTTTATGGAAATTAAAAATCAGAGGCTTTTGGTCTCTCCATTTACTCTAGGTCAAGCTCATTTACCCCAGAGGACAAAGAAGGGCTGCCTCTTCTAGACCCTCCCTTCTCCTTTGTCCTCTGTCCCACCCAGCAGGGAAACAAGCTCAGAAGATCCTAACAGGATAGAGTTCCAGTAATGTTGGAGGAGGGAGAGGGAAAGAGAAGTCAGGTTCTCTCCCACCTCCAGCCATTCCCAGGTTGCTGCCAGGGCCTGGTTTCATGCAGCTTTGACCCAGTCCTGGATCCTAGGGGGTGGGGTAGATCAGGAGCTCTGAGCAGAACAGTGCTCACTGATTATCCTCTTTCCCCAACTCAGTGGGCAGGTGCAGCGTACACCCAGCAGCACTCTCCACTGCCCACAGGCAAGGGAAGAATATTGATTGATTAGCTACAAGGAGAAGACAGTAGTGACTAGTGGAAAACACCCTGGAGAGGGCCAGAGGAACCTGGCTCTCACCACATCCCCTCTGTTCCCAGCCTTGGTGAGGGGGCGGGGAGGTCATGTCAACCTCTCTCCTTGGTGGTGAAGCTAAAAGCAAGGTTCCTTGCCAGACTCAAGCCCAAGTCACTGTTAAGGAAAGAGGATCAAGAAAGAAGCGGTGGCCCTGGGGGGCAGCCACGCTGCTGTGGACCCACAGGGGCCAATGGGGAAGCCAGCTTGCCTAGACAGGTGGCACAGGCTGAAAATAGAAAGGTTAACATTCCCGGAGAGTACAGTAAGAGAGGCTGATACCTAGGGGACCACCACCCAGCCTGCCCTAGAAGCACTGGGTGCCCCTCATTGACTAGAGAAGACTTGAGTAAAATGCACCTGTGGCTTCCCATCCTTGTCACTCAGCGTTAGCTGCCCCCAGTGGAACCACCTGTGCTGAAAGGCAGCTGCAGAAAGGACATGCACCGAAATGAGGAGAGAGAAAGGTCAGAGAATGAAGTGTGGAGGGCCAGGCCTGGGCCCACTGCTCAAGGAAGCTCCCCCCCTCCAGATGCTCCCTTCCATCCACCTCCTCAGTGCTTGCTCAGCCCAAAGGCTCCTGCCTCTGAAGTGCTGGGGGCCCACCCACCCCAGTGTGGTCAAGGAGGCAAGGGGCAGGTGCTTGACACTGCCAAGTGCCCCGAGATGACTCTACTGCTCACCCATTTCTTTGGGCCCTGGCAGTCTCCTACTTGTCCCCAGCATGGAGCACCTGGCAGAACTGGAAGGCAGGAGGGTGGTTGGTGAGTTGAGGCACAGGAAGGCCAATCCCCTCTGCACCTTTTGTGCTTTGGAATTCCACAGCCCCACACCTGCCCCCAGCCTAGAGAAGCCTGTGGGAACACAATGACTTGGCCACCTTCAGGAACCAAGAGGAGTAAACTGGACTGGGCAGGAGGGCACAGACTGGTCCCAAGCTATGGGCTGACTGCCGGGGATGGATTCTGCTGCCATGTAAACAGGCCCTTGGAATGCAACTTCCTGGGCCCTGGAGGATGGCCATGCAGCCACTTTTCAAAAGTGCTTTGATTCTGGACTATAGTATGTGCATGGTTTGGACATGAAAAAAAATGAAACTCAGGTGAGGTGTCCTGCTCCCAACTCTGCAGCCTCAGGGCCAGCAGGGGGCGCAGCCACCCTCTCCCGCCAGCTACCCACTTCAAGATGAGGCTAAGGCCAAGACTGAAGCGGCAACTGCCAGAGGTGAACCCATTCGGGAAAAGGCATGAGCGCAGGATGACTCTGAGGACAGGAGCAACACCAGGCTTGCATAAGTATCGAAGGCCGTGGAGGTTAAGGCTGCAGGCGCCCTCTCTATTAGGTTGTGTCTGCTGTATCCTCTCGTCCTTGGAGCTGCTCGGGTCCCTGAGATTGTGTTTCTGGGATGGGTCAGCAGTGCCAGTGAGGTGCCTGGTGGTCAGGCCAGCTCTTTCTGTGAGTCTGGGGGAGAAAAATAAGAGACACTTAGCAAGGGGCCTCCTGGCTTGGTTCTGGCACTAGGAGCCCAACAAAGCATACCCTCACCCAACCTTCTTACCGCTTTGATTTACTGACAGTGCCCGCAGCACTGGGCTGGACACCCTACACATGTTCAGACACTATAATGTAGGTGTCACTGCCCCACACTTTACAATGTAGCTAGGAAGGGTAGGGAAAGAGGCAAAGTTGGAATTCAAACACAGTAGGCCTGACACTCACACACCATTCTCCTCTGGGCCCCAGCAAGGGTGACAGCTTGCCCTTCCCAGGCATTCTCAGACCAGAAAAGTTAAAGATCCAAGAACAAATCCCCCATGGCGGGACTTCAGATTCCTACTTCCCATCATCAGCAATGGGACCTCACCCTAGCACTGCCCACTGTACCTGAGCCCGGGAGGCCCATCTTCTCCTCTGGGCCCACCAGCTGCAGGACACCTCCATTCTCCGCCAGCTCCCTCTTAGTCCTGTCCTGGGTGTGAGGGAGCCCATTGGTGGGAGGAGCAGTAAGGGGCTCAGCTCGAGGGTAACTGGGGGAGGCGGGTGGGGGGACTCCCACAGACGGCTTGCGGGCCACAGGTGGGGGAGCCTTAGGTGACTTCTTTGGGGCCTGGGGTGGCCGCTGCTCTGAGATGCTCCGGAGTTCTGCCACCAGATTCCGCTGGAGGTCAGCCTGGGTCTCAGGGGACACGGGCCGCTCCAGCTGCAGCTTCCTAGAGCCCTTGGAGAAGATGAAACTGGCCGTTGAGGCAGGGGACTGGGGAGGCCGTGGCTCTGCCTCAGGCGGTCCGTTGGGCTGAGCACTTGAGAGGCCTTCACTGGCGGCCAGGCTGCAGGCCTTGAGTCGGACCGCAGCATGGAGCCCTGAGGAGGGGGCAGGCACTGGGCTGGCCCGCCCTGACAGGGCCCTTCGCAGTGGTTTCTGGGGGGCCGATGGCCCCAGTGCTGGGGTGGGAGCCCCTCCTGGAGCACCCACGGAGCGCAGCCGCACCATCTGCAGGAGCGAGGGCGTGACCAGGGGCGCACCTACGTCCTCCCTGGGAGGCCCACCACCCTTGCTACAGCCCACCGGTTCCTTCTGAGGGAGCTTGGCCACATGCCCTGGGGCGGAACTAGCAGGAGCTGGGGCTGGCGGAGCTGGAGGAGGGTCTGGGCTACCCGGGGGCTGAATCTGCAAAGCAGTAGCTGAGGAGGACGAAGCAGCCGGGGAGCTGACAAGCTCTGGGGAGCCTGAAGGGCCTGCAGGCTCAGGGCTGGCCACAGAGAAAAAAGCCTCCTCTGGTGGGGGGAAGTCAGCCATGGACAGGTCCTGCTCCTCAGGGGCAGGGGGTGGGGGAGGGGGCCAGTTGGGATCTTGGAGGGGCTCCTCAGCAGTCTCTGAGGCAGATGGTGCCTCCACAACCACCTCTGGCTTCTTAGTGGGTGGTGGGGGTGGATGATAAGATGGGGGTGGGGAAGGTGGGGGTGACTGGTCTTTGGAGATGACAGGAGACTCCTGCAGTGGAGTCAAGGTTGTCTGGGGAGTGGGAGGGGACTGAGGACTGGCGTCAGTGGTAGAAACAGGCCCAGGAACCACAGCAGGGGCGGCTAGAGCAGGGGCAGCTGGGTTAGGGCTCCTGGGCTTGGAGGGAGGTGGGGAGAAGGGGGCAGGCACCTTGGGGTGAGGAGGTATGACAAACCTGTCACCCAGGGGGGTCAATATCTGTGGCCCAGAGCGGTCTGAGGGGGCTGGGTCAGAGGAGGAGGAACATAAAGACGTGAGGGAAGAGGAGACGGAGGCCCCAGGGGAGCGAAGAGACGTGACACGCTCTGGTTTAGGGGGCTGGGCCTTGCCTGGGGAAGCAGGGGGACCTGCCAGGCCCTTGGGAGGGAGGGTGGGAGTACCACTTTGGCTCGAGTATCCACTGGAGGGCGAAAGTGTCCGTTCTGGGGACCGTGGGGGGCGCCGGGAACCACCCGGAGACAAGCCAGGTACCCAGCTGTTGGCTGGGTTGGGTGGACAGGGTGCTGCCCCCGCCCCTTCTGAGCCACCAGTGGTGGGTGGCCGAGGCAGCTGGGGCTGCTGCTTACGCTCAGGCTTAGGGGGCAACCCTAATGGCCCATCAGGCACTGCTAAGCCCCGCTGATGGAGGGAGTGGGTCCGGCGGGGAGGGGGTGGAGGCCGCTTCAGCTTACGCAGGGACACACTCCGGCCAGACAACTGCCCACTGCTCCGAATGCTGAGTGTGTCTGAGGCCTCAGCAGTGCTGCCCCCACTGGGAGAGCCCCTCCCACTGCCTCCCTGGGGAGGGGGTACCACGCTATTGCTAGCCGTAGAGCTCTCCGGCTGGCCCTCAGAGCCACCCTTAGAGGAGAGGGTGGAACCGTCAGACACAATGGTGTCGGAGGATTGAGAGTGGCTCCAGGTGTCACTGGAGGAGGATGGGTGGCGGCTGCGGGGCTGTGGGCTGGAGACGGAGGAGAAGCGCCCCAGCGAGCGGACTGAGGCTGGGCTGGCCGAGTGCAGGCTGCAGCGGCTTAGTGTGCGCAGGCTGCAGCGGCCTAGGGCCACCACGTCCACTGTAGGCGGCAGCACAGCATGTGGAATCAACTTCGACAGGTAGGTGGCCTGGGGGGAGATGGACATGGCCGGGCTCAGGGGCTCTGCAGGCCCTGCCCCTCCTGTCAATCCAGGCACTGCTAGGGACATGGGCCGGGTCAATGGTGGGGCCCGGGTACCCGTGGACCGGCCAACAAAGGTGTCATCCCGGTAGACACGGTCAATGTGGCGCTGCAGCATGGCCTCTGTCTCAGCGCCAGCCTCCGCCTCCGCCTCCAGCGCCTGCAGGGACACCCGGGCCCCCATCCCTGAGGTGCCTCGGGGGCGGCCGTCCACTGTGGGGATGCGTACGGCATCCCGTGCACCAGGAGCCCGGGGCGTGCCTGGTGCCTCACGCTCATTCCTCAGGCCTGGAAGGGACAGGGAGGAGGTGGGGTCAGCAGAGAGGGGATGACCAAGGCTCCCCACCCACCCCACCACTGCCCTCCTAACCCAGGCCTCACCAAGCTCCTTCTGCACATGCTGCGGGAGTCCCAGCACAGTGCTCCGCCGCTCCCGCCGACGCCGCCCTGACTTTCCAGATTTGGGAAATGAGTCATGGGGTCGGAAGGTGGAGCCTGGGGGCCAGTCGTGGGAGAAAAACTGTTAGAGCAAAGGACTCCAGGCACATTCTGCAGGGCACTACTTTTGTAATAAGAGCTCTGCGAGAAATGGTTTCCACAGTCAAGTAGGTATGGGCAAGGCTAGGTTAAACAAAGCTAGAGGCTTCTTTCTGTAAGACTAAGGCTACTAAGTCAATGATGGTAATTTCCCTTTAGTGATAGCTTACTATTTAGTAAACATATTATTACGTGTTAGTCGTCATTCTAAACATTTGGCATTCATTCCAATAGGGTACTTATCCTCATTTTTATAGAACATCAAACAGAAGTTCAGAGAGGTTAAGGGTTTTCCCAAGGTCACACAGCTGGCACTAGTTAGTTACACCAGGCTTCCAACAGTTAAGATTTTCTAACTCTTTTTTTATTTTTTTTTTGAGATGGAGTCTCACACTGTCGACCAGGCTGGAGTGCAGTGGTGCAATCTCGGCTCACTGCAAGCTCCACCTCCTGGGTTCACGCCATTCTCCTGCCTCAGCCTCCCAAGTAGCTGGGACTACAGGCACCCGCCATCAGGCAAGGCTAATTTTTTGTATTTTTAGTAGAGACGGGGTTTCATTCACCGTGTTAGCCAGGATGGTCTCGATCTCCTGACCTCGTGACCCGCCCACCTCGACCTCCCAAAGTGCTGGGATTACAGGCGTGAGCCACCGCACCCGGCCGCCAAGATTTTCTAACTCTTAACTGCTTTATAGTTAGTGTGTATCACGAATGTGCAAGAGGACACAGGGTACTGTGTTTCCCGAATTCATTGAATCAGAGAGCCTGGTGAAACACTGGATAAGGAGGAAAAGAAGCTACAGATGCTGGGACCCAATGGAGCCCACTGTCCCTCTCCCCTGCCCATGAATCCACCTTTGCGCTGGATCATCTCCGAGCGGATGGAGAGCGCGTCCTCTGCTGTGGAGCTCTCAGCCACGTAGGATGTGGTCTGACTGCAGAAGGAGATGTTGTCTTCATCCGGCCCCGTCCGGGAGGACTATCAGGGTAGAAGGAGATCTGGGTGGGGCTGTCTCCTCAAGGCTCCCCATTGGAACTTTTTTTTGAGACAAATCCAGCTCAGGCTGGAGTGCAGTAGCGAAATCTTGGCTCACCACAACCTCCGCCTCCCAAGTTCAAGCGATTATCCTGCCTCAGCCTCTCAAGCAGCTGGGATTATAGGTACCCTCCCACCATGCCTGGCTAATTTTTGTATTTCTAGTAGAGACAGGGTTTCACCACTTTGGCCAGGCTGGTCTCAAAATCCTGACCTCAAGTGATCCGCCCACCTCAGCGTCCCAAAGTGCTGGGGTTACAGGTGTAAGCCACCTCGCCCAGCCTCCCACTCGAACTTTTGAGTCACAGATCCCCTCCAGCATCACCTAGCACTGAGCAACCCTGAACTAGCCCTCAGGGTTCATTTAGTGTAGCCCTTTGTGATAAAGAAACTGAGACCCAGAAATGTTCCAAGACATCCTTGCCAGGGGTCAAGCAGGTAGAGAAGAGTCAGGACTGAGCTGGAGGCAGGGCTCACCTGGATACTCTGGGTGTCTCCATGGTCCCAGCCACCCTTGTTCAGTTTCTGTTTCTCTGGAAGACACCAGAAGGGTCTGTTGGGTTAGGCCCCTGACCTTGACAGCTGACAGTGCAGCACTGGAGGGAGGAGAGGGGAGGGGAGTGGAGAGGAAGCTTACCTTGGTGTTGTAGGGAGCGGAGCCCCTCCTGGGCCTGAGTGTGCAGCTCTTCCAGGTGGGGGGGTCGCCCACTGGGAAAGAAGACGTTGTCCTGGTGCTCATCCACTGCAGACCCTGGCCCCTGGCCAGGCCCTACACTTAGATGTTTGTCATTCTCAGCCTTGGCAGAGCCTAGTAGGAGGGAGGAGGAAGGGAAATGAGGTAAAGGCATCTGGGCCCTGCAGGGGCACAGGTCTCACGGCAAGGGCAGTCATGGTCCCCAGACTGCACACGGCCATTGCATATACAAGCAATGCCCCCTTCCCCAGTCTGGACACATAACCCACAGTTCTGGAGTAAACACTCAACACACACAGCCCCCATATACACAAACTACACCCAAGTGTACATAAATCTGAGTACCCACACCACACAAAGGGCCCCATATAAGGCCCCACACACAGGGCACACAGGTACACAGGTCTACTGTGTACGTACACAGCACTCACAGATGTCATTCATGTATATAAACAAAGGGCATCCGAGTATAAACACACATAGGTACACACACCAAGCACACCCAGCCCGCACGTAAACACACAACACCCACAGTCCCTGCTCTGTATATACACAAACAGTAACCAAGTATACACACGACTATGTACTCACACGTCACTCAGAGCCCCACAAAAAACATCCCGAGTATACACATAGCCCATAGTAAATACATTGCTCTCGCCTCCATACCCAAAACCCCACTTCACAGGAAAACAAACCACTCTTTTCATGCCACCACTTGAACCAGGTCCAGGAAGAAGATATCACGGGAAATCAGGAAGGAGAGACAGCTGGCATGAGTTACAACCATATTCCCAGAAAATCCTAGGGGGGATGCAGACCAAGGAGATAGCCTCCTGGGTCCCCTACTCACCCATGTGGCTGCCCCTTAGTGGAAGGATGGGCAGGGGAGGGGAGAAGAAAGACCCAGGCCCCTCCACCCGCCCAAGGGAGCTCCAGTCTCTCTTGGGGAAATAGTCCCAGGTATCCCCCTCTCCTGGAGGCCCTGGCCCTGGCCCTGGCCCCTGTTGCAGAGGAGCCAGGGATCCATTACAAAGGATCCTGTTACAAGCCCCGCCTGTGGAGGGGCTGGCCATCTAATCCTGGGGATGGGGGGCTGTGTCAGCACTTTGCAGCCCCAGCCCCCCCTTTAAATGAAACCCACAACATAAGCAAAAGCGCTGGAAGGGTCATGTGACCTTGGTAACACCTTATAAAGGGACGGGAACAAAACAAGCCCTTTAAAGGGCCATGCTCCAGGAGCAGGGTCTTCAGTTCAGAAACCTGCCTTTCCTCCTCCCTCAGCCCATTCGTCAACAGCCAGAGCTCCTGCCCTAGGGAGTCTGCAGGAATCCCACAGGTCAGAGCTAGGAGGCCCCCAACAGATCCAACCAGACCAGTGCCCGAGATCCCCAGATTTTACAAGTGGGGAAACGGTTCAAAGGGGCAAGGCCTTGCCTAAGGTCACCCAGCAGTAGGAGTCAGACTGACCCTGGACTCAACTCCAGGTTCCCAGAGGGGACTCCCGGATCACACTCAGAGTAGGGGCCCCCAACCCTCAAAAGTCCAATAAACTCTTGTCCCTATGTCTTAATCCAGGTCTGAAAGCCCAATTCCTAGGAGAAGGAAGGAGGAACAGGCCCCTCCCTCCAAAACTTCTCCATTCCCAGGCCTCTAAACAGGATTTCACTGAGCAGGCTTCCCAACTTCCAGTGGTACTACTCTCCTCTCTTCTGGGCCGCCCACGTCCCATCCTCCCCGGCACACTAGGAAAGGCTAGTACATCTTGACTGGGAGGCTGTACCCAGTAAAGTGTGGGTACCCCGGCAGGGAGGCAAGTCTCACGGGAGGGCTGCAGGCTTCAAGGTCAGAGACACCTGGATCCATCCTCCCAACCCACAAGCAGGGCCCAGACAAAGGCAGCAACAAAGCGGCTGGACAAAAGCACAGCCGGATGGGAGATTCTGGCCTCATTATCAGCCCCCAGCCCCACCCCATTACTTTTGCCCAGCCTTGATTCCTCATTCTACATAAGGGTCTGGGAAAGGGAGGCATCGAGCATCCCTCCCCTCCCCCCAAGCCACACCCACTCACCCTTCTTCTTAAACAGCCCTAGGAGCGCCGGGAGGCGGCGGCCAACGAACACCACCATGACTGCGGGCGCCACTCGAGACGTTCCCTATCCCACCCTGCCTCTCCAGAGCAGAGCGCGGGGCGTACCTTCACTGTAACCCAGCACTATGGGGATGCGAGCCCTCCCGCCCCGCCGCAGAGCACCGGCTCCAGACAGAGGAGGGGGAGGGGCTGCTCTCCATGTCCTCCTCCCACCTTCGCCACTGATCCCGCCCATCTGCCGACCCCACCCCTTAAATGGGGTGCAGGGGCACAGAAAGGCAACTGAGGCCAGGAGTCCGTGGGTGCTCTGCTCCAGTAGAGTATGATTAGGAGGACCGAAGATACTCAATCCAGCAGCAGATCACTCACCCTGCCTGCAAGTCCAGAGTTAAGGCAGGGGTCCCAGCTGCCAGATGGTAGGTGGAGGGGCTACCAGACTAGACTTGGCAGGGTGCCCACCTGCAAGCCTCCTGGCTGCCTAGCGTAATTCCCTGGGGAAAGAGCTCGGAGCCTGCAGCAGCCAGGCAGGAGCCCAGAGCTGCTAGTGGGATGGCAAGGCTGTGGGCAGAGGCCCCCAGAGGGGCAGGGGCCAGTCCCAGGACACAGTCCTGGGAAGCCAGGGAGATGCCCAGAGCAGAACCACAGTGGCTGGCAGTACAGCCCCTCATACATAGGTTCAGCCCCACACTTTCCAAAGGACTTTCTTCCTACTTTGGCAATGTGACATCAGAAGCCCAGAGAAACACAGTAAACTCTCCAAGATCACACTTAATCTTGCAGAGGCTAGACTTCAAAGCAGACCTCCTTCTCCCCTAGCCTGGAATTCTTCACATTGGCCCCACGCTGTCAGTGATTCTGTCCTGGATCACCAGGCAGGGAGAACAGAATTAGCCAAGAAACAGTCCATGGGTGAAGGCAGTAAAAAAGGAGGTGAGGTGGAGAAGTACTGGAAAAGAAGTCAGGTCGAGGTTCAAATCCAGCTCCATCACACAAGTCACGATCTCATATGAAAATAAGGCTAATAACTCCTCTTTTTAAGATTGCTGTGGCTCACGCCTGTAATCCCAGCATTTTGGGAGGCCAAGGTGGGCAGATCACTTGAGGTCAGGAATTCGAGATCAGCCTGGCCCAACATGGTGAAACCCTGTCTCTACTAAAATTAAAATTAAAAATTAGCTTGGTGTGGTGGTGCATGCCTGTAATCTCAGCTACTCGGGAGGCCGAGGCAGGAGAATCTCTTGAACCTGGGAGCCGAAGACTGCAGTGAGCCAAGATCCCACCACTGCACTCCAGCCTGGATGACAGAGCAAGACTCCATTTCAAAAAAAAAAAAAAGAAAAAAACAAGATGGTTGTATCCATTCACTTGATCAGCAAACATGTGTTAACCTAGTACTAGGGACTATAGTTAATGGAGAAGAACTTTATCTTGTTCACCAGTTTATCCCCAGAGGCTAAATCAGTGCCTGGAACATGTTATGAGTTGAGTTCAAAAAATATTTGATGAATACATGGATGAGGTAAACTAACAATGTAATTTTGGGTAGTGAAGACTCCAGAGCTGTAACAGGAAGCTTTGGTGGGGCCGGGGGGCGGGGAGAGTGGTTTAGTTAGGTTGTCAAGAAAAGCCCCTCTAAGAAAAGAATAGGCTGGGCATGGTGGTTCACACCTGTAATCCCAGCACTATGGGAGGCCGAGGCAGGAAGATGGCTTGTGGTCAGGAATTCAAGATCAGCCTGGGCAACAAGGCAAGATCCTATCTCTACAAAAAACTTTGAAAATTACCCAGGCGTGGTGACTCACAGCTGGGGTCCCAGATATTGGGAGGCTAAGACAGGAGGATTGCTTGAGCCTGGGAGGTTGGGGCTGCCGTGAGCCATGTTTGAGCCACTGCACTCCCGCCTGAGTGACAGGCATCTTTAAAAAATAAAATCAGCCAGGCGCGGTGGCTCACACCTGTAATCCCAGCACTTTGGGAGGCCAAGGCAGGCAGATCACCTGAGGTCAGGAGTTTGAGACCAGCCTGGCCAACATGGTGAAACCCTGTCTCTACTAAAAGTACAAAAAAATTAGCCGGGCGTGGTGGTACACACCTGTAATTCCAGCTACTCGGGAGGCTGAGGCAGGAGAATCGCTTGAACCCGGGAGGCAGAGGTTGCAGTAAGCTGAGATCCCGCTACTGCACTCCAGTCTGGGCAAGAGTGAGACTCTGTCTCAAAAATAAATAAATAAAATACAATAAAATAAACAGAAAAGGACATTGGAACTGACACTTGAATACTGAGGAGCCAGTCAGGGCAGGTACCTGGGGAAGAGTCTTCTAGACAGGCTACAGCAAGTGGAAAGGCCTTGAGGCAGGAGTGGTGGATTTCAAGGAAGAGAGAGGAGGCCAGTATGGCTGGAGGATTGAGCAATGGAAAGAATGGTAGGAGACGGAATCAGAGGAGAGCAGGCGACAGGTCAGGCTGGGCCCCATAAGCCTTGAGGGTTTCAGCTGGGTAGTGACACTGTTAAAAAATATTCTGGCCGTGCACGGTGGCTCACGCCTGTAACCCCAGCACTTTGGGAGGCTGAGGCAGGTGGATCACTTGAGGTCAGGAGTTCAAGACCAGCCTGACCAACATGGTGAAACCTTGTCTCTACTAAAAACACAAAAATGAGCCGGGCATGGTGGTGGTGTGTACCTGTAGTCCCAGCTACTCAGGAGGCAGAGGTGAGAGAATTGCTCAAACCCAGGAGGCAGAAGTTGCAGTGAGCTGAGATTGCACCATTGCACTCCAGCCTGGGTGACAGAGAGAGACTCCGTCTCAAAAAAAAAAAAAAAAAAAATTCCAGGCTAGCACTGTGGCTCACACCTGTAATCCTAGCACTTTGGGAGGCTGAGGTGGGCAGATCACCTGAGGTCAAGAGTTCAAGACCGGGCCGGGCGTGGTGGCCCATGCCTGTAATCCCAGCACTTTGGGAGGCCAAGGTGGGTGGATCACGAGGTCAGGAGTTTGAGACCAGCCTGGTCAATATGGTGAAAGCCCGTCTCTACTAAAAATACAAAAATTAGCAAGGCGCGGTGGCGGGCGCCTGTAATCCCAGCTACTTGGGAGGCTGAGGCAGGAAAATCGCTTGAATCCGGGAGGCAGAGATTGCAGTGAGCCGAGATCGCAGCCATTGCATTCCAGCCTGGGCAAGAGAGCAAAAAAATTCCGTCTCAAAAAAAAAAATAAATAAAAGATTTCCTGGGAGGCTGGGCTTGAGCCCAGGAGTTCGAGGTTACAGTGAGCTATAATTGTACCACTGCACTACAGCCTGGGCAACACAGTAAGTCCCTGTCTCTAAAAAAAAAAAAGTAAATATATAAAAATAAAGCTTAAAAAAAAAAAAGATTCCCCTGATAACTCTAAAAAACATAGCAGAGACTGTGAAAGAGAGTCTGTGAACTATATATATGTATCTGTGCAGTATCCCACCAGCCGTGCCTAAGGACACCTCTCTGTCATAGCATCTTTCTCTCTGAGTCCCTAGGGAACTAAAAATTCACAGAGGCTCCCAAGCAACACGACCCCCCTGCAGTTCCTTCCCCAGTTGCTGCCACCCTAACACTGGCCTCTTGGAGACTACTCAAGTACAAGCTGAGATCTTGCTCTCCAGAGAACAAACATTTGTGGAGCTGAATAGTCACATCAACAAATCAATGAGATCTAAACAATAATCCTAAGAAGTAGGCACTTTTATTCCCATTTTATAGATGAGGAAATGGAAACCAGAGGGAGCAAGCATTATAAAGCTGCCCTCTCTGGCCTCCATGGTGTAAATGGCAAAGCAGTATTCTCACTCAGAACAACTTGAATCCAAAAGCCACGTTCTGTGCACTGTGCCAGCTACAAACCTGATCTCCCCTCTGAAAAAGGGTCATGGGACCCCATCATCCCTACAAATTGGAGGTTTCTCGACCACCTACCTTCCCCACTCTTCCCCTCTTAGGCCAGATCCACCCACCCACCCACTCTTCTTATCAGTCTCACACAAACAGAAAAGACCAGTAGACCGACATTTGCAGGGTGATTAATTCATGCCAGGCACCATGCCAGGTCGTGGTGAAAGGCAAAACGTAGTCTCTGTCCTCATGGCTCTTACAAAAGTTCTTCGAGGCAGGTACTGGAAGGTACTTTCCTAGTAATTGATCATGGGCCTGCGAGGCTCAGAGAGCTAAGTGACTTCCTGAACTCTGGCTGGCTCTAAAACTGGAGCCTTTCACCACACAGGACAGTCATCTTCAGCTACCCTCTAACCAGGGAAACTAAGGGCTGAGCTCCTGCCAAGATGGGGGTGGAGGAACATCAGCTCATCAAGGTCCCAGGCCCACAGCTGGCAGTCAGGGCCACAGCTGCAAATTCCCAGAGATCCAAGGGCTTACACTTGATAACATCTGGTTGCCCCAGCGACACCCCTCCCCCTCCCCACCCAAGTCAGAGCTCGCAGCCTCTCCGAGTCACCCCAGATCTATACACCTGTGGCTCGCTTGGGGAGGGGCTCAGCAACCTGAGTCTCAGGTGACTGGGAGGGGTACTTCACAAAGAAACTGAGGTCCAGAGAGTGGAAAGACCTTGCCCACAGCCACGCTTAGAGTCCTTGTTCCAGGGATTTCTGCCCCTGGCAGTCCAGAGGTGCAGCCTAGGGCTGAGGCCATGAGGGAAGCATCCCATACCACACCCCCATCCCCAACATGCCTGGGGGAGGAGGCTTCCTGGATCTGAGAAGACACCTTGCTCCTGGTGGCCACGCCCCCAGCACGGAGGGCACACCGGGAAGCACACCTGCGGGCTCCTCAACTCAGAGACAGTTTACCAGGGCAGAGACTCAGGCAGCAGGCAGCGTCCCACTGGGGCCACCTCCGCAGGTGGGCACTCTCAAAACCACACCCACATGGCCGGGTGCGGTGGCTCACACCGGTAATCCCAGCACTTTGGGAGGCCAAGGCGGGTGGATCGCGAGGTCAGGAGTTCAAGACCAGCCTGGCCAACGCCGTGAAAGCCCGTCTCTACTAAAAATACAAAAATTAGCTGGGCATGGTGTCGAGCTCCTGTAATCCCGGCTACTCAGGAGGCTGAGGCAGGAGAATCGCTTGAACCCAGGAGGCGAAGGTTGCAGTGAGCCAAGACCACGCCATTGCACTCCAGCCTGGGTGACAGAGTGACACTCGGTCTCAAACAAAAAAAAAAAAAAAACACACACACACACCCATAAAGCACACCTAAGCCACCCTAGTCCCTGCCTTCCTCACCCATGAGCGACCGCACAGACCCACACAGGGCCTGCCAAGGGGCTGTGTGTACAGAAAAACAGGTGTGTGTAGCCCCTACTCAGGGGCTTTCCTAAGCCTGGGGAAAGGGAAGAATCGGGGAGGGAGCCACTGCCTCCCAAGGCCACGCGCATGCGCACGCACTGTCTTGGCAACATCCTCCATGGGGTGAGGCCTCAACCTGCCCCATTCCAGAGCAAGGGGCGGGGGTGGTGGCGCGCCCACAGCCAGGCAGGCCTGACTCAGGGGAGAGGAATGAAGGGGGAGGGCACAGCTGTCCAGGTGGCCTTGCTCAGGAGGCCGAACCCTCTGAAGCCAACCCAGCCCCCAACTCCCTACTCCTGTCTGAACTGTCCCTGGCCAGCCCATGAGCCAGAATGCTGGGTGTTCAGAGGCCCTTAGCCTCAACCCCTCACTGCACAGGTGGACAAACGAAGGCCCCCGCTCCCCAACCATTACACATTCTAGAAGCAGAAGCAGAAACCAGAATGTAGATTTTATTCCCAAAGAGGCAAGACAAAGGAAAATGAGCATAACAAACTTTCAGGTGGAGGCACTTTACGGTTCTCAAAACACTTTCTCTTCTACTGTCTCGCAGAACACCTAACAAGAAAGTTAAAAGGCAGGAGTGGTTTCCTTTTTACAAATGAGCACCAGGAGGCTCAAGGGAAAGTGACTAACTTGCTCAAGGTCACCCAACCAGGGAGTGGTTGAACCTGGGTCTCACTCCAACAACCTTAGTGATCCTAAGTCTGAGAAAGTTAATGGGTAAGGGCAGTTGGGGGAGGGGCACGACCTCAATCTCTGCCCAAAGAAAGTAGGGGCTCTGCACCCCACCTGTGCCGGAATCCCTCTCCTTCCTTCCCTTGGTGTCCAGCCCCACCCCAGCAGGGACAGAGCTGACAGGCCGGTTCTAAGGTAAATAATGGGGGGCAGGGAGTGCCCAGAGCAGGGAGGGGAGGAGCCCATCCCACAGGGTGCCCTGGGGGAACAGGCAGTAGTGCACGGAGGAATTAGCTACGATAATATTAATAAATGTCCTAATGAGTTTCTGGGCCAGTATTTGCTCCCAGCAATGACATAATAATCCCTTTCAGCCAAGGCGCAATTCTAACTTTCCACAGCCCTTTCCTTAGTTCCTTCAAGGCATGATTATCCCCATCTTATGGATGCCAGAGGCAGACACCACAGAGTAAGGAGAAGAAAGAGCTGGGAATCAGGAGGTCTGGATTCCAGGCCTTGGATGAAGGAATTGGCCTCTCTGGGCCTCAGTCCCCTCATCTGTAAGGTGGGACTAACACCCACATCACAGAGTGCCTGGGAACCTTAAAGAAAGCCACACAATCTAGTGTAAACCCTGACCCCAAGGGTCAGAGACTTGCCCAAGGTCACACTGCTAGAAATGGCAGAGGCAGGATGTGAGCCCAACTCTGACTGGCTGCAAAATCATGTTCTTCCTATGCCACCAGCAGCCTCCTCTCCCCACCACTCCAGCTCTCTTCAAATCTCAAGTAAGGTTAAGGACCATTAAGATAAGGTCTGATAAGGAACACTTGACATCAGCTCCCTATCTCTCCTTAGTGACACCCCTCCATGTGGCAGCCCTAACCCCTCAGTTTGGGAAGGAAGGGAATTCCAGGCCCAGACCAGATCTCACTGCCCTGGAGTGAGGATTCCTAGGTTGGAGCTTTCATTTCCCCTTAATTGCAACATGATCCTGAGCCAGGTACTGTGCTTTTCTGGGCCTCAGTTTCTTCATCTGAGATGTGGCAGGGGTTGGAGAGATGATCTTCAAAGAGCCCTCACCATGGATGACTTTGCCCCTAGAAGGAAGGGGGGTCAGTGCTTCCCTTCCTTGAGTCGGGGCCTGGGGCAGCAAGGAGATTCCGCTTATCTCAGATCCCTGGGATCAGAGAGAGCTGGACCAGCCTCTTATCTGGAAGCCCGGGGCTCCCACAAGCAAGTCACCCAAGCAGTTGATCACAAGTCTCCCCACAAGAAAGGGGACGAGACATGGGGGGAATGGAGGAGGGAGCCTTGTCCAGCTGTGGAACCTACCAAAGACCCCAGACTCCAAGAAGTTAAACCTCCAGGTCTACAGGCAGGGGGAAGGATGAAAAGAATTCCAGATGGTCTGACTCCAGCAGTCCCTTCCCTCAGTCTCCCCATGTGCACAATGGGAACAATAAATCCAACCAGAAGGAGGGCCATGTGTGTGAGCTTGACAGTGCAACGCATGGGAAAAGGAAGAGGGCGGGTCTTCCTGGGTTACCAATTCACATCCACCACCATTCCCCAACCTACCCAGGACCGAGTGCTCAGCTAGCCTGGGAAGGGGAGAGTTGGGTGGATCCCTGAGTGCCAAGACCAAACAATCCCGGCAGGTTACAGTATCTTTCCAGCAGTCAGGAGGCCTCACCTCATACACCTTCACCCTTCTCTACCTTACAAGGGCATTTGATCTGCGGGATCAACGCTTCCTTGAGTCTTGATTTCCCCTTCCCACTTGCTTCCTCTCTAAGCGCTTGGAGGCTTTAATGCTTAGTCCTCAACCCCTAACCCTCCCCACAGTGCTTCCTCCACTAGTCCTCTTTACATAGTCCAAATCCCCCGGGGCCGGGGCCGCAGGCTTTCTCTGCCCAGAGGACGTGCAGGGTGTCATAAGATGACACCCTTCTATTCCTAAACTGATTAAGGGCACAGGCTTTGTAATGTGACAGGCTTGAGTTTTAATCCAGATTCAGCCATCTCCTTGCTGTGTGGCCTTGAGAAAGTGACTTCACTTCTCCGAACTCAGCTTCCTCATCTCTAAAATGGGAGAATAGCCTGTGGCTTGTGGGACTGTTGGAGGACAAAGGACAAATGAATTAACTGATGTAAAGGGACAGCATAGGGACTTATTTTTATCTCTGCTACCATCTCCCAGCCAAGCAGCCTCAAGCACAGAAGCCCACACAGCTCCCTCTGGCCCTTACTCTCAACATCTGGTTAATCCCAGGTCTTATCAATTCAGCCACTTCCTCCGAAGTGTCTCTGCAGCTGCCACTCCTCTCCACTCCCACAACCCCCACCCTGTCCCCAGCCCTCACCTCATCACCTCTCCCCTGGATTACTGCAACAGTCTCTGAGCCTCCACTCTCACCACCCCACCCCTCAACCTGTCCTGCCTGCACCTGCCCCCACCCTAGAGCCATCTTCCTAACACCCCACTTTTGTAGACTCCTCCCTTGCTCAAACACCTTCACTGGCTCCCTGTGGCCTGCAGACTCCAGACCTCTCTCCCTGCCTTGTATTCTCTCCTTCCTCTTCTCACAGACTAATGAAATGAGTACTTATACTGGCACTTGAGTACTTATACTCAAGCTCCAGTCCCCATCTGGGCTTGTCACAGCAGAGGCTGAGGCCGAGGATGACTTAGGATCCTCAGCACAAGTAAAACCAAAGGTACCGAGGTTTACATTCACAATGGAACCTCAAGAGGACCCTCAGCTACTTTTCCCTCCCACCTCCATGCTCAGTCTCAACTCCATTTGTTTTTTGTTTTTGAAATGGAGTCGAGTTCTTGTCACCCAGGCTGGAGTGCAGTGGCGCAATCTCGGCTCGCTGCAACCTCCACCTCCTGGGTTCAAGTGATTCTCCTGCCTCAGCCTCAAAAGTAGCTGGGATTACAGGTGCCCACCACCACGCCTGGCTAGTTTTTGTATTTTTAGTAGAGACGGGGTTTCACCATGTTGGCTGGGCTGGTCTCAAACTCCTGACCTCAGGTGATCCACCCACCTCAACCTCCTAAAGTGCTGGGATTACAGGTGTGAGCTACTGCATCCAGCCCATTCTTTTTTTTTTTTTTTTTTTTTTTTGGAGACAGGGTCTCACTCTGTCACCCAGACTGGAGTGCACTGGCACGATCGGCTCACTGCAGCCTTGACCTCCCAGGCTCACGTAATCCCCTCACCTCAGCCTCTCAAGCTACTGGGACCAAAGGCACATGTGCCACCACGCCCAGATACTGTTTTATTTCTTGTAGAAATGGGCGGGGGGGGGGGGTCTCGTCATGTTGCCCCAAGCTACTCTCAAACTCCTGGGCTCAAGTTATCCTCCCATCTCGGCCTCCCAAAATGCTGGGATTACAGGCATAAACCACCTCGCCTGACCTCAACTCCATGCCTTTACTCACGGCCATACCCCACAGCTGAAACAAATCCCTGGTTCTCTCATTTAACCAACAATTTAGGACTAATTTCAATCCTGTGATTACTTCAAAGACAAATTAGGACCATCTCCTCAGTTTTCTAAAGCTGACCCCAACCCAGAAGGCTTTTGATATATTGCCTAGAATATTTCCTAGCCCCTCACACTTAATTTCTGTGTTGTCTTGACATTGCTTTCTAATTTTTTTCAGAACGCCTTAAAGCTTGAGTTGACCCATAAGTTGCAGCAGGAACTGGAAGCTCACAAGTGTTGCTGGAAGCCCCAGGCCACTTCCTCAAGGGCCAGTAGGCAAGAGACTATAAACACAGCCTTCTTATCTTCTCTCTCCTCCATCACAAATGGTCACAAGTCTGGGCCCACAGTTAGTTCCTAGGAAACCATCAGATCCGAGCGACCATCAGAGGACAGATGAAGAGCCCCAGCCCTGCCCCCTTAGTGCAGATTCTAGGAGAGACAGGTAGGCACAGACAGGGCTTTCAGGACTGCTGGGGCAGGGAGAGTGCTGGAAGGTCCTGGAGATTCTCATCAACACCTACCTTCTGAGAAATCCTCAAAGAGCCTAACTGAACTTAGTTAACCCTTTTCTTATTGTCATTTTGATTATATTACTACCTCAAACCACCACAGGCAAATGACCTTGGACAAGTCCCTCTTTCCTGGACCTCAGTCTCGTCATCCATGAAATGGCTAGCCAGAACAGTAAGTGTCCCAAGAAGTCACCTAGGGCCCCTGATTTCACAGACAGAACCCCTGTAGGAGCCAGAGTGGTCCAGACAAGTGAAAGGAATCTGCTCAAGGTCACCAGGGCCTATTCCACAGCCTCATTGAGAGGAGAGGTCCCCCACTTCCCAGCCCAGGCTCTTTCCACCACCCCCTCCATGGAGCGATGAGATCATCAAGCTCCGGTTCGGAATCTCTAGGAATGTGGGCCATCCTGGGAATACACCCGTAGATTCTCCCACCACAGCAGGGCCCCCTTCACTCCACCTCCTCTGGGATTTCCTCACTCCCCCAGACCAACAGGTATCGCTAAAGTGCCTGCCTATGTTGAAGACCCTCTATCTTGGGGAGGAGGGAATGGTACCATCACCCTGCCCTTCCCCCATCTCTGGATTCACCAGTAACTAGGCACTCTCGATAGCCCCTCCTTCAGCGCCCCTCGGGGATACCCTGAACTGCCGCACTTGTTGGGGGAAACAGGAATCCCATCTCTTGGGATTGGAGGCCTTCCCCTTTCCCTCCCCTCCCCATTGGAGCCTGGAATGTGACCCGCGGAGGGATCCCGCAGCAGCCGGCAAGGGCTGCGTTCCAGCTCGGTGGCTGCATTGAAAGGGGGAGATGCGGCGGCGACCTCGGGGACCGTGGGGACGGGGGAGGGGGGGAGGCGGGGAGAAGTCGCGGTGGCGCGGGTGGGGGTAGGGAGGGAGCCAAGAAAACCAGTCCGACTCCCGATCGCGCCAGATGGAGGCGGTCCCCAGACTCCAGCCCCGGGTTTCCAGCTTCTCCCTTCCACCTTTGTCTCCCCTCCCTCCTACAAACTTTCAGCCTTCAGCCTGTTGGGGGCTAAGATCTGGGAAATAAGCGTGTGTGTCCGAGTGCCTTAGGGTCTGCTGTGAGCCTGAATGCGAGTCCGGTTGGTTGTGCAGTTATGAACCTGTGTGTACATCTGTGTGCCTAAGACGCTGGGCAACTGTACCCACATGACCGATGTGTGTGAACGACTGTGTGCCTGTGTGTCTGGATCTGCGCGTGGGTGTAGTTCGTGTGGCTGTGTAAACCGCATGCATAGGTATACATGTACCTATGTCTCAGGCTGTGTGCGTCCTACTGCGATGGTACGAGAGTGTGGGTGTGATGGTGTATGTGATCCTGTGTCTGCGTGTCCGTACATTTGAGTGGGTGTTGTGCGTGTGACTGTGTAAACTGCGAACATGTACGTGTGCCCGCCCGTAGGTATTACCGTGTACGTGTGTCTCCGTGTGCCTGTGAGGGGTGGGGTCTGCGCGGGGATTCCCGACCCCCCCACACTCACACCCTCCAAGCCCCGGGAGGGGGCAGCAGCGGTGGCGACGACCGCAGTAGGGACCCTCCTCCCTGCCTGCCCCGCCCCCACCCCGGCCCCTACCTGCCGGCCGCTTCGCCGACCGCCCGAACCGCCAGAAGCTGCGGACCCGGGGACCGCTGGGGGCCTTCCTCTTGTGGTGTGAGTTCCCCATTGCGGGTGCGGGAGCCGGCGCGGGAACCCAAGCGCGGCCCAGCCAGCCCGGCCGCCGGGCCCGCAGCCCCGGGAGGGAGGCAGCGAGACTCGCGGGCGGGCACCGCGGGCGCCCCCAGCCCCAGCTCGACCACGCCCCCGAGCTCTGCGGCCAATGGCCAGGCCGGGGGCGGGCCCGGAGGAGGGGCGGGGCCTGGCGCGCATCCCGTCGGCTCCGCCCCTCCCGGGACCTGGGAGACCGGCTGAGCCGCCCAGCCTAGGGCGCACAGGGGAAGGCCTGGCCAGTCCAGGTGGGGCAGGCGGGTTGCCCACTCTCTCAGCCCAGAGGCTACCGCTCTGAGGAGTGCAATGGAGCTGGGAGAACGCGGATCCGCAGCCCTGCTGCCGCTAGAGCCCACCAGCCACCTCCCCGTGACTGTCACGTGCCTGTGTGTACAAATGTATCGAACTGACTGTATTTCTGTAGTTACAGTGTTCAAAATAGTAGCACCCTTTTACTTAGTGTTTACTATGTGCCAGGCTCTGTGCTAACCGCTTTCATGCATTACTTCATTTTATCCACAATTGTGTAAGGTAGGTCCTTTTTTTATTATTTTTTTTATTTTTTTGAGACCAAGTCTCGCTGTCACCCAGGCTGGAGGGCAGGGGCACGCTCTCGGCTCACTGCAACCTCCACCTGCCCGGTTCAAACGATTCTCCTGCCTCAGCCTCCCGAGTAGCTGGGACTACAGGTGCGCACCACCATGCCCGGCTAATTTTTGTAATTTTAGTAGAGACGGGGTTTCACCATGTTGTTCAGGCTGGTCTCAAACTCCTGACCTCAGGTGATATGCCTGCTTTGGCCTCCTAAAGTGCTGGGATTACAGGCGTGAGCCACACCACCCGGCCTGTTAAATATTTTTTTAACCAGCCTGGCCAACATGGTGAAACCCTGTCTCTACTAAAAATACAAAAATTAGCCAGGCTTGGTGGCACATGCCTGTAATCCCACCTACTCAGAAGGCTGAGGCAGGAGAATCGCTTGAACCCAGGAGGTGGAGGTTGTAGTGAGCCAAGATCACACCACTGCACTCCAGCCTGGGTGACAGAGCAAGACTCCGTCTCAAAAAAAAAAAAACCAAAATATATATATATATATATGTGTGTGTGTGTGTGTGTGTGTGTGTGTGTGTGTGTGTGTGTGTGTGTGCATGTTTTTTTTTTCTTTAAAAACGCCAGGCATTGTGGCTCACACCTGTAATCCCAGCATTTTGGGAGGCCAAGGCGGGCAGATCACTTCAGGTCAGGAGTTCGAGACTAGCCTGGCCAACATGGTAAAACCTCATCTCTGCTAAAAACACAAAACATTAGCCAGGCGTGGTGGCTCATGCTTGTAATCCCAGCTACTTGGGAGGCTGAGGTGGGAGGATCGCTTGAACCTGGGAGGCAGAGGTTGCAGTGAGCCAAGATCACGCTACTGCACTCCAGCCTGGGTGACAGAGTGAAAAATTAAAAACAGAGAGAAGAAAAGCCTTCTAGGCTGCCTGGCGCTCCCACCTCTGTCTCCTCATCACAGGTGTCCTTGTGCTGAGGGACCTGCCCAGGGCCCCATTGCCTGGGCAATAACTCTTCTTTACCATCACTTCTGCCCTGTCTCTCCAACTAGAGGCAACATGGTAGAGCAGAGAGAGCACTGGGCTGGAAGTCTAGAGCCCTCAGTTCTAGACCCCACATGGCTTATCCTTCCTGCCACCAGAACAAGCCCCTCCACTATACCGTGCTACCTCTTATGCCCGATGGCTCCAGCAAACCCTCTTCCCTCCCTGCAAAATGTGAGAGTCAAAGCTAAACCCAACTCTCTCTGAGGCCCTTCTCTTGCTAGAGTCTCAGGTTGACAACAGTGCAGTCCTTGAAAGGCTGGCAAGTTATTCACCCATAGAAAATATTCATTGAGCATACACTGTGTACCAAGCTGCGTGTACACTTTGCACAGAGAAAATGGTCCTAGTGTCAAAGCTGAAAAAGACCTCGGAGATCAGCTAGCCAATTCCCTGAATTTATATAGATAGGGAAACTGGGGCCCATAAAAAGAACAGTTAGTATGGGGGAGTAGAGGGAATACCCAAGGATAAAGTCTAAATTTCTTGGCATGAATTAAGTGAGGACAGGTATGTGAAGAGGCTCAAAGGATTTCTGAAGTGTGGCAGGTTCCTTGGCCTTCACAAGAAGCGTTGGAGGAGCTGCCCCTGCCCACCAGTTCAGCCTCATCTCCGACCTCATCTCTGAGATGAGAATCTTCTTCTCAGAGCTACAACCACACAAAACTGCTTGCCACCCTCCAGCACACAACTCCAGGCGTTCACACCTGCCATCCCCTCTTCCACCTTGGCCTGAAAGGTGCCTTTTCATTCTCAATGCCCTGCTCTACATGCTGCTCCTCCATGAAGTCTTCCTTGCACCCCCTCTTCCCCCAGCTCAGTGCTTCCTTAATGAAGGCCCCACAGACATTAGTGCTGCCTTCTGATATAGTACTGATCACACCCCAGGGCTCCCCTGCACCCCGTGTTCACCATCCCAGAACTTGCCTTCAGACAATAGTTTTAGTGTCTGCCTTTCCAACCAGAACAGTTTCCTGAAGAGCAGTGATTGTCTGACTCCTTTGAGTAACCCCAGGCTCAGCACATAGTAGGTGTACCTATGTGTTTAATAGAAACTGGTGGAGGTGGAGATGGTGGGGCTTGTAGATTAGCTGTAGTAGCAACGGTGACGCTTGCATACTGACGGAGGTAGTGATGATAGCGCATAAATACTTTCACTGCAAAGGCAGTGCTTGCTCCAGGATCCTGTGGGAGGAGTACTGCCCACTGCCAAGAACACAGGACAGGCTAGGCTAGGACTGGTGGGAAGAAGTAGGTGGTATGGAAGGCATATGGACCAGAACTCCAGGAACCACAAGAATGAGCTGGAATGCCTCGTGACCCTCTTAGAAAATGGTGGGGAAGGCCAGGCACGGTGGCTCATGCCTGTAATCCCAGCACTTTGGGAGGTAGAGGCGGGCAGATCACCTGAGGTCGGGAGTTCAAGACCAGCCTGACCAACACGGTGAAACCCCGTGTCTACTAAAAATACAAAATTAGCCAGGCATGGTGGCGGGCACCTGTAGTCCCGGCTACTTGGGAGGCTGAGGCAGGAGATTCGCTTGAACCTGGGAGTCAGAGGTTGCAGTGAGCTGAGATCACACCACTGCACTCCAGCCTGGGTGACACAGCGAGACTGTCTCAAAAAAATAAATAAATAAATAAAAGGGGCCGGGCGCTGTGGCTCATGCCTGTAATCCCAGCACTTTGGAAGGCTGAGGCGGGCAGATCACAAGGTCAGCAGTTTAAGACCAGCCTGGCCAACATGGTGAAACCCCGTCTCTACTAAAAATACAAAAATTTGCTGGGCATGGTGGCAGGCGCCTATAATCCCAGCTACTCGGGAGGCTGAGGCAGGAGAATCACTTGAACCCAGGAGGTGGAGGTTGCGGTGAGCAGAGATCGCACCACTGCACTCCAGCCTGGGAAACAAGAGCGAAACTCTGTCTCAAAAAATAAAAATGAAAATGGTGGGGAAGACCTCACTTGGCTAGACTTGGAGGAGGGGGTGTCCTAAGCAGACAGGAGGCCTCACTTAGTAATCTCCCTACCAGGAGCCTCCTGGGAATCACGCACTTTGCTACAAGATTCAGGGTTTAAATCCTCTGTGAGCTGAGCTGTCTCTATCGCCCCTTCCATGCCAAGCACAGAGATGGGCACCCTGTGAGTGGGCTGACAGTCTTTTAATGAATCAGCCCCTCAGGACAGTGGAGTACAAGGGCATAGAGTACAGTGGGGTATAACTAACGATGGGGGAGGCGGACAGAGATTTCACTCCTCCTAACCAAGGAAGCTGCAGGGACTTGGCTGACTTCCCCAAGTCTGCCAACGGGCTAGAGGTGGCCTTTGGGTCCGCACAAGGAAGGTGTGTGTCCCTGCTCCTCCAACCCCACCATGTTCACTGTGGCCCAAATAACATACAATGCTTCCTCTTATTCGTTTTCTTTAGCATGTGACAGGCCATGAGCAGCTGAGACAGCTTTGAGGGTCTGGAGAGAGAGGGATTTCCAAGGAGCAAGTGCTGAGGGGAGGCTCTCACTCTGCCCTCTGCTGACAAGAGAATGCAGATTTTTGGGGTCACAGGGCTTGGCCACCACAGTTCAACCCTTGCTAGGAGCCCTGCTTCAGGGACTGCAGGGAGGGTACAGTATGGGGAGAGCACACTGATTGAGAGCCCCTTTCAGGCCCAAGGGGAATTTCCAAGAGAAGGGTGAGGGAGAGAGAGCTGGAAGGAGCCCCTGAAGGTGTTGAGGGGAGGGCAGGGAAGACTCCCTTGGCCTTGCTTCCTTCTCAGCTCTTCACACCCCTAGCAGAGGCACCTCTCTGGGATGCGATTTTCCATTTGAAGTCTGAAGAAAGGAGTGAAGAAGCTGAAGGCCTGGCAGTTGTGGGCTTTTCTTCTGCCTCTGACACTAGATGGCCATGTGAACTTGAGCAAGTCACTTCCTCCTCCGGGCCTCAGCTGCCCCATCTGTATGTACCATGAGGGCTCCCTATGACATCTCGGGCCATGAGCTCTGAGAGTCTAGGATCCGGAGATGCCCATCTCTGGGGGCCCATACTGGAGCATTACCTATCATCCAAGGCCACTTAGCCAGGCCTTGTGCTGGCCAGGGCAGAGGGAAGAGTCTGTCAACCCAGTCTCTGCCCTTCGGGTATTCAAAATAGTGAGGTACAGCAATCCCTGGATCCCACGGAACCCCAGATAGCCAGCTGGTCCCAAGTCCCTAGCACGTGCTTTGCCTGAGGCCAGTGCCACAAACCCTTCAATCCCAGCTTCCTTTCATCCTTCCATTTCAGCTCAAGCGCCACCTCCCTGGGGAAGCCATCCCTGACCTCCCTCAGAGATTGCTGTGCTTCCCCTTGTCACACTTGTTAACCCTTAATTACTTGTTCAGCGTATTTTCCCCCCTATACACACACTCATCGTGAGGTTCATGAGGCCCAGGACTTTGTCTCTCTTATTCATCCCGAGGATAGTGCCTGGTATATAACACTTAGGAAATATCTGTGAAATAAGTGAGTGAGGCTCCCTCTCCCGTCTGGACCCTAGGAAAACAATGTCTATCCTCTCACAGGGGTCTGGGGGAGACAGAGCAGCCACCCTGTCACACTCTTTATTTTTTACATTTCTGGGAAGCCAAAATGTCACATTCTTATTGAGAAACCCCAAACTCCTCTGGGAAACCACTCCCCTATTGGAGGTATCCCATAGCAGAGGGAACTCCGCCCCTATTACATTGGTCCAGGCCCCAGGTAAGGACACTGAGGTGCCCTTTACCCAAGAAGAAAGTGGCTGGAAAAGCATATACTGCCCAACCCCAACTCTCTTAAGCACCTTGCTCTAGGGTCTGGGGACAATAATTTCCCCTGGGAGTATCACAGAGATGACACTGACACCAGGCCCTGAGGGCTGAATAGGAGTTCACTGGATAGCAAAGTGAAGGGGAGCACATTCCAGGCAGGAGAAGCAGCACAGGAACTGACACAGAAGGGGAAAACACATGGGAGTGTTGACTGACGGGCAAACAGACACCATCCTGACCTCAGAAGGGCAAGGCGCCCACGACCCCAGAGACTTGACTCTGACTGCTTTGGAACTATCTAGGCCCCTTCCTCAGCAGAGAGAAATGACATTGTTCATAATGGACTCTCCTTACCCACCTTCCTTTTTTTTTGAGTTTTGAATGAAACTGTTGCCCAGTTGAACTCCCGTCGCCCAGGCTGGAGTACAGTGGCGTGGTCTCAGTTCACTGCAGCCTCCGCCTCCTGGGTTCAAGTGATTCTCCTGCCTCAGCCTCCCAAGTACCTGGGACTACAGGCGCCTGCCACTACGCCTGGCTAATTTTTGTTTTTTGTTTTGAGACGGAGCTTTTTGTTCTTGTTGCCCAGGCTGAAGTGCAATGGCGTGATCACAGCTCACTGCAACCTCTGCCTCCTGGGTTCAAGCTATTCTCCTGCCTCAGCCTCCCGAGTAGCCTGGGATTACAGATGCATGCCACCATGCCCAGCTAATTTTTGCATTTTTAGTAGAGATGGGGTTTCGCCATGTTGGCCAGGCTAGTCTCAAACTCCTGACCTCAGGTGATCCCCTCCCGCCTTGGCCCCCGAAAGCACTGGGATTACAGGCGTGAGCCACTGTGTCCGGCCATAATTTTTGATTTTTGTATTTTTAGTAGAGACGGGGTTTCACCATGTTGGCCAGGCTGGTTTTGAACTCCTGACCTCAAGTGATCCACCTGTCTCAGCCTCCCAAAGTGCTGGGATTACAGGTGTGAGCCACCACGCCCAGCCACCTTACTCCCCTTCCTATGACATCCAGGCCACTGGGTCTCAGTGTCTTATCTGGCTGGCTGGAGGTCAGCTCTCCTT
Source organism: Homo sapiens (assembly GCF_000001405.40). Taxonomy (NCBI): domain Eukaryota; kingdom Metazoa; phylum Chordata; class Mammalia; order Primates; family Hominidae; genus Homo; species Homo sapiens. The sequence continues at coordinate 32,747,602 of NC_000001.11, read as the reverse complement.
TCCTGGACACAGCTCCCATCTCCATGCCTAGCCCCCAGCCCCTACAGGCTTGCTCCCTCAGCCCATTCTCAAACTCACAGAATCCTAGAACTAGCAAGAGTCTCAGAGGCCATTAAACCCCATCTTTGTCGGCCAGTCGCGGTAGCTCACGCCTGTAATCCCAGCACTTTGGGATGCCAAGGCGGGCGGATCATGAGGTCAGGAGTTCGAGACCAGCCTGGCCAATATGGTGAAACCCCATCTCTACTAAAAATACAAAAATTAGCCAGGCACGGTGGCACTCACCTGTAGTCCCAGGCTGAAGCAGAAGAATCGCTTGAACCTGGGAGGCAGAGGTTGCAGTGACCTGAGATCTCGCCACTGCACGCCAGCCTGGGCGACAGAGTGAGACTCTGTCTCAAAAAACAAAACAAAACAAAAAAAAAACCATCTTTGTCAAGACAGGGCATGTCTGGTCCAAAGAGGGGCAGGACTTACCCAAGGTCATACAACAGAGCAGAACTCAAACTCAGGGTTCTCTCCACAACTCCACACCATGAAAGGACAGTCCTCCCTGAGTGGCCAGAGGGAACTTGGAGAGGCCACAGTGAACTGACTGGAGTTAACATGGGGCTAAGTCAGCTAGGCCTGGCAGGGTAGCTCTCAAATTCTCAGTATCAGAGCCATGCCTACTCCCACCCCTCAGCCGCTGCCCACTGCACAAGAGAAACCCTCAGGAGGACTACATACCCCTTTCCCCAAAACTGGTTTTGTCTAAAACTCTAGAGAGGTTACCTGCCTCCAGAGTCAGAAACACAGCCATCATCATATAATTTTCTTTGTAGAGTGTGGCCTCTGGAGGCAGACTGAGTGGCTCCGTCATTGTGATGCTGTGAACCTCACTTCCACATAGATGGGGACCTTGCCTGTCTGGTCCTCTGGCATTCACATCACCTTGAACAGTGCCTTACACTCCAGAGTAAAGAATATGTCCTCTTCAAATAAATGAAGCTGAGTGACCTCGGGCTACTTACTCTCACCCCTTTTTTCTCACCTACAAATGGTGGTAACTGTCCACCTCCCAGGTTGCTGTAAGGACATAGGAAGACTTTGATGAAAATGCCTGGCCAGGGTATATATAGCACATAGCAGCCTTCCTGTTACTTCTCTTCCCATTCAGATTAGCCAGGACCCTGCCCTCCTTCCATAGGCGCTCGCCTCCTCCAGAAAGCCTCCCCTGATTATCTGCTGGGCTCCAATCCTGGCATCTGTCCCAGAAACACTTCCTACCCACACACTTGTCTAGAGTCCAGGTGATATTTCTGGAAGATATGGATTCCTGTTTGTTTTTGTTTTTTTTAACTTGTTCTTTTTTGTTTTTTTTTTTTTTTTTGAGCTGGAGTCTCGCTCTGTCGCCCAGGCTAGAGTGCAGTGACGCGATCTCGGCTCATTGCAAGCTCCGCCTCCCGGGTTCACTCCATTCTCCTGCCTCAGCCTCCCAAGTAGCTGGGACTACAGGCGCCCGACACCACACCTGGCTAATTTTTTGTATTTTTTAGTAGAGACAGGGTTTCACCATGTTAGCCAGGATGGTCTCAATCTCCTGACCTTGTGATCCGCCCGCCTCAGCCTCCCAAAGTGCTGGGATTACAGGCGTGAGCCACCGTGCCTGGCCTGTTTTTTTAACTTTTTCTTATGTCTGAGTCCTCCTGTGGGACAAAGGTGAGACTCTATCCTCTGTGAATCCCCCTCAATAATCATCATCATCATGGGCTGTTTTCCAAACATGGATCAGGGTGAACTTAACTAATGCTCAAGTCCTCAGCAGCATAACAACAGCAGAAACCTGCTGCCAGCTGCACCATGCTCCACAGTTCACAACGCACTTGCATGTCTGTTAGCTCATTTGATCCTGGAAAGGCCCCTATAAAGCTAGGATTTATTATCCCTATTTTACAGATAAGGATACTGAGGCTTGGAGGGGTGAATAACCTGCCAGCATCTTGTAGCTTGAGAGGGGCAGACCAGGGAAGCAGAGTTGTCCATTTTTTTTTTTTTTTTTTTTTGAGACCTAGTCTCGCTCTGTCGCCCAGGCTGGAGTACAGTGGTGCAATCTCGCCTCACTGCAACCTCCACCTCCCGGGTTCAAGCGATTCTCCTGCCTCAGCCTCCTGAGTAGCTGGGATTACAGGCACGCGCCACCACGCCCAGCTAATTTTTGTATTTTTAGTAGAGACAGGGTTTCACCATGTTGGTCAGGCTGGTCTTAAACTCGCGACCTCATGACCCACCCACCTCAAACTCCCAAAGTGCTGGGATTACAGGTGTGAGCCACCACGCCCAGTCAAGCAAAGTTGTTCTTAGGCCCAGAGCCCATTCCTTCCAGACTGGGTCGTTAGAGCTCAGGTGACTAAACTTATAAACACAGGCATAGCAACCCCTTGCATTTCTATGGTTACTTCTCTTTAATATAATTTTCTTTTTTTTTTCTTTTTTTTTTTTCTGAGTCTCGCTCTGTTGCCCAGGCTGGAGTGCAGCGGTGCAATCTTGGCTAACTGCAACCTCCGCCTCCCGAGTTCAAGCAATTCTCTTGCCTCAGCCTTCCGGGTAGCTGGGACTACAGGTGCACGCCACCTTGTCTGGCAAATTTTTTGTATTTTAGTAGAGACGGGGTTTCACCGTGTTGCCCAGGCTGGTCTCGAACTCCTGAGCTCAGGCAATCTGCCCGCCTCGGTCTCCCAAAATACTAGGATTACAGGCATGAGCCACCACGCCCAGCCTTTAATATAATTTTCATATGCTCTCTTGTGAGAATCTTGGTGAGACAGAAAGGTCACAGCCCATCAAGGCAATGTCCAGCCAGAGGATTCCCCCTTTCTTCCCCACAAGACAGTGGTGGAATCAGGGAGCCCACTGAGAAGTTGCTCATCCTACATCATGGGGCTTGCTAGTAGCTGGGCCAGGATTTAAACTCTCATTGGCCTGATTCTGATACTCTCCCCACTCTATCAAGTTCCCTCACTTCTCTCTCTGGGCCATTTCCCATCTGTAAAGTGAGTTGAACAAGAAGATCTTCAAGCCTTACCTGCTGCTCTATGTCCTTGGGAGAGTCATGAAAACAGTCCCGATTTTTGAGGCAGGTGATTTGAGTTTAAATCCGTTTGGTCAAATCAGTCACTCACTGTCCCTGAGCCTCAATTTTTTCATCTGCAAGTAAGATCTTGACATATTCAGACTAATCAATAAATGTCAGACTTCCTCTCTTCTTCTAAGTTTGTGCAGGGTAGTGAGGTCAGCAAGGGAATCATGGAAGACTGGTGCTCAAAACTCCATGACAAGCTCAGTTTTTCCATCTTAAAGTAGGAGAGTCAGATTAGAGGAATCAAGACCTGCCTCTCATAGGTCTTTGAGCCAGAGATTGGAATGGAGGAGATAATGACTTCCCCAGCAAAGATCCCTGACCTCCCAGGAATCTCCTGTGTATCCCTCCTCCCCACCTCTCCCAATCTCCATTCTGAACATTCTCCCTGAAAGAGTTAAGCCTTCTGCAGGCTTCCCGTTCCTGGCCAGCGTTGCCAGTGGAGATTAGTGGGATCAGATTTATTTCTCTTAATAAACAGAAAAGAAGTTGGGCCAGGCAGGTGACAAGGAAACAGTTGCAATAATAGGAGGCTGGAGTAAAAGGGAACAGGACTTCCTCCAGTCATACCCAGGGCCACCTCCAGACCTGGAGAAACAACAGCCAGGGGCAAGGAGGTGTTACCCATGCACGTGGGCTCAAATCAGGCCGACATGCTGCCCAGAAAGCCCAGAGCCACCTGATACCAAACACAAGGCAAGAGGGAGGCCTGGCCACTGACCCAATGAACCCAAACCCAGGCTGTTGGAGCAGTGACCTACAGGCTCAGCTTTTCCAGCCCCCTGCCTTCCAGGCTGGTCTCCCAGAGGAAAAAGGTCCATTGCCCTGGAGTATACACTGCTAGTCCACTAGCCTTCTGCCTGCCAATCCTGACAGTCTGACCACAATACATCCTGCTGCAATGCCCTCTTGAATGAGACGGGGATGACTTCAGACTGAATCCCAGTGGGGCAGCCCTGGGACAGACTCCATGTCCTGTTAGGACTGCAGAGGCTTTGGAAACACCCCTCACCCAAATCCAGTCCTCCCTCAGGGTTTGGCCCAGTCACCCCAGCCCCAGCACCCTCACTTCTATGTGTGGCTGTGCCGCAGGGAAGCAGGGCCCTTATCCAAAAGGAAGATCAAGCCGGATACAATCACACATGAGGCTTTCCACCCTCTTCCTGACCCCTAAAGTGTTCCTTCTAACTCTCCCAGAAGAGGTGGTTAAAGGACACTGGGAGGGTAAACACAGGCAGAATGGGATGGGCCCGCACACCCAGCCATTTCCTCACCTCCAGCACTGCAGCAGCAGTCTAGGAAAGGTGGACTTCCCAGGACAGCAAGCCCCAAGGGAGCTCCACCCTCTTGCAAAGACTCAAGCCCTCCCCATCAAAAGGAAGACAGAAACTGGAAAATGAGGGAAGGCCCAAGAAAGGAACTGAAAATGACCCCAGCAGGGATGGGCCAGGTCGGCTTCCCCGCCTTTCAGGCTGCCCGTCCAGGCCAGAGGAGGAGCCCAGGGACTCAAATTCAGAAAGACTGAGAATTAGCTGTTGAATTTTAAGTACCCACCCCAGCCCAGGTACAGCCTCTCCACTGAGCTTGGGCCTCAGTTTCCCCCATCTGTAAGCACACTTCCGACACTGGCATGTTTCTCCAGGGCTGGAAGAAGGAGTGATAGGGAGGGGCGGGTTGGTTCACCTTGGTGAGCTCACTACCCCAGGAGGTGATGTTTGTGGCCTGGCCCAGGTGAGCGTTGAGGGAGGCCAGGTGGGAAAAGCCAGCACTGTTAAGAAGCTAAGGCAGGGCACACTGTGCTCCATGTGAGGTCCTTTGTGGGGCTGGAAATCCAGATCCAGCTGGAGCTGAAACTCTTTGTGAGTGCGGTTGACCTTCCAGACCCAGAGGGTCCCCACCAGAGACCCAAGGCCACCTGTCTCTCCCATTGGCCACAGGCCAGCGTTAAGTCTCTGACCCCCTGACTCAGCAGAGGGCAGAACCTCGGTGAGCCTGGGGGAGGGGGAATCGCCTCACCGCCCTGGAGTCGGGCTACCAGCACTTCCTGCTCTGCCAGGGGATCCCTGCCCCAGCCGGGGGTCCCCTCCCCTCACAGCGGGGCAGGACTGGGTCTGGAAACTGCGGAAGGCAGCGCAGGGTGGAAGTGTTCGGACTCAGCCCTGGCCTCTTCGCTTTCCAGCACCAGCTCCTGGGGGTCACCCCCCTCCAACACGCCGCGCGCGGACCCCCGGCAGAGCCCCCTCGGCCGCACCCTCGACGCCCCCCCGCGCTCAGCCCAGGTGCCGACCGCCTTACCTCGGCCTTTGCCCTTGGCCCTCTTGGCCTTGTCCTCCGCCTTCTTGGCCCGGGGGGCGGCCGGTTCGGCGCCCTCGGCCCCCGCCGCCTTCTTCTTGCGCCGCTTGCCCCGCAGCCAGCTGAAGGCGCGGCGGAGGCCGGACGCGCCGGAGCGGGACTTCTTCCTGCGCGGGGGGCCGCCCGGGTTCCCCGGCTCCTCGGCCGCAGGTGCGGCGGGGGGCGCGCGGGCCGCCATGGCAGGCGGGGGCGGAGCGGGCGGCGGGTCAGGCCCCCTGCGGCGCGGTGCCCATGCCGGGGGCGGCCGCCGGGGACGCGCGCCCGGAGAAAAGTTTGGGCGGCGGAGGCCGAGCGGGCGCGGAGAGCGGACGGCGGGAGCGGCGCGGGAGGGGCCGGCCGAGCGGCGGGCGGGGCGCAGGCCGGCGGGGAGGGAAGGAGCGGGGCGGGAGCGGCCGCAGGGCGGGAGCGCCGCTGCCTGCGGCCCCTCCCCGCCTCCCCCGGTCCCGGCGGAGGGCGAGGTCCAGTCCCGAGAGGAGGGGGTCCCGGGAGCCCGGGGTCGTGCCCCCCGCTGGGGCCCGAGAGGGCGGGTCGTGGGGCCGCCCGGGAGGGGGCGGCACTGAGGTTCCGTCCCGCAGGGGGCACCGCGGGAGATCTGTTCGGAAGAGGGTGGTATGGGGTGGGGACGGAAAGGGGAAGGGCGCAGGAAAGGAGGAGCGAGAGGCTGGGGTTGGACCCCAGGAGACTTGGTATCCCAAGTTTGGGCTGGGAATAGACAGGGGATTCTGGAATATTTTTTCCTGGAATAAGGGAATTTGGAGAATTCCTTCCAAGCCCCGACAGTGTTGGGGCGCTTGCGCCAGGAATAGAGGCTTCAGACACGTCCAAGACCTGTGACCCGCAGTGGGCATTTCCCTCCCATCTGCTGACTGGGGTCGCCTCCTCGCTCTTTACCACACCTTCCAGGCTCCAACCATCTTCGGTGTGCAGCGGGGGCCCAGGTCCACTGTGTTCCTGCCTCACCCTTTGGTGGCAAGATGAGGATAGCCCTTCCTCCGTTTACCCTTGGACTAGGATTTGAGGCCCCAGGGCACTCCTGCCTGGACCAGGAGTTCCCACTGAGATGCTCAACACTAATTAGGGTTGAACTCTGGGCAGGTGAGAGGTGTGACTGGGAGGCTGGTAGGAAAGGAAACATTAAGAATCCTGAAATTGCTGTACTCATTGCCTACAGGCCTCTGGGTCTATTACAGCTGACCAAGCCCTTTTATATCATCTGATCCCACGACAACGGAAATGGAGGCCAGAAGGGGACAGAGGTGGTCAGCGGGAGAGGAGCCAAGATGGTCATCTGGGTTTTGTCTCAGGCTGGTCCAAGGCTTCAAACCCTAAGGACTAGAAATTGCGCTGGGGACCAGCTGTGGGTTCAGCACCCTTGAACCTCCTCCGTCAGTCCCCAGAAGGGCCTTGTGATGTCCATACCAGTGGGGTGGCCAGAATCACCCAATCTGACTCTGGTCACACGGCTTTCTCTTGGTCCTGGTCTCCACGAGGGCAGGGGCCCATTTGTCTGGGCCACCCAGCCCAGTCAGCCCCGGCGCACTGTAGATAGCACTCACCATAACATTGCAGGATTACTAGAGTGCAGTGGGATCTCCCTAACCTGCCTTAGCCCCCTGCATGTCCCCAGGGGCTCAGCTGTGGTGAACCTGGGACATCATTGACACTCTCCCACCTGGGGGCCCTGGGGCAGACCACCCAGTGTCCATGCTGGGCCTCAGTTTCTTGTCTAACCACCATTCATTCAGATCCAGCCCACAATCCCAGAGCACCCATTCTGGATCAGGAACCAGCCCTGTACTCTGGGTGCTCTTGGCCCAGCCTAGCACTCCTAAGAACCCAGCCTCTTCCTCTGTTAGTTGGTGAGGAAAGGGAATGTAGAGAATGCAGTTTTCAAGAGAAAAGTGTTACAGGTGCCAGGCATGGTGGCTCAGGCCTGTATTCCCAGCACTTTGGGAGGCCCAGGCAAATGGATCACCTGAGGTCAGGAGTTTAAGACCAGCCAGACCAACATGGTGAAACCCGGTCTCTACTAAATACAAAAACTTAGCTGGGTGTGGTGGTGCATGCCTGTAGTCCCAGCTACTTGGGAGACTAAGGCAGGCGAATTGCTTGAACCCGGTAGGCGGAGGTTGCAGTGAGCCAAAATTGCACCATTGCACTCCAGCCTGGGTGACAGAGCGAGACTCTGTCTCAAAAAAAAAAAAAAAAAAAAAAAAAAAAAACTTATTAAGAATTTCAAGGCCTGCCACAGTGGCTCATGTCTGTAATCCCAACACTTTGGAAGGCCAAGGTGGGAGGATTGCTTGAGCCTAGGAGTTCGAGACCAGCCTTGGGCAACATGGTAAGAGCTCATCTCTCCAAAAAAAAAATTGTTTTTCATTAGCCAGGTGTGGTGACAAGTGCCTGTGGTCCTAGCTACTCACTCGGGAGGCTGAGGTGGGAGGATCCCTTGAGCCCAGGAGGTCAAGGCTATAGTGAGCCATGTTCGCGCCACTGAACTGCAGCCTGCGAAACAGAGTGAAATCTTGTCTTTTTGTTGTTGTTGTTGTTTGTTTGTTTGTTTGTTTGAGACTGAGTCTTGCTCTGTCGCCCAGGCTGGAGTGCAGTGGCACAATCTCGGTTCACTGTAACCTCCACCTCCCGGGTTCAAGCGATTCTCCTGCCTCAGCCTCCTGAGTAGCTGGGACTACAGGCGCCCGCCACCACGCCTGGCTAATTTTTGTATTTTTAGTAGAGACGGGGTTTCGCCATATTGGTCAGGCTGGTCTCGAACTCCTGACCTCAGGTGACCCACGCGCCTCGGCCTCCCAAAGTGCTGGGATTACAGGCGTGAGCCACTGTGCCTGGCCTGACTTTGTCTTTTAAAAAAAGAATTTCAAGAGGCAATAGCAGGCCGGGCAAGGTGACTCACGCCTGTAGTCCTGGCACTTTGGGAAGCCGAGGCAGGTGGATCACAAGGTCAGGAGTTTGAGACCAGCCTGGCCAACATAGTGAAACCCCGTCTCTACTAAAAATACAAAAATTAGCCAGGCAAGGTGGCAAGCGCCTGTAATCCCAGATACTCGAGAGGCTGAGGCAGGAGAATCACTTGAACCCAGGAGGCGGAGTTTGCAGTGAGCCAAGATCACGCCATTGCACTCCAGCCCCGGTGACAGTGTGAGACTCCATCTCAAAAAAAAAAAAAAAAAAAATTAGCCAGGCTTGCTGGCAGGCGCCTATAATCCCAGCTACTCAGGAAGCTGCGGCAGGAGAATCACTTGAACCCGGGAGGTGGAGGTTGCAGTGAGCCGAGATCATGCCATTGCACTCCAGCCTGGGCGACGAGTAAAACTCCGTCTCAATAAAATAAATAAAAATACAAAAAAACTAGCAAGGCATGGTGGTGCTTGTCTGTGGTCCCAGCTGCTCGGGAGGCTGAGGCAGGAGAAACGCTTGAACCCAGAAGGCAGAGGTTATAGTGAGCCGAGATGGTGCCACTGCACTCCAGGCTGGAAAATAAGAACAAAACTCCGTCTCAAAAATAAAAATGCCGGGCACGGTGGCTCACGTCTGTAATTCCAGTACTTTGGGAGGCCAAAGAGGGCGGATCATGAGGTCAGGAGATCGAGACCACCCTGGCCAACATGGTAAAACCCCGTCTCAACTAAAAATACAAAAATTAGGCCAGGTGCAGTGGCTCACACCTGTAATCCCCGCACTTTGGGAGGCTGAGGCAGGCGGATCACCTGAGGTCGGGAGCTCGAGACCAGCCTGACCAACATGGAGAAACCCTGTCTCTACTAAAAATACAAAAATTAGCCAGACATAGTGGCGCATGCCTGTAGTCCCAGCTACTCTGGAGGCTGAGCAGGAGAATCGCTTGAACCTGGGAGGTAGAGGTTGCAGTGAGCCTAGATCGTGCCATTGCCCTCCAGCCTGGGCAACAAGAGCGAAACTCCATCCCAAAAAAAAAAAAAAATACAAAAATTAGCCGGGCATAGTGGCGGGTGCCTGTAATCCCATCTACCTGGGAGGCTGAGGCAGAGAATTGCTTGAACCCGGGAGGTGGAGGTTGCAGTGAGCCGAGACTGTGCCACTGCACTCCAGCCTGGGCGACAGAGCAAGATTCTGTCTCAAAAAAAAAGAGGCAACAGCAAAACATTCAACCAAGCACAGAGCCTTTCTGAGCATGGGCTATGCATAACTACACAGTTTGCATGCCTCTGAAGATAGCCCTGCCAGTGTCTCATATAATTCCTCAGGGAAATTCCCCTCAAACTAGAATTTCCAGGAATCAACCCACAGATTGGATCCTCTGATTTGCAGGTAGGGAGAGGAAGAAGGGAAATGAGGAGAGTTCAGGGTTATATTCCCTTCACTGCTCCTGACTCCAGCACCCAGAGACTCTCACTTCTCATCCCCAGCCCGGACCACCTTCAGACCAGCAGGCCCAGCTCTCCCTCTTGCCCCCTGGCCTAAAGGACAGACATGCTTCTGAGCCACCCAGGGAGGGCTAGCCTAGGAAGAGCTAGCCTGTGTCTCAGCTGTAGCTGGATCCGGCTCCCTGGAATAATGATTGCTCAGCTCAGCTACATGTCTTTGCTGGCCTTGCAGGCAGCGGAGGGAGCTGACTTCCCAGCAGTCCCTGTGGATAGGGCCCAAAGTTCAACCTGGAGCCAGGCTGTCACCTGACCAGGAAGGAAACTTCCAGCCTGTCCCCAGGGAGGAACCAGCAAAAACCAGGCTTGGGGCAGCATCCTAAGGGCCCTCCAACTTTGCCCCTCTGTTTGGGGAAAGCCCAGGACCACCCTGATGTTGCCCTCACACACACCAATCCCCCTTTCCACTTGGGAGACCTGCCTTCCACAGGAGCCAGCTTTGTCCTCTGCTGGGCCTGGCCTCCTTCCACAAAGACTCCTCACTCCAGACAGGGCAGCCAGGCCAAAGGTGTGGCTGAGCCTCTTACATTTTACAGGGAAGACCAGGAAGGGACAGACAGCCTTGGGATGGGAGCACCTGTGGCTTCCCTCAGTTCTTAGACCAATTGCAGGGGCCGGAATTGTACCAGAGGGCAGAGCAATCCTGCATAGTTGAAAGTTGGGAGGGGGGAGATGTAGGTCCCAGCCAGCATTCTTATGTCCCCTAATCCCTGGCTCTTGGCATCTGTGGCAGCCGTCTTAACATTTCAAACAACCTCCCTGCTGAGGTCTTCTTTGATCCTCTAGGCATCTCTTAGAATCAAGCCCCAAGCCTAATTCCACCCATTTTTCCTCCCGCTGAGTTGAGAGGAGAAATGGCTCGCATAGGGTGTTAGTGGTGTGTGGCCAGATCAAATGGAGTCTTATGCGTTCCCATCTTTAAGTTGGTGCCAGCTCCTAAGAAAAGAGAGGAGGGGAAAGAGGTGAGGGTGCAGGGGGAGGAAAGAGGAGAAAAAGTAGAGAGCAGAGAGGTAGTTATTGCCACCACCCAGTCTCTAGTATGCAACGGGTTGTGTTTCCCTTCGTTCTTTCAACAAATATCCCAGCTACTCAGGAGGCTGAGGCACCAGAATTGCTTGAACCCGGGAGGTGGAGGTTGCAGTGAGCCGTGAGCATGCCACTGCATTCCAGCCTGGGCAACACAGTGAGAATCAGTCTCAAAAGAAAAAAAAAAAAAAAGGCATCACTGTTCTCACTGATTTACTTTATTTTTTTTTAATTTTATTTATTTATTTTTTTGAGACAGAGTCTCACTCTGTCGCCCAGGCTGGAGTGCAGTGGCAAGATCTCAGCTCACTGCAGGCTCCGCCTCCTGGGTTCACGCCATTCTCCTGCCTCAGCCTCCTGAGTAGCTGGGACTACAGGCGCCTGCCACCATGCACCGCTAATTTTTTGTATTTTTAGTAGAGACGGGGTTTCACCATGTTAGACAGGATGGTCTCGATCTCCTGACCTCGTGATCTGGCCGCCTCGGCCTCGCAAAGTGCTGGGATTACAGGTGTGAGCCACCACACCCGGTCCTTGTTTGTTTTTTTGAAACAGAGTCTCACTCTGTGCCCAGGCTGGAGTACAATAACGTGATCTTGCCTCACTGCAACCTCCACCTCCTGGGTTTAAGAAATTTTCTGCCTCAGCCTCCCGAATAGCTGGGATTACAGGTGCATGCCTCTACGCCCAGCTAATTTTTTTGTACTTTTAGTGGAGACGAGGTTTCAGTATCTTGGCCAGGCTGGTCTTGAACTCCTGACCTCATGATCCTCCTGCCTCGGCCTCCCAAAGTTCTGGGATTACAGGCGTGAGCCACCGTGCCTGGCCGGTAGTAAGAGTTTTAACAGCTTCGTAAAAATGTCAGGAGAAGCTTTATTCTCAGGTCTGCAAAGAAACAAGTTATCAGCCGGGCACGGTGGCTCATACCTGTAATCCCAGCACTTTGGGAGGCCTAGGCGGGCGGATCACGAGGTCAGGAGCTTGAGACCAACCTGACCAACATGGAGAAACCCTGTCTCTACTAAAAATACAAAAATTAGCTGGGCATGGAGGCGCGTGCCTGTAATCCCAGCTACTCGGGAGGCTGAGGCAGGAGAATGGCTTGAACCCAGGAGGCGGAGGTTGCAGTGAGCCAAGATTGCACCACTGCACTCTAGCCTGGCGAGAGAGTGAGACTCCGCCTCAAAAAAAAAATTAGCATAGAACTCAACTATATGTGTGTACATGCTTTTCACTACTTTAGAAAATGTTTTGGGGACTGGGTGCAGTGACTCATGCCTGTAATCCCAGCATTTTGGGAGGCCGAGGCAGGAGGATCATGAGGTCCGGAGTTTGAGACCAGCCTGACCAATATGGTGAAACCCCATCTCTACTAAAAATACAAAAATTAGCCAGGCATGGTGGCATGCGCCTGTAATCCCAGGTATTCAGGAGGCTGAGGCAGGAGGATTGCTTGAACCGGGGAAGTGGAGGTTGCAGTGAGCTGAGATTGCACCACTGCACTCCAGCGTCGGTGACAGAGCGAGACTCTGTCTCAAAAAAATGTTTTTGGCCGGTGCAGTGGCTCACATCTATAATCCCACCACTTTGGGAGGCCAAGGCGGGCAGATCACCTGAGGTTGGGAGTTCAAAACCAGCCTGACCAACATGGGGAAACCCTGTCTCTACTAAAACTACAAAATTAACCGGGCATGATGGCACATGCCTATATTCCCAGCTACTCAGGAGGCTGAGGCAGGATAATCGCTTGAACCTGGGAGGCGGAGGTTGCAGTGAGCCGAGATCAAGCCATTGCACTCCAGCCTGGGCAACAAGAGCGAAACTCCGTCTCAAAAAAAAATGTTTTTATAAATATACAGTATACATAAAACATACATACATATGTATATTCTTTTTTTTTTTTTTTTTTTTTTTTTGAGACAGAGTCTTGCTCTGTCACCCAGGCTGGAGTGCAGTGGCGCGATCTCGGCTCACTGCAAGCTCCACCTCCCGGGTTCACCCCGTTCTCCTGCCTCATCCTCCCGAGTAGCTGGGACAACAGGCGCCCGCCACCACACCCGGCTAATTCTTTGTATTTTTAGTAGAGACGGGGTTTCACCGTGTTAGCTAGGATGGTCTCGATCTCCTGACCTCGTGATCCACCCGCCTCGGCCTCCCAAAGTGCTGGAATTACAGGAGTGAGCCACCGCGCCCGGCCTACATATGTATATTCTAAAGTAATTATTAAATCCTAGAATGAGAAAACTACGTGGGGCAAAAGAATCCCTACAGTTAACCTGGTTCTCATTATTTTGGTCTTGCCACTAACTTGCTAAGTGTGTACTTGGGCAACAAGACATTGCCCTCTCTGGGAACCAGTTTCCCCATTCTGAACATCCAGTTTTACCTAGGGAAGGAGTGTGTGTGGAGGTATTTGAGTATGTTGGGGTGTGGGGCTGCAGTGCACATATGCAGAAGCCTTATTAACTCATCCTCACCACCCACCCCATCCCAGCACTGGGCCCAAAGGGGGCCCTGCAAAACCACTGAACTGCCCAAGTTCGAAGGCGGAGGCGGGTTGCCATGGAGACACGTTTTGTTTCCCCAGCTGTCTGGCTGCATCTGACAAACACGACAAGCTCAGCCAGATGGACACTGACCTAGGCTGAGAGAGCAGGGATTTCCTGACCTCAAGATTCAGAGGTCTCTCTGCTCTCCAAAGAGAGGGGCTTGGTTCTTCTCAGAAACAGGAAAATGATCAATCTGGTCTGCCAGCTGGGAAGGCTACATGTCGGGGGCTGCTGGCTGGAGCCCCTCTCTAGGTGTTTGCAGACATGCACTCCACCAGTCCTCGGCAGCAAGCCCTGTGCCCAGGAGCAGGGCTACGAGTGAAACACCCACACTCAGGGCCTTCTGGAAGCAGGGGGAGGGATTGAAATGTGTGGGCAGAGCTCTCCGCCCACAGATAGGAGAACAACTGGATGTGGACTCTTAGAGACCCCAGCTCCCACCCCCACATCTACATAGATGTAGACACAAACACACTGAGACACAGACAGGTTGACAAACCTACCTACACACCACTTCACAGTGGCACATCCAAACATGTGGGTACATATACCAATATACAAGCCCAGATACACACTGCCACACCTAGATACCCTTAAACACTCAGATATGCTGAGGCAGACTGACATCTAAACACATATAAGCTGGCCACAGTGGCCCACGCCTGTAATCGCAACACTTTGGGGGGCTGAAGTGGGAGGACTGCTGGAGCTCGGCAGTTCGAGACTAGCCTGGGCAACATAGGAAGCTCCCCATCTCTACAAAAATTTAAAAATTATCTGGGCTGGGCACAGTGGCTCACGCCTGTAATCCCAGCTCTTTGGGAGGCTGAGGCAGGCGGATCACCTGCGGTCAGGAGTTTGAGACCAGCCTGGCTAACATGGTGAAACCCCATTTCTACTAAAAATACAAAAAATTAGCTGGATGTGGTGGGCACGTGCCTGTAGTCCCAGCTACTCGGGAGGCTGAGGCAGGAGAATCGCTTGAACCCAGGATGCGGAGGTTGCAGTGAGCCGGGATAGCGCCATTGCTCTCCAGCTTGGGCAACAAGAGCTAAACTCCGTCTCAAAAAAAAAAAATTAGCTGGGTGTCGTGGTGCATGCCTGTGGTCCTAGCTACTTGAGAGGCTGAGGTGGGAGGATCACTTGGGCCCAGGAGGTTAAAGCTGCCATGATCGTGCCACTGCACTCCAGCCTGGGCAACAGAGACTCTGTCTCAAAAATATATATGCATTAAAAATATAATAAACACGCCGGGTGCGGTGGCTCATGCCTGTAATCCCAGCACTTTGTGGGGCGGAGGTGGGTGGATCACCTGAGGTCGGGAGTTCAAGACCAACCTGACCAACGTGGAGAAACCCTGTCTCTACTAAAAATACAAAATTAGCGGCCGGGCGCAGTGGCTCATGACTGTAATCCCAGTACTTTGGGAGGCCGAGGCGGGCGGATCACGAGGTCAGGAGATGGAGACCATCCTGGCTAACACAGTGAAACCCCGTCTCTACTAAAAATACAAAGAATTAGCCGGGCGTGGTGGCGGGCACCTGTTGTCCCAGCTACTTGGGAGGCTGAGGCAGGAGAATGGCATGAACCCGGGAGGCAGAGCTTGCAGTGAGCCAAGATTGCACCACTGCACTCCAGCCTGGGCGACAGAGCAAGACTCCATCTCAAAAAAAAAAAAAAAAATTAGCTGGGCTCGGTGGCAAGTGCCTGTAATCCCAGCTACTCGGTAGGCTGAGGCAGGAGAATCACTTGAACCTGGGAGGCAGAGGTTGCAGTGAGCCGAGATTGCACCATTGCACTCCAGCCTGGGCAACAAGAGCGAAACTCTGTCTCAAAAAAACAAAATAATAATAATAATAATAAAGACATATAGGCAGTGCATGATGGCTCACACCTGTAATCCCACCACTTTGGGAGGCTGAGGTGGGTGGATCACGAGATCAGGAATTCAAGACCAGCCTGGCCAACGTGGTGAAAACCCTGTCTCTACTAAAAATACAAAAATTAGCCAGGTGTGGTGGCGGGCGCCTGTAATCCTAGCTACGCAGGAGGCTGAAGCAGAAGGATCACTTGAACCTAGAAGGTGGAAGTTGTGGTGAGCTGAGACCGTGCCATCGCACTCCAGCCTGGGTGACAGAGTGAGACTCCGTCTCAAAAAAAATAAAAAATGAAATAAAATAAACACATATAAATAGACACAAACAAGCTGAGATACACAGCTACACCCCACACACATACATACCACCAATACACCCAAGCATATACTCACTTATACAGAGACACACAGACACACATACACAAATGCATACATTTCCAGATGCACAGACATTCACCAATATAAGAAAAGAATACACACAGACGCTTAGCAGCCCATAAACCACAGACAGGCTGGGTGTGGTGGCTCACGCCTGTAATCCCAACACTTTGGGAGGCCGAGGTGGGCGGATCACGAGGTCAAGAGATCGAGACCATCCTGGCTAACACAGTGAAACCCTGTCTCTACTAAAAATACAAAAAAAAATTAGCCAGGCATTGTGGCAGGAGCCTGTAGTCCCAGCTACTCAGGAGGCTGAGGCAGGAGAATGGCGTGAACCCGGGAGGCGGAGCTTGCAGTGAGCTGAGATAGGGCAGAGTGAGACTCCGTCTCAAAAAAAAAAAAAAAAAAACCACAGACAGATTCAACCAGGCCCCGTAAACAAACATAGATGTAAAGAGGCAAACACTTACAAGTAGAAACACAGTTCCAGGCAAGGAGAAGAGAGGAAAAGGGAACTAATACTTGGTAAGAGCCAATTTTGCAGCAGACAGCATGAGAACAGTTTTACCTGTAGGATCTTTTTAAAATCCTTCCAATAATCTGTAAAGTTGGTAGGATTATCCCTGCTTCATACAAATGCAATAATATACATGCTTATAAAGGCCCAGATAATACATGAGAAAATAGGATACAATGTGAAAGTTCCCCATCACATACCCCTTTCCCACCCCACCCCATCCACTATTAATGAGAAGGGTAGCATAAACCCCTCCAGCCTTTTTCTTTTCTTTTCTTTTTGGAACTGGCACCCAGGCTGGAGTACAGTGGCGCAATCTCGGCACACTGCAACCTCCGCCTTCCAGGTTCAAGTGATTCTCCTGCCCCAGCCTCTCAAGTAGCTGGGATTACAGGCGCCCGCCACCACGCCCGGCTAATTTTTTGTATTTTTAGTAGAGACGGGGTTTCACTATGTTGACCAGGCTGGTCTCGAACTCCTGACCTCATGATCTGCCTGCCTTGGCCTCCCAAAGTGCTGGGATTACAGGCATGAGCCACCACGCCTGGCCTTTTTTTTGTTTGTTTGTTTTTTTGAGACAGAGTTTCGCTCTCGTTGCCCAGGCTGGAGTGCAATAGTGCAATCTCGGCTCACTGCAACCTCCGCCTCCTGGGTTCAAGCGATTCTCCTGCCTCAGCCTCCCAAGTAGCTGGGATTACAGGCATGCACCACCACGCCCGGCTAATTTTGTATTTTTAGTAGAGACAGGGTTTCTCCGTGTTGGTCAGGCGGTCTTGAACTCCCGACCTCAGGTGATCCGCCCACCTCGGCCTCCCAAAGTGCTGGGATTTCAGGTGTGAGCCACAGCGCCTGACTGCCCTCTGGCCTTTTTCTACGCATTTGTATACAAGTACGTAAAGATACAGCAAATTTGAACATTTTCTGCAAAACTGACTCAGAGCAGATAAGAAATTGGACCAAGGTCACACAGCTAGTTAGTAATAGAACCAGGATTTGGATTTAGCTCTGGCTCACTCCAAAATGCTCTTTTTGCTGCCTCAGCCCACAGACAACCACAGAGACCTAAATTCACAAAGGGGAGGCCCAGGGTCGGAGGGAGGGGCAGCATGTCTGGGCAGGAAGGGAAAGGAAGCTGCACAGAGTCTCTGCCTGATTGCTCTGGGATCAAGTCTCAGTCCCTTAGGTGGCTCCCCTGGTCAAAGGATTGTCCCTGTAAATTCCTATTAAGAAGCAGATGTATCCCTGGGATGGAAACCTTTGAATCATTGACTCATAGGTGACCACCAGGCAAGTGACTAAGTGATGACATGCACAGCTGCAGCCTTCAGGACCACGCCCGGCCACCCAGCTTTTTTTATTATTATTTTTTTTGAGACAGGGTCTTGCTGTGTTGCCCAGGATAGAGTGCAGTGGCATGATCACGACTCACTGCAGCCTTGACCTCCCAGGCTCAGGCGATCATCCTCCCACCTCAGCCTCCCAAGTAGCTGGGACCACAGGCACGTGCCATCACGCCCGGCTAGTTTTTCTAATTATTCGTAGACACAGGGTCTCCCTACGTTGCCCAGGCTAGCTATCACATTTTAGCAAACATGTTTTCCATCACTCTCGCAGCTAGATGGGAGGCCCTGAAGAGCAAGGGCTGGCCTCCTTCCTCTCTGAATTTATAGTGCCAGGAGAGGCTTGGCGCAGTGGAGAGGGATTCAGTGGGTGGTTGTTGAGTGGGGTCCACATCCATTTGATGTTCATCTGAGCAGCAAAGTGAGAAAATAGGAGAGATGTGTTGTGGGGCTAGGGTACCCTGGGAAGGCCACTGGTAGCTGTGGCTCCCTCAGGAAGTCACTGAAGGCAAGAACTCCTTCAGGATCTGGCTATCACTAGCCCTGAAGCCCAGGTCGGCCTGTCTGCACAGCTGCCCCTGCTGGGGAAGCAAGTGTCCTCCGGCTCCTCCACATCTCCCTTCAGTTAGGAGCTCTCAGCCCATCTGTTATTAAATATTTACTGTTTCTCGCTCTGCTCAGCTTGGTGCCAGGCCCTGGAGGAGGGAATTGGAGACTAGGGGACAGGGAACTAACTGTCTACAATTAATGATCACTTACCTGTTCCCACAGAATTCACGGAAGCCCTGTAAGTTGGGTTCTTAGCTCTATGAAATGAAGTTGAGAGAGGGAAGACACTGGTCCCAGGTCACAGAGCCAGTGAGCCAAGATCCATAGTCAGGTGTGTGTGCATCCTTCCCCTGCATCCTGCACCCCACCCCACCCCCCAGCCTGGGAGGATGTGGACTTGACTTGAATGAGGCTCAGGGAGGCCATTTCTGAGGTGGGGCTGCAGCTGAAACATGGCCTGCCCCGGTGGATTCTCTACAATAACAACAGCTTGCATTTATCCAGCACTTTCCCTTCCATTAGCTCATTCAGCCCTCCCCAGCATCCCCATGGGTACCTATTATTCTCTCCATTTGACAGATGAGGGATGGAAGCTCAGTGAGCTCAAGTGACTTTCCTAAGGTTGCACAGCATTGCATGGCAAAGCATGAGTACACTTTCAGATCCTAAACCTTCCTCTTGGATCTGTCTGCTGCCTCAGCTTTTCTCCCCTCCAGCATCCTCCGTGCTGCCCTAGAGAAGCTCTCCAAAACACATGTGAGCTTCCAGTCCCTGCCTTCTCATGGCCACAGCTTTGTCTGTGGGTAATTTTTTTGGCTTTCCCTGACTTGTCTACCTTTCAAGCTCCTACTCAGCCTGCAGGTGCCAACTCAAATGCTATCATCTCCAGGAAGTCTTCCTGGATTGATCCAGCCACACTTCAGCACTCCCTCTTTTTATTTTTTATTGTTTTGAGATGGAGTTTCGCTCTTGTTGCCCAGGGTGGAGTGCAATGGCGCGATCTCGGCTCACTGCAACCTCCTGCCTCCCGGGTTCAAGTGATTCTCCTGCCTCAGCTTCCCAAGTAGCTGGGATTACAGGCATGCACCACCACGCCCAGCTAATTTTGTATTTTTAGTAGAGATGGGGTTTCTCCATGTTGGTCAGTCTAGTCTTGAACTTCCAACCTCAGGTGATCCGTCCACCTCGGCCTCCCAAAGTGCTGGGATTACAGGCTTGAGCCACCGCACCTGGCTCAGCATTCCTTCTAAGCATAGAAGTTCCTCCATATAAACCTCTAGTAGAGCAATTATCTTATTATGTTTGTTTGTCTGTCTAACTTTCTCACCAGACTGTGAGTTCCTTAAGGGCAAAGACAATGATTTTTCAAGTCAGCCTCCCCTGCACATAGCTTTGGTACTTGTTTGTACAACATCCCTAAGGGCTAGGCCTCAGGCCTCAGTGAAAGATGGTGAGGCATTAATAGAGGTAGGGCAGCAAGAGAAGCTGGTGTTTAGGGAGGAAAAAGAAGAGATGGAATTTTGCTTTTAGCTACTTAGAATTTGACTTGGACATCCAGCAAAACATGCCCAGGAGGTAGGAGTTGGGAGGTGGGGGGAACTGACCAGAAAGAAAGGATATTATCTACAGGTGCCGTTACCTGACTTACTATGCACCAGACCCAGTGCTGAATGCTTTATATGCATTATTGCATTAGATCCCCAGGAGGTAGGTAAGATCAACACATTTAATGGCGGAGGAAGCTGAGGAGTTACCCAAGGTTACACAGCTCGTAAAAAGGAGAGCCAGGACTTGAACCCAAGTTTATATGATGCCAAGGTCCATGCACTTAATCCTTTCTCCATATGGTAGACTAGAAAGGACTGAATTTAGGGCCGGGCACAGTGGCTCATGCCTGTAACCCCAGCACTTTGGGAGGTTGAGGCCGGCGGATCACCTGAAGTCAGGAGTTCAAGAACATCCTGGCCAACATGGTGAAACCTCTGTCTTTACTAAAAAATACAAAAATTAGCTGGGCGTGGTGGTGGGCACCTGTAATCCCAGCTACTCGGGAGGCTTAAGCAGGATAATTGCTTGAACCCAGGAGGCGGAGGTTGCAGTGAGCCGAGATCATGCCACTGCACTCCAACCTGGGCAACAAGAGCAAAACTCCATCTCAAAAAAAAAAAAAGAAGAGGCCGGGCGCGGTGGCTCACGCCTGTAATCCCAGCACTTTGGGAGGCCGAGGCGGGCGGATCACGAGGTCAGGAGATCGAGACCATCCCGGCTAAAACGGTGAAACCCCGTCTCTACTAAAAGTACAAAAAATTAGCCGGGCGTAGTGGCGGGCGCCTGTAGTCCCAGCTACTTGGGAGGCTGAGGCAGGAGAATGGCGTGAACCCGGGAGGCAGAGCTTGCAGTGAGCCGAGATCCCGCCACTGCACTCCAGCCTGGGCGACAGAGCGAGACTCCGTCTCAAAAAAAAAAAAAAAAAAAAAAAAAAAAGAAGAAAAAAGAAAAAAGAAAGGACTGAATTTAGAAAACACTCTACCTTTTGCTGGGCTCGGTGTCTCACCCCTGTAATCCCAGCACTTTGGGAGTCTCAGGAAGGTGGATCACAAGGTCAAGAGTTCAAGACCATCCTGGCCAACATAGTGAAACCCTCTCTCTATTAAAAATACAAAAATTAGCTGAATGTGGTGGCGCATGCCTGTAATCCCAGCTATTTGGGAGGCTGAGGCAGGAGAATCGCTTGAACATGGGAGGTGGAGGTTGTAGTGAGCCAAGATCATGCAATTGCACTCCAGCCTGGGCAACGAGAGCAACTCTGTCTCAAAAGAAAAAAAAAAAGGCCGGGCCTGGTGGCTCACGCCTGTAATCCCAGCACTTTGGGAGACCGAGGCGGGCAAATCACGAGATCAGGAGATCGAGACCATCCTGGCTAACACGGTGAAACCCTGTCTCTACTAATAATACAAAAAATTAGCCGGGCGTGGTGGTGGGCGCCTGCAGTCCCAGCTACTCGGGAGGTTGAGGAAGGAGAATGGCGCGAACCTGGAAGGCGGAGCTTGCAGTGAGCCGAGATCGCGCCCCTGCACTCCAGCCTGGACGACAGAGCGAGACTCCGTCTCAAAAAACAAAAAACAAAACAAAACACTCTACCTTTAAAAGGGAGAGTGGGAAGAAGAGATTAGAGAAGGAATTGTCCAAAAGATAGAAGGGAAACCAGCAGGGTGATATTTGAGATGAAGAAAAGAGTTCCAAGAAGATGCTGGGCATGGTGGCTCGGGTCTGTAATCCCAGCACTTTGGGAGGCCAAGGTGGGCAGATCACCTGAGGTCAGGAGTTCAAGACCAGCCTGGACAACATGGTGAAACCCCATCTCTACTAAAAATTTAAAAATTAGCCAAGTGGTGCGCACCTGTGATCCCAGCTACTTGGGAGGCTGAAGCAGGAGAATCGCTTGAACCTGGGAGGCAGAGGTTGCAGTGAGCCGAGATCACACCATTGCACTCCAACCTGGGCGACAGAGAGAGCCTCCGTCTCAAAAACAAAAGCTCCATGAAGGTCCAGAAGGACCAGGTCAACCATGCTTACTGTCCCTGACAGCTTAAGCTGTCAGGGTGAGGGATTAGGCAATAGAGGACAACCTTCCAGAGAGAGTGGGCACCAAGGAGTTAGTAACAGATCCAGTGGAGTGGGAGATGGGGAAGTGGAGGTGGTTGGCTGGGAAGAGGAGGAGAGGAAAGGGAAGGAAGGGAGCGTCATGTGGGTATGCAGCCCAGGAGGGCAAGACAAATGGGTTTGGGCTGGCCTGGAAATACTGGGGCTAGGATGTATGCAGGTGGGAAGAGGAAGGGGTGAGCTTTCCTCCTCCCACCTGGTCATTTTAGGTTGACTAGACAGACAAGGACACCCTCAACCTAGCTCTTCCTTGACAGTCTCGGAAGTGTCCCACTTCCTTCATCCCATCCCCATCTTGCAGGCCAAGGCACACTATTCTCATCCCTCCTTCCCTCTCCCTTCCTGCCCCCATGGCTCCCCTGAGGTTTTTCGGAACCAGCCACTCCCACCCCCAGTCTGCTGTCTCACCCTCCCTGGCCCAGCCTGGTGAGACAGGCAGGGAGGAGTTTCCAGGCAGGAAAGCGCTGAGTCACTCACCAACACATCTGGTCTCAGATCTTGATACCCAGCTGGAAGGGGCAGGAAGGAAGAGGGCTCCTCCCCACAAGCTCTCCTGGCCAGTCCCCACCATTGCCAGCTGTGTGGGGCAGTCTGGGAGAGGAGCGCCTCTGCCACTGTAACAACTAGCCTTTGCTGGACTGCCTCGCCCACTCCAGCTGGGGTGCTTCACTTCTGTGATTGCCTTTAATGCTCCGAACAGCCCTGGGAAGTAGGGCCGATCACCTCCAATTCACAGGTGAGGAGACTAAGTGGCTTGCACGAGGTCACGCAGATTTGGCGCGCTGGTGCATTGGTGTCCCCGTCCTATGCTCTGGGCACACAGGAGGGAGTGATGTAAAGAGACAGTGAATGAAGTTGTCCAGGGGCTCAAGCATACCAGTAGGCAGACTGCGCCCATCCTCCTGCCAAAATGGCCCCTTCTCAAAGTCCCAGTGGAGAGAGGGCCATCCTTCCTGCCCCACTCTGTGCCCTGCCCATTTGTTGCTGGCTCTGTTTGGAGTCCCCCACACCCCTCATTCCCCAGCCTCTTTCATTGTCTTCTCCCTCCTCCCCACTGAGAGGAATAGCAGTGGCTTTGGCAGGAGGCGTTCCCATTGTCCTGAGTGGAGAGGGGCATTCAGGTCCTGAGAGGGCAGGGCAGATCATGCCAGGGCCTGTCACCTCTTCCCAGGCTGCAAAGCAGCCTTCTTGGGGCCCAGGCTGGTTTTTTATACAACATGCAGTGTGACATTGGGCAAGTCACTTCACTCCCCACAGGATGGGTTATTGCACATACATCATACAGGAGAGCGTGCAAATCACTGTTCTTCTCTAGGCCAGACTAGCCCCAATAGTAATTTTTTTTTTTTTTTGAGACGGAGTCTCACTCTGTCACCCAGGCTGGAGTGCAGTGGCGTGATCTTGGCTCACTACAACCTCCGCCTCCTGGGTTCAAGCAATTCTCTGCCTCAGCCTCCCGAGAGCTAGGATTACAGGAGCCTGCCACCACGCCCAGCTAATTTTTGTGTTTTTAATAGAGATGGGATTTCACCACCTTGGCCAGGCTGGTCTTGAACTCCTGACCTCGTGATCCATCCACCTCGGCCTCCCAAAGTGCTGGGATTACAGGCATGAGCCACCGCACCTGGGCTTTTTTTTTTTTTCCTGAGACAGAGTTTTGCTCTTGTTGCCCAGGCTGGAGCACGATCTCAGCTCACTGCAACCTCTGCGTTCCGGGTTCAAGCGATTCTCCTGCCTCAGCCTCCCAAGTAGCTGGAATTACAGGTGTGCACCACCATGCCCGGCTAATTTTGCCTTTTTTTTTTTTTTTTGAGACGGAGTTTTGCTCTTGTTGCCCAGTGCAATGGCACAATCTCGGCTCACTACAACCTCCGCCTCCCCAGTTCAAGCAATTATCCTGCCTCAGCCTCCTAAACAGCTGGGATTACAGGCATGCACCACCACGCCAGCTAATTTTGTATTTTTTTTTTTAATGGAGATGGGGGTTTCTCCATGTTGGTCAGGTTGGTCTTGAACTCCCGACCTCAGGTGATCCGCCTGCCTTGGCCTCCCAAAGTTCTGGGATTACAGACGTGAGCCACCGCACCTGGCCTCCCAGTTGTAATTTTAGTTATAATTCATTTATTTATTTTAGAGATGGGGTCTTGCTATATTTCCCAGGCTGGACTCAAACTCCTGGGCTCAAGTGATCCTCCTGCATCAGCCTCATGACTAGTTGAGACTACAGGCACGGGCCACCATACCCAGCTCCTGATATTAACTTTTGACTGGTTTAAATTGTATGTAATGTGGCTGATGTCACAGCCGTACCACTTGCTGTGTGATCTTGGGACAATTTTCTTTTTTTTTTTTTTTTTTTTTTTTTGAGACAGAGTCTTGCTCTGTCGCCCAGGCTGGAGTGCAGTGGTGCGATCTTGGTTCACCACAAACTTTGCCTCCCAGGTTCAAGCAATTCTCCTGCCTCATCCTACTGAGTAACTGGGATTACAGACAGAGAAACACAAAGTCATAAATAAAAGTCACCTCTAATTCCATCCAGAAGTACCTTTTTGTGATATTTTTCTTTCTTTATTTTTTTAATATATATATTTGAGACAGGGCCTTGCTTTGTCACCCAGGCTGGAGTGCAGTGTCATGCACGGCTCACTGCAGCCTTAACCTCCCAGGTTCAGGTGATCCTCTCACCTCAGCCTCCTGGCTAGCCAGGACTACATACACCTTCCATCATGCCCAGCTAATTTTTATTTATTTGTTTGTTTGTTTGTTTGTTTTTATTTTTTTGAGACGGAGTCTTGCTCTGTTACCCAGGCTGGAGTGCAGTGGCACAATCTCAGCTCACTGCAAGTTCCGCCTCCCGGGTTCACGCCATTCTCCTGCCTCAGCCTCCCGAGTAGCTGGGACTACAGGCACCCGCCACCATGCCCAGCTAATTTTTTGTATTTTTAGTAGAGTTGGGGTTTCACCATATTAGCCAGGATGGTCTCGATCTGCTGACCTCGTGATCTGCCCACCTCGGCCTCCCAAAGTGCTGGGATTACAGGCGTGAGCCACCGTGCCCGGCCATGCCCAGCTAATTTTTGTATCTTTTGTAGAAATGAGGTTACGCCATGTTGCCCAGGCTAGTCTAGAACTCCTCACCTCAAGCAATCTGCCCATCTTGGCCTCCTAAAGTGCTGGTATTACAGGCATGAGCCATCATATCTAGCCTAGGATATTTTATTTATTTCTTTTTTTCTTCCCTTCCTTCCCTTCCTTCCTTTCCTTTCCTTTCTCCTTCCTTCCTTTCTTTCTTCCTTCTTTCCTTCCTTCCTTCTTTTCTCCTTCCCTTCCCTTTCATTCCTTCCATTCTGTCTCTCCTTCTTTCCTTCCTTTCTCTCTCTCTCTCTCTTTTTCTCTTTATCTCTTTCTTTCTTTCTTTTTATTTGAGAGGGGTGTCTCACTCTGTGACCCAAGCTGAAGTGCAGTGGTGAGATCATAGCTCACTGCAGCCTTGAACTCCTGACCTCAAGCAATCCTCCCACCTCGCTGGGACTATAGGCATGAGCCACTGTGCTGACACAGGAGATTTTATTACACAGAGTAGAACTGCCCTCCCCCATCCTCCAAGGGAATGGCCCATATGCTTCCAGGCTGGAAAGTGGCATTGATGGTGGATATGATCTGTATTTTCTGCATCTTCTCTGGGCCTCAGTTTCCCTGTCTGGAAAGGAAATGGTTGGACTAATCAGGGGAGACAAATAGATTTAATCTCACATGCCAGTTGATGCCCCCAAAATGGTTCTGGGTTAGAGGGAGAGAGTACCATGATCAGTTAATCATGTCTGCCATGAATGCAGAAATGAGTAGTGGTAGCACCATGTTCTCAGTGCACTTCTGGGTTCTGAACACAGACTAGCTCCCATGTAACATTGTGCACTATTACACTTTCTCTGCGGAGCCCAACCAAGGATCTCCTCAACTCAGACCCTAAACAGGGTGACCTTGGGGAGCTGGAGAGGGAAGAGAGTTTGAGTATTTTCTCACTAAAAGGGAATATACAAATAGCATGCATATGTGCAGCCATTCCTCACCAGTCCAGGCTTGGGTATTTGAATGTTAAATGATCAGATGTAAATGAATGCAAATGAGCAGTGAGTTCTTTGGGCAATAAGGCCTTAGGCCAGCCAGAATGGCTGGGACCAGTGTAGACAGCCCTCACTGAAGGTGAGATAGGGCAGTGCCTGAGCATTTCAGCTGAAAGACAGTCTCAGTTCTGGTCTGAGGGTTCTTCGAGGGGCACCTTGGCTCAGTAAGAGGACAGAGACAGAGAGAGTGGGGACTCTATGGCAGAGGGTGGGCTCAGTCAAGGGGAGGTTATTGGTAAAAAGAGATGAGGGCTGTGGTGCGGTGGATCACCCCTGTAATCCCAGCACTTTGGGAGGCTGAGGCGGGTGGATCACTTGAGGCCAGGAGTTAGAGACCAGCCTGGCCAACATGGTGAAACCCTGTCTGTACTAAGGAGAGGTCCCCATCTCCTCACTGAGCCCCATCCCCTCACTAGGTCCCCATCGCCTCACTGAGTCCCAGGAGGCAGAGGTTGCAGTGAGCCGAGATCGTGCCACTGCACTCCAGCCTGGGCGACAGAGCAAGACTGTCTCAAAAAAAAAAAAAAAAAAAAGAGATGGGGGCTTAGTGATGAGGAGGGAAGGGGCATCCCAAGAACCTGGGATAGGGCCACCTCTGTTCCCAGCATTCCAAATGCCTTTCTGGAAGCTGCCTCCAGCCTACAGGACCCTAGAGGTGGGAGGAACCTTTTGGGAAATAAGAGGTTCCTTGCCCTCCAGGACCCAAGGCCAGGCCTCCCTCTCACTGGTTTCCGTGGCTCCCTCCCAGCCCTGGCCCCCTAACCCCTAAGGCCTCACAGTTTGCCACTCAGGACTGTTTGGTGTTGCCTGTCTTGGTCCCAGATACAGGTCACTGATACCAAGGTGCACAGCCATGTCCCTCTAGGGTCAAGCTGAATATAGACCAGGGGTAGGCTCCAGGACCAGAGCTGGGGTGGGAAGAGATCATTAAGGTAATGAGTTCCAGAGGCTTGTCTACCCCTTCTCTAATTCAAGCTTTCACTGAGCCCCAACCCCTCACTGAGCCCCATCCCCTCACTGAGCCCGAACCCCTCACTGAGCCCCATCCCCTCACCAAACCCCTATCCCCTCACTGAGCCTCCAACTCCACACTGAACCCCCATTGCCTCACTGAGCCCCATCTCTTCACTCAGCCTCCAACTCCGCACTGAACCTCCAACTCCTCACTGAGTCCCATCCCCTCACTGAGTCCCATCCCCTCACTAGGTCCTCATCCTCTCACTAGGTCCCCATCTCCTCACTCAGCCCCATCCCCTCACTAAGCCCCATCCCCTCACTAGGTCCCCATCTCCTCACTGAGTCCCCATCCTCTCACTCAGCCCCAATCCCCTCACTCAGTCTGGTCCCCTCAGCTAGCCCTGTCCCCACGCTGATTCCCCATCTCCCTCATCAAGCCTTATTGGTATTAACCTCCAGTTCCCAGATGAAGCATTTTGAACTGCAGCCCTGAACCAGCATTGTGTTCACATGCCATAGCCATACCAGCCACAT
The DNA here is from genome assembly GCF_000001405.40 of Homo sapiens. NCBI lineage: Eukaryota > Metazoa > Chordata > Mammalia > Primates > Hominidae > Homo > Homo sapiens. Next base: position 32,720,198 of record NC_000001.11, on the reverse strand, counting down.
CCTTGTCATGTCATGGCCCAGGGCACAGGCTGAGAGATGGAGGAGCCAGAGGCAAAGGGATCAATAATAGCCTGGAAGGAGAGCCCAGCCAAGGGCTTTCTTGGGCAGCTTCCACAGCAGCTCCAGACCCATTCAGTGGAACAGATGTTGAGATGATGCTGTGGGCAGAGCAGCAGCTCACCCTCTGGCCTGCCAGGACTCAAGCCAGGCTGGAACACAGAGCAGGGACTGGCCCCACCCTGATACCCTGCACAAGAGTTCCACTGTGCACCCTCCTTCCACCACCCACCCGGCCCCTCAGGCCTGGCCATGGGTCAGGGGGGTCAGGCAGGGCCACCCATAAAGGCCGGAAACAGAAGGACACCCAGGCAGTGAGGGAGCAAGGCAGAGAGGCTGTGAGATCCAGGGTCAGGGATGTATAGTATAGTCAGACCTACAAGCAGAGAGAGGCTGTGTGTTTACCCCCCAGCGTCTGGCGTGGCAGGAGTGGCACCAGAGAGCTCCAGTGCCCTGGCATCTCCAGGACACAGAGAAGCAGACCCATGTGAGGGACCCAAGCCCACAGGCCTCCTGGAGAGCCCTGGACAAGGACACTGGAGTCCCAGGCCCCACCGCACAGCATCGGCCTTCAACGGAGCCTCAGAGCTCCTTGGCGGACTTCACTCACCTGGTTGTTCACGAACACAGTCACTGACGTTTAACTCTGCCAGCCTTGTGTTGGGCATGGGGCAAAGATACCAAAAGATACTTCATGGAAATGGCTGAAATCGGGGTCTGGATTCAAGGGAGTGGTTTATGCTCTAAATGCCTGCCTTGCCCACCATCCTTTCTAAGGATTTCTTACATCACCTGGTGATCCAACTGGTCTGCCACTAACTAGATCAGAGGTGGGCCTGACCTAGGGCCTGGCCCTCTCTCAGCTGGCCAGTGGTCCATGACATGGTCTGGCTGGAAGCTGCCCCCTAAGAATCAGATTCACTGGATCCTCCTCCCCATCAGTAGATCCTCTGTCAGGGAGGAGGGAGTACCCAGAGAAGGCTGTGGGCAGGACCATGAAGCAGCAGGAGCCGAGGGCAGCAAGGACGCTGGTCGGGCAAGATGTGCAGGAAGGACAGAAGCAACGTCTCAGCGTGACAGTCTCTGTGACCACTAAGCCTCAGACTCGGGAGCATCAGGCGCCTGCAGACGAGGCAAAGAGGAGACATCCAGATCAGTAGAGCTACTCTGCTTTGTGAACATCCATGAAGACTCCCTGAGGCTTGGAGGTGAGGGACACCATCCCTGCCTGCCTGCCTTCTCCAAACAGCCTCAAACAAGGCCCTGTCTCCTGAAGCATTTGGGTGAGCATTTCTCTGGTCCTTGTCACCCAGAAGAGCCAAATGAACTCTGGCTCTCACATCCTTGCTTCTGTGGCCTCCTCCACCAGCCAAAGTCAGCCCTGGTATCCAGTGGAAGCCACATATGGTAGCAAGAGCCTTGGACCTGAAGTCCAAAGGTGAGATTCAAGTCCTCCTTTTGCTGTGATCTGCCTCCCAGAGGCCTGCTCTTCCCACTCCCTGCCAGTGCCCTGTCCCATCGCCACTGCCCCCCACCCTTATTCCAGAAGAGCATCCAGGACTTCCATCAATCTGGTGCCCCCTGCTCTAGCCAGACTTCCCCAGGTGGGGCTGGAGACTAGACACATCCTGGGAGCCTGTGGTTCTGAAAGAAGGGCCGAAAGGGGACAGAGATCACTGGAATGGTGGAATTCCAAACACTTGCGACTAGCCAGTAGAGAGGTTGTTCAAGCCTGGGCTGATTTAGTCACGTTTTTCCCCAATCCAGCCCCCTCCATCTAGGGGAGAGGGGCAATGGACAGGGAGCTGGATTCTGGTTAGAACAGGAAGTCCTACTGGGGCTGTTGATGGAGCTCACATGAGACTGTGTCACCTCAGCCTTCTCTCCATTTCCACCCATGTCTCGTCATACTTTCCTCCTTTCTCTCTGCAACTAGAGGTCAGTCAGTCCTGGACCAGCCCATCCCCAACCTCCCCCTACACCTAACAGCATGAGCTCCAGAGCCAGAAAGGCCTGGGTTCAAATCCTAGCTTGGCTACTTTCTGACCATGTGACCCTAGGCAAGCTGCCTCCCTCTCTGAGCAAGCCTGAAGGGAATAAAATGACAACATGGGAAAGGCCAAGCGAGCGGCTGAGGGGCTCACTAAATGTCAGTTTCCTTTCTCTTTCCCAGGTTCAAAGTCCCTGGGTTGGGGACACTGACGGGGCTGGACATGGCCAGGGATTCCACCAGGGGCTTTAAGAGTCATGGAATTGCCGGGCGCTGTGGCTCACACCTGTAATCCCAGGAGTTTGGGAGGCTGAGGCAGGAGGATCACTTGAGCCCAGAAGCTTGAGACCAGCCTAGACAACAACGTGAGACCCTGTCTCTACAAAGAAATAAAATTAGCTGGGTGTGGTGGTGCACACATGTGGTCCCAGCTACATGGGAGGCTGAGGCAGGAGGATCACTTGATCCCAGGAGGTTGAGGCTGCAATGAGCCAACACTACACCAATGCACTCCAGCCTAGGTGACAGAGCATGACCCTGTCTCAAAAAAAAAAAAAAAAAGTCATGGAATCAAACACAAGTGCCCACCTGCAGCAGGTCACTGCACTGCTTTGGGCTGTGTGTCGTCATCTGTCAAATGGGGGTACAATAGAAGATGCTTAGCAAATAATGTAAGGCCCCCCTTCCCTGGTCACAGAAGTCCACCTAGAGGAGGGGACTGAGCCTTCCTTTGAGTGTTGAGAGGACAAGCTGGGCAAGAGAGGGACTGCTCTTTAAGGCAGGAGGCTCTGGAGGTTGGGGGCAGGTGCGGGGGGCAGTGAGTCACCAGGAAGGGAGAGGGGGCACAGGGGCTGGGCTTTTCTAAAGGATGGGGCAGGCTTTATGCCTCCATCAGCCTGGGGCCAGTTGGAGGGGCACTTCTAAATGTGGACTCACAAAAGCTCAGGTTTATTCTGAGACTTATTCAGAGGGTCACACACACACTTGGCCACACAAAGGCACGCTGGAGACAAACAAACACATTCATACTTACTCCTGCACACCCAGGGACAGCCACACAGAAACAAAGGCACACAAAAGAGGTATTTGAGACATTCAGGCAGTCTTGCATACAACCTTGTATCCTCACAGTCAAAGTGCACGTTTATTTTGTACACACTCCTGTGCACTCTGGAACATTCAGAGACACCCTCACAGACACACAGAGGCTAGCACAGTCAGGTGTTCTCAACACTCAGGTGCCTTCACCCAGCCCAGGGCTGTCCCCTTCTCTCCAGCCAAGCAGGCTCCGCCTTTTCTCCCCGCCCACTTCCCACCGTCCTCTGGGGCCTCTAGGGCCTCTCTCCAGAGCTGGGGGAGGGGACAGGGCAGGGCTTACCCGGCTGATGTGGCAACAGCGCTCACCTGCAGCCAGGGCCACGCCCTCCACTGGGAAAGGCTTAAAGGAGCAGGAATCCCAGGTGTTGACCTCACAGGGTCTGTGCCCATGTTTTTCAGATGGGGTCAAATGGAGAATGGGACTTGAACCCAGGACTCCAGTGCCAAGAGCTGGGTGGGGAGTAGGCAGGGGATGCTCCTGCTGGGAATGGGGAAGCCTGGGTTCCAGACCCACCTCTTGCCTGCCCTGGTTAGCTGCTTGGCAACCTACGCCTCCCCACTGCTCCTCAGCTCCCTGACAGGCACTCCCACCTTCTTGCAGTCCCTGTCTCAGGAGTCAGCACTCTCCTGAAAGCCACCCAAGCCAGAAACCTGGGCATCCCGCCACACACCTCTCTCTACCTGTGGAATCTATCCCTAAACATTTCCTGAACCTGGGTAGAAGATGCAGTAGGCAACCAGCCAGCTCTTTCCCAGCTCTGTGACTTAGGGCAAGTCACTGCTGTTCTCTGACCCTCAGTTTCCTCATCTGTAAATGAGGCGTGATCACACCCACCTCACAGGATTGATGAGACAATTTAACTACATAATACAGATAGAGCGCTGTAGGCCCAGGCCCAAGAACTCTGGACTGGTTTGGTGAGTGACTAGATATATGGATGAGTTGCCCAACATACTGAGGCAGGCCAGGTCACCCCTACTGCAGCCTCACTGATCCTGCCACCTCCTAGGGAATTCCAAAGGACCTGTCTCACAGTGTGGTTTGCTGCTGCTTCCAAAGCTCGGGCAGCCCAGCCCAGCCCAGCCCTAACTGCTGTATCAAGGTAGAAGGGTTAGGCCGGTGGACAGTGGCAGAGGTGGAGAGGGGTCAGGGAGACACAGCCATGCCTGTGGGAGCCACCAGCCTGCTGGGGGAGATCCAGCTCAGCTCTGCTCCTGGAGTACCTGGCTGAAGCAAGGAAGGCCCATTCTGTTCTTGCGGCTCCAAGGCTAGTTAGTGAACATATCTAGCATGGCCCAAGGGCTCCAAAGCCTGAAGTAGAAGCAGCCTGGTCCAGGAGCTCCTGGGCTGGTAAGGGAGACACTCCTGAGCCCAGGTCCTCAAACTAGTTGGGGAGATAGAGCATTCGCCTGGGATTCCCAGTCTGATGGGAGCAAATTGCCCTCTCCTAGGGGCTCCTAGGCTGGTAAAAAACACAACTCTTTCCGGGCGCGGTGGCTCACACCTGTAATCCCAGCACTTTGGGAGGCCAAGGCAGGCGGATCACCTGAGGTCGGGAGTTCGAGACCAGCCTGACCAACATGGAAAAACCCCGTCTCTACTAAAAATTAGCCGGACATGGTGGCACATGCCTATAATCCCAGCTACTCGGGAGGCTGAGGCAGGAGAATCGCTTGAACCTGGGAGGCGGAGGTTGCAGTGAGCCGAGATCGTGCCATTGCACCCCAGCCTGGGCAACAAGAGCAAAACTCCGACTCAAAAAAAAAAAAAAAAAAAAAAAAGGCTGGGCGCGGTGGCTCATGCCTCTCATCCCAGCACTTTGGGAGGCTGAGGCGGGTGGATCACAAGGTCAGGAGTTCAAGACCAGCCTGGCCAACATGGTGAAATCCCGTCTCTACTAAAAATACAAAAGTTAGCCAGGCGTGGTGGCGGGCACCTGTAATCCCAGCTACTCAGGAGGCTGAGGCAGGAGAATCGCTTGAAACCGGAAGACGGAGGTTGCAGTGAGCCGAGATTGCACCACTGCACTCTAGCCTGGGCAAAAGAGTGAAACTCCATCTCGAAGACAAAAAAACATAACTCTTGCCAGGTGCAGTAGCTCATGCCTGTAATTCTAGCACTTTGGGAGGCTGAGGCAGGTGGATCACCTGAGGTCAGGAGTTCAAGACTAGCCTGGCCAACATGAGGAAATCTTGTCTCTTCTAAAAATACAAAAACTAGCCGGGCATGTTGACGGGTGCCTGTAATCCCAGCTACTCGGGATGCTGAGGCAGGAGAATCACTTGAACCTGGGAAGCAGAGGTTGCAGTGAGCCGAGATCTTGCCACTTCACTACAGCCTGGGCGAAAGAGTGAAACTCCATCTAAAAAAAGAAAAAAAAAACACTCTTGTTCTCAGGGACCCCAAGTCACAAAAGAAAACAGACCTGGGACACAGAGGAGTAGTGAGCACAGATGAATTCAGCTTTGTGCGTGAGCCTGTTGCATATTTGTGCACCATTTGTGACTCTGTGCATGTGTGTGCGTGTGTGTGTGGCTGTGTTGACTCTGTGTATGTGCCTTTGAGCCGAGGCTGTTGAGAAAGCTTAGTGAGTGTGGACCCAGTTGGGTGGAATCGCTTATTCATTAGACACACATTTACCAAACATTCACAGGGCAGGGCCCTAGGCATAACATGGAGCCCTTGACTGATGAGGTTCTTGTTTTTGAGGGCTTCACTCTGTAATGAGGGGAGATTAGGCACTAAACAAAAAAATCCTGCTGGGTATGGTGGCTCACACATGTAATCCCAGCACTTTGGGAGGCTGAGTCGGGCGGATCACCTGAGGTCAGGAGTTCGAGACCAGCCTGGCCAATATAGTGAAACCAATAGAGTGAAACCAATATAGTGACCAGCCTGGCCAATATAGTAGTTTTGTAAAAATACAAAAAGTAGCCAGGCATGGTGGTGCACACCTGTAGTCCCTCCCAGCTACTCAGAAGGCTGAGGCAAGAGAATTGCTTGAACCCAGGAGGTGGAGGTTGCAGTGAGCCGAGATCGCGCCACTGCACTCCAGCCTGGGGGACAGAGTGAGACTGCATCTTAAAAAACAAAACAAAACAGCCGGGCGCGGTGGCTCACGCCTCTAATCCCAGCACTTTGGGAGGCCGAGGTGGGCGGATCACAAGGTCAGGAGTTCGAGACCATCCTGGCTAACACGGTGAAACCCCATCTCTACTAAAAAAATACCAAAAAAAATTAGTCGGGCGTAGGTGGTGCACGCCTGCAGTCCCAGCTACTCGCGAGGCTGAGGCAGGAGAACGGCGTAAAACCCGGGAGGTGGAGCTTGCAGTGAGCCGAGATCGCGCGCCACTGCACTCCAGCCTGGGAGACAGAGCGAGATACTGTCTCAAAAAAAAAAAAAAAAAAAAAAAAAAAACAAGAAATGCAAAAGAAACTCAGGCGACCATAGGACCACAGGGAGGGAGCGTCCTGGAAAAAGTGATATTTAAGCTGTGTTCTGAGTAACAAGCTTTAGGGCTTGGGGAAAGGGTGTTCCAGATACAAGGAGTGGCATGTGCAAAGGCTGTGGACCTGGGAGAGGACACGGGGAAAGGTTTTTCTGGAGAAGATGGCTGGATGGGGTTTTGGAAGCGGTAAGGAGAACAAACGGGGCGTTGCTTCAGTTTGAGGGATGTAGTGGGATTGGCCAGGGGAAGATTGCTGGCTTGGGCCTGCACCTGGGGACGGAGGGGCAGTTCCCAGAGGAGTCCAAGGAGCTGAAGGTGCTGCCAACTCCAGAGAGGAGTAGGGAAGCTCCGAAGAGGGGGTTTAGGGAGAGAGCTCCTGGACTGGCCTCTGGGCTGTGCTAGGGGAGAGAGAGACCCATGGAGGCCCGCGAGCCTGGGAAAGGGTCCCCAGCGTTCTCATTCCACAAAGGAATTCAATCAGAGCTCCCTCACAGGACAGAGGGAATTACGGTACATGCACTTCTCCTAAGTTGCTCATTTATTCCTCTCAAGAACTATAATACATTTCCCATTTGAAAACAAAGGAGGCTGGGCGCAGTGGCTCACGCCTGTAATCCCAGCACTTTGGGCGGCCGAGGCCGGTGGATCACAAGATCGGGAGATCGAGACCATCCTGGCTAACACAGTGAAACCCCGTCTCTACTAAAAACATATAAAAAAATTAGCCAGGCGTGGTGGCGGGCGCCTGTAGTCCCAGCTACTCGGGAGGCTGAGGCAGGAGAATGGCGTGAACCTGGAAGGCGGAACTTGCAGTGACCGGAGATCGCGCCACTGCACTCCAGCCTGGGCGACACAGCCAGACTCCGTCGTCTCAAAAAAAAAAAAAAAAAAAAAAAAAAAAAAAAGGAAGCAGAAGCTCAGAGAAGCCTAAGGGTACAGAGCGGGGAAACGTGAGAGACTGCTCTGCTCTGGATTCGAACCCAGCTCAGAGTCTAAGGCCTGGCACCTTCCCTGAGTCCCACAGCCTCCCAGCAAGCGCATGCGCCCTTTAAACTCCAGCAGCTCGCTATGGGTGGATCTGCGGCTATTATTGTTGTGTGTTCATTATCACTGCGGTGCTAAAGGACGTCCTTGATTCAGCTGGGACGCCGACCTCCCCACTGTCGGCGCGCCATCGGTCCTGAAAACTCAGGGCCCGGGCGGCCCCGCGCGGCTGCGGCGGAAAAGACAACCCCCGGGGCGCGGGGTCGGCGTGGCGGCGCCCCCTGGAGGCAGTGCTCGGCATTGCCCGACCTGGGGAGGAACGACCCTGAACGCAGCTTCCTCTGAAGCGGTGGCTGGTGGTCAGCACCGGGTAGGCCCCAATGGCTCCCAGACAGCGGTCCCAGAGGGCAGGGAGAAAGAAGGAAATAAAGAGAAGAACACTTATCAAGTGTCTCTTGTATACTGGGCAAAAGGCTGGGCATTTCCTGCACATTTTCTCATTTAACGCCCACCCAATCTCATTTCCTAGAAGCAGAATCAGGGGGCCAGGCGCGGCGGCTCACGCCTGTAATCCCAGCACTTTGGAAGGCCGAGGCGGGTGGATCACCTGAGGTCAGGAGTTTGAGACTAGCCCGGCCAACATAGTGGAACTCCGTCTCTACTAAAAATACAAAAATTAGCCTGGCGTGGTGGCAAGTGCCTGTAATCCTAGCTACTCAGGAGGCTAAGGCAGGAGAATTGCTTGAACTCGGGAGGCGGAGGTTGCAGTGAGCTGAGATCCAGCCACTGCACTCCAGCCTGGGTGACAGAGTGAGACTTTGTTTCAAAAAAAGAAAAAAAGAAGTGGCCGGGCGCTGTGGCTCACGTCTGTAATCCCAGCACTTTGGGGGGCCAAGGTGGGCAGATCACGAGGTGAGGAGATCGAGACCATCCTGGCTAACATGGTGAAACCCCATCTCTACTAAAAATACAAAAAATTAGCTGGGCGTGGTGGTGGGCGCCTGTAGTCCCAGCTACTCGAGAGTCTGAGGCAGGAGAATGGCATGAACCTGAGAGGCGGAGCTTGCAGTGAGCTGAGATGGCACCACTGCACTCCAGCCTGGGTGACAGAGCAAGACTTGGTCTCAAAAAAAAAAAAAAAAAAAAAAAAGGAAGCAGAACCAGAGAGGTTAAGTAATTTGCCCGGAGACACAAAACAAGTCTGTGGCCATGCCTGGGCCCCTTGGGGCTAAGTCTGAGGATGGAAAGGCTGCCAGATTCCCACTAGACTATAAGTCTCTGAAAGTCAAGGTTAATGACAATGATGTGGATAACACATCATTTATTCGTGGAGGCAGTGTATTGAATCTTGGGTGCCACCATTTCCTCTCTGTGTGACTTTGGTCAACTAAGTTGCATAACCTCTCCAAGCCTCAGTTTTCTCATCAGTAAATGGGCTTTATTACAGGCCCCATGTTATAGGGCTGTTCTGAAGATTTATTGCATTAAAGCAGATAAAATGCCTTCTAGCCCAGGTGCAGTGGCTCCGGCCTGTAATCCCAGCACTTTGGGAGGCCCAAGCAGGCAGATCACCTGAGGTCAGGAGTCTGAGACCAGCCTGGCCAACACGGCGAAATCTCCTCTCTACTAAAAATACAAAAATTAGCCAGGCATGGTGGTGGGTGCCTGTAATCCCAGCTAATCAGGAGGCTGAGGCAGGAGAATTGCTTGAATCCGGGAGGTGGAGGTTGCAGAGAGCCAAAATTGCGCCACTGCACTCCAGCCTGGGTGACAGAGCGAGACTCTGTCTCAAAAAAAAAAAAAAAAGACTAGTTTAGCATCTGGCTTGCAGTAGGGGCTCAAGAATATAGCTAACATCATTTACTAATTTGGCCACTATTTGTTTTTTCTTTTCATTCTTTATTCTCTTCTATTTGTCTTATTCATTACTATACTCTTCATGAACACATCATTTGGCCACTATTTGTTGAAAACCTAGGGACAAGGGACACAGCCATGAAGTCATACAGATATAGGTCTTGCTTTAATGACTTACTGTCTTTGTGTTCTTAGGGTTTAACACATTGTCTGGCCTAACAAATGGTGAAGTGAATGAATGAGCGAGTGAAAACACATGCTGTAGTCAGCCAGCCCCTGGTTGCAGCTTCAGAGAGAGGAAGCAGGAGAAAGGGGAGTTTCAAAAATAATAGTTAATTATTTCTTGTTTTTGTTTTGTTTTGAGACAGAATTTTGCTCTTGTTTCCCAGGCTGGAGTGCAATGGCACGATCTCGGCTCACTGCAACCTCCGCCTCCTGGGTTCAAGCGATTCTCCTGCCTCAGCCTCCCGAGTAGGTGGGATTACAGGCATGCACCACCATGCCCAGCTAATTTTGTATTTTTAGTAGAGACGGGGTTTCTCCATGTTGGTCAGGCTGGTCTTGAACTCCCGACCTCAGGTGATCCACCCACCTCGGCCTCCCAAAGTGCTGGGATTACAGGAGTGAGCCACCGCGCCTGGCTGTGTTATCTAATTTTACAGAGAAGAAAACAATTTCCATGAAGTGGAGTGACTTTCCTAAGGTCACACAGCAAGTAAGCGCTCCAAAGCTTGGATTCATACCCTGGCTCTCTAGAAGCAGTAGGTCAAGGCTGGGTGCGGTGGCTCATGCCTGTAATCCCAGCACTTTGGAAGGTCAAGGCTGGAGGATCGTTTGAGTTCAAGAGTTCAAGACCAGCCTGGGCAACATGGTGAGATACCCCTCTATCTGGCTGTGATCTGTACAAAAAATAAAATATTTAGCCGGGTGGGGTGGCACACACCTGTGGTCCCACTGATCATACCACTGCACTCCAGCCTGGGCAAGAGCAAGACTCTGTCTGAAAACAAAAAACAGAAGTGGTGGGTCTGAGGGCCCTGCCAGGGCATCTCTGTACCACCCTCCTCCCACCTCTAGACGGGTTGCTGGAGCTCTTGGCACAAAGAAAGTGAGCAGAGGCCAGGCGTGGTGGCTCATGCCTGTAATCCCAGCACTTTGGGAGACCCAGGAGGGCGGATTGAAGGTCAAGAGTTCACGACCAGCCTGGCCAATATGGAGAAACCCCTTCTCTACTAAAAATACAAAAATTAGCCAGGTGTGGAGGCAGGTGGCTCAGGAGGCTGAGGCAGGAGAACCCAGGAGGCAGAGATTGCAGTGAGCCAAGATCATGCCATTGCACTCCAGCCTGGGGGACAAGAGCAAGAACGCCGTCTCAAAAAAAAAAAAAAAGTGAGCAGAATGGCCTCCACCTGCATCAGTAGTAATGGGGAATGTGCTACTCTCAGCTTGGAGAGCAGCTCCACTTCCAGTGGCTCATGTGTTGAGCCTCACATTTGATTGCATTTCACAACAACCCTGTGAAGAGGGTGTTAATTGCCCATTTTGCTGAGAGGGAGCTGAGGTTCAGGGAGGTTGGTTTCCCAGGGTCCTATAGGATCTGCTCTGGGGTCTGGTAGAGACAGCTGCCAAGGCCATGCCTCCCCTGCTGCCCTCTGGTGCCTCTCCACTTCCCAGCTCATCCATCCATTCCTCCCACACGCATGTCCACTCACTCACAGTCCCCTGCCTGCCCCATTCTACCAGCCACAGAAACTACAGTCCTAAGACAGAGGGACCCCTTGGGTGGGGACCCTGCCTGGAGTGGCACCCAGAAGTCTTCACTCGAGATGAAATTTGTTCACAACTTTTCTGATTCTGGTTTTTGGTGCGTTTTTTTTTTTTTTTTTTTTTTTTTTGAGACAGAGTTTTGCTCTTGTTGCCCAGGCTGGAGCACAGTGGCACAATCTTGGCTCACTGTAACCTCCACCTCCCAGGTTCGAGCAGTTCTCCTGCCTTAGCCTCCCAAGTAGCTGGGATTACTGGCATGAGCCACTACACCCAGCCAATTTTTGTATTTTTAGTAGAGACAGGGTTTCACCAGGTTGGCCATGCTGGTCTCGAACTCCTGGCCTCAGGTGATCCACCTGCCTCAGCCTTCCAAAGTGCTGGGATTACAGGCGTGAGCCACCACGCGTGGCTCTAGTTTTTGTATTTTTATTTTATTTATTTATTTATTTGTTTATTTATTTATTTTTTTTTTGAGACAGAGTCTCGCTCTGCTGCCCAGGCTGGAGTGCAGTGGCGCAATCTCAGCTCACTGCAAGCTCCGCCTCCCGGGTTCAGGCCATTCTCCTACCTCAGCCTCCCATGTAGCTGGGACTACAGGTGCCCGCCACCATGCCCAGCTAATTTTTGTATTTTTAGTGGAGACGGGGTTTCACCGTGTTAGCCAGGATGGTATTGATCTCCTGACCTCGTGATCTGCCCGCCTCGGCCTCCCAAAGTGCTGGGATTACAGGTGTGAGCCACCACGCCCGGCCTAGTTTTTGTATTTTTAGTAGAAACCGGGTTTCACCATGATGGCCAGGCTGGTCTTGAACTCCTGACCTCAGGTGATCCACCTGCCTTGGCCTCCCAAAGTGCTGGGATTACAGGCGTGAGCCACGGAGCCCAGCCGGTGGGGATTTATTTATGTATGTTTTTGGAGACAGGGTCTCACTTTGTTGCCCAGGCAGTAGGGCATCATGCAGTAGTGTGATCATTGCTTACCGTAGCCTTGAACTCCTGGACCCAAGCAATATTCCTGCCTCAGCCTCCCTCACACCTGGAATTAGAGGTGTGAGCCACCACACCCAGCTGTGGGGGGTATTTAGAAAGAAAGTCTCCCTAAGTTATCTGTCCAGGGCCCAGCTTTCTAAGGTTCAGTTTTTATCTTAGGGATCTCAGCAGGAAACAGCGGCACACTCAAACACTCAGTGTTTGCCAGAAGAGGATTTAATGAAGAGACCATTCACAGAGGTGTGGGCAGGAATGGCGGAGCACCTGGGACTCGCAATGGTGGAATGGAATCATTACCCCTGGGCCTGAAGGAGCAGGGGAGGGAGCCTTGTTAAGGAACCTGGCCAGAGCTGTACCCATGGGTACAAACCACCCAACAGGAGCCATGGCTTTTGGGGGAGGAATATAGTTAATGCCAAAGTCACAGGCAGGGAGGGGGCATAATAAATATCTTTATCTAGGCTGGGTGTGATGGCTCACACCTATAATCCCAGCACTTTGAGAGGCTGAAGCGGGTGGATCACCTGAGGTCAGGAGTTTGAGACCAGCCTGGCCAACATGGCAAAATCCTGTCTCTTTGTATTTTGTAAAAATACAAAAATTAGCTGGGTGTGGTAGCACATGCTTGTAGTCCCAGCTACTTGGGAGGCTGAGGCACGAGAATCACTTGAACCCAGGAGGTGGAGGTTGCAGTGAGCTGAGATCATGGCACTGCACTCCAGCCTGGGTGACAAAGCGAGACTCTGTCCCCCCAAAAATAAAAAATAAAATAAAAATAAATATCTTGATCTCACTCTCCTCCCTCTCTGATCTCCTGCCAGGGTCCCCAGTTTGGCCAAACCCCACCTGAAACCAGAAGGCAAGGGGGCCCAGGAGACGCTGGCCGCAGGAGTCAGCTCCTGGACACAAAGCTCTGAGAAGGAAGGTTAGGCTAAGAGTAGCCAGCCCAGGGGCCTCTCTCCTCCTCCTGGGTTTGGCTTTGTGGAGGGGCTGAGAGTTAAGAGTGGCTGCGCTTGTCCTTCAAAGCAGAGTCTGTGCCTGATTCCTGATTCCAGAACAGCTTTTCTCATCCTTCCAGGCCCAGGTACTTTGTTCACGAGGCCATCCCCAGTCCCGGAGTTAATTTCTCCCATCCATCCCTGGCTTCCCTGGTTCTCAATGTCTATCACATCACTCAGCCCAGTGATTTGGCATTATTTTCTGCATAGGTTTTTCTCCCCAGGAGACGGTTCTAGCTTCCTCTACACTGAAAGCTTCTTGCAGGCTTGGGCCAAATAAGGCTGTTTGCTCTGACACAGGGCCCAGCACAGCCCAAGTGCCAATGTTTGCCAAGTGAGCTGAATCTTATGGGCTCAAATACCTCACACTGCCTTGCTGTATGCAATCTGGGCACATGTGTGTCTGTCTCCCTGAGTAGACTGGGGCTCCTGAGAGGTGAGTGGCCCAGGCCTAGCACACAGCAGGCATCAAATATTGCCTAAATTAGCCTAAGTAAAACCATCCTCCTTCCCTTCATTCATTCAACAATTTTTTTGGAGCTTCCAGATAGCTGAACATATGGAGGTTCCTGGAGGATGGTGTGCCCAGGGAGGGGATGGAAGCTTCATGCCCCTTCCTCCATAACTCTGCCCTATTCATCTCTTCATCTGTATCCTTTTCAATATCCTTTATAATAAGCCACTAAAGCTAAATATGGCCATGTGACTGAGCTCTGGCAATAGGACACAATCAGAAGTGGTGTGAGGTGAGCGACCCCTCCTTTTTACTTTCATTGGATAGAATGAGGCATTAGAAGGGAGCTTGGACTGGTCTTGGATGGGTGTGGATTAGGGCCACAGTCTGGAGATGGTGGAAGACCAAGCTGTGATTCTGCATCTTTGGCAGATTGTATTTTCCCAAGACAGAGGCAATACTATATCCCATTCCATAAGCTCTTCTTATACTGTGACTTTGACACACCCTTCCCATTAAAAGGTGGCATCTATGTCCCCTCCCCATGAGCTGGAGGCCCGGGTTTTTGTGACTGCCTTTAGCAACAGAATAGGTCAGCAGTGACAGTGTGTAGCTTCCAAGGCTAGCTCAAAAAAAATGCCTTTCACTTCTGCCTTGTTCTTTTGGGACGTTTACTGTTGGGACTTAGCCACCATGCCATGAGGAAGCACAAGCAACCCGTGGAAAAGCCCATGTGGAGGAGAACCAAGACCCCCAGCCAAATACCCTGCTGAGCTCCCAGCTGACAGACCGCATCAACTTGCCAGCCACATGAGTGAGCTGTCCTGGACGCGAGTTCTGCAACCTCTGGGCAAGCCACCTCAGCTGATGCCACGTGAAGCAGAAATGAGCTGCCTCCACCAAGCCGTGCCCAAATCACAGATCTGTGGGTAAAATAAATGATTGTTATTATTATAAAAAACAAAAACAAACAATTTTTTTAAGGTCCTACTATGTGGTAGTCCCTGTGCTGGGCTCTGGAGACACAGCAGTAAACAAGACACATAAAGTCTCTGCCCTCATGGGGCTTCCATTCTAGTGGGGAAGCAGAGAAGAAAATAATTGAAAATGAATAGTATTGGCCGGGAGCGGTGGCTCATGCCTGCAATCCCAGCACTTTGGGAGGCCGAGATGGGCGAATCACGAGGTCAGGAAATCGAGACCATCCTGGCTAACACGGTGAAACCCCGTCTCTACTAAAAATACAAAAAAATTAGCTGGGCATGATTGCAGGCACCTGTAGTCCCAGCTACTCCGGAGGCTGAGGCAGGAGAATGGCCTGAACCCAGGAGGCGGAGCTTGCAGTGAGCTGAGATTGCACCACTGCACTCCAGCTTGGGCAACAGAGTGAGACTCCGTCTCAAAAAAAAAAGAAAGAAAATGAATAGTATTGTTGCAGATTGATAAGTGCTGCACAGAAAATAAACAGGGTGACAGGGATAAACAGTAAATGGGGTGAGGCATGGTGGCTCCTGCTTGTAATCCCAGCACTTTGGGAGGCTGAGTCTGGAGGATCCCTTGAGGCCAGGAGTTTGAGATCAGCCTTAACAACATAGTGAGACCCCATCTCTATTAAATAAAATTTTACAAAACCCAACAAAACAAAAAAGCCCATAACAAAAAAATAAATGGGTGGACATTATGGGCAGGGGGTGGGGAGGCATCAGAGAAGGCCTCTGTGAGATGTGATCTGAGACCTGAAGGAGAGTAAAAGGTGGGCTGTGAAGAGCTGGAAAGGGTTTTCTAGGCAGAGGGAGCAGCAGAAAAGGCCTGGCTGGGTGTGGTGGCTCACTCCTGTAATCCCAGCACTTTGGGAGGCTGAGGTAGGAGGACTGCTTGAGCCTAGGAGTTTGAGACCAGCCTAGGCAACACAGTGAGACCTCGTCTTTACAAAAAATACAAAAATTATCCAGGTGTGGTGGTGTGCATCTGTAGTTCCAGCTACTCGGGAGGCTGAGATGGGAGGATCACCTGAGCCCAGGAGGTTGAGGCTGCCGTGAACCATGATTGCACCACCGTACTCCTGCCTGGATGACAGAGTGAGACCCTGACTGCAAGAAACAACAGCAACAAAAAAAACAACAACAAAGGCTTGGAGGTGGGGAAGTTTCTGGGACCCTGGGGAATTCAGGGTTTCAGCCTAAAGAAGCGCTGAGCAGGAGGGTAGGAGCGGGTCAGAAATTCAGTCCTAGGGACAGCCTAAGGCCAGGTCCTGGGCTGGGGGTTGGAGGGGCAGAGCCAGCTCTTCTGAATGCCACCCTTGCCGCCTGTTGCTTGGTACCACAGCAAACAGAGCCTCTGGCAGGCCTGCCCTTGCTGCCTTAGCTCTCCTCTGGCGGGCAGCAGATGTCAAATGCCCAGCAGCTGAGGCTTCGCCAGCCTCCTCCCCTGGAATAGTTCGGGGGTAAGTCAGAAAATGACCAGCAGCCTCAAAACCTGGCTTTTTCTCGTGCGTACCTTACAAGGGTATATTTGGCTGCCCTGGGTGTTAAATCTTCCACCCCCTTGCATTAGACAGAGAAATATAAATATACAGCCACAGGCAGCACACTCAGACGCGAGGATGAATGAACATTTATCAACCCCCAGTCACGCACAAGCACACAGTCAGAGTCACAAGCGGGACCATATGCATGCCCCCCACACAGAGTCAAAACCGCCAGCCCCACAAAGACACTCCACCATGGCACAATCACCACACACATTCACCCTGAGATCACACAATCACACATCCACATGCTCACACACAGACATGTACCCCACAATCACCGCAGAGTCACACAGGGGCACACAAGCCCACACACATTCAACACCACGGCATGCTTCCCCCACCGGCCTCCCAGGCACCCCAGCCCCTGGGGCTTGTTATGGTGCCAGCATTCTTCTGCGATTGAGTCAAAGACCTCCCCAGACAGGGTAGCTAAGTGGAAAAAGGAATCCGAAGGAAGAACGCCTGAAGCCCAGGTCTGGGAAGGGGCCCAGCAGCTTCTCTCTTGGGGAGAAAGACGTCAGTGCTGGTTTGACCCTCACACTAGTGGGCTGAGGACGTGGGGGGAGGTATGTCTTGAAGTTGACAGAAGTGGGCTGAGTGGGGTGACAGGTGGAGCAGGAGAGAGACCCCAGGAAGCCTCAAAGGGTGGGGCAGAAAGTGGGGTTAAATATGGACTCAATGTGATAGGCGTAAACTCCTCCGCAGTTCTCTCTAACCCCAGCCACCCAGCCCGCCCCCAGGCTCCAGGCTGTCCCCAAACGCGCGGGGTGTGGCCGTGAACCCTCCTCCCCGGCCGCGCCCTGCCCCGCCCTTCACGACAGCTGCCGGGGACAGCCCGGAGTGCCCAGAGGGTGGCTGCGGCCCTTCCCCTCTTGGGTGGGGACCAGAGGGCGCTGAGCGGCAGCGGACACCCCCAAACACTCGCGGGAGAGGGGTGCTGGCTCCCTTTGAGCAGCCCGCCCAACCCTGCCTCCACCCTCCCAGGCTGGACAGGGAAGGTGCTCCCTGGGGCTTCAGACCCCCCTTCTGACTCCCCCTGCAACGGGACCTCACGAAAGGAAGGGTGGAGAGAAGGTTCGGGAAGACGAGGGGGCTGGGAGGTTTGGAAAGACAGCTCCAGGCCCCCGTTCCCACCCCCGCCCCAGGCTGGTCCGGGAGGGGCAGCCTCTCCCCGCCCCCAGGTCCGCGCGGCCGCTCCCTCCTCCCCCGGCAGGAGCCCCGGCCAAGTGGGCGCGCCCGGCCCGGGGCCGGCCGGGATCCGGTGTCGGTTGCAGCTGGCAGTGCGGCGGGCGCGGGCGCCGGAGCGAGGGGCCCGCGGGCCCGGCTATTAATAACGCGGCCGCCAGCCCGGGGTCGCGCAGCCATGGCCAGCCCGGAGCCCCGGCGCGGCGGGGACGGCGCCGCCCAGGCCGCGAGGTAGGACAGTGCCGGGCCCGCGTCGCCGCCCCGCTGGGGAAGGGGTGCTGCTGGACGGGTTCCCTTTCCCCCCGACCGCGGGCGTCTTTCGCCTGTCTAGGGGTAGTGGTCCAGCCGGGGTGGGGCACTGGAGCCGCCTCGTGAGGGGACATCGGGGAGTCGGGCCGTCCCGGGGTCCTGGCACCTCCGTTTGTCTGTGGCTTTTTATAATACCCCTCCCCCTCCCGGGACTACATGAAAATTAACCCTTCCAGGCGAGTGGGCATCCACCGCTCAAGTGCCATTTGGCCCATAGCAGCCAAAGACACTTCTCGCTAGCCTTCATTCCTCCCTGCAAATGTCAGTTGGAGACAGAGGCCTCCCCTGCTGAAGTGGCTGTGTGGAAGCCACTTGGTGCAAGGCTGGGCATCTGCCAGCTTGAAGTTAAGAGTCTGTCAGGGCTTGTTCTCTCCCGTCTGGCCTGGGATGGGTGGGGGAAGGGTCCAGGGGCCCTCCCCACTATCCCTCCTGGCAGGGCACGGCTGATTATTGGGGGAAGGGACCTGTGGCTGAGGGGTTTGGGGTGAGGTGTATTTCTGTCCCAGGTCATACTGTGGCTCTGGGACTTCCCAGTGTACCAAGAGGTGAGGGTGCAAATACATAGCTCCCGACACCCCTTCACTGTCACACAGGGGCACAAAGCTGAGCGGTCTTACACACACACACTCACCCATACTGCTGTCCACACCTACAGCTACAGTCAGACACACGGACTCTTGCCTGCACAATGTCACATGGACTCCCAGCCACATCCCTGAACAGGGTTGGAGAGCTCTGCGGTTCTCTGGGGACAGGGACAGAGTGGCAGAGGCAGGCTGCCCAGGGCCCAAGGAAGCCCGAGGTCAGGGGCCCCAACTAAGCTGGCTTCCTCTCCTCTGAGCCTCCTGTCATCTGCTTCTTTCCCTCCTCTCTCTGTTTAAAAGAGGCGGCTGTGTGAGGGCAGCACCCAGCAGAGGCCTGGCACCATGGGTGGGGTGGTGGAGGCAGCACGATGTGTGCTAACAGCACAGCTTGGAGGTCAGGAGGCCTGGGTTTTACTTCCAGCTTTGCCATTCGACCTTGGGCAGATTTCCTCCTTGGAGTTCATCTGGTTTCTGCCTGTCTGCCCTTACAGAGCCCCACCCTAGGATATAGAGCAGAATGAGAACTCTGCTTGTCCTTAGGAAACTCACTATCAGGGAGACAGACACATGTACTTCTGTAACTGGAGCAATAAGTGTGAAGATGTGCTGCATACAGAGTGCCCTGAGAACACACATGGGGCTGTCTGGGAGATACTTTACGGAAGAGATGAAGTTTGAGCAGGGCTTGAAGGATGAGTAGAAATTTGTTAGATAGATAGAAGTATATTGTGGGCCCGGCGCGGTGGCTCACGCCTGTAATCCCAGCACTTTGGGACGCCGAGGTGTGCGGATCACCTGAGGTCAGGAGTTCAAGACCAGCCCGGCCAACATGGTGAAACCCGGCTCTACTAAAAATACAAAAATTAGCCAGGCGTGGTGGCGTGTGCCTGTAATCCCAGTTACTTGGGAGGCTGAGACAGGAGACTTGCTTGAACCCAGGAGGCAGAGGCTGCAGTGAGCGGAGATTACACCATTGCACTCCAGCCTGGGCAACAAGAGTGAAACTCCATCTCAAAAAAAAAAAAAGTATATTGTGACTGCTGCATGCCAGGCTTTTTATATGTGCTGTAGTTACCTCTTTTGGACCTCACGCCTATCCTAGGAGGGTGGTAAATACTGCAGGCCTTCTCCAGCCTCCACCACTTACAACAGTTGTGGAACCTTGTGTGAGTTCTTACTCTGTGCATTGGCTTCCTCATCTATAAAATGGAGATAATAGATGAAGATTCTTTCTTTCTTTCTTTTTTTGAGACAGAGTCTTGCTCTTGTTGCTCAGGCTGGAGGGCAATGGCGCAATCTCAGTTCACTGCAACCTCTGTCTCCCAGGTTCAAGCAATCCTCCTGCTTCAGCCTCCTGAGTAGCTAGGATTACAGGCACACACCACCATACCCAGCTAATCGTTTGTATTTTTAGTAGAGACGGAGTTTCACCATGTTGGCCAGGCTGGTCTCAAACTCCTGACCTCAGGTGATCCACCCGCCTCGGCCTCCCAAAGTGCTGGGATTACAGGCGTGAGCCACTGCACCCAGCCAATAGATGATGAGGATTCTATAAATGAGTATTCATGTAAAATGCCTAGAATAATCTTGAACACGGTGAAGTCATTCCAAGGTGGGCGGCTCGGCACGAGAATGATGAAAGGGCCGTCTGCTGGGAAAGCAGGGACTGTTGAATATCAGAGTGAGTTTGGCTGGCTGAGCAGGTGCATCCTTCCTGGCCCTGGCTCTAGGAGCTCTGCCTTCCCAGGTAGTACAGGGTTCTCTAGTTAGGTGGTTTTTGAGAAGCTGCAATTCTCAGCTGGACACCGTGGGCTTAGAGTAGGAGGTGTAAAAAGTTAATGCAAGCTCTAGGATGTCAAGCATTGGGTGGGTTGCAGGAATAATGTGAGAGGAAGCTAAAAAAGGTATGTTTGGGGCCGGGTGTGGTGGCTTATGCCTGTAATCCCAGCACTTTGGGAGGCCGAGGCAGGCGGATCATGAGGTCAGGAGTTCGAGACCAGCCTGACCAAGATGGTGAAACCCTGTCTCTTCTAAAAATACAAAAAATTAGCCAGGCATGGTGGTGGGCGCCTGTAGTCTCAGCTACTCGGGAGGCTGAGGTAGAGAATTGCTTGAAACCAGGAGCCGGAGGTTGCAGTGAGCCGAGATTGCACCACTGCACTCCAGCCTGGGCAACAGAGCGAGACTCTGGCTCAAAAAAAGAAAAAAAAAAAAAAAGGTATGTTTGGGCCACATCTTTAAGGACCTTGAAACCATGCGTAGCAATTTGGGTATTTATTGGTGAAGTGGAGCAATAGTTCACTCTGTGTTGTAGCAAGTTAACTGTGGTGGTGTAGAGAATAGATTGAGGTGAGGAGAGGAGGAAGTCCTTTTAGAAGACCAGGACAAAAGTGCCAGTGAGACAGGATGTCTTGGAGTAGGGCCCTGATAGTGGGATGCAGAAGAGGGGGATGGAGACTGTAGTCTTTCTAAGATAGAAAGGTCACTTTTTGGCCAGGCGCAGTGACTCGTGCCTGTAATCCCAGCACTTTGGGAGGCCATGATCCCTGGTGGATCACGAGGTCAGGAGATTGAGACCATCCTGGCCAACATGGTGAAACCCTGTCTCTACTAAATACACAAAAATTAGCCAGGCGTGGTGGCAGGCACCTATAGTCTCAGCTACTCAGGAGGCTGAGGCAGGAGAATCACTTGAACCCAGGAGGAGGAGGTTGCAGTGAGCTGAGACCACGCCACTGCACTCCAGCCTGGGCGACAGAGTGAAGCTCCATCTCAAAAAAAAAAAAAAAAAAGAAAAGAAAAGTCACTTCTCAGTGAACTGGCTATACAGGGGAGGGAAAGAGCTGTCTGAAGATTTCTTGCCTGTGGCCGGATGTGGTGGCTCATGCCTGTAATCCCAGCACTTTGGGAGGTCTAGGTAGGAGGATCGCTTGAGCTCAGGAGTTTGAGACCAGCCTGAGCAACATAGTGAGACTTCATCTCTACAAAAAGTTAAAAAATTAGCGGGTGTGGCGCTACGTGCCTGTAGTCCTGGCTACCCGGGAGGCTGAGGCAGGAGGATGGCTTGAGCCGGGGAGGTTGAGGCTGCAGTGAGCTATGATCATGCCACAGTACTCAGGCCTGGGCGACAGAGGGAGACTCCATCTCAAAAAAAAAAAAAAAGACAAAAACAAAAAAACAGAAACAGGAAAGACCAAAGCTATTTGCATTTGAGGGGCAAAGCAGCAAGAGAACACTCCCCAGTGGGAACTGACTGAGCTGGCAGGCAATAGGCAGCTGGGTCAAAGAGCTCAGATGTCAGAATGATGGAATCTGACTTCAAGAGCGTTTGACAGGATAGAAGGGTGGGCCAGTTCTAACAAGATGAACTTTTACAGAAACAAGAAATGTTGCTTACAAGCACTTGGTATGAAAAACTTTTTTTTTTGATACAGAGTTTGGTTTTGTTGCCCAGGCTGGAGTGCGGTGGCGCAATCTGGGCTCACTGCAAGCTCCGCTTCCCAGGTTCACACCATTCTCCTGCCTCAGCCTCCCGAGTAGCTGGGACTACAGGTGCCCGCCACCACGCCTGGCTAATTTTTTTGTACTTTTAGTAGAGACGGGGTTTCACTGTGTTAGCCAGTATGGTCTCGATCTCCTGACCTCATGATCCGCCTGCCTCAGCCTCCCAAAGTGCTGGGATTACAGGCGTGAGCCACCACGCCCGGCATTTTTTTTTTTTTTTTTTTTTTGAGATGGAGTCCCGGTCTGTCGCCCAGGCTGTGGTGTGATCTCGGCTCACTGCAACCTCTGCCTCCCAGGTTCAAGCGATTCTTGTGCCTTAGCCTCCCGAGTAGCTGAGATTACAGGCATGCACCATCATGCCCTGCTAAGTTTTGTATTTTTAGTAGAGACGGGGTTTCACCATGTTGGCTAGGCTGATCTCGAACTCCTGAGCTCAGGTGATCCACCCGTCTTGGCCTCCCAAAGTGCTGGCATTACAGGCGTGAGCCATCTCGCCCAGCCCTGGGGCACTGTTTTTGATACCCATCCCAATTTCTAGCTCTTGGGGAACTTAAGAATAAAGGCAAATTAAAAAAAAATCCTCAAAAGAGTGACAGTCTGAAAGCTGTCATTTGTGTCACAAGGATATGACACAAATGAAGAGGGCACTGGAAACCTGGACATGTATGGAATAACAAAGATAAGCTGGGTTTTTTTTGTTTTTTTTTTTGACAGGGTCTCTGTTGCCCAGGCTGGGGTGCAGAGTGGTGCAGTCATGGCTCAGCACAGCCTCGACCTCCCAGGCTCAGGTGATTCTCCCACCACAGCCTCCCAAGTATCTGGGACTACAGGTGTACACCATCATGCCCAGCTAATTTTTTGTATTTTTTTGTAGAGATGGGGTTTCGCCATGTTGCCCACGCTGGCCTTAAACTCCTGGACTCAAGAGGTCTTGGCCTCCCAAAGTGCTGGATTACAGACATGAGCCACCGCACTTGACCACGGTTATCTTTTTTTTTTTTTTGAGACGGAGTTTCGCTGTTGTTGCCCAGGCTGGAGTGCAATGGTGCAATCTCGTCTCACTGCAACCTCTGCCTCTTTGAAGTTCAAGAGATTCTCCTGCCTCAGTGAGTATCTGGGATTACAGGCATGCACCACCACGCCCGGCTAATTTTGTATTTTTAGTAGAGATGGGGTTTCTCCATGTTGGTCAGGCTGGTCTTGAACTCCCGACCTCAGGTGATCCGCCTGATTCGGCCTCCCAAAGTGCTGAGATTACAGGTGTGAGCCACCACGCCTGGCCGACCATGGTTCTCTTTAAGTGTTTAGATAACTTACACAGAAAAGAAGGTAGAAATATCTGATCCTAGAAGGAAGAATCAGGTAAATCCAGTGGCTAAAAGTTACCAGGAATTGCTGGGCATGGTGGCTCAATGCCTGTAATCCCAACACTTTGGGAGGCTGAAGAGGGCGGATCACTTGAGGTCAGGAGTTTGAGACCAGCCTGGCCAACATGGTAAAACCCCATCTCTACTAAAAATACAAAAATCAGCTGAGTGTGATGGCACGTGTCTGTAGTCCCACCTACCTGGGAGGTGGAGGCTGAAATGGCACCACTGCACTCCAGCCTGGGTGACAGAGCAAGACTCCATCTCAAAGAAAAAAAAAAGTTATAAGGAAGGTTTTACCTCAACATTATAATTTTATTAGAACTGGGCTGGGCGCAGTGGCTCATGCCTATAATCCCAGCACTTTGGGAGGCCGAGGCGGGCAGATCATGAGGTCAGGAGTTTGAGAACAGCCTGACTAACATGGTGAAACCCCATCTCCACTAAAAATACAAAAATTAGCCGGGCGTGGTGGTATGTGTGCCTATAATCCCAGCTGCTCAGGAGGCTGAGGCAGGAGAATCACTTGAACCTGGGAGGTGGAGGCTGCAGTGAGCCAAGATCGCACCACTGCATTCCAGCCTGGCAACAGAGCAAGACTCCGTCTCAAAAAAAAAAGGCGTGGTGGTGCTACTTGGGAGGCTGAGGCAAGAGAATCGCATGAACTGGGGGACAGAGGTTGCAGTGAGCCGACATCACGCTATTGCACTCCAGCCTCGGCAATACAGCGGGACTCCATCTCAAAAAAAAAAAATTATTATAATTGTGGAACAAACAGTGGTGCCTCAGGTATGTCGAGTCCTTGGAGCTGCATAAGCAGAGACCATATGGTGATGTCGCTGGGATGCTGGCAGGGGATCTACACCGTGGTTGGGTGTGTGGAGGGGTGGATTGACAGAGTGGAGGGAGCAGACGAATGGCTGCTGACATCTAAGAACCTGAGGTAGTCTAGGCCCATGGCTGCTGGCTCCAGAATTGCACCATCCTGGGATTGTGGCTGCCCTTTCACTTTCAATCATTTCTTTTGCAGGAAAACAAGAGTAGAGGCCAATTCTCCTCTTCCAAAGAACTCTGGATCCCTAAATGAGGCAGAAGCCTTGAACCCAGAAGTTACTCTATCTTCAGAGGGGTCCTTAAACCTCGAAGACATTCTCTACCTGGAGGACACAGGTGACCTTGATGAGACACTCTATGTGCAAGAGACTGAGAAGGCAGAGGAGGCCCTGTATATTGAGGAGGCCATGCAGCCAGATGAGGCTCTGCATGTGGAGGAGCCTGGGAATCCAGAGGAGACAGTGTGTGTGGAGGAAACCACGGAGCCAGATCGGATACAGTTTGTGGAGGGGCCCGTGGAGCCAGGAAAGCCCACAAGCCCAGAGCACGTTGTTTATGAGGGAGAGACAGTCACAAGGGCGGAGAAATCTAACCCTGAGGAGAGCCTCAGAGCCGAGCAGAGCCCCAGCATGGAGGAGAACCTGAGCATAGAGGACCTGGAATTGCTAGAGGGGCGTTTCCAGCAGTGTGTCCAAGCTGTGGCCCAGCTGGAAGAGGAGAGGGATCAGCTCATCCATGAGCTTGTATTGCTCCGGGAACCAGCCCTGCAGGAGGTACAGCAAGTCCATCAAGACATCCTGGCTGCCTACAAGCTCCATGCCCAAGCAGAGCTGGAGAGAGATGGCCTAAGGGAGGAGATCCGGCTGGTCAAGCAGAAGCTTTTCAAAGTGACAAAGGAATGTGTGGCCTACCAATACCAGCTGGAGTGCCGCCAGCAGGACGTGGCTCAGTTTGCCGATTTCCGGGAAGTGCTGACTACAAGGGCAACCCAGCTCTCAGAGGAACTGGCCCAGCTCCGGGATGCCTATCAGAAGCAGAAGGAGCAGCTGCGGCAACAACTAGAAGCCCCTCCAAGCCAGAGGGATGGGCACTTTCTCCAGGAAAGCCGGCGACTCTCTGCCCAGTTTGAAAATCTCATGGCAGAGAGCCGCCAGGACCTGGAGGAGGAGTATGAGCCTCAGTTCCTGCGGCTCCTAGAGAGGAAAGAAGCTGGGACCAAAGCTCTGCAGAGAACCCAGGCTGAGATCCAGGAAATGAAGGAGGCTCTGA
Organism: Homo sapiens; assembly: GCF_000001405.40. Lineage (NCBI taxonomy): Eukaryota > Metazoa > Chordata > Mammalia > Primates > Hominidae > Homo > Homo sapiens. The sequence continues at coordinate 32,694,971 of NC_000001.11, read as the reverse complement.
GACCCCTGCAAGCAGAGGCCCGGCAGCTCCGCCTGCAAAACAGGAACCTGGAGGACCAGATCGCACTTGTGAGGCAAAAACGAGATGAAGAGGTGCAGCAGTACAGGGTAGGCCCATTGGGCATGAAAAGAACTGAGGTCTTTTAACCTGGGGAAAGAGTGGCCAGAGTCCAAGGTCTTTGGGGCTGAAAGATAGTGTCACATGTAGGAAGAAAAATTTGTTCTTTGGGGCCACGCAATTTTTTCTCCATTCTTCATTCATTCAGGCCCATGCTAGGGACTAGAAGTTATCTGCACTGTTTTTTGTTTTTTTTTTTTTGAGATGGAGTCTCGCTCTGTCGCCCAGGCTAGAGTGCAGTGGTGCGATCTCAGCTCACTACAAGCTCTGCCTCCTGGGTTCATGCCATTCTCCTGCCTCAGCCTTCTGAGTAGCTGGGACTACAGGTGCTCACCACCATGCCCGGCTATTTTTTTGTATTTTTAGTAGAGTCGGGGTTTCACTGTTGTTAACCAGGATGGTCTGGATCTCCTGACCTCGTGATCCGCCTGCCTTGGCCTCCCAAAGTGCTGGGATTACAGGTGTGAGCCACCGCGCCCGGCCTGCACTCTGTTTTTTTTGCGACAGGGTCTTGCTGTCACTTAGGCTGGTGCAGTGGCATGATCACAGCTAACTGCAGCCTCGACCTCTCAGGTTCAAGCGATCCTCCCACCTCAGCCTCTTGAGTAGCTGGGACCACAACTGTGCACCAACATGCCCAGCTAATTTTTTCTTTTTTGAGACAGGTGCAATCTTGAGGGCTCACTGCACCTCAAACCTCTTGGGCTCAAGCGATCCTCCTGCCTTAGCCCCCAAGCAGCTGGGACTACAAGTGTGTGCCACCATACCTGGCTAATTTTTTGTAGAGACAGGGTTTCACCACGTGGCCCAGGCTGGATTTGAACTCCTGAGCTCAAGCTATCCGCCTGCCTTGGCCTCCCAAAGAGCTAGGATTATAGGTGTGAGCCACCGCAGCCGGCCAATTTTTGTATTTTTTGTAGACAGGGTTTTGCCATGTTGCCCAGGCTGGTCTTGAAATCCTGGGCTCAAGTACTTTTAATGGCAAAAGCTGCAATTAATTTTGCACCAACCTTAATAGAATCCTCTCATCTTCACTTTCCTTTTATGTGCATTTGTCCCCATCTCTCTTGCATTCAAGTTATTTCTGATTAAGTGTGAGCCAGTTCTAATCCCTTTTTAGAACAGAGTGGGATATAAATACTAAGTGAATAAACAATTACGTAGTCCCTCCTAGACTGTGAACTTTCAGAAGGTAGGGAATACATTTTACTTATTGTTGTATTACTCTCTGCTACTCAAGGCTCAGAGCACATGTGCTGCTGGGCACTAATGAGAAGACTGTAGTGTGGTGCTCTAAGCAGTACTTTAATCTTTTGAAACACTGATTCCTTTGGATAAACTTAGAAATCTATGTCTTCCCAGAGATTGTGATATGCCCTTAAGGGAACAAGTTTCCCTGTTGAAATGGCTGCATTCACTTCACTGAAGATTTTGTCAAGCTTTCTGTAGTTTGTATTATGAAAACACTCTGTCTGGGAGCGGTGGCTCACGCCTGTAATCCCAGCACTTTGGTTGGGAGGCTGAGGTGGGTGGATCACAAGGTCAGTAGTTTGAGACAAGTATAGCCAATATGGTGAAACCCCGTCTCTACTAAAAAGACAAAAATTAGGGGGGCATGGTGGCACATGCCTGTAGTCCCAGCTACTTGGGAGGCTGAGGCAGGAGAATCGCTTGAACCCGGGAGGCGGAGGTTGCAGTGAGCTGAGATTGCACCACTGCACTCTAGCCTGGGTGACAGAGTGAGACTCCATCTCAAAAACAAACAAAAACAAACAAACAAAAAAAAAACACTGTGGTTTTTGGGGTCATAATACTGAATGTTTTTTATTTTTATCTTTATTTATTTATTTTTGAGACAGAGTCTTGCTCTTTCACCCAGGCTGGAGTGCACTGAACCAATCTCGGCTCACTGCAAACTCCACCTCCCGGGTTCAAGCAATTCTCATTTCAGCCTCCTGAGTTGCTGGGACTACAGGTGCCCGCCACTGCACCCAGCTAATTTTTTGTATTTTAGTAGAGATGGGGTTTCACCATGTTGCCCAGGGTGGTCTCAAACTCCTGAGCTTAGGCAGTCCACCCGCCTCAGCCTCCCAGTTATTTTTACAGAGTCTCGCTCTGTCACACAGGCTGGAGTGCAGTGGAGTGCAGTGGCATGATCTCAGCTCACTGCAACCTCTGCCTCCTGGGTTCAAGCAATCCTCCTGCCTCAGTCTCCCAAGTTGCTGGGATTGCAGACCTGTGCCACCATGCCCAGCTAATTTGGGTATTTTAGTAGAGATGGGGTTTCACCATGTTGGTCAGGCTGGTCTCGAACACCTGACCTCAGGTGATCCACCGGCCTCAGCCTCCCAGTGTTGGGATTACAGGCGTAAGCCACCACACCCAGAAGTAATACTGAATGTTTTTAAACTCTTCATATTCCCCTTACCCTATTTTTTAAAAAATTGGTTCACAGTCTAGTGAAAAGTCATTTATTTAGCATCAATACTATCCTTAACAGCCAATACTCAGACAGACATTACATTAATAGTTGTATCTCAGAGAAGAAAGTAATAGGTGATTTATGAGAGGTGCAGGTAAAAGGGCTGTGGGATAGATGATGATGATGATGATGATTATTATTTTTTGAGACGGAGTCTGTCACTCTTGCCCAGGCTGGAGTGCAGTGGCGCTCAGCTCACTGCAAGCTCTGCCTCCCGGGTTCGCGCCATTGTCCTGCCTCAGCCTCCCGAGTAGCTGGGATTGCAGGCGCCCGCCACCGCACCAGGCTAATTTTTTGCATTTTTAATAGAGACGGGGTTTCACCGTGTTAGCCAGGATGGTCTCCATCTCCTGATCTTGTGATCCGCCCGCCTCGCCTCTCAAAGTGCTGGGATTACAGGCATGAGCCACTGCGCCCGGCCGGGATAGATTATTTTTAGGCGCTGGTTAAATCAGAGAACTCTTCATGAAAAAAGAGGTGGAATTTGAGCTAGGTATGAAAGCATAGGGAGAATCTAGACCAGTGCTGCCCAACAGAAATATAATGCAAGTCACATAAATAATTACAAATTTTCTAATAGCCACATTAAAATAGGCAAAAATTCAGCTGAGCTAAGCCTGAGGGGAGCAGGGGAGAAAAGATATAGGTAAAATTAATTTAAATATATTTTATCTAACTCAACATATCTGAAATATAATTAGTAACTTGGCTGCAGGTGACAAGCTTGAGTTTTGGACTTTATTCAGTAGTCTGCTGCATCATTAAAGGGATTTAATCAGGGAAGTAACATGATTGCCTTGCTACTTTTTTTTTTTTTTCTGAGATGGAGTCTCCCTCTGTCACCCATGCTGGAGTGCAGTGGCACGATCTCGCCTTGCTGCAACCTCCACTTCCCAGGTTCAAGCAATTTTCCTGCCTCAGCCTCCCAAGTAGCTGGGATTACAGGCGCCTAACACCATGGACGTGGCTAATTTTTTTTTAGTCGGAGTCTCTTCTATTGCCTAGGCTGGAGTGCAATAGCGTGATCTCGGCTCATTGCAACCTCTACCTCCCGGGTTCAAGCAGTTCTCCTGCCTCAGCCTCCCGAGTAGCTGGGACTACAGGTGCACAGTGCCACGCCTGGCAAATTTTTTTTGTTGTTTTTTTTTGTTTTTTGAGAAGGAGTCTCGCTCTGTCACCCAGGCTGGAGTGCAGTGGCATGATCTGGGCTCACTGCAACCTCTGCCTCCTGGGTTCAAGCGATTTTCCTGCCTCAGCCTCCCGAGTAGCTGGGACTACAGGTGCATGCCACCATAGCTGGCTAATTTTTTCTATTTTTATTAGAGACAGTGTTTCACTATGTTAGCCAGGATGGTCTTGATCTCCTGACCTCATGATCCACCTGCCTCGGCCTCCCAAAGTACTGGGATTATAGGTGTGAGCCACTGAGCCCGGCCAATTGTTTGTATAGTAGGGACGGGGTTTCACCGTATTGCCCAGGATGGTCTTGAACTCCTGAGCTCAGGCAGTCTGCCTGCCTCGGCCTCCCAAAGTGCTGGGATTACAGGCATGAGTCACCACGCCCGGCCCTAATTTTCGTGTTTTTGGTAGAGATGAAGTTTTACCATGTTAGCCAGCTGGTCTTGAACTCCTGACCTCAGGTGATCTGCCTGGCTCGGCCTCCCAAAGTGCTGGGATTACAGGCTTGAGCCACTGCCTGCCTCTCTACTTTTTTTTTTTTTTTTCTTTGGAGATGGAGTCTTGCTCTGTCACTCAGGCTAGAGTGCAGTGGCATGATCTTGGCTCACCGAAATCTCCGCCTCCCGGGTCAAGTGATTCTCCTGCCTCAGCCTCCCAAGTAGCTGGGATTACAGGTGCCCGCCACCAGGCCTCGCTAATTTTTGTATTTTTAGTAGAGATGGGGCTTCACCATCTTGGCCAGGTTGGTCTCCAACTCCTGACCTCGTGATCCACCCGTCTCGGCCTCCCAATGTGCTGGGATTACAAGAAGTACTGGTGGCAGGATATAAAGTGGGCTAGAGATGCAGAGCAATGGAGAATAATTAGAAAGCTACTCTAAGGAAGAGGTTAAGATGGTTTCAGATTTGACGATTTGTGCATCTTCCCAAGGATTGTTTTCCAAAGATAATCTTATGACACAAAGTTTTAAAAAGAATATTCAGAAGTCTATCTAATCTCTATCAAATGAATCTTTCTCTATTGAGAGGAAGTCTTGGTCTTCCTGCCTCAGCCTCCCGAGTTGCTGAGATTACAGGTGTGAGCCACTTTATCTGGCCTGATACACTCTTGGTAGTATAATAGCTTCTCTTGTTGCTATACCATCATTAAAGTAGGAAGCAAGGTCTGAGGTCCCTAATTTTTCTTTCTGAAATGGCTTCCTAAACTGTTTGCTAAAGTTCTATTTCATCAACTTACTTTTTTTTTTTTTTTTTTGTGACGGTGTCTCACTCTGTTGCTAGGCTGGAGTGCAGTGGCACAATCTTGGCTCACTGCAACCTCTGCCTCCCGGGTTCAAGCGATTCTCCTGCCTCAGCCTCTCAAGTAGCTGGGACTACAGGCTCACGCCACCACGCCCAGCTAATTTTTGTATTTTTAGTAGAGATGGGGTTTCACCACGTTGGCCAGGATGGTTTTGATCTCCTGACCTTGTGATCTGCCCGCCTCGGCTTCCCAAAGTGCTGGGATTACAGGCATGAGCCACCACGCCCGGCCCATCAGCTTACTTCCTAAGGGTGTCCCTTTAATCCTTAGGCTGCACTCCACTCTTAACGTTGCCTCTATCATCACCTTCATCAATTCAACAGTTTCTAAGTGCCTAATTACTGTGGGCCAGGCAGTGAGCTATGTGCTGGCAATAGCAATTAGAAATAGTATGTGTGGCCGGGCGCAGTGGATCACAAGGTCAGGAGTTCAAGACCAGCCTGGCCAAGATGGTGAAACCCTGTCTCTGCTAGAACTACAAAAAAATTAGCCAGGCATGGTGGTAGGCACCTGTAATCCCAGCTACTCAGGAGGCTGAGGCAGAATAGCTTGAACCTGGGCAGCAGAGGTTGCAGTGAGCTGAGATTGTGCCACTGCAATCCAGCCTGGGTGACAGTGACTCACCTCAAAAAAAAAAAAAAAAAAAAAAAAAAAAAGGCCAGGCGAGGTGCCTCACGCCTGTAATCCCAGCACTTTGGGAGGCCGAGGCGGGCGGATCACGTCAAAAGATCGAGACCATCCTGGCCAACATGGTGAAACCCTCATCTCTACTAAAAAATACAAAAATTAGCTGGGCGTGGTGGCATGTGCCTGTGTTCCCAGCTTCTCGGGAGGATGAGGCAGGAGAATTGCTTGAACCCGGGAGGCAGAGGTTGCAGTGAGCCGAGACTGCGCCACTGCACTCCAGCCTGGCAACAGAGCAAGACTCCGTCTCAGAAAAGAAAAAAAAAAGTGTGTGTGTGTTGCGGGGTGGGGGTAATGCTCCTGCCCTCAAAGAGTTTGTACTCCAGAGGCCGGGTGCAGTGGCCCATGCCTGTGATCCCAGCACTTTGGGAGGCAGAGGCGAGTGGATCATGAGGTCAGGAGATCGAGACCATCCTGGCTAACACGGTGAAACCCTGTCTCGCTAAAAATACAAAAAATTAGCCGGGCGTGGTGGTGCATGCCTGTAATCCCAGCTACTCGGGGGCTGAGGCAGAATTGCCTGAACCCGCAAGGTGGAGGTTGAGATCGCGCCACTGCACTCCAGCCTGGGCGACAAAGACTCCGCCTTAAAAAAAGTTTGTACTCCAGAAGGAAGCATAACAGACAAAATGAATGTATTTCGTAAAATCTAAGCACTGTTGATTTTAACATGCATCCTGATCAGAGATGTTAAAATGTGGCAGTCTTGGCATCAATTAAACATATTTCAATGTTATAAGCACTGTAATAGCTGTAGTGATAAGGCACTGTCCTGATGAAAACAGGCATGACTACCCCAGCCTGGGCAAAAGAGGGGACATTTCATAGATCAACAATAGCTAGTATGTACTTGAAGTTCTTTACACAAAATAATTCCTTTAGTCCTTACATCTCTATGAGTTAGGTATAAGGCATTTGAAAAATAAGAAGACAGAGGTAAGGCAGAGCAGTGATTTGCCCAGGGTTAGGCAGCTTGAGAGTGATGGAGCGAGGATGTAACTCCTGAACAATCTAGCTTGAGTCCATACTCAGGCTCTTCAAGATGCTGGAGCTGAACCTTAAGAATGAATTCATGCCAGGAGCAGTGGCTCACACCTGTAATCCCAGCACTTTGGGAGGCCGAGGCAGGTGGATCACCTGAGGTCAGGAGTTCAAGACCAACCTGACCAATATGGTGAAACCCCGTCTCTACTAAAAATACAAAAATTAGGCCGCCTGTAGTCCCAGCTACTTGGGAGGCTGAGACAGGAGAATCACTTGAACCCAGGAGCTGGAGGTTGCAGTGAGCCAAGATGGTGCCAGCGCACTCCAGCCTGAGCGACAGAGCAAGACTCCATCTCAAAAAATAATAATAATAATAATAATAATAATAATTCACTGGGCAGGTAAGGGAGAGGTCTTCCAGACAGAGGGAACAGCTCATACAAAAGCATGGAAACACAAAAAGACATGTTTTGGGAAGTGAGCTTAGTGGTGGAATCACAAGGAATGTTAACTAGATCCAGCTGGGACTAAACATTTTTTTCTTTTTTTTTTTGAGACGGAGCCTCGCTCTGTCTCCAGGCTGGAGTGCAGTGGCGCAATCTTGGCTCACTGTAACCTTTGCCTCCCGGGTTCAAGTCAATTCTCCTGCCTCAGCCTCCTGAGCAGTTGGGACTACAGGCGTGTGCCACCATGCCCAACTAATTTTTGTATTTTTAGTAGAGATGGGGTTTCACCACGTTGGCCGGGATGGTTTTGATCTCTTGACCTCGTGATCCACCTTGGCCTCCCAATGTGTTGGGATTACAGGCGTGAACCACCGTGCCTGGCCTACTAAACACTTTTATGGTTTTTTTTTTTTTTTGAGATGAAGTCTCGCTCTTGTCCCCCAGGCTGGAGTGCAATGGCACGATCTCAGCTCATTGCAACCTCCGCCTCCCAGGTTCAAGCAATTCTCCTGCCTCAGCCTCCCGAGTAGCTGAGATTACAGGCACCTGCCACCACGCCCGGCTAATTTTTTGTATTTTTAGTAGAGGCTGGGTTTCACCATGTTGGCCAGGCTGGTCTCGAACTCCTGACCTCAGATGATCCACCCGCCTCAACCTCCCAAAATGCTGAGATTACAGGCATGAGCCACTGTGCCTGGCCAGTTTTATGTATTCTTTAGACTAGTGGTTTCCAAAACTAAAGTTTTCTCTAAAGCTGTGGACCTTCTCCCCCAGATAATTTTACATAGAATGCAATATATAAAGCAGTTAAAAGCGGAGTTATTCTCTAACGGAAAAGTACCAAGGGCACTCCAATTTGGCCAGCTTTTGGGGTTGCACAGAAAAGTTTGAGAACCACTAAAAAGCCTGTTACCTTGAGTATGAGCTCTAAGCCAATGGCAAATCCTGGCTCTATCACTAAGTTGGAAACTTTGGACAAATTACTTAAGCTCTGTGGCTCAGCACCCTCACATGAAACATGAGATTAATAATACTCCCATATCCATAGGGTTGCAAGGAATGAACTAGTAAGCCACTTTCCCACAATTCCATGACTATACATTGATTAGACCTCTTCTTCCCCTTTAACTCTTTACTCATCCTTTAAACCCATTTCCCTTCTTCCTGAAGTTTCCCGATATCCTTAGTGTGCGACAGATAACCCTCCTGTTTCCACAGCACCTGTTACTTTATACTACTATTGCTGTAGCAGTTCCCCTTTTCCTGAGTTGGGGAATGTATCCTTTCTTTGTCTTTGTCCTATGTAGAAAATTAAAACTGGCAATGCTGTCAATGCAAGTGCTGGGGCAACTGTAGACAGACATGTCCTGGCCCTTGAGAAATTAGTATCTAGGTAGAAGGCAGCAGAAAACAAGGGACTGGCTGTCTAGGTGAAAAAAGTGGCAGGAACACAGGCACACAGATCTGAGTTGTTAGGCTAGAGTAGTGCTGTCTATCACTGCAAGCAAGCCACAGATGTCATTTTAAATGTTCTGGTAGCTCTATTAAAAAAAGAAACAGATGAAATTAACTTTAATGCATTTTATTTAACCCAACACATATATTTCAACATGTAATCAGTATCAAATATTTTTGACATATTTTACATTTTGTGTGCTGTCTTAGAAATCTGCTGTGTATTTTACACTTACATTACATCTCAATTGAGACTAGTCATATTTCAAATGAGTCCTATGTGACTAGTGACTTCGGTACTAGTAGTCCAGGGCTAGAGGAAAATGTTCATACGGAAGAGTAACAGAGGTTCAAGTTGGAGGTAGGGGTCAAACTAGAGGGGGTCTGAATGCCACTAAAGAAAGTGGAAAGCCTTTGAAGGATTTTGAGTTGATTGTAAAGTTAATCTAGTGGTTAACACAGGATTAAGAGACCATCCTTAATGCCACTGTAGCAATCCTTCCTTCATTTCATTGAGGCTGTTCCACTCTGTCACAGCTTATCACTGGTGGTGCAGACTGCTTTTCCAAGCATGTACTTTTGTACCTTACCAACGGGTCTGGTAGGTAGTGAGGACTGAGCAATCAGGACAGCAGTATGCAGATGCTTCCCTCTTCAGATGACACACTCTTAGGCATGGCTGGGCACTAAAAAAGGTCCTTTGACAATGTTGGTGAAAGCTGAGATTCAGCCAGAGTATCAAACAGTGCGGATTGATGTGCCACAGGTACAATGTCAAGTATGACTCAGAGGACAAATTATCTAGATCCTTCTAATAATAGCATGTACCCCAACAACTGGATTCCTTAGTATTCTTCAAAATCTGAGGTAAAATCACTCTCGCTTTAAAAGATACCAACTTCACCCCTTCCTCTCTTCCCAACTCCCTCCTGCTTCCTTAAGGATCCATGCCAGCTAGCAGGTAAACCAGAGACTGACTTGCTGACATCTTCCTTACCTTATTCCTCAGGTATACATCCTAGGCAGGGAAAATTTACAGAATGCATCCCAGCCTGATTCTGGAAGAATGAGAAAGTTATCTGAGGGCTCCCAAGGGCCTCCTGTGCATACCATCTTTATCTTCCAACTTAGAACTAACCAAATTCAGTCTTTTTGTGTAATGAAAAAAGGATAAGCTGGGCACAGTGGCTCACACCTGTAATCCCAGCACTTTGGGAGACCGAGGCGGGAGGACTGCTTGAGCCCAGGAACAAGACCAGCCTGGGCAACATAGCGAGACCCTGTCTCTATACAAAAATAAAGAAGAAAAAAGGATGCAGGAAATTAGCAATAGGATAGCCAACACCCTCACTAAAGCATCAATTTCCATATGATGTTAAGTACCAGGTAGAAATCTCTCTGACTTTAAGGAGCTTTGGACACAAAAACTTTTCCTTAAACAAGCCATTTATTTTCTAAACATGGACTTCCACTAGTTGTGTAACTCTCCTAGAATTCTAGCCAATATTTAATAATTGTTGCCACACTTTTGTATTTCAACTTAAGTATTTTATATTATTAAAAACTACCAATTATCTTAACAAACCTGCACATGGAGGGAGAGGTATATGAAACTCAGCCCACTAACTAGACCAAAATCCTCCTCAATGACACTAAGGTTGTAATACTAAAAAGTCCCAATCACCCTCCCAGGATTCTATTAAAGCAAGCTGTGGTTAACAGACAAGATGCCTTTTTCGTCATCATTTTCAAAAGCATTGTCACTTTTTTTCCAAGACACAACTTCTTTGAACCTGTTTCATAACCTATCATATAAATACCAGCCTCAATACTGCTATCAAGATTAAACAATGAACAAAAAAGTGTTTTATAAGTAAGAGTGGACAATGTGAGTTTTTATTGTTTGGCTCATTAGAAATGTTCTTGGCCATCTCATGCAGGAACAGCTGGAGGAAATGGAAGAACGCCAGAGGCAGTTAAGAAATGGGGTGCAACTCCAGCAACAGAAGAACAAAGAGATGGAACAGCTAAGGCTCAGTCTTGCTGAAGAGCTCTCTACTTATAAGTCAGTTTCTGCTGCTATACAAATCTCATCTAATACTGGCTGAGGGGATGGTGGGAGGGCTTAGGGAAAATTTTACCTTAGAATCAAAAACAAAAAGAGGATTTGGGAAATGATTTTCAAATTGTGCTTATCCAAAAACACATGGAAAATGGCTCTCTCTTTTTAAAGGGCTATGCTACTACCCAAGAGCCTGGAACAGGCTGATGCTCCCACTTCTCAGGCAGGTGGAATGGAGACACAGTCTCAAGGTGATCTTTGTGAAGAGAAGAGTGGTGTTTGCATTGTTACTGCTTTCCTAACAATACTAATTAATGCCTTAAAAACAGGCCGGACGGGGTGGCTCACGCCTGTAATCCTAGCACTTTGGGAGGCTGAGGAGGGTGGATCACCTGGAGTCAGGAGTTCAAGACCAGCCTGGCCAACATGGCAAAACTCCATCTCCACTAAAAATACAAAAATTAGCCGGGCATAGTGGCAGGCACTTATAATCCCAGCTACTCAGGAGGCCAAGGCAGGAGAATCGCTTGAACCAGGAGGCAGAGGTTGCAGTGAGTCAAGATCACAATACAGCACTCCAGCTTGTACAACAGAGTGAGACTGCCTCAAAACAAAACAAAAACCCAAAAAACAAAAACAACAAAAAACCCTTGTGTGCCTAATGACAAGGGGATAACCCAAACCTCCAAAACGCCTGAGTCAGGCATTCAGAGTTCATTTGGAATGTTTGTTTCTAGTAGGACTCAAAATATGCCCTGATTATCACCATGAATTCTGTGGCATCTAGGCTTTGGGCATCTTGTTTCCTCATCCTACCCTACCCACCTGCTATTCTCAGTTTTCCTTATAATAGCAGAGAAAGCAGTTGTGCTATCAAAAATAATAAACATATCTATCCATTAAGTTCCTTATATAATATTCAAAGGCTGTGGTTTTGGGTGGAAGCAGAGATGTTCATGTTACACAGACTTACTCTTTTTTTTTTTTTTTTTTTTTGAGACGGAGTCTTGCTCTGTTGCCAGGCTGGAGTGCAGTGGCGTGACCTCTGCCTCCCGGGTTCAAGCGATTCCCCTGCCTCAGCCTCCCAAGTAGCTGGGATTATAGGCACGCACCACCACGCCTGGCTAATTTTTTTGTATTTTAGTAGAGACGGGGTTTCACCATGTTGGCTAAGATGGTCTCATCTCCTGACCTTGTGATCCACTTGCCTCGGCCTCCCAGAGTGCTGGGATTTCAGGTGTGAGCCACCATGCTTGGCCTAAACAGACTTAACTTTTAGACACTGACAAAACTGAAGGCATCTTTCTGACCAATCACCTACTCAGGATCCCTCCCCCAATGTTTTACCAGTATATTCTGATAAAAGTTCTAGAGTCCGTGAAAGAAACTAAGGATAAAAGAAAGTCCGTGTCAAGTTGTACATTATACAGATGCCTATAAATTTTATTCATTTCCTAAGCTTACATCAAATTCACAACTTTCTTTTTTTTTTGAGACAGTCTCGCTCTGCCACCCAGGCTGGAGTGCAGTGGCACGGTCTCAGTTCACTGCAACCTCCACCTCCTGGGTTCAAGTGATTTTCCTGCCTCAGCCTCCTGAGTAGCTGGGACTACAGGAGCATGCCACCACGGCCAGCTAGTTTTTGTATTTTTAGTAGAAACGGGGTTTCACCATCTTGGCCAGGCTGGTCTTGAACTCCTGACCTTGTGATCCACGTGCCTCAGCCTCTCAAAGTGCTGGGATTACAGGCGTGAACCACCGCGCCTGGCCCACAAGTAACTATTGTTGCTTTTTCTAATTTTCTAGGATTTTATTTTTTTAAATTTCTTTTTAGTAGAGATGGGGGGTCGGGTCTTGCTATTTTGCCCAGGCTGGAGTAGTGGCACGATCTTGGCTCACTGCAACTCTGCCTCCTGGGTTCAAACAATACTCCTGCCTCAGCCTGCTAAGTAGCTGGGATTACAGGCATAAGCCATCACACCCAGCCTTGAGGATTTTCTTATACTGTGTTTGAATCCACATGACTGATAATATGCTTAATGTTTGAGAAATTATAACCTTGCAATTGAGGTTAATGATCTACTAACTACCTTTGTGTTGATCAGATTGTGTACAATCTGGAAAAGACAACGACTAATCCAAAGAAATGAAACTACAGAATTTCAGGCATTGTAATTATACCTGTAAGAAGTTAACCTAGCAGAGAAAACGTTTAACTATCCCTCCCATCACCATCACCATTCATTCTATTTGACAAACAGGAGGCATCCAAATATTTGCTAGGGGAAAGTCATCCCTGATCATCCATAAATCACACTGTAACAATCTCTTCTCAACAAAGCCTGCAGTAACTAAACCTCAGAAGTTCACTGTTATAAACTTTTTCTTTCAACTTTACAGGGGCTGTTTAGAAATATATGGCCAAATCTGTAACCCGGAAACAGCAAAAAACTTCTTAGCAAAGGATCACTAAGTACCCTTTGGATGTACTCTTCCAACCAGACAAGAGTGCCAGAAACTTGGCAAGCAATTCATCCTGTGGAAGTTGCAAATACTGGCTGACCTGCTTAAAAAGATTCTAGAGTTGGCCGGAGGCAGAACATGTCAACTCTTTGCTGGATTCTATTTCATCTGCTGTTGATACTGATCTCAATGCACCAAGGAAAGGAAAGATGAGCCTCCTGTCTTCCAGCAACAACCCTCACATATGCACTGAGTGAAGGATGAATGTATGGACACATCTGGGAGTATTTTAAAGAATGTATCTTGCCTTGTGTTGACCCAAACCAAAAACATTTTTGAGGGGCACATGTGGGGTCAAAAAGATAGCCAATTTCCATTACATGGGTTTACAATTTCCATTCTTTTGTGCCACGAGTGTTAGAATTTAAATGAATACTTTTACAAAGTCTACTTTTTGTTCAAGGATATGCTGACCCATATAGTTTACTCTTAAAATTGTGTCAAGGTATTTCTCACTATACTCTAAAACAACTAGACTTGAAAAGAAACCATTTGAGATTTGAATCTAATGGTTAACGCTATTCAGATTTTCCCAAAGATCTTACCTCATGAAAGTAGTTCTGGGTCAGAATGATCTACTCAGTTAAAAAACAACAACAACAAAAAACTAAGCGATTGGGAAAAAACAGGAATTTTATCTGGTTATTGCATCTGGTGATAGAGGCCTTCAAAGCCTATTATTTCTAACCTAAGTAAAGGCCCCAGTGAAAAACATACTGGGGAAATAAAACCTCTGAGAAAAGGTTCAAGCACCTTTTCCAAATTTAAATCTTGCCTTAAATTCTCTCTACCACACTGCCTTTGACACTCTTGGAAGTCCATGTAGTTCTCTACAGATAGACTTCAAAGAAACGTTACCTTATCAAAGACTAATCTGTGCCACCTCTGATTCAGTGTTTTATGTCTTTCACTTTCCCTGGGAAGGAGTAAAGTTCTTTTCTACAGCTCTGGGACTATTACATTTAATTCTGCTCTTGATAGTCAAAGACCATGGACAACAACTGTCATCTGAAGGACTCTTCTAGAAGCCAGAGACTGGTGTTTGATGGATGTTTTATACTAAATAAAACCCATCAGCATGGGGTTATGTAGAAAAGCAATTTATTCCATTTTAAGCACTTACACAGTTAGTCATGGAGAGTAACAGGCCTGCTGGTGAAACAGGTCACCCAAAATGGAGATGGCATCAAACTAGTGGTCAAGGACTAACTCCTAAAAAAAAAAAGCAACTCTTATCAAGGATTAATTTAATTTTTAAAACAAATACAAGTTATTGATTCACTCTTCTCAACTTGACAGTCTACCTGTGGTATAACTGTCAGGTAAAAACATACATCTTTACAACTTGGTGGTCCCAAGTTAAAAAAAAAAAAAAAAAAACCAACAACAAAAAAAAAAACACCATTTCACAGACAGGAAATAAACAACATGAAAACAGCTCAAGAAATACACTAACGAGCAAAAATATATGAATATATGGGGAAAGAGGAACGTGTTGTTTTGACTTAACTGAAGAAACCAAGAGGAAACTGGTCTACGTATGAAAATGTGCATCCTGGAAAGTCAGGTGTCAAGATTTTCGAGTAGGAATCTATATGACTTGAATCTCCCCCTATTTCCTGAATAAAAGTGACATCTTTCAGTATTTATACTTCATGGCTCAGACACCTACCTCATTTGGCTCTATTCCTTACTCACTCTAGCCTTTACTTAAATGAGTCTGAAAAACTTGGGGATATAGCATAAGAAGAAAAATAATCACACATAATATTCCCCTTTCTGTAGCTACTTTAGACCTGGGTTACTAGAAAATTCCTGAAGAAAATTTCAACGTTAAGTCTGTGGCTTTGTTGAATCAAGCCCCCCTATTAATATTTAGAAAACACCCACGGTTTGGGCTAATAGCATTATCGGTGGTACCTATTATATAGAGGGATAGCTGAATAAAGTCTGTCTCAAAACCAGTGTTAAATCACTCTCAGGGTTGAGAAGAAAAAAGGGGAGTCTAAAATCACAACAAGTAAAGACATATCTAGGACCCTTGTCCTTCTGGATCCACGCTTCCTTCAGGGTCTTCATCATTATAAATGTTCTCTGCCTGCCCAAAAACAAGAAAAAGAATTTAAACATGAAGACTTCTTCTAAAACTCAAGGTTTCAACAACAGATTAGGCCAGGAAGCCAGAGAGTAAATACTTTATAGCTTTTGGGCCACACAATCTGTGTTACAACTATTCAACTCTTGGATGAAAGTATCCGGAGACAACCTATAATGGGTAATGAAATATTAATTAGCATGATCATGTTCCAATAAAAATAAGCAGCTGATCCCCAGACGCCTGATTAGGACATTCCCACAAAACTGCAGTGTGGATACTATTTGTCTTGATAGCCAACATTCTTGAGTTCTTTAACCAGGCATTATTATTTTTCTTTCCTTTTGAGATGGAGCCTTGCTCTGTCTCCCAGGCTGGAGTGCAGTGGCACCATCTCGGCTCACTGCAACCTATGCCTCCCAGGTTCAAGCAATTCTCCTGCCTCAGCCTCCAGAGTAGCTAGGATTACAGGCACATGCCACTACGCCTGGCTAATTTTTGTATTTTTAATAGAGATGGGGTTTCACCATGTTGGCCAGGCTGGTCTCGAACTCCTGATCTCAGGTGATCTGCCCACCTCGGCCTCTCAAAGTGCTAGGATTATAGGAGTAAGCCATTGTGCCCAGCCTAACCAGACATTATTAATAATAGCCAAAAAGTAAAAACAACCCAAATATCCATCAACTACTAAAATGGATACACGGTATATCCAATCCATATGATGGAATATTATTTGGCATAAAAAAGCCAGTCAGGCCAGGTGTGGTGGCTCATACCTGTAATCCCAGCACTTGGGAGGCTGAGGCA